>NC_000014.9:47736713-48361713 GCF_000001405.40 Homo sapiens
GACAGGAATTTTTTCTTCTGTGAAATATGTATTTTTTTTTTCATTTTCTATTGGAGTAATTATTTGCCTTTAATATGGTAAAAAAAATTTTGTAGTCTCTAGGTAGAAGTATTTGTCAGCTAATATTGCTGAAAAATTTTTTCAATTTGTATATTGTCTTTATGGTGACTTTTGATTAACAGGTGTCATAATTCCTTACTTTTAAAAAGTAAAAGTTCTAAATTTTGCTTTTACTACTTACATATTAAGTATTCCTGGAAATGATTTGTATAAGATGTGAAATAGAAATCTCACTTAATTTTTAAAAATAAGATCAAATAATTTTGTTAGTACAATTTTTTTTAACAATCCATACTTTTCCTATTGATTGGCAATGATAGTTTTATCATTTGGGATATAATGTGTAAGCCTGGGTACTATAGTCTCTGTAATTTATCTATTCATTACTCAGTCTTAATTACTATATGTATATATATTGTCTCATTGCTTATGCTTTACATATGGTAGAGCAATTTCAACTCATTCAGGTATATATTGGAGCTAGATATTTTATATACATTTTGGTGTTAAAAAAACAAAAACAGAAACAACAAAACAGATGATATAGTGATGATGATTGGAGGTACTCTGATTTTATATATCAATCCGGGGAGATTTGATATTGGAAATATTGAGTCTTCTTAGTCTGGTTATGATTTGCAACTCATATTCTGTAATGTCTTTTTTTTTTTAGTCCCCCTGGGCTAAGGTGATCCTCTCACCTCGACCTCCTGAGTAGCTGGGACTATAGGTGCATGCCACCATGCCCGGCTAATTTTTGCATTTTTTATAGAGACAGGGTTTCACCATGTTGCTCAGGCTTGTCTCGAACTCCTGGGCTCAAGTGATCTGTTCCTCTTGGCCTCCCAAAGCACTGGGATTACAGGCATGAGCCACCGCACCCAGCCTCTTTAATGTCTTATAATAAAGTTCTGTAATTTTAGTTTTAGTCATAGATATTTTAGTTGTTTTAGAATAATTCATAGTAATTTATTACTATTGTTTGAGATGGGGGTCTCACTTTGTTGCTCACACTGGAGTGCACTGACACCATCGTGGCTCACTGCAGCCTCAATCTCCTAGGCTCAAGTGATCCTCAAACCTCAGTCTCCCAAGTAGCTAGGACCACAGGTGCATGCCACCATGCCTGGCTAATATTTTTAAGTTTTTTTTTTTTTTTAGAGACAGGGTCTTGCTATGTTGCCCAGAACTGGTCTCAAACTCCTGGGCTCAAGCCGTCCTCCTGCCTCAGCCTCCCAAAGTGCTAGGATTACAAGTGTGAGCCACCAAGCCTGGCCTATTTTAATTTCTGATTGATAACTTATATGAAAATTTAATTTATTTTTGTATAATGATTTTATATCTAGCTTTTGCATTTAGAAATTTTGCCCATTTCTTGTATTAATTTCACCTGATATTTTCTGTTGGTTCTGAGGCCCACACTCACCTTCAATTCTATCCTTCTACTGCTGAAGCTAGATACTTAAAACTGAGAATTTCTAGAATTCCTTGAGAACGAGGTTGGGATTATTCCTGCCAAAGGTCAACACTCTCAGGAGATTAGAGAGGAGGAGAGAAGAGGAAGATGGAAGCCATTGGCCTGTGGCTTCCACAGGCAACTGTTGGCTTTCACAGTATCAGCAGCCATAGCAGAGGTGGTTTTAGGCAACTGGTTATAGCAATTGATTATGGCAATCATGGTGTTTGTGCTGGTAACCGGCAACGAATGGTGCCTTCTGTGGTGACTAGGTCATACTTGGGGACAGAAGGAAGTAAGTTCAGAAGAGCACAGGTTTTGGAGGCTGGTAACCAGCAAAGGGCTGAAGTTTTCTGCAGTAGTGCCTGCCCCGGCATAGACCACCAGATCTCCCTATAGTACCTGATTTCTTCCCCCATTTTTCCTAATCTCGTTATTATTTTCACTTTGTTTTGTTTCTCTAATCCACGTAGAAATTTTGTAACCCAATTACTGGCATTAAATTCTTGTCTCTTATTTCCCTTTAACTGACTGTACCTTGAATTATATATTAATTATATATCTACAGATTTGGGGGGTTTTCTATTTAGAGTATCTTATAATATGCTTATTATGAAACACTTGTTTCTTCCTTTTAAATCTTGCATCTTATTTCTTTATCCTCTCTGATTACACTGACTTTAGCATCTTGTAAAAGATGGAATAAAATTGCTCACAGTAGGCATAGTCTCGATGTATAATATAATTTCTATTTTAAAAGGAATACATGATTTTAATATATTTCACTATGAGTTTTGGGTAAATATTCTTTATCATATTTGGAAAGTTTTCTTTTCTTCCTTGTGTTGAAGGATGTAACATGAAAGATTATAGACTTTTTATTTATATTTTTCTCCCTGTGTTTATCAAAATGATCATTTAGATATTCACCTTTACTCTCCTAAGGTGGCAAATTACATTAATAGTCTTTGACATCAAACTAACTGAAATCCTGGGTTAATCTCAAATTCTTCAGTAAGTTATATATTGTTTCTGAGTTTTCTTCTGTGTTTTTGTATCTATATTAAATAGTAAAATGGATATAAAAAATTCTTTCATAATGTCCTTATCTGTTTTTGTATCAATGTTATATAATCTCATAAATGAGTTGTAGGATGGTTCCTCTTTTCTATTTGTAAAAAATTTCATCATCTATTATGTAATATTTATTACTTACTAATAAAACCATCTAGGCATGGTGTATTTTTGTGGGAAAATTTAAACTTGCCGAATTAAGTTCTTTAGTAGTTACGGACTATTCAGATTATTTATTTCTTTTTGAGGCAGTTTTGTTAGTTGGAATCTCTGTAGGAAATTGTAAATTTCATCTAAGTTTTAAAATGTTTTGGCATAAAGTTTTACAGCTTTCTTATATCATTTGCTATGATTCTTTCTCACTGGAAGCTGTTGATAGGTGCTAACTTCCACTATTTTGTCTAACGTCTGCTTTGACAACATTGCCATCCTGGCCAAGAATGTTGTCTACTATTGCTTGCAAAATTTAAGATCTTAAGATATTAAAACAATGCACAAACACTAAGAGTTCTCAATCTGCTAAGAACATGACATATGTATATGTATATGTATATATGTGTGTGTGTTTTTGCATAAACATGAACAACTCTACTCTCTCACTCTTCCTCACACATTTTTCCCATGTCATGAAGCATTAATCCTGTGCTTGTATTTCAGAGTCCCTTGAAGACTAAGCTCAGATTCAGCTTTCAGGGTCTCTCTCCTTGATATTTCAGCATGAATGATGCCTGGCGAGGGGGCTACTCTCCACAATACACCATTTTTCAGTCTCTATGTTTCCTGTCCAGGCTGGGATGTTCCAAATACTCCTTCAGCTAGTGAATTTGCAAATCAACTCCTAGAGACTGCAGCCATCACTTTATGAGATGAGATGTGCCAAACATGTTGATCAACAATGATTATTCATTTTGTCACAGAATAAATTTTTTTACTTCAATTATGAACCCTATTTAGTGATGCTGTTAGTATTTTAAATTCTTGTCAAGTTAAATTTTATAGTATTCAATATAAAATTTTCTATGTTAATTATTATAGTTTCCTGATAATGGTTTTGATGTTGTTTAGAAGAATATTTAAGTTTTTATAATAAAATTATGTTACTGATTTTTACATGTAATTTCATTTGATTACAGTATTAGACAAATCTACATCTTTCTAATAATTAATTAATGTCTTCTGATGTTTTAACTGTATTGATCACTGCAACGTAGCCCAATGACGTGTGTTTTAAAGGCTATCTGTACTGCTGTGTTTGTTTATGTATATAAAACAATAATTTCAATACTAATAATACTTTCATTTTATGTTGGAAGCTGTTATTTGGTACCTAATGTTCTGTTAATGTTATTATACATCAATTAAATTATCCTGTTTGCCTTTTACAATGCTTGTGCCTGAACTTTACTTTGGATAGAGACAGGAATATGATCAGGAATATAATCATTATTTGAAATTATCATATTCCAAATAATGATATGGAATTCAAAGGCGTGGCATAGATCAGAGATTAGAAGTTAATATTAAATACATAAAGATGGTGGATGAAGTCTTATAAGGGAATGTTAATATTCATGGCTAGACAACAAAGAAATGAAGGAACCAGAGAACATAATTTTGGAAACACTAATATTTAAAGTATTGAAATAAGAGCTAGCAAAGGAGACTAACATTAAGTTGGTAGAAAAGTAGTTTGGCAAAGAAGTGGAACTAAAATAGAATATACCAAGAAGGTGGAGTTGTCAACAGCATCAAAATATTTACTGTGCACAAAGAAGTTGACATCCACTTTCAGCCCATCTATTCAAATATATAGACTACAGTGTAAGATGGAAGACATTTTAAAATGTTTTCTTCACTGGGGTATCTCCAGATTCTAAAACATTGTCTGGCACTTAGTAGAAAGGAATAATATTTGTTTAATGAATTAAATAGATAAATTTATGAAATCAATTATCACAAGCATATAACATTTTTAGAAAAGTGTACTCTGATACTGAAATATTTTTTCTATGTCCACTATACTACATTGTTACTTATAGAGTTAAAAAGACCACAAAGTAGAACAATTTGAAGCACTTTGGTTATAAAATAGTTTACTTGAAACTATTGCATATAAATATCATATATTCATGTCATAACATTTTTTCCTTTAGCCACCCTAGTTTCATGAAGATATACACATCTATTAATAAAACTCAATTTATCTGACCTAATATTGATAGTCCATCATAATAAAATGGAATTTAGAATGAAACCCCAGATGAATAATTAATATGCTGACATTTTTATCTATAGGTAAAAGATAAATTGTTAAAAGCTTACTTTAAGAAGTTTATTAACATACTTAATTCCACCTAAAAATTTAAATAATAAAAAAGCAGTTATCAAAGCCCCATAATTTTTAAATGACATAGATTCTTCTCAAATTTTATAGCCATATAAGAGCAAGTAAATTATTGACTCAATCTAAATTAATTAATAAAAGAAAAATAGTAGAAATAATTAAGTCAGTCTTAGAAATTCTATTGTGTTTATGTTTTTTGTTTGTTTGTTTGTTTTATTTATTTATTTTGAGATGGAGTCTTGCTCTGTCGCCCAGGCTGGAGTGCAGTGGCATGGTCTTGGCTCACTGCAACCTCCGCCTCCCAGGTTCAAGCAATTCTCCTGCCTCAGCCTCCTGAGTAGGTGGGATTACAGGCGTGCACCACCACACCCAGCTAATTTTTGTGTTTTTAGTAGAGATGGGGTTTCACCATGTTGGCCAGGCTGGTCTTGAACTCTTGACCTCAAGTGATCTGCAGGCCTCAGCCTCCCAAAGTGCTGGGATTACAGGTGTGAGCCACCACACCTGGCCATTGTGTTTGCTTTTTAAAAATTGTAAAGTAACTGGTAGACTTTTGTAAAATAATGCCAATAATTAAAAAAAACTTTTCAGAAACTTGTATAATTAAAAGGTAACTGTTGTCAAATATTAGTTACTTCTGAAACTATTCACTTCTTCAAAATATGCTTCTTCTGCTCTTAAAGCTCATTTGGAAAAAGAAAACAATAATGAATTAAATACATATATTTACCATTTAAATGTTTTAATTAAAATTATATTAGGGTTGGGCTCAGTGGCTCACACCTGTAATCCCAGCAACTTGGGAGACCAAGGCAGGCAGATCACTTGAGGTCAGAAGTTCGAGACCAGCCTGACCAATATGATGAAACCCCATCTCTACTAAAAATACCCAAGTTAGCCAGGTGTGGTGGCACATGCCTGTGATCCCAGTTACTTGGGAGGCTGAGGCAAGAGGATCGCTTGAACTCAGGAGGCAGAGGGTGCAGTGAGCCGAGATTGCACCACTGCACTCCATCCTGGGTGACAGAGAGATTCTGCCTCAAAAAAAAGAAAAAATTCTATTCAGAATCTCTGACATATTCTTGTTAAATATAGATTTGAAAATTATAAAAGTTTCTCATTCTGAATTTTTAAAATAATATAGAATTTCTATATACTAAGTTTGATTGATATTTTGATCTAGTGAAATGAATTATGCATAAAGAGAATCTAAATCAACCCATTGACTTCTTATGATTTTAAAGCATAAAACTTTTTGGATATCAGACATCTTTAATTTTTCTCCTTGGCTTTTTGACATACATTTTTGCATATGCCCAGACACCTATGTCTTTGCCCTGACAACTATTTTCTGTAGAAATGCTTTGCTTTACTTCTCTCAGAATAAAGAATGAATGTTTATTGCTCAAAATGTGGAGCACTGTGTTCTGTAAAAATATTCTACATGTTCATGGTGTTTGAGAACTAGTCGTATAGATCTAAATTCAGATTTCTTTGTTCTCATAGCTTATTTTCTTACTTAAGAATTCAGATCTGAAATTTCTGATATTTTCATCAGTACTAGAGTTAACTTGATCATTGTTTTGTACATCATAATGACCATCTTTTCTATAATTTTTAATCCTTTTGTGCTGATAAAAACTTTTATTATTGAATTATCTTTAGCCATGTTTTTAACAAGTCAGTTGTCTCACTTGAAGTTCTTATTACAGTTGAACAAACTGCAATATTATTCCTTCATATGAAAAACAGCATACCTTTCTCATCAAAGCTATTAATATAAGAATAAGTTGTTAAACTTAAAATTTGGTGTTGTAATGCAAAGTATATGTTTGTACCATCGTCCAGTAGTATCTCCTCAAATACTACATATTCTAAAAGTTCCTCATATTTACTTTTTATTATTGTAATAAATGTGTTGACTGTGTGCTAGTCTTAGATATGAAGCTTTAACAAGTAGCTTTTACTTGGGCTAAACACAACCAGTTTAATATACGATTTTTTAAATTAACTTGTGAATATGTCCTCCTATATTACCTTTGACAAAGAAGTAGTGACTGAATGCTCATGGTATTTTTGGATTGACTAGAATTACTGCGTTTGAAGACACTTAAAGAATCATTTGTTGCCAGTCTGGAGAGAGGTTTTCACTATGATGTTTGTATTTACATCTATCTTGTTCAATACTTCAAATCAACAATTTAGATGAATGATTTGTCATACCTATTAGATTTCAGATTTAACAAGAGAACATCAAGTGGGCTAGGTTCAAAATTAAAAAAAAAAACCTGTCTATATGGAATGAGACAGTTTGATTTTAGCAGCAGAGTGTATAAAAAGCCTTAGAACTTTTATTTGGCTGAAATCTAAATGTTAGTCATTAGTGGGATATGATTGCTTGAAAATACAGATTTAGGTTATATTCTGAGAATAAGGGAGGTCACAGTCTTATAATACTTTCCCCTAGTCAGAATAACCCTTGGTGTTTGGGTAACATCATAAAGATAAATAAAATAAAATAAAATAAAATAAGCTAAGAGTGTCAATGGATTTGGAGGCATTTGAAAATATATATAAACTGTGTTCCTTCAGATTGGGAAATTTTACCTTTGAAAAATAAAGAGTGGTAAAACTAACTTTTGTTTCCAAATGTTTAAGAATGCCTGTTGGTGACTTGTTCTGTTTGGCCACAAATTGTTGCAACAGTCTCATGGAGAGGAAGTGCCAGAGAGGCAGTTTTATTTTCTATTATAAGAAAGAGCTTTCTAATAATGGTAGATATTCGATAAGGGAAGAGCTATCTTAAAAGTAATGATGTTTATGCAGCTATAAAAATGTATTAATAATTCATGATTTTCAGGCTCAGAGGATGTTCTGGCTAAGGAGGTAAATTGGTAGGACAAGAGACCTCTACCTCAACTTAAGAAAAACAACTCCACATTTTTGTATTTTACATATCCAGATTTTATAAGATGAAAAGATAATGAAGCTATGTTTTAAAATTTTACAATCACAGAATTGCAT
Organism: Homo sapiens; assembly: GCF_000001405.40. Classification (NCBI taxonomy): domain Eukaryota; kingdom Metazoa; phylum Chordata; class Mammalia; order Primates; family Hominidae; genus Homo; species Homo sapiens. The sequence goes on from NC_000014.9 coordinate 47,744,672, forward strand.
TGGCAATAATGCTGTAAAAAACATTTAAGCATTTGAAAGAATATTTGAATTGGACAGCTTTTAAAGTCTTATCAAACATCATTTTAATAATAACTATAATGAAATTATAACATTGTCTACAAATAAAGTGCTGGAGAGCTTGACACACTCTCCTTAATCCTCACCATGGCCCTGAAAACATTATTATACTCATTTTAAATATGAGAGGAATGAGGATCAGAAAGGTTCAGCATTTTGGATGAGGGCCTATGGCATGTAGAAGGAGCTGGGCTTATAACCTTAGTTACACTGGACTTGTACCATTACACAGTATTATAAAATTGTAGAGTTGGGAGTACTCTTAGGGATCATATTCTAAACTATTTTGGTTCTGTTATTTTACGGCATATAAGACATCACCATCTAGTGATAGGCTAATTTGTTTTTTAATATCTTCAAACTCACTCCTCTGTTCTTGGGTTATTTAATTACTTTTGGAGTAGTTCAAGGTTAAATTAGGAAGGATCTTCCTATGTGAACTGAAATCTGCTTTTTCATGCAACCCAATTAAAAATATAGTGCTTTTTAATGTTCTGTTGCTCTGGTCTCTTCTTTGAAGGTATTTATATTTAAATTGCAGAAATACAATATGAAGACAAAGCATACAAATATATTAAGAACTTCCCCAGTAGGATTATACCCTTAAAAAATTTTTGTCCAAAATAAATTATAATTTAAATCAAAAGAGTTAACATAATCACCCATTGTCATTAGGTCTGTTCTGGCAAACATATTTGTAAGATAAGAGACGATCATAACAAGCATAGTAGTAGCTCAACAAACAAACTACAAACATCCATTCTAAAGGATGGTTCAATCTGCAACTGAATAAAAGAGAATCGTAAGATCTAAGTGGAATCTCAGCTGCTAGGTTGGTCAAATCAATCAGGAGGCAACAAGGATGTCCTTGACATGGGTGGAGAAAAGCATTTCTGTTGTCAGGGCCTGACAACAGAAAGACATGTGTTAAACCAAGAGAGATTTTAATAAATCTCTCCATTCATAAATATAGGGCTCCAAGTCAGTATTTAATTCCCAGGACAAAGCAGTATCTACTTCTTAGCATACCGGTCAAAAACAGATATGGGCAAATGGTAAGTCTGATCACTGGATTGCAATTCAATTCATCTCAATATGTGGATCAATAACTTAAACCCAGGTAGACAGTTAATTCTAGAGTGACCAAGTTGAAAAACTGATTAGAAACACACACACACACGTACGTACATATCATATATGTAAGTACGAAATCACACTTATTCATCTTAATAAGGAACTTTTTCAATTTTTTCCCATTACTTTATGTTAGAACATTATTATCACTCAGGAGACAAATTTTACTTTTAAAGATAGAAATATATATCTGGTCTAAAATGATAACTAAGCTAACTATATATCAAAATGTTGGTAACATTGATAAGTTATATTATCTTCTGTACAAAAAGGTATACTTGCCATCTGAAATACAATCACTGAGCTGGACCTCATGTCCAAATATGCCCATTATTTTCTGTGTTCCCATTTGGACATTGATGACCCCAAAAAAAATCTTTCCAAAATTTGGCTTTAGAATATCACTGAAGACAATAAGAGTTGAATAAAAGTAACATAACATTTTGGGCAAAATTAATGTATTTACTTACTCTAGAGAATCCAGTGAATTTTAGCAAATGCAACCATGTTTGCTAAAGCTGAGATAGAGCACACACATAGGATTTCAGGAGATCAAAATAAGAGCCACTATTTCATCACTGTTATTATGTGACGGTGCTATGGGCAATACATGGAAGCTAAATGTAATTCCGTTCATTTCTTTCTTATTTTTTCTAGTCTCTAATTTTATGAGCTCCTAGTAAGCTATAAAGTCTTCTGGGAAAATGCTAGTTCATTTTAATGGAAATATGCAAATAAAAAGAAAGCACTGTTAGAAACTATATATATATATATGTACAGTTATTATTATATATACAATTATATATTATATATGTGCTATATATATATATATCTGTATAATACACACACACACACTGAGAAGTATCACATAATTTGGCATTATCCAGCAATCAATTTTTGACTGCTGCTTTTGTCCTGTGTAGGATTTCAGGCTTGAATCCTAAAAGGAAATATTTCTCAATATTATCTATATTATTTTATTTAAAATAATTATAACCTTATCTTTGTACTTTTACATCTTTAAAAAAATAAAGAATCGTATACAGTCAAACCATTTTCATTATAAAGAAATATCCTGAATAACAATAAATGGAAAAAACTGGGAGTGTTAGAGAGCTCATATAAAGTTTATAATGGGAGTTACAAAAAGGATTGGAAAGCTGTCATCATTTGCTAACACATTCTGCAATGACTGCTTAAAATCAAGTTAGGTTTTTTTTTTTTTTTTGAAATCACATTTCTGTGTCACTCCTGATATATCATTTTAGCTACCCTCTTTGGTTCTGCTTATTTTATTATGATGCAATCATATTTGCTTTCATTTTACAGAAGTATGACAGCCCTGGGAAAAATACTGAGAATTCTAACAAAGTACCGATAATGCAATAGGAAAAAGAAGGAAATTAGTATTTCAACTCCCTTTTGTTCTGACTCTCATGTTTTTGACATAGTTTTCTGCAAATTGGTATCAATGATGCTGCAGGGCAGAATCAACTCACTTTCTACTGCATATTTAGTTATTAGTCTTCCCTCTTAGTTTACAGGGATAAGGCATAATGTTGACATTGGCTTTTTTGTTTTGAACTTAAATCTTCCAGGGAAGAAAAAAAACATAATCTCTTTTCCCTCCTTCTGTGATTAATTTCTGCAATGTTATATGTGAGGGAAGCTGAGTGATGCTGTGCCCACCAAGCTGTGGTGGACATTTGCTTCAAAGAAGTTAGTGACTTTGCAACCAGCTCTCTGTGGGTGTCACTTGTGTGCAGTGGTGCAGAGGGAAAATATGGAGAGGATGAAAAGAAAACCATTAATGCAGTTTGTGTTTCAGATTCCATGCCAATTTAATATTGTGTATTAATGATGCATTTTGGCAATAAAACCATTTAATAATCATTAAACAGAAATTGCCATTCCCCATTAAGTGCAGACTGTGTTATAACACATTTGCTAATTTCTCATTAAATTCACCATAAATTAAATAACAGATTTTGTGTGTATAACTAAGGAGAAAAACCCCTTTAATTTATTTTCCAAAGAAAATAAACATCTTTTGGGAAAATTGTCCAAACCTTCGGGTTATAATTAGAGAACAAAACAGAAAGCTTCTTTTTTTTTATGTTTAAAATTAACATCCAAAGAAAATGAAGATTGTTCAAATGTGGTGTCTTTTGAAAGAATGGTTGTTAAATGCAAGATTCAAATTTGCAACCTACAAATTTATTTAACTCTCAGTCATTGAAAACACTTCAAGAGAATTAAAGGTGGAGATTCTCAGTAGTGAAGGGAAAAGGAGAGAAGGGGATAATGGTTCTAGTTCCTCCTTACCCCCATTTCCCAGGCATAGTTTTGAGATGCTATCTGAATAGGTGGAATTCGTTTGGAGGTTCACCTCTTATTTATCTATACGGATCTGGGACAGTCAAAAGACTTCTAAACTGGGAATGTTACACTCATTTTCACCCCAGTAGACGTTAAAACATTTTAAGTGATATTTGATATTTGTTGTTGTAACATGTGCTTGATTACAGGAAAACTTAACAGAGGCCCCTAAGAAGGAAAAAAAGTACAAAGGAAGACATCTGCATTTTTATCTATAGAAGTGTGGTTCTAGACAGAGTTCATGTGTACAGAAAAACTGTTAAAAATCTTTGCTTCTGTCTTGTGAGATTTTGAGTGGTTTTAACACTATTTCTTATATTTCTAGCTGGCCCTTGAACAATAATTGGTTTGAACTATGCGGACGCAGTTACATAAGACTTTTTTCAATAAGAGTCACACCCAGTGTGCCTGCTTACTTGCCTCCCTCTCTTCCACCTCGGAAACAACAAGAGCAACCCTTCTTCCTCCTCCATCTCAGTCTACTCTAGGTGAAGATGATGAGGATGAAGACCTTTACCATAATCCACCTACACTTAATGAATAGTAATTATATTTTCTGTTCTGTATGGTTTTCTTAATGACATTTTATTTTCTCTTGCTTACTTTTTTTGTAAGAATACAGAATCACATCAATATACCATACAAAATATGTGTTAATTGGCCTTATGTTATTCATAAGGCTTCCAGTCAATGGTAGGCTCTTAGTAGTTAAGTTTGGGGAGAGTAAAAAGTTATACATAGACTTTCAACTGCATTGGGATGTCAGAGCCCTTAACTCCCGTGTTGTTCAAGAGCCACATGTACATATTTAACATTCTTCTTTATATTTGTCATTATTGTTGATTTTTCTATGTGAGTGTTTTTCAATTGGAAATATATGTTCAAAAATTATTATAGTTGAAATGATTATATGAAATACAGAGATAAAGACAAATGAAAAACAATGATTACATTTAATAGTATGAATCATACTGAATATTTGTTAAATAAAAAATTTAGTTAGAATTGTGACTGGGCGCGGTGGCTCATGCCTGTAATCTGAGCACTTTGGGAGGCCGAGGTGGGCTGATCATTTGGGATCAGGATTTCGAGACCAGCCTGACCAACATGGTGAAACCCCGTCTATACTAAAATACAAAACTTATCCAGCTGTGGTGGCAGGCACCTGTAATTCCAGCTACTCGGGAGGCTGAGGCAGGAGAATTGCTTGAACCCAGGAGGCAGAGGTTGCAGTGAGCCAAGATCGCTCCAGTGCACTCTGGCCTATGTGACAGAGTGAGACTCCATCTCAATTAAAAAAAAAAAAAAGTATCTGAAACAGCTCTCACTCAGTTTAGAAGTTTATTTTGCCAAGGTTAAGGGCATGCCCGGAAGAAATAAACCTGAAATCACAGAAACAGTCTGTGGTCTGTGCCTTTCTCCATAGATGACCTTGAGTGCTTCAAGATGTAAAAGGGAAAAATGGGCTGAAGGAGAAATAAGGTGGGTCTGGTAATTCACATGTTGTCAGGGAAAAGGAGCAGGTAGGGAAATATTCCATTATATATTCATCTTGTGCTCAGTAAATTGGCACTTTACATAAGATAAGGTGAGCATAGAGTAGCTACCTATGGAGACATTTAACCTTTTATCTGTAGCTATCTGCTTAGGAACAAAAGGAAAGGCAGTTTCTTTTATGACTCAGTTTTCAGCTTTATTTATTGATTTATTGGCGTAGTGAATTGGAATCCTGAGTTTTTGTTTTTCTTTCACAGAATGGATCGATAATATTATAGAGCCTTCTTTACATTTAGTGGGAAATGATCGTAGCAGCTATCTAATAATTAAGCAGATGAAGAGTTTTTTTGATGAATTGATCAACTGAAAGTTTGCTTAAATAAAAAATAGTGTTTTATTTCTAAAGCATGTCTGTGCGAAGTTGAAACATAATATCAGGTAGAAAATGTAACTCGCTAATAAATGCCATATACATAATTTTAAATATTCGTTGCTCAAAATAATCTTGTGATGCCAACCTTGAAGTAAGGAAATGTTACAATACTTTGTAACTCATTCGTGGCGTTGAACATACCTGCAGTTTTATGAACAGCATAGTTTGGCACCAGACCATGAAGAACTTCTGAGAACCACTTAATCCAAACCTTCACCTTTACTAAGAAAGGACAATACCAGAAGTCTTATGAAATCCTATCAACTTTTTCAAAATACTACAATGTGCTTTCAAATTTTCTTCGAAAATCCATTTCTTCAAGTCCTACGGTATTTGCCTGCCTCTGCTTTCCCCAGAGATTTCTCACTGCTTACTTCAACATAGGTTTTTCTAAATTCCTATTCAATTATTAAAATTAATGCCTGCCAAGGCATTAATAGTGACAATACTATTAGCCTTTCTTCTCCTGTCCTCCTTGCAAACTTATTAAGGTACATTGTTAAGTGAGATTTCCTGGTCTCTAGTGGTTCAATTCCCACCTACTAGAGCTTCTTCTTTGTCCTTGACTTTTCTTCCCTGGCAATCAGGCTCTGAAGCTGCTTCTCACTACCAGTCCTTTCACATACCTCAGCACTACCCTCCAAAATGTTTGTTGGCTTCTAGGAATTTTTCTGTCCTTCTCCTTTATATCAGTACTTGTATTGTTCCTAATACTAGGCTTTGCTTTGAAACATATGCAAAAGCTCTGACTAATGTCATAATATAAATATCTCAAAACCTATCCAAAAAGTAATCAGTAAACTAAACTCTCTCTTCCTATATTTGATTGGCTACCTTCATGGAAGCAAACTGTGGCTCCAGACAAACTTAGATACTCTTGCCTTTCATTCCATGAACCAGATGAGTAACCAGTCAAATCCTGACTTCCAAGAATTAAACCTTAGAATGAACCCTTTCTGGATCTTTCTCTTTACACACTGCTGAGAAAATCCTGAAACCTGGATAGGCTAGAAAGAGGAGATAACAGTACTAATAAGCTACTTCATACCAAACTTTAGATGCTTCACCTCCTGACCAGACACAGTGGCCATGCTGCACAGACTAAGGTCTGAAACCTTTTAATTCTGAAATGTAATGCTTATGTTGTGCTCACATGTAAAACACTTTGTTCACATTAAATTGATTGGATATTAACCAAACTAAACTATAGCCAGGCTGTTCAGAGAAAGAGAGAGAGAGAGGGAGAGAGAGAAGATACAAACTAACAGCAGAAGGAATTAAAGAAGTGACATCACTATGAATTCTACAGATATTAAGGAAATATTAAAACCAATGTTATAATAATATATAAATAAATTCAACAATGTCAATAACAAAGGCACATTATTTAACAACCTCAAACTACTAAAGGTCATGGAACAAGAATAGATAACCAAAATAGCCTTATATCGACTAAAGAAATTGAATTTGCAGTTTAAATCTTCCCATAAAGAAAATTCTGACCCTATATTCCTGCACTAGTGAATTCTATTAAACATTAAGGAATAAATAATACTAATTCTACACAAACTGTTTCATATAATTGAAGAGAAAGAAATAGTTCTCAACTTGTTCTATAGGTCAGCTTTCTCCTAATACCAAAGGGACAAAGACATTACAAGAAACATAAACTCACACAAAAACACAGACCTATATTCTCATAAACTTATATCCATTATAAACATAGGTACAAAAATTTTAATCAGCAAGTCAGATGAAATGATATTTTTAAAAGTATAATATGTTATGAGCAAGTGAATTTATGCAGACTTGCATGGTTCTTTTTTTTTTTTTTTTTTTTGAGACAGAGTCTCACTCTGTCACCCAGGCTGGAGTGCAGTGGTGCGATCTGGACTCACTGCAACCTCTGCCTCCCAGGTTCAAGCAATTCTCCTGCCTCAGCCTCCTGAGTAGCTGGGACTACAGGTGCATGACACTACACTTGGCTAATTTTTTGTATTTTTTAGTAGAGATGGGGTTTCACCATGTTAGCCAGGATGGTCTTGATCTCCTGACATCGTGACCCACCTGCCTTGGCCTCCCAAAGTGCTGGTATTACAGGCGTGACCCACCATCCCCAACCTGGTTCTTTTAAACATTTGAAAATCAGCTATTGAAACCTATCATAATTGCAAACTGAAAAAGAAAAATTGTATGATTATCTCAATGGATATAGAAAAAGCATTTGGCAAAAATCTAATATTTGTTCCTGATAAAACTATCAGAAAAATAGAAACTGAAAAAGACTTCCTCAAAATTTATAAATGGCATCTATGAAAAAATTACAACTAATGTTTTATTTCATTGTAAAATACTGACTGATTTTTCCGGTACAATCAGGAAACAGACAAGAATGACTACCCTCACCACTTTTCCTTAATATTGTACTGGAGGTTCTAGCCAGTGTAATATGACAAGAAAATAAAATCAAAGGCATACAAATGGGAAAATAAGTTAAACTGTGTTTATTAGCAAATAACCTAGTCATCCATATGAACAATCTGATGAAATCTAAAACAAATCTACTAAAACTAATAATGGAGTTTAGAAAGTCTTCAGTGTGAAATATTGATTTGAAACATATCAATTATATTACTATCTGCTGGCAATAAAAATAGAAAAATAAAAATTAAAAAATGTAATTTACAATGGCATCACAAACTATTAAATACTTAAATAAATCTGACCTAAAATATGCAATGCTTGAACACTGAATAAAAACACAACATTGCTGAGAGAAATTAAAGAAAACATAAGTAAATGGTGGGACATATTTTGCTCATAGGTAAAAATATTTAGTATTGTTAGGATAACACCTATCCCAAAATAGATCTGTAGATTCCACATAATTCCAATAAAAATTCTATCAGTTTTATTTTTGTAGAAGTTAGCAAGCTTATTGTAAAAATGCATATGGAAATGCAAAAAAAACAAGAATGGTCAAAATAACTTTGAAGGGAAACAAAGTAGGAATACTAACATTACTTGATTTCAAAATATAAAGCTGAAGTATTTAATAGGATTCAGTATGATACTTGCATAAAGATTGACAAACAGTTTAATGGGTCAGAACATGAGTTCAGAAATGGACAACAAATTTTTTTAAAACTCAATATCATCCCTATTTCCTTATAAAATGAACTCATGTCTACACGAATACAAAAATTTTAACACAAATTGGATCTTATAATTAAGTGTAAAATATAGAACTATAAGATATCTAAAAAAGGCCAGATCTGTGGCTCATGCCTGTAATACCAGCACTTTGGGCAGCCAAGGCTGGGGAAACACCTGAGATCAAGTTCAAGACCAGCCTGGCCAACATGGTGAAACCCTGTCTCTACTAAAACTACAAAAATTAGCTGGACGTGGTGGCAGGCACCTGCAGTCTAAGCTACTCAAGAGGCTGAGGCAGGAGAATCACTTGAACATGATTCAAGTGGAATCATGTTCCACTTGGGAGGTGGAAGTTGCAGTGAGCTGAGATTGTGTCACTGCACTCCAGCCTGGGCAACAGAGCAAGACTCCATCTCAAAAAAATAATAGTAATAAATAAAATAATAAAATAAAATAACTAAAAGAAAACAAAAAAATCTTTGTGACTGTGTTAGTTCATTCTCACACTGCTATAAGGAACTACTTGAGACTTGGTAATTTATGAAGAAAAGAGGCTTAATTAACTCACAGTTCTGCAGGCTTAATAGGAAGCATGTCTGGGAGGCCACAGGAATCTTACAACCATGGCGGAAGGTGAGGAGGAAGCAAGCACCTTCTTCACATGGCAGCAGGAGAGAGAGGGCGAGAGAACGGGGGAAGTGCTACACACTTTCAACTGATGAGATCTTGTGGAAATTCTATCAGAAGAACAGCAAGGGGGAAGTCCACCCCCATGATTCAATCACCTCCCAACAGCTCCCTCTGTCAACACTGGGAATTAAAATTAGACGTGAAATTTGGGTGGGGAAACAGAGCCAAATCATATCAGTGACTTCGGGCCTTATATGTTGCAAAAATAATGAAATAAAAAATTGATAAACTTGAATTTATCAACATTAAAATATTTAGTGCTTCAAAGGACACTGTTAGGACAATAAAAAGAAAAACTGCAATGCCGAGACCAGCTGGGTTGGGACACCCTAACCCAGCGGCGCTAGAGGAATTAAAGACACACACACAGAAATATAGAAGTGTGAAGTGGGAAATCAGGGGTCTCACATGAGAGCCCCGAACAGAGATTTATCCACGTATTTATTAACAGCAAGCCAGTCATTAGCATTGTTTCTATAGATATTAGATTAACTAAAAGTATCCCTTATGGGAAATGAAGGGATGGGCCAAAGTAAAGGGATGGGTTGGGCTAGTTATCTGCAGGAGGATCATGTCCTTAAGGCACAGATCGTTCATGCTATTGTTTGTGGTTTAAGAATGCCTTTAAGCGGTTTTCCACCCTGGGTGGGCCAGGTGTTCCTTGCCCTCATTCAGGTAAACACACAACCTTCCAGCGTGGGCGTTATGGCCATCACGAACATGTCACAGTGCTGCAGAGATTTTGTTTATGGCCAGTTTTGGGGCCAGTTTATGGCCAGATTTTGGGGGGCCTGTTCCCAATACTACAAACTTGTAGGAAAAAAAATTGTAAATGACTTATTAGAAGATACAGAGAAAATATAAATAATCCCTAAACTCAATAAGAAAACAACCAAAAAAAAATTAAAAAGAATTTGAACAGATACTTTACTAAAGAAGATATATGAATAAAATATAAGCATGCAAAAATAATCAGTATCATTAGTCATTACAGGAATACAAACTGGAACCACAATAAGAGATTACTACATACTTATTAGATGGCTAAAATTAAAGACTGTCCATACAAATTGTTTGTAAGAATGTGGAGGATCTGAAATTCTCATTCATTGCTGATAAGATTAGAAAATGGTGCAATCATTTAAAAAAAAAAAACAGTTTGGCAGCTTTTAAAAATATATGGAAAAAAAAAAGAAATACCTACCATTTGATCCAGCTATTGATTTGTAGGTATTTACGCAAGTGAATATATAGCCTATAGTCATACAAAGATTTACACATAAATGTTCATAACGGCTTTATTGTAATAGCCCAAAACTGTAAATGATCCAATTCTCTATTAGCAGGTGAATTGATAAACAAATAGTAGTATGTCCATACAGTGGAATCTTATTCAGCAATAACAAAATGAACCACTTACACAAACAACAATGTAGATAAATCTAAAAATAACCATACTAAATTAAAGAAGCCAGACAATAATCTTTATATATTACATGATTCCATTTATCTAAAATTTGAGAAAATGTAAATCAATTAATAGAGACAGCAAGCAGATCAGAGTGATTCCCTGTGGAGGGCTGCGATGAAGTTGGAGGGAGATATACATAGATGGAGGGTGGAATTACACAGAAGGAGGGAGGGATTGCACAAAAGCAGGAAGAATCTTCTGGTGGGGGGTGATGAATATGTTCACTACACTAATTGTAATGATGGTTCTTCAGGTGTACAGATCTGTCAAAACTTCTCAAGTTTTAACTTTAAGTACGTATAATTGATATACATCAATTATACCTCAGTTAACAATGAAAATAAAAATATTAAACCTTTTAATTCTAAAAAATTACATTCATATGTTGGGCTCACATATAAAACCAGTTTGATCTTATAAAAATAACTGGACATTATCCTGTAGCTTTACTCTGAAGGAGTATTTCCTTATGTTCTTGTCTAATTTAAAATAAATTTCTTTCAGTCTTACTGAGGTAGAGATAAATAAAACAGCAAATTAACTCCTCTGTCTAAAAATGCCCATTACTGTTTTCTTCTAAACAATTTACTTTTCATTAGTAATCAGATCCCATTTTGACAATAGTAATTTTCATTCCTTTTCTCTAAGCCATAGTTTCCTTGTTCATTCAAGGGTACATTAGTTGCTAGAAGATCTTGTCTAAATCCTGGAGGAAAATAATTGACATATTCTAATTCAGTGATTCTCACTGGAGTCTGAGAATCTGGGCTAAGCAAAATTTATATGTATTACTTGGAGAAGTTTGTTAATATTATCAGTACTTGATCCACACCTTTGTAAATCCTAAATCCTATCAGGAGTGAACAATCTTTATTTCTTAAAAGCTTTCGTGTGTTGATATGTAATGCATGGCCAGTCTTGGGAACCACTGGATGTTTCTGAACAGTAGGACTTCCTAAGAAGCAGTAAGAAGTAGAAAAATTCTGATAAGTGGATTTACATCAATTTATAAGATCAAGGAAATACGTATACCATATACATTTCTTCAAAGGAGAGACTCGACTGTGATTAACAATTTAGATCAGTTTACTTCTCAAAGATAGTAAAAAGACTTGTTTCCTTAACTACAGAAGGAAAAGGGGAATATGGGCACTTGCCAAAGAGCCCAGGCAAGTGTAAAATGAAGTGGAGAAGAGTAAATGTTTCTTTAGTTTATATCCTGATAGAAGCATATAAAATATAATAATATGTTCAGACTATAATTATAGAAATTCTGACTGATATCACAATTTTACCCCTTGCCATTCGTTACTCCCTAAAAATAAATAACAATCTGAAACAGCTACAAAATATTGGCAAAACATAGTTATGTCTTGTTTTGGCATGAATTATTTAGATGATTTCTGCAATGCTTTACTTAATTTAGCTTGAAACTAAGAATGGTTTCAATCTTAGGCTAAACATTGGGGAATTACTTTTGCAGCCAAAGCTCACAGTCTTGTCTTGCATTCCAATAGCATTTCCCCTCCCAACTACCCACCCAAATCTCATTAGTTCCCAAATCATATTTTAGTGATCCTATCAAGGATCACTGTATCCAAAATCCCTTCTGGAGAATTCACTGGAGAATGATTAGAATTTAATGACAGAAAGGCTAGCATCTCTTTCCTCAGAGAATTTCCACACTGCAATCAAGCAAGAAGGCCAGGGATTTCCATTTTGTTAATGTGTTTGACTAGATACCCTGAATATCTTTCTATTGTAAAGCACCTAAAATTATGGATAAAACATTGAAAAACAAATATTACAAATGGACAGCTAAACTCTCAATAAAGTAAATAAAATATTTATGTTTCAGATTGATGATGAGATGGAAAATTAGAGCGATAAATTTAGGAGGTGATGCTGCAGCTTTACTCTCAGGGAAGAAAGAAATTTTAGTAGCTTGGTTCCAATGTTCACATTAGAATAGAAGATGAAGTAGAGAGTGCTGATAGTGAATTGGAACTGAGTTTTTCAGGTAAAGCAGAAAGTGCTAGATCTGCAAAAGTGCTAGACCTTCACTGGAATGACAGAATAAGAAAACATAATTTTCCTGCTGGCACAGTAAGACAACTTAAGCCAGTCGTGGTGGCTCACACCTGTAATCCCAACACTTTGGAAGACTGAGGCAGGGGGATCACTTGAGGCCAGAAATTTGAGACCAACCTGGGCAACATGTAGATACCTTGTCCTTACAAAAAATACAATAATGAGCTAGGCATGGTGATGCATGCCTGTGGTCTCAGCTACCCAAAAGGCTAAGGTGGGAGAATGGCTTCGGCCTTGGAAGTTGAGGGTGTGTGAGGGAGATGTGAGGGTGTGGAGGCACTATTATGCCACTGCACTCCAGCCTGGGTGACAGAGCGACCTTGTCACCCAGGCTGAAGTGCAGTGGCACAATAATATTGTGATGTGTATATATATATATATATATACATGTAAGCTTGTTTATTGTGACTCGGTCTCTGGGTAAAGAGTAAAAAACATCCTCCTTAGAATTTGTAATCAGATGATATTGAGGTTCTATATCACATGCTCTGTGTCCATCTTCAATTCCTGCTACAGCTGTAGTAGAGACTTTCTATGCCTTTAGTGGAGTCCTCAACTCATGTAACTGTCCCACCCCCCAGCTTTTCTCTAAAGCCCATAACACATCTTGGACAATCCTCAATCAATGGAGGATGGGAGTTAGGAAAAACATTTCTCAACTCCTTTCCAAAGGAAGATTCTGAGGGATACTTGATATTGTTTCTGAGAACACCCCAGAAGGATTGAGCCCCATCTCCCTCCAGCGATGATGACAGCTCAGTAGCATACTCTTTATTGGTATCATGTTCTTCCCTGCCTCATTCTGAATTACTGAGACCCCCCTCCCAAATATGCCACCTATACATAAGTCATTGTATCAAGCAATGCTTTCAGGAAAATACAAATTAAGACAATGCATTTCATGTCATGTGAATCTGGGCTTCATTTTTTTTTCAATTGTCTATAAGATGTGGGCATCCTCAAGCTAAAATATTGGTGTCAAATTATACTTAGATCAGTGGATCCCCTCATGCATCTGACAGAAACAAATGCAAGACACTCTGATGGTAAACACTCTAAAACCAAACCATCTAGTGTCATTCCAAATAAAACTCTTCCAAAATGAGTTCAAAATACAAAATGGCAAACCAGGAGAAGAAATAATCCATTCAAAGCAGTATCTAGCACTAAAGATTGTGTTATTTAACTGTTGCTTAGTGGCTTAAACAACACTAATCATATTATCTCTCAGTTTTTAAGGGTCACACACTCAGTGCAGATGGGTGATTTCTTTCCACTTCCACATTATTTGACGTATCAGCTGGAAGACTTGAGGGCTGACTGGTTTGAATTATCTAAAGAATTGATTGGGGATGAAGAAGCTGCTTCTAATGTTATTTCACATGGCTGGAGAATCGGTGCTTACTGTTGGCAGTCAGCCTGAGTTTTTTCTCCATATGATCTTCTCTACATGGCTACTTGAGTGTCCTCAGAACACGGTAGCTAACTCCTCCCAAAATGAGAAAAATGGAAGACCAGAGAGGAGGCTGTAAACTTTTTAATGACCTAATTCTTACATCACACACTTTCACTTCAACAATATTCTATCTGTCATATATGTAAGTCCTATTAATTGTGGGATGGAATTAGATAGGAGTGTGAATACCAGGAGCCAATGTTTACTAGGAAAATATTGAATGTTGGTTACTACAGAGACTATGGTGGATTTGTATCATGCCAAATGAACTAAACTGGAATTGCATTCCCCAGAATTCCCCTCCAAGCATAGTTCTTTGGTATTAGTCCATTTTCACACTGACGATAAAGACATACCTGAGACTAGGCAATTTACAAAAGAAAGAAGTTTAACATGGACCTACAGTTCCATGTGGCTGGGGAAGCCTCACAATCACGGCAGAAGGAGCAAGTCATGTCTTACATGGATGGCTGCAGGCAAAGAAAGAGAGCACTTGTGCAGGGAAACTCCCCCTTGTAATACCATCAGATCTCATGAGACCCACCCAACACCATGGGAAAGACCTGCCCCCGTGATCCAGTTACTTTCCACCAGGTCCCTCACGTAACACTCGGGAATTCAAGATAAGATTTGGGTGGGGACACAGCCAAACCATATCATCTTTGTTAGTGAGGGCCATGAGAGATATTTTGTATGAGAGTTGGAAGGATGAAATGAAACAGCATCTATATTCTTTTTATTTTCAGAAAGTCAGCACTGGGCACATGGCACTGTTGTAGCTCACACAGGTGTCATTTATCTGTGGGATCACATT
Organism: Homo sapiens; assembly: GCF_000001405.40. Lineage (NCBI taxonomy): Eukaryota > Metazoa > Chordata > Mammalia > Primates > Hominidae > Homo > Homo sapiens. Next base: position 47,759,871 of record NC_000014.9, read on the forward strand.
GTTGGAGTAGGGCAGTAGCTGGGCCCTCAGAAATGCCACAGCTGCCAGACACCCACTTTCAATCACTCTGACTTTCAGTGAGGTATGGTTTAGCTCATAGCAGCTCCTCCTGCAGATTACCCCAACTTTAAAGTTGGACACATGGAAGCAGGGTTGCAACTCTGTCCTGATAGATTCGGGTTTATTCTTGCAGGTACCAGTTTGTCTCGCTTCCCTCATTTTACGTCCATTTTATCTTTCAGACTGTGTGCGCTGATGACTTTAGGCTCAGCACTAGACACAGAAACAATAGTTTCACAAAGACTTTTCAACAGTTTCCACAAATATATAAGGCAAATCCCTATTACAAATCCCTTATTATACACAAATCTGGTGGTACTGCTTCTCAGATCAGACTCTGACATAGAGACTATAAAATAAGTAGCTTTAAATTGAATGAAGCAGGAAAGAGGAAATCAATTACTATAAGAGATAAGGTGACATAAAAAGCAGATATATTTGAAAAGAGGCCAAATAGAAGTTATAAAATGAAAAATATATTAAATAAGAAAAACCTTCTAATATATAGATTTATATATATATAATATATATAAATCCTGAACAGGATATGGGTGGCTTTGACAAAATTCCACATAAACAGTAGTTCAGATAAGATAGATGTTTATTTCTCTTTCTTTTTTTTTTTTTTTTTTGAGACAGAGTCTCGCTCGTCGCCCAGGCTGGAGTGCAGTGATGCATCTTGGCTCACTGCAAGCTCCGCCTTCCGGGTTCACGCCATTCTCCTGCCTCAGCCTCCGGAGTAGCTGGGACTACAGGTGCCCGACACCACGCCCAGCTAATTTTTTGTACTTTTGTTAGAGACGGGGTTTCACCGTGTTAGCCAGGATGGTCTCGACCTCCTGACCTCATGATCCGCCTGCCTCTGCCTCCCAAAGTGCTGGGATTACAGGCGTGAGCCACCACGCCCGGCCTATTTCTCTTTCATAAATTGTAAGCATTTCAGGACTTCGATGATAGATAAGACATTTCCACATTGTCAACAAACCAGATCCTTTATTGTAACTTCCTCAATTAGCTTTTTAATCAGAGTCCAGCTTGGATGCTCCACATCTGCCATGTCTGCACCCCCACAGTGAAGGTGTTACTAGGTTGGTGCAAAAGTAATCACGGTTTTTGCCACTGAGAGTAATGGCAAAAACAGTGATTACTTTTGCACCAACCTAATAGTTTAGGCTGCTGTCACAAACTACTATAGGCTGGTGGCTTAAACAACAAACAGTTGTTTCTCATAGTGCTGGAGGCTAGGAAGTTCAAGATAAAGGTGCTGGCAGATTATGTGTCTGTTGAGGCTCACTTCTTGGTTTATAGACTACCAAGATCTTATTTTCATATGAAGGGAAGAGAGCTAGCTACTCTATGGCCTCTTCTCATAAGAGCACTAATCCCATCCATGAGAGCACTAACAGTATTACTTCATCGACTCTGAAAGGTACCACCTCCAAACACTATCACATTGAGATGAGGGATTACGGTTTCAACATATGAATTTAGGGGGCCACAAACATACATTCCATTGTAGTGGGAAAGAAGAATGGGAAGACCTACTCTTTTCCTTTTAAAACTGTGATCCAAATGTTGTACATCAATTTCACGTATATACCATTTAACTGACCCAAAGTAGCTGCAAAAAGTGCTGAAAAATGTTATATTTAGGTAAATGGACACATATTCAGCTAAAAATAGCATTACTACACGAAATATATGGATATTGAGAAAGCAAATAATAGACTCCGACACGATGATTAAAAAGCAGATAATTCTCAACAGGCAATTAACAGAGAGAAAGAGCTGAGGATTTTACAGTTACTAAAAGCAAGTTTAAGAGATAAATAAGATAATAGATTAAAATGGGATAGATTCAATGAAAGAATAAGAGGGAATGAGATGGTAATGATGATTTTTTCAAAATCAATAGCATGAACCTAATATTTGAGAAGCACACTGGATCTGCTGCAAAATAAGATGAAATTACACACACACGCACAGACACACACACACACATACACACACACACACACACACACACACACACAGTGCTAAAACCAAAACCAAACACCCAAGACATAAAGATCTTCAGAATCAACATAAATAACTTATGAGGAAAACTACTAGCTTCTTTATAAAATCTACATTTCAATGCACTGCTGTGGTTGCAGGGAAATAAGTAAATCTCCAAGCACCCCTTAAATAAACAACCTAATAAACATGCAAAAAATGACCTGAATCCTGAGATAGAATCAAAGAACAGTGCGCTACCTGCAAGACACAAATGGGAAAGTTGGAGCTAGCCTGAGACAAGTGTTGAAATTAGCATTGTGTTCCAGAGACTAAGCTTGAGGGAGCTGATCCTGGAAACCTGGCATTATGTCAGCAAGCCTGGTCCCAGGTCTTACTACATCAAACTCCTAGCAGAGATAATTTCAAATTCTACCCTGGAGAAAAAGTTGACCCTAGGATACCTAAAGATTAAGATTAAAGAAATCAAGCCATGGTGAGTGAGACAGCAGAAACAACAAATAGCAAACATCTAATTAAGACTCCCAATGGCTTCAGATATAGAAATTATCAGAAATTGAATGTAAAATGCTATATATGAAATGTTTAAATAAATAATAGGTGAAATTACAAAATCAGTAAACACGAAAATGTCAAGAATGAACAGACACAGAATTTTACTTCTGGCCATGCTGATTAACAGAGACAGGAGCTTTCCTAACATTATAAATATCTGGAAAACTTGGAAAATGTATGAGTCAAATTCTTTCAGATATAGGAGATTAGGCAATTTAGGATTATGGTCCAAGGGAAGTGGAAACAAAGTGAGCTCTATTAACTGCCTGGAACTACTTTCCAACCTGTGGTGCAGAGGGGGTCACTAGCATGATCTCACTGAGTTGAGTAAACAGAGATCAGAGTTAGGGAAGACTGACTTACCTGGAATATTGAATGTGTAGGACACATTACCAGTGAGAAGGAAAGTAGGTGAAGGAGGAGCTCCAGGAATATGCACAGGGGTCTCCTTGAGAATGTTCTAGGTACTAAGTTGTACATGCATGGGAAAAGTCAAAGGGCTGGGAGCTTTAAGCTGAAGGACTCCCAGAGCTCAGGTAGGGCGGGGAAATGTTTACTTCTGAACCAACCAGAATAGATTGAACATCTACAACATTCAGTGGAAACATGAGAAGGTTCAGGCCTTAGTATAAGTGCTAAAGTAGTCCCGAGGTAAAGAATTCTCTAAGTCCAGCCTAAAAAGCTTAAAAGCAAACCTCTAAAGAATCACACTGATCCACAATTACATACTTACTTAGCCAAATGAAATTGACATTTGTAAAAGGATGGCAACAAAATCCAAACACTCAACAATATAGCTCTCATAGTTTGGGGCCAAATTTAAAATTACTGTATATGAGAAGAAGCAGGAAAATGTGAGCCATGACCATGAGAAGAATCAGTGAAGAGAAACAGAAACTGAAAGAATTGGTGGATTTATATGAGTAGGGCTTCACAAAAGCTGTTTTAAATGTGTTCAAAAATTTTAAAAGAAACATGAATAAAAATAGATATGGAAGGTATAAAAATGAAGCAAATGCAAAATTTAGAATTAAGAAGTAAAATACATAAAATAAAAAAGTCCTGATTTTTAATAGTAGCCAGACACTGAAGAAGAAAATGTCAATGAACTCACACATATGATATGAAACTATCCAAACTGAAACACAAAGAAAAATAATAAAAAGCCACTGAACAGTCTCAGTGATGTGTGAAGCAATTTCAAGTGGCACAGACATTACGTGATTGATGATATAAAAACGAAGATGTAAAAATATTTGCAAAAATAATTACCACAAATTTGTCCCATTTTGAATTAAACTATAGACAACTAAGTTTTCAAAACTTAACACACCTTTGCCCTCATATAAAGAAAAAGATAATCACAGTGAGGCACATTATAACCAAATTGTTGAAAAAATCAGTGATAAAAGAGAACACCTTAAAAATAGCTAAAGAAAAATTACACATTACTTACTCAGGAACCAAAATAAGAATATTGGCACATTTCTCATCTGAAATATTACAATCCAGAAAACAATGAAAGTATATGGTTTATATTTATGTGGGTAAATGCATTGTTTCTCCTCATTTAAAAATATTTAGAAATTGTTAAAAGCAAACAGATTATAACAAGTGGAAATAAAGGGAATGTCAACAATAACAATTGTAACAATAAAAGGATGAGGAGGCCGGGCGCGGTGGCTCACGCCTGTAATCCCAGCACTTTGGGAGGCCCAGGCGGGTGGATCACGAGGTCAGGAGATCAAGACCATCCTGGCTAGCATGGTGAAACCCCATCTCTACTAAAAATACAAAAAACTAGCTGGGCGTGGTGGTGGGCGCCTGTAGTCCCAGATACCCGGGAGTCTGAGGCAGGAGAATGGCATGAACCCGGGAGGTGGAGCTGGCAGGAAAAAAAAAAAAAAAAAAAAAAAAGGATGAGAGGTAGGAAGTAGAAGCATAAAATTGTAAGATTCTTATGTTGTAAGTAAATATATGATATTAGTGTGCTATTATTCAAATACATAATATGGTAAGTTTGTAAACATGAGAAGAACTACAATTCACCCTTGAACAACTTGACCCCCATGCAGTCGAAAAATCCACGTATAACTTTTGACTCCCAAAAAACTTAACTGCTATTAGCCTTCTTTAGACCAGAAGCCTTATCAAAAACATAAACAATTGACGCATATTTTGTATGTTACATGTATTATATTCTGTGTTATTAACATAAATTAAGCTAAAGAAAAGAATATGTTATTAGGAAAATCCTAAGGAAGAGCAAATACGTTTACAATTTATTAAGCAGAAGTGGTCCATCATAAAAGCCTTCATCCTTACCTTATCAGCTTCACCTTGAGTAGGCTGAGGAGGAGGAGGAGGAAGGGAGGGGTTGTTCTTGCTGTTTTGGGGTGGCAGAGGTGGAACAGTTGGAGGAGGTAGAAGGAGAAGAAGGAGAGAGGCTGATGCACTCAGTGTAACTTTTATTGAAAAATATCCATAGACAATTGGACATGCACAATTCAAACTTGTGTTGTTCAATGGTCAACTGTGCTACAAAATCAAAAAGTGGGGCATAGTTACTAAGCCAATAGTAGAAATAAAAAAAATTACTTAAAACCACAATATCAGTTCAAAACAAGGCAGGAAAAGTGAAAAAATCCTAAGTAAACAGTAATATATAACATGTTAATAGATTGAAAAATTCAATATTGTTAAGATAATTTTCTTGCATTAAGCTGCAGAACAAGCAAAATACCAATTAAAATCTCAGCAGGACTTTTGTAGAAATTGGCAAGCTGATTATAAAATTTCCATGTAATACAAACAATTTTAAATAGCAAGAGTGATTTTAAAAATTAAGGGCAACGTTGAAGAACTTACACTACTAGATTTCAAGACTTATCATACACTGCAGTAATAGATGGAGTGGGGTATTGGCATAAGGACACATATTTAGATTAAAAGAATAACATAATCTGGAAATGTTTACAAGCATATATAGTCAGTTGTTTTTTTTAATCAAATTTGCCAGTGTAATTTAATAGGAAAAGAATGGTGCTGGAACAATAGAATATCAACGTACAACCACTGACAGCGATTATAACCGTAAAATTTAGGTGTTTTGTGGTTGAGGGCATGATGGGACATCTACAAAATAAAGGACAAAATATTTCTTACTGCACTGCAATAAGATGGAAGTACAACATTTGGTAGTCCTTTTTGGATACAGGAGGCAGCATAGTTCACATCTGAGGATGCTGTACCAGACCATGTATTAGGTAATACAAATGTTTGCATTCATTAGTGCACACTAACTATGGTAGAAGTGCTGAAGCACTAAAAAACTTAGTTGGCAATGATTTGTCCAGTTGATAGCAACCCATGTTTGTCGGGGTTCTCTAGATGGACAGAACTAATAGGATAGTGTCTATATGAAGGGGAATTTATTAGGAGAAATGACTCACAGGATCACAAGGTGAAGTCCCACCATTGGTTGTCTTCAAGCTGAGGAGCCAGGAAGCCAGTCCGAGTCCCAAAACCTCAAAAGTAGGGAAGCTGATAGTGCAGCCTTCAGTCTGTGGTGGAAGGCCCAAGAGCCCCTGGCAAATCACTGGTGTGAGTCCAAGAATCCAAAAGCTGAAGAACTTGGAGTCTGATGTTCAAGGGCAGAAAGCATCCAGCATGGAAGAAAGATGGAGGCCAGAAGGCTTAGCCAGTCTGGTCTTTCCACGTGTTTCTGTCTGCTTTTATTCTGGCCATGCTGGCAGCTGATTAGATTGTCCCCACCCGGATTGATTGTGGATCTGGCTTTCTCAGTCCACGGACTCAAATGTTAATCTCCTTTGGCAATACCCTCACAGACACACCTAGGAACGATGCTTTGCATCCTTCAATCCAATCAAGTTGACACTCAATATTAACCATCACGCAACCCAAGTGTGAGCATGAGGTGCATGTAGACATGGTAACCATGGTGATGTAAGGAAGACTATGCATAAATTCAGTAGCATGGGTTCCCTGTCTCCAACACAAATTTATCTCCTGTTACTGCATGATGTCCATACATACAAGACAATCACTGAGTCCCCCTAATAGCACCATTCTGCGTGGAGACCAATTAGCTGCTGGGTGGTGCGTAGTGGAACAATGGCATGTTAAGTTAAAGATTTCAGTGGGATGCCTAGCTCAGACATGAGACCATACAAAGATGGGATGTCACTTTTTAGGATGTGTATTCTAAATCAACAACCATAATATGATTTTTTCCGAGTAGGTAAAATACATGAGTCTAAAATCAGGGACTTAAAATATAAATAACTTACTTAACATCATCACCAGTTTCTCATTTACAGAGTTTGTGCTTTCCAGACCCACAAGTTTGGACTGTATGATGGAGAAGTTCTGGTCGACAAAGGTAGAATACATCGACTCTGGGACACTGCAAAAATTTCAATGAACTTAAGTTATGGCTTCTTCCAGTGTACTTCAGGGGACTTTTCCCAAGTGACTTGAAGAGAAGTCACTATCCTGATAGGGATAATTGATCTGAACTTCGGAAAAAGGTAGAGCTCTTGTAGAACGTAAAGCAGGAGGAATATTTTTAACAGTAACTAATCTTAATCCACTTTGGTGTCTTTTGATATTCTCTTGTACAACTTTGAGAATCAATGTAATAATACAGCAGCCAGGACCTGAGAAGGCATAGCGACTGTGACTATAGAACTGTCACAGATGAAGGTCTGAGTCTTCCAAAGTTAGGCCACCTGACCAGCAGAGGTGCTGTTTAAGGGCGAAGAGGGTGAAAATGCGTAACTAAGAAGTATCTTAGCTCAGGCCTCTGTAAAAAATACTGTGGGTGGGTTAGACAACAAAACTTTATTTCTCACAGTTCTGGAGGATGGAAAGATCAAGGTTGAGGTGCTGGCAGTCAGTTCCTAGTGAGGGCCCTCTTCCTGGTTATCAGATAGCTGCCTTCTTGCTGTGTCCTCCCATGGTGGGGAGAGAGTGAGAGCTTTGGTCTTTCACTTCTTATAAGGAGAGCAATTCCACCATGGGGCCCCCACCTCTATGATCTTATCTAAACTTAACTATGCCCCAAAGGCTCGTCCTCTAAATGCCATCACAGGGGAAGTTAGGGGTTCAACATATGAATTTTGAGGGATATGACATTCAGTTTACAACAAGGATGGTAATGTTGAATATCAGTTACAGCCCAAGATCTACTGCAGAGTTGGAAGCTGTGTGGTTTCTTCATTTAATAAGTCTCCACTAGAGAAAGAAAAAAATACACACATACTAGAATCATGGAGAAGCTGCTCCCAACATATATGTACACATGGATTCGAGCAGCATGGATTAACTGAAGTGGACACTGTGCTTCACTACCCATTTCCTAAGCTGCTTATTATATAAACTGTTGGAGTGCTGCTGCCTAATAGAACTGCCTTCCTGGAAGTCCTTCATCTTTTCATCTTTTACTGAAGCATCTCACATCCAATACTGGTGGATACAGGAGTAAAAAGTTCTGGTCCGGTTGCAATAAATCAGAGAAATGCTAAAAAGTTATCCCAGTTCCAGAACTCTAAAAGAAGCTTTTGTTGTGAATGAATCAAAATCCAACTTTTTTTTTTTTTTTGAGACGGAGTCTCATCTTGTAGCCCAGGCTGTAGTGCAGTGGCATGATCTCGGCTCACTGCGACCTTCGCCTCCGGGGTTCAAGTGATTCTCGTGCCTGAGCCTCCTGAGTAGTTGGGACTACAGGTGTGCACCACCACACCCAGATAATTTTTGTATTTTTAGTAGAGACAGGGTTTCGCCATGTTGGCCAGGGTGGTCTCTATCAAAGTCAAACTTCTTTGTCTTTCAATTCTGCTTCCTTTCCTTTCCTTCCTGGTGTTAATTCCAAGAACACTACCCAATCAACCTACTGTGCTATGTTTTACCTATAGTCTGCTTCCCAGGGAGCATAACTTGCAACATTAAAAACTTGAGAACAAACATGTAAAAGTGAAAAATCAACAAAGCAACGAATTCTTTGAAATGATGAATCAAAGTAATAAACTCCTAGGAAGACTGATCAACAAACACAGAAAGCACAAATTTAAAATATGCAGAATAAAAGAGGATATCACTATAGACCCTAAAGATGTTAAAATATAACAAGAGGATATTATAAACAATATTATCCCAATAAAATTTTCAACTTATATAATAAGAATATATTTCTTGAAGAACAGAATTTACCAAAACAGACATTAGAATAAACAGAACCGTGAAAAACTTTGCTAAAAATTTTGAAAAGAGAAAAATAATTAACAAATACATAGATAAATATAACTTACCAAAATTTATAAAGAATGGCTTTAAGTAATCATAAAATAATTTAAAGAAAACACCAGGCTCAATTCTTGTATGGTGAAGTCTGCCAAAATTAAAAAAAAAATTAAATTCTATGGACAAATTCGGAGGATAAAAAATAAATATAGGTCAGAAACTCAGATCTACAAACAGAAAGGAAGAGCATTTTTAAAAAGTGAAGCTAAAAGAAAGACTTATTTTTCTTATTCTTAAGTGATCTAAGAAATAATGATTAGTTCAAAATATTAATCACAATAATGTACTTTATTATGTATGTGTATATGTGCATGTGTGCACATATATATAAGTGAAATGAATGACAGTGATGATAAAAGAGATGAGAGAGAGGAATTGGGATATTTAAAAATTATTATTATAAGGTACTTGCACTAACCATGAAGTAGTATAGTGTTATTTCAAAGTGGACTTGTAAATGTATATTTCAAACTCTAGGGCAACCTCCAACAAACACGAATAAAAGAAGTAAAACTAATGCTAAGAAAGGAGAGAAATGGAATTATATAAAATGTTCAGTTAAAACCACAGAAGTCAGTAAAAAAGTGGAAGACATTAGACTAAAAATAAAGGGAGAGAGAAAGACATGCTATGATCTCACTAATAAAAAAGCAGGAATAGCTATATTAATTTTAGACTGAGCAGACTTCAGAACAAACAGAGGTATGAGAAGTAAATTAGTACAACCATTATGGAAAACAGTATGACTAGTCTGTTAAAAAAAAAAAAAAAAAACCTAGGCCGGGCGCGGTGGCTCACACCTGTAATCCCAGCACTTTGGGTGGCCGAGGCGGGCGGATCACGAGGTCACGAGATTGAGACCATCCTGGCTAACACGGTGAAACCCCTCTCTATTAAAAATACAAAAAATTAGCCAGGCGTGGTGATGGGCACCTGTAGTCCCAGCTACTTGGGAGGCTGAGGCAGGAGAACGGCGTGAACCCAGGAGGCAGAGCTTGCAGTGAGCGGAGTTCATGCCACTGCACTCCAGCCTGGGCGACAGAGTGAGACTCCGTCTCAAAAAAAAAAAGAAAAAAAAACCCCCAAAAATGTAACTAGCATATGATTCAGCAATCTCACTTATGAATGTATATCCAAAAGAAATGAAGTCAGTATGTCAAAGGGTTATCTGCGCTTTCATGTTTATTGCAACATTATTTGCTAAGACATAGATTCAACCTCAATGTCCACCAATGGATGAATGGATAAAGAAAGTGTGGTACATATACACAATGGAATACTATTCAGCCTTATAAAAAAGAAAAAATATCTGAAACAACATAGATGAGATTGAAGGAAGTTATGATAAATGAAATAAGCCAGACACAGAAAGACAAATATGGCATGATCTCACTTATACTTGGAATCTAAAATAGCTGAAATCATGGAAGTAGAGACTACAATAATAGGTACCAGAGGCTGGGTGGGTGACGGGGATAGAGAAAATGGGAAGATTTTAGGCAAAAGGTACAATGTTTCAGCTAGGAGGAATGTGTTGATATTTATTGCACAGCAGTGTGACTATGGTCAATAATGTATTTTGTATTTCGAAATAACTAAGAGAGTATATTTCAAATGTCTCACCAGAAAAATGATGGATAAAGTAGGTGATGTGTATATTAATTAGCTTGATTTAATTATTTCACATGGTACACACATATCAAAACATCACATTGTACCCTATAAATGTACAATTATGATTTGTCTGTTAAAAATAATATTAACTTAAAAGGAGGAGCATTGCATAGTGGTAAAGGGGTTCATTCTTCCAGAAGTCATAACAACCTGTAATGTATATGTGCCTAAAAACAAAGTATCAAAGTATGGAAGGCAAAAACTGATGGAACTGCTAGGTGCAATTGATGAATCCACTGTTTTAGTTGAAGGCCTCATCCTTCTATCACAAATGGACACATCCAACAAGCAGAAAATAAATTTAAGGACACAGTTGAACTCAATAGCATCATCAATCAACTGAATATAATTGACATCTATAGACCTACTTTATCCAACAACAGCAGAATACATTTCTTCTCAAGCTCACATGGTACCTTAACTAAGATAGAACACATGCTGGGCCATAAAACACACCTTAAGAAAAATTTTAAAAAAGAATGATGAATTGTCTGCTCTCAAGCCACAATGTAATTAAACTAGAAAACAATAACAGACAGATAACTGGAAAAATCTCAGAATAACACATTTCAAGATAACATATAAATAAAAAAAAGTTAAGAAAAACAAAAAAAGGGAATAAATGAAAATGAAAACACTATAACATTTGTGAGATATAGTAAAATCAGGTCTTAGAATTTATAGCATTGAATACATATTTTAGAAAAGTGAGGTGGCTCACACCTGTAATGCCAGCACTTTGGGAGGCCGAGGCAGGCAGATCTCTTGAGGTCAGGAGTTCCAGACCAGCCTGGTCAACATCGTGAAACCTTGTCTCTACTAAAAATACAAAAACTAGCTGGGCGTGGTGGCACGTGTCTGTAATCCCAGCTACCCAGGAGGCTAAGGCAGGAGAATTGCTTGAACCCAGGAGGCAGAGATTGCAGTGAGTCGAGATCGCACCACTGCACTTCAGCCTAGGCGACAGAGCAAGACTCCATCAAAAAAGAAAGAAGAAGAAGAAGAAGAAGAAGAAGAAGAAGAAGAAGAAGAAGAAGAGGAAGAGGAAGAGGAAGAGGAAGAGGAAGAGGAAGAGGAAGAGGAAGAAGAAGAGGAAGAGGAAGAGGAAGAAGAAGAAGAAGAAGAAGAGGAAGAGGAAGAAGAAGAAGAAGAAGGATCTAAAATCAATAATTTAAGCTTCTACCATTGGAAATTAGTAAAATAAGATAAAATTTAATTCAAAATAAGCAGAAGAAAAGAAATAATGAAAACTAGAGCAAAAAATCAATAAATTTGAAAGTAAGATATCAATGAATTTGAAAGTAAGATATCAATAAATAAAATCAATGTAACCAGAAGCTGATTTTTTGCAAGGTAAATAAAATAGATAAAATAGATAAACCTCTACCAGGCCAACTAAAAAAAAAGGACAAAGGACACAAATTTTTAATATCAGAGATGGAAGAGGGAATATCACTACAACTCCATTGACAACAAAAAGATAGTAAAGGCATACTATGAACAACTGCATGCCCATAAGTTTGATAACCTAGATGAAATGCATCAATTTCTTAAGTAACAAAATCTGCCAAAACTCACACAAAAAGGAATACAAAATCCAAATAGCCCTATATCCATGAAAGAAATGGACTCAATAATTAATAACCTTCCACAACAGATAGCATCAGGCCCAAAGATGTTCACTGGTGAATTCTAACAAAGACTGAAGGAAGAAATTATACCAATTCTCTACTATTTATTTCAGAAAATAGAAGTAGAAGGAGTACTTCTCAACTCTTTCTATGAGGCCAACATCATCCTGATATCAAAACCAGACAGACTTTATAAGAAAAGAAAACTGCAGATTAATATCTCTTATGAGTACAGATGCAAAAAAAAAAAAACTTCAACAAAGTATTTGCAAATTTAATCCAACAATATATAAAAAGATTTATACATCAGAACCAAGTGGGATTTATCTCAGATATGCAATGCTGGTTCAATATCAAAAATCAATTAATGCAATCCATTGCATCAAGAGGCTTAAAAAGTCGTGAAATTGTATCAATAGATGCGGAAAAGGTATTTGAGAAAATCCAACACTGACATATGACAAAAACTCTCAGTAAACTGGGAAGAGAAGAAATCTTCCTCAAATTGAAATGGAATATCTACGAAAAGCCTACAGCTTAACATCATCTTTAATGATGAGGACCTGGAAGCTGTCCCACCAAAATAGAAAGAGGCAAGAATATTTCCTGTCACTACTGCTTTTCACCATTGTACTCAAAGTCCTAGTTAATGACATAAAACAGAAAAAGAAATAAAAGGTATACAGATTGGAAAGGAAAAAATAAAACTTTGTTCACAGATGACGTAATCATTTATGTAGAAAAGCCTAAAGAATTGACCAAAAAACCCTCCTAGAGCTAATAAGCAATTATAGCAAGGTTGTGGGACAAAAGGTTAAAATACAAAAGTCAATCACTTTCCTATATACCAGCAATAAAAATTTGAATTTGAAATTAAAAACACAATATCATTTATATTAGAACCTACAAAAATAAAAACTTAGGTGTAAATCCAAGAAAATATATACAAGACCTGTACAAGGAATACTACAAAGCTATGATGAAAGGAATCCAAGAACTAGAGTGACAATCCACGTCCATGGACAGGAAAACTCAATATTGCCAAGATGTCAGTTCTTCCAAACTTGATCTGTAAATTCAATGCAATCCTCATCAAAATCTCACTAGTCATTTTGTAGATATTGACAAACTGATTCTAAAATTTATATGCAAAAGGAAAAGAACCAGAATAGCCACGACAATATTGAAAGACTAGAACAAAATTGGAGGATTGGTAGTATTGACATCAAGACTTACTTTAAATCTACAGTAATTGAGGTAGCCTAATATTTGCAAAAGGATAAACAGATCAGAGGAACAGAAGAGAGCATGCAGAAATAAAGCTACATGAATGTACTCAACTAATCTTAAACAAAGGATCAAAAACATACTATGGAGAAGATAGTCCCTTCAACAAATGGTGCTGGAATACCTGGATATGTACATGCAAAACACTAAATCTAAATGCTAACCTTATACCCATCACAAAAATCGATTCAAAAAGGTTCAAAAACCTAAGTGTAAATGCAAAGCTATAAAACTCCTAAAAGAAAACATAGGAGACATTGCAGATGAGCCTGGATTTGCTGATAACTTTTTATATATAACAGCAAGGGCATAATTCATGAAAGAAAGAATTGGCAAGCTGAACTTAATGAAAATTAAAAATGTCCACTCTGTAAAAGATATTGTTAAGATAATGAAAAGACAAATCATAGACTGAAAATATTCGCAAAAGACATATGTCATGAAGGATTGTTATTCAACATATACGAAGAACTCTTAAAACATAACAATAAGAAAACAATTTTTAAAATGGGCAAAAGACCTGACACCTTAGCAAATATGATACACAAATAGCAATAAGCATATGAAAATATGCTCCACATCCTATATCATGAGGGAAATGCAAATTAAAATAAAGAAATTCCACTAAATGTCTATTACAGTAACCAAAATCCAGAACATTGACAAGCACCAAATGCTGATGAAGATGTGGAGCAACAGGTACCTTCATTCATTCTGGGGGGAATGCAAAATGGTATAGCCACTTTGAATGACAGTTTAGCAGTTTCTTACAAAACTAAACATACTCTTATCCTACAATTCAGCAGTTATGCTCCTTAATATTAACCCAAAGGAGCTATAAACATGTCCAAGCAAAAATCTGCATATGGATGTTTAAAGCAGCTTCATTTATTATTGCCAAAACATGGAAGCAACCAAGTTGTCTTTCAGTAGGTAAATGAATAAGTAAACTGTGGTATATCCAGACAATATAATATTATTTATTGCTAAAAAGAAATGAGCTCTCAATCCACGAAAAGACATGGAAGAAACGTAAATGCATACTACTAAAAAAAAAGCCAATTTGAAAAGGTACATACTGTATCATTTCAACTATATGACACTCTGGAAATGGCAAAAGTATTGAGACAGTCAAACAGTACAGTGGTTTCTAGGTGTTGAGGGGAGGGATGGATGAATAGGTGAAATACAGAGCAAATTCAGGGCAGTGAAAATCTTCTGTCTGATACTATAAAGATGGACACATGTCATTACAAATTTGTACAAACCTATGGAATGTATAACACCAACAGTGAACAATAATGTAAATTTTGGACTCTGGGTGATAATAATGTGTCTGTGTAGGTTCATCAGTCATAAGAAATGTACCACATTGGTGGGGGATGTTGATAATGAGAAACGCTATGCATGTGTGGAGACAGGAGGTAGGTACATTGATGCTGTGACCCTTCCTCTCACTTTTGCTGTGAATATAAAACTGTTCTAAAAAAAATACTTTAAAAAATCCATGGTGAAGAAAATTATAAAGACAGGCTATTGTTTCTTGTTTGTTTTACAACCCTGTGCTTTGTGCAAGAGAAAAAGTTGTTCCCAATGAGCCCTAGGTCCTAGTCAGGGCCACAAAACTGTCACATCCCCCATGGGGTGGGCCAATAAAGGCTGACAATAGTGTTGGAACAAGTGAGGCAATGCAGGCCTTTATGTATACTCATGGTTTTTGATTTTTATTAACTTTTATTACCTTTTTCGATTTGGTTCAACAAATGAAATTTACAGATATTTTACATAAGTGTATATTGCAGAGCCCATTTCTTCTTTTGCATCAGGCTCAGACATGGCTTGTCATGGCACTGAGGAAGAGATTTATTCTTCTTGACTCTGGGGTTTCCTAGTCCTTTCTATCTCCATGATGATGGCCCAAATGAACTGAACTTCCCTAGCACTGTCTCTGCACAATAACCTCATGGGTCTTCATTCCCTAATCTGACTTTTAAAGGCCTGCTGAGTAAAGAAATAAGATCCTAGGGAATTCTGAAGTAGGCGAAGATGTTTCTGTAGTACTTCAATTTCCAACTTTACATCATTTTCCTTTCAAAGTATGCCCCCATTTTCACTCACTAACATTCATAGTATTTTACCTTTTTATCATCTCAAAACATTTGAGAAATTTGTGGAATAAATTAACTCATTCTGAGGTAAAAAAAATTTAAATCAGCTGAGTGGGCTCTACACACTGCACAGAAATAGTGTCTGTTTTACAAAAATTAAAATTTTGCTAGCTAAAATAAAACACTAGCTGTTAAATGTCAAGTATTAACTCATGGGTGAAGAAGTGAAACCTTTCAATAGCCCTTTAAAATTTTAACAATTACTTCTTAAACTACGCATAAAAACCAGTTTTAATATATATATAACACAAAAAAAACACAGAACAACTTTTTCAAAAAGGTCAACAGTTTTAGTTACAAAACAATGTCTCTGGATGTGGACATTAAAAAGACTACTTCCAAGAAAATTAAATTTTTGAAGTCTTAATTAAATCCAAAATAGGCAATGTGTGCCAACACTACAAAAGACATCAAAAGTCTCATCTGCCAAATGTTGCCCAATTTGAGTACAGATTTCATTTCCTATGTGAATGCCATGTCCTATTCCCTGAAACCTGAATGACTAACATTGAAAAATATAAGAAACATAAAGTGATAGGTATTATGTGCAGATTTTATTAATAGCACAACAAATAATCTTTAGTGAACAAAATGGACAGTTTCCATGACTGAATCTCAAGAATTAGAATTAGAATGACTGGATTTATAATTTAGATACACTGGCTTTTTACTTGGTGACTTATTTAGGTAGTTACAATAATTGATATTTTCTAAGCACTTAACATGTTCCAGGCATGATAATAGGCTGCTAATATAGTTTATTTGTTTACTTTTCACAAGAGTCCTATTTAATCTCCTTTCGCATATTTTTCATATGAGAAAACTAAGTATATTCTAAGATTATGGAACTTGCCCAAGTTTACACAGGGATGTGGTTCAGGACGTGCTATCCAAAATACAGCACCTTGACACAATGAGTATTTTAAGCTGAAGGAATTGATCAAACCACAGAAACAGGAAGATGTCTCTGAAGCAGGATATAGAAACAGTTAATAAAAGTAATTCACCTTGACCTTGTCTCCTGAAGCAGACCATAAAACCTAGCTGAGCTTCCCCTGAAAATAGGTCATAAGACTCTTATTTCAGGGGATTTTTGAAATATACCCAGAAGAAAGGAATGTCACACAGGAACACCAAGAAAAATCTGAAGGGGAGAAAATATAAATATTTTTTCTGAGTCCTCACAAGGTCTTTGCTAGGATACCTGTGTAAAAAAAAAAAAAAAAAAAGACAAATGAACAGGAACAAAAAGGTATACAAATTTTACTAACATGTATATAGATATAGGAGCCATGCACTGAGTATGAGACTCAAAGGAAGTGCCAGATAGCTGAAGTTTTTGTACCATCTTGAGGTTACAGAAGGAATAGGGGAAAGATAGGATATGGGAGGGAGAGAGGAGGAAAGGCATGGTGAGCAAAAGCAGACTTGTTATTGCAGAAATCTCACAGATAGCAACTCTCAGAAAGAATACATGGTGGCCTGCAGTAACATTTTTCTGTCAAAACTTCTTTGAAGGTATAAGATTTTAGTCTCTTTTTCTGTGAGTTAATCTTTCCTGGATCCGGATAAGAGGACCCTCAGAAAAAGTCTGTTTGCGTTGCTGTATTTTTTTACTAATGCAGATTTTCTCTATAATGCAAATCTCCCACACAAAAGGGCAATTTTTTCAGGGGTATTTCTGTGGGTTGCAGCCCTTCAGAATAGCCATATAGAAATACACCAAAAAAGTATATTTTGTGGTGAAATATTCTGGTTTCTGTCAGAACAAACAGGTCTTGCTAAATTTTCTCCCAGTTTATAGCTATTAGATCATATCTTCCTTTTTCCCAATCATGTTCCTCCACAACTGTCTACTTCTTCATCATGCTTAGCATAAAATATACACAGTTTTCCCTGTTTCTTTGGGAAACACAGTTTTCCCCTCCGAATATACACAGTTTTCACCTCTGAAATTTCCATATTACGTAAAATTTATATTAAATACGTTGTATGGTTTTCTCTTGTAATCTGTCTTTTGTTACAGGAGTCACAGTCATGAACCTAGCGATGGGCGAGGAAAAGAAATAGCTTTTTCTCCTCTACAGTTTCACAGATAGCACATGCAGAAAAGCCGGTGAGACACACATATTCAGCTGGAGAAAAGACTTGACACATCACTTTTTATTTATTTATTTTGAGAAAGGATCTCACTCTGTCACCCAGGTTGAAGTGCAGTGGCACAATCTCGTCTCTGGTAGAGACAGGGTTTCACCATGTTGTCTAGGCTGATCTCGAACTACTGAGTCCATTGGATCCACCCACCTTGGCCTCCCAAGGTTCTGAGATTACAGGCATGAGCAACTGTGTCCAGCTCATACCACATTCTTAACATATGCTACTACATTCTTTACTCACCAGCTTATAGTTCACTACTATTTTTCCTCTCCCTTTCTCATTTGTTAATTTATTAATTTTCCATGACTTGGGAGGCAAAACTTTTATGTAACATAATAGCAATCTGTATCCCTTTAAAAACATTGGCTGTTTTTACACGCCATGTAAACCTCAGTAAAATGAGTACCTTAGAGAATTATATAGATTCCTCAGCAATTCCAAGAGATCCAATATCCTTTCCCTGTTGCAGACCAGAACTTTATCAGGCTACTTAGGTATGAAGTAAAACTACCAGTTCCTGTTTTCCATTAAGCAGAGCAAACAATAGGCAACAAACAAACAAACAAACAAACAAACCAGAATTCAAGCTTGTTGAAGCAACAATAGCAACGGAACAAATAATAATATGAAATTTCAATACAGAATTCTGTCAAAGTTTTTCCTTCTACTGTTCACAAAAATGTTCACCAAAACATCAGGCTTACTGACATAGGACAAACTGCATAATGCAATATGTTAAATAACAAGCATTGTCCATTATAATGAAAGGAAACAAGAGTCAAAGGCACGATATTCATAAAACACTTGGAATCTATAACCCACTAAAATTCAGGCTACCAGCCAAATATTATAACATCTTCAAACATCAGGTAACTTAAGGTGTATGATTTGAAACTGATAACACATAATTTCCAAAGAGCTCTGTATAGGTAAACAGTGGTGATGCAGTGAGCTATTTGTGTCGAGTATTTATTTCTTTGCTGTCTAATTGCTCCAACTCCCTAGACGTTAGGAGTCTATCACCTGCTGTTCCTCAGCTGCTAAGATCAGAGAATATAACACAGATGGAGTGAGCTATGTTCTCACGGCTGCTGCTTCACAGAGATAAGGCTGCAGGTTGGAGAAGTGCTCAGCTCTGCCTTCCTCTGAAAGAGCCTGAACAGCTATCAATAATTCCCAGTTACTCCTCTACCGTTATGTTAAACAACACTGCCTTGCATACACAGGTGCAATTAGATAAAAGAGAGTTGTTTAAATCACTTGAAATGCCTGTAGCTTTATTATTGCAGATCTTTGTGTTGTCTCTCGTCTTTTCTTTTTTTAAAAAACCTCTTTTTCCTGCCCACTCCCTCCCCCAGGTCTACTGCCAAACTGCAATGATTTAAGAACCTGGTTAAAATATTGGGTCACATTTCTTCACCAGTTGCCTTGAGCGTGTTTGGGGAGCTATTCTTTAGCCACCCTTGTCATTCTGCTGTCATTCACAGCATTATATTTCTAGGTATGAGAACATTGCAAAAATCAGTTATGCTCATTCAGGAACATGTATTATGTCTGGATATGATCTCACAATTAAAATAAACCAATTTCCAGCAGCCAGGGTATGGTAGCTGCAATCCCTTGTATCACTGAAATTTATACAGTTCTTAATTTTATCAAAGGACAAAGATCATTTTACCTCCAACTCCTAAATATGCAAATACAAACTCTCCACACCCTCTCCTGACACTGGAGAGTGGTAGAAAGGGTCGGACTGTGCTACTAAATCGGGCTTCATATAATTCACCATTTTGATCAGTTATCATAATTGACATCAGCTTTTGCTTCCTGTGAAGCAACACATGGAATGCACTTAGTACAGGGCCTCCTAGCCTATTTTCAAATATCAACTACTGCTGATTACCAATGTATTTTCGGCCCTTTCCCTCCTGATATGTCCTTGAGTATCAAGTTCAGTGGCTGTTTTCCCCCACTCAGCCTAGATACTCTGGGATTCTTTGAAAATAAGCTGATATGACTTTCATTAGTGTCTCCACACTTTAAAAATTTATCACGAACACTGGTACAAGTGTTCTTTATTATATAGAAACAATGATAAGGGATTCATTGTCACAAGATTTTTAAGCAGTGAACTGATTAAATACTCATTGCTTGGGTTAATTTTACATATTTAAAATGCTTTTTTTTTTTTTTTTTGAGACAGAGTCTCACTCTGTCGCCAGGCTGGAGTGCAGTGGCACAATCTCTGCTCACTGCAACCTCCTCCTCCCGGGTTCAAGAGATTCTTCTACCCCAGCCTCCCGAGTAGCTGGAAGTACAGGTGTGTGCCCCCACGCCCGGCTAATTTTTTTTTTTTTTGTACTTTTAGTAGATTTGGGTTTTCACCATGTTGGCCAGAATGGTCTCGATCTCTTGACCTCGTGATCTGCCTGCCTCAGCCTCCCAAAGTGCTGGGATTACAGGCGTGAGCCAATGCACCCAGCCAATGCATATGTTTTTTAATAAGTGTTTCTCATACTTTTCCTTAATCTCCTTTATCGTACTAGCATCTTATTATTTACTGTTGATACAACATTCTGATTTCCCCTCTAAGCCCAAGGTAAGCTGCTTCTTACTAAAAACCAATCATTTTAGAAACAATTAAACATGACCAAGCAAAGACTGAGCTTTATGGTCACACTCTGTTATGTAAATGAGGTAATTTAAAACAAACTTAGTGTTTTTTTCTTTTATATTTAAGCTTATATTGTTTTACCTAGATGTTTAAGCAACTCTGCCAAATGTACAGTTCACACTGTATCATAAATACTATTACAAATTTATTAAAATTATTTTCTGACATTTATGTAGTATATATGCATATATATTTTAAACTTTAGTTTAATTAAAAGGTGTTAAATAATTAGTAAACCTTAGAAGTAAATTATTTTCCGGATTAATGAATTTCTAATTTTATATAAAATTCAATTGGAAAATAGCACTACAGTATTCTCTTAGCAGACCACATCTTCTGTTTGCTACCTAAGAGATAATCTACAACCTCAAGTCTCTATGGTTGTGTACAATTCATCTGAGCTCATCAGGCTTACTGGAGAGTCAGGTTTCCCTCTGTGATGCAATATTTCATAGACTAAGCATCTTTACCATTTCCCCCGGATGTTCATGGTTTCACACCTTGGAATAGTAGAGGCCACCAGGCTCCTCTAGCCCATAGTGTGTTTCCACATTGACATCCTCCCAGTGGATACCCCAGTCAACAAACACCAGCAGCACCGGTTATGGCAGCAGTTTATTTTAGTCTCCTCGATGACCCAGAATTTCTTCTTTCCTTCAGTAACTGGTACTTCTAGGAAAAATACCTCTGAGAAAACCTCCTTATCTCTTATGATCTCTTGGTAGCTACACAACTCATTATTACTTTCTTGACTCCATGTTAAAAATTCATGTTAGGCATGATTTTACAAGCATTTGGTGTCCTGTACAATGTCATTAAAGAAGGAGTATCTGTAAGGGGAAACGTGAGATATTTTCTGTGAAGTTGGAAGACACGGTACTCAAGACCATCCTCACTTTGAATACCAGTTGTATGTTTGGGGGTTTCCCAAGATCACTCTCAGATTTAACAAGTCACTAGAAAGACCCAGGGAACTCACTGAAAGCCGTGATATATTCATGGTTATGGTTTATTACAGAGAAAGAATATAGAATAAAATCTGCCAAGGGAAGAGATGCACAGGGTGGAGTTCAATGAAGTGGGGGTGTGGGTGTTTCAAATGTGAGGCTTCTATTATTTTCAGGATGCATTACCCTCCTGACATCAATGTGTGACAATATGCATAGAATATTGCCAACCGAGGAGGCTCCTCAGAACTTTAGTTTCCAGAGATTTTACTGGAACTCTATGTTTGACTGCCCACATGGCTGACCTCTAGTCTATGGACTGTTGGAGGCTGAATGGATACCATGTGGCCCAAAGACGTCATCATAATTCACATGAACAGCAGCACTATTTCAATTTATGACATGTAATATGTATGGATCAGTGGAGCTTGTGGTTTTCATTGTTCTGTGTGTGTGAGGGTGATGATAGAAACCATGAATTATTTTGCCTAATGACAGTATTTTAATGCATATCTTTTGAATTTAGCAGGCCAGTAGATTTTTTGTTGATTCTCAGATCAGCTGAGGTCTCCCTAGCACCTCCGATTTGAGTTTCAGAATCCTATATAGATAATATTCTAGGGAAGTCCATTGACTCAGATTTTATTGGTTTATAGAAACATGATTGTATTGTATTTATTTGGATTTGAATATAAGTAAAATATTTTCCATGGTAACTCTTTTTTTCTAGGAATATGTGATATCTCTCTAATTATTCAGGTCTTGTTTTACATTTTTAAGTAGAGATTTATTACTTTCTTCATAACAGTCTTGCAGATTAATGTTGTTTAACCCTTCTTTTATTTGTATTGTGGGAAAGATACTTGTATTCGTCTGTTTTCCTGCTGCTAATAAAGGCAAACCTGAAACTGGGTAATTTATACAGGAAAGAGGTTTAATTGACCCACAGTTCCACGTGGCTAGGAAGCCTCACGATCATGGCAGAAAGCAAAGGGGAAGCAAGACATGTCTTACATGGCAGCAAGCAAGAGAGCGTGTGCAGGGAAACTGCCCTTTTATAAAATCATCACATCTCATGAGACTTATTCACTATCATGACAACAGCACGGGAAAAACCTGCCCCCATGAATCAATTAACTCCCACTGGGTCCCTTCCACAATATGCGGGAATTATGGGAATTACAATTCAAGATGAGATTTGGGTGAGGACACAACAAAACCATATCAACACTTTTACATTACTTTTAAAAAATCTGTTTATTTCTGATATTATAGAACTACAGTATAGAGCAGGGATATGGCATAAGGTATAATATATCTTGTCTTGAATGTTACTGTATTCTCTCATAAATTTGAATATAATGTTAATGTACCTATATTTCTATGTATTATTAATAATAAAAGCTATCATTATTAACATTCCACTACTAAGATGACTAAATTCTTCAATTTTCTACTATATTTCTTAAAATAATAATATAAATAATAGTTGTTCAATTGGGCATCATTTCTTTGTTCTCTGTTAATAAGGGGTTTTCTATTGATTCATGATATTCTTCAATAGGGTAAATATCTTGTGTCCTATTCTTAGTTTGTCACATGATTGTTTTTTAAAAATTAAAAATGCATACTGATTTCAAATTATTTTTTCATATCTTAAAATATATTTGTAGTTTTCTTTTTTAATCTAATAATATGTATTTTTATTATTTCCTACTTTCTCATAACATTTAAGACTTAATTTTTGTAGAAAAATTTTAGCTGCATTGTGTAATATTTTTATATGTTGTATTCTCAGTTTTGTTCAATTCTAGTTTATTACATACTTTGATTTCCTGTTTATTTGAATAAATATTTGGAAATGTAAAACATTTGATCTTTATTCCATTTCTTCCTTCCCTCCTTTCTTCTTTTCTTCTCCTTTCAATTTTCTAATACCACTTTCCAAAACTGAACAATTTGTGCTAAATATTTTTGTGTTTGGCTTTATAATGTTGTTGGATTTTTAAAATCCAAAACATTGTTATACTGGCAAACACTATGGTTTGCTTAGTTAATAGGTGTTCTCCAATTTTGCATACCAACAAAACTCCTTGTTTTGACTCCAAAGTTCCCAGTTGCAGAGGATTCATTATCATTGGTTTTGGTCATAGAAACCAATCTTATTCTCCTTGATAAATCCTTGCTTTCATGACTGTCCTGGCTGCTAGAGCTGGGCATGTGACCTAGTTCTGTCCAATGAGTTGTAACTGGAGATATCCTGAGGAAGCAATTGGAAAAAGAATATCCTCTTAGATAATAAGGGGATAACAGATGGAGATAGCTCCTGCTTCTTCTGCCTCCTGCCCTTGAATAAAACCTAACTCTGCAGTGGCTGAAGCTGTGACAATCCTTTGGTCTCCCAGGGAAAAACAAGAAAATTATAATAGAAACAGCTTAACGTCTATATATGTACCAACTTTTCTTGATGTTAGTTGCAGTCAGGTCATTAAGTTCTGACGAAAGATATGCAACTTTTGATATTTTTCCTCTTTCTAGTTTATCCTGTTGCATACAGCTCTAGCTAAAGCAATTTTTTTTACCTTAAGGTGAATTGAAAATGGAATTCCAAATAAAAATGATGTAACAACAAAAGAAAATGTTAGATATCCAATTCTGTAGGGCATCTTTCAGCCATGGTTCATGTATCTGAACTTTTACACAGTAAATAATTAAATTTCCATATTTTTAGCCAGTTTTTATTTTGAATTTTCTGTCCCTTAAATCCAAAACTAATCTTAACTAATACTGGTGTTGACTCAGAATCCTGATTTTTGTGAGATGAGTAAGGAAAAGCGTGACTGCTTAACTTTAGGTTCTTGTTAAGTGAAATATTTTCTTACTTCATGGTTGGTTTTTCTGTTGCTTATAGGAAAAGTGTTCACTATAAAAAATAAAGACTTCACAGATATAGCCATAGATTTGATAATTATCCTTATTTGTTATATTAATTTCTCTACGTGAGGAGAAAAGGAACTGCCAATAACCTACAGAATTGATACTTCTGGGGTACATTTTGAAGCATCATATTTGAAAACAAACCTACTGACCTCTGTTGCTGATTTTCATAGGCAGAGCTTTTAAAGAAAGTAATCTCCCTTATAATATAGCATTTACATTTCCATATTTCATAGCTATAATATAGTTTTATAGCATGATAGTACAATTTCTATTTAATTTGATACCTGACTTAATATATGTGTATGTGTATTTATCTATGTGTTTAAATTCTAATATTCAAAATTGTTCCAAAAACACAATTCTGCCCTTTGTGATATGATAAAGCCCAGATAGAAAGCTCTTAATTTTTGTCATTCAAACATCTACACTTTAATGCTTAAATAAAAGCTGTCATCCAAATATAAAGCATTCTCTGGAGATATTACATATTTTAAAGATCATGGCTAGTGGACTGAGTTTAGTAAATTAATACGTAAAAAGTTAATTCTAAGTTAATTTCATAAAGAATGTCCAGGGGACAATAAGTAGCTTGAAGAAGACATTGTTCAGAAAAGTAGAAAGTTGTTGCTTTTTCCAGCTGGTTGATATTTCAGGGTCATTTTGTATTTTAAAATTGCCAGTCTTTCTACCACTTGAATATCTTGGAGCTGTGTATATGAACATAGTCAACTCTTTCATTGCCTTGAGCATTGCTGGAGGATATTCAAGCTATTTGCTGATCTCTAGCTATGTTTTAACCAAACTTTATTTTATAAAGAGTCCCTAGGTGCAACTATGAGGCATTTTTATGCCTCCTTTGATTGATTCTTCCAGCCATAGCCCTCGGTGATTTGGTAATACTTTAAATCCTTGCCTAAGTTGTTTCACTATTAGATAACCAGTGTGTAGACCTGCCAGAATATTTGTATTCCTTTCTCTGTGGCCAAGAACTGACTTAATGTTCCCTGAGAGAATTTCATTGTTTGATGGCCCTCCTCATTCTGTTTTCTACGGTCTGTGGTTTTACACAAAACTTATTATCTTTGAAGTTAGGCCTCATCTTCTTATCCTTCTAATCCTATCACCTCCAGTTTTTTTTTTCTTAGAGATGGAATTAAAAGGCAGTCATACCTGATTTTGAAACTAAGCCCCACTAGTGTTTGACTAAGGCTAAGAAACTGACCTCTTTACCACAAGTTCCATAAACTGCACATTGTAAAAAATAAAGTTGTGATGTAATAGTGCCAGTCACATGGTAACTACTTAATAAACTTCAGTTTATCTCTTTCCCTTTTACTCATATTGCAATTATAATTTGTTCTTTTGTATTGAAGAACTAATGGACTTTTTAATAATAAATATAGTCTTCAGTCAACATTTATTGCATATGTATAATCAGATTTAATCAATAATTTTTTTTATTGTTTTTGTTCTTGAGTTAACTGGTTGCTAATTTGTAACTCAGAACTTTTCTGATTAATAGGACAACTATGCATTTTTTAAATAAGAAATACATGGTTGAAATAGAGCAATACCAATTTGTTACTACATTTGGATGAGTGTGCACATTTTTGAATTTATTGAATAATAGTAATTTTTATGATTAAACCATTCATTAGTACTTTAGAATATATTAACCTGGAGTTTTCAAATTTATATTCAAGGCGATTGTATGTTAAAATGCAAATATTTTATATTCAGGTTTTGTAAAAAATATTGTTTTGCCTCTCTTAAGCTTTAAACATTGATTTAAATAAGGTCTAAGTAATCAATTTATTAAGTGATCAATCTTTGTATTCAACATGACTTTTATGTTCCCAAAACTATCTTAATCTCACCTAGAATTTTATACTTACACTTCAGGATTCTTAGTTCCATAGCAATATTGTTCTAGTTTTACATACAGGAGAATTTTGCTTTTAACTTGTGGTGTAAAACCATGATATTTTCTTAGCAGTTAACCATGTTTGTTTGTTATTTTAGCTACTGTAAATTGGATTTATGCCTGGGATTTAGTAAGCCCAGGACATAGAAACTGTGTGTGTGTGTGTGTGTGTGTGTGTTTGTGTGTGTATATACATATACATATATATATATACTATATATATATATATATAGAGAGAGAGAGAGAGAGAGAGAGTTTTTTTTTTTTTTTTTTTGAGATGGAGTCTCGCTCTGTCACCCAGGGTGGAGTGCAATGGCGTGATCTTGGCTCACCACAACCTCTGCCTCCTCGGTTCAAGTGATTCTCCTGCCTCAGCCTCCCGAGTAGCTGAGATTATAGGTGCCCGCCACCACACCCAGCTAATTTTTTATATTTTTAGTAAAGATGGGGTTTCACCATGTTGGCCACTCTGGTCTTGAACTCCTGACCTCAGGTGATCCACCCGCCTCGGCCTCCCAAAGTGTTGAGATTACTGTGTGAGCCACCATGCCTGGCTGAAACTGTCTATTTTTCTGAGAAATTCCAATATCATGGGCATCCCAATATTTTTAGAAAAATTAAAAGCTTTTATTCCTAAATAAGCTTATAGAAATAAAAAAATTGCAATTTTTTAAAAAAATTCAAAACATTTTTCATTAATCATTTTACAAAGATACTACTGGGAGAATTAGTCCATTAAAAATAATGGGTGATATCTTCTTCTTCCACTTAGAACATAGAGTTGCAAGAGGATTGTCTCTTCAATCCTAACCACGCGAAACTTAAAGTCATAGTTTCTTAAGCTCATTAGAGATGGGAGCATGCAAAGAAACCTACTAAATTATAACCCACACAGTGATTTGCTTAGAATAGAAGTGATCCACAAATGCTTTAATCTGTGGCCAAACAGCTGAATAATGAAGAAGCCACCAAAGCTATGAGCAAGAAGAAAACAGTTATACTTTCAATGAGTTGTTAAAGACTAATAACAGACTGGTATGACAGAATCCCTAGGAGACATAGATGAAAAATATCTGCAACTATCCGCCAACTCTTTCCCACAAGCCTTATTGAGCTCTCATGAGAAAGATTGTGGGCAGCACAGGAGAGCTGAGACAGATTCCATGGGAGGTTCAGGTGTGTAGGGCCTGCTGAAGTCTGAGGGGAAGAAGTAGGACTGAGAGAAACCTCTGGACACTTCAGATACTCATCATGTGGTAATGTGATGAGCCTGCTAAAATGTGAGGGCAGAGCAGTATAACTGCGAGAAAGCCCTTAGGCCATGGTGCCTTATACTTAATAGGGAAAAGCACCTCTCTGTGCCTAGAGAACAGGTGAGAATGACTTCTAAAGGTGCAAAGGTACAGAGATTACTGAGGTCTGAGGACAATGAGAAAAAAAAAATGGAGGGCATCCCTATATGCACTCTGGGTCTGACAATAAGCATGCAGCAGATGCCATTTGTAGCTGGGTGTGGGGAAAGAAAGATGAAATAAAACTATCCCAAGTGCATGAGCATGAGATCTGATGACATGAAAATAAATGGCTCAGACACTCAGATCCCAAGTTTATTAAAATAAAGGTTCTAAAACTACCCTCAAATAATTTGAAACCTGTAGGGAACTAAATCTAACTGAAGCAACAACAGAGTTTAGACCTAGGTCAACTATAGGCTAGGTTGACTCAGAAGGAGCATGCCCTTTTATAGCCAAAAATATTTACGTCAGCATCTATTTTTTTTCACAAATTGTCCAGAACGTAAGCAAAATTTATTAGACAAATGAAGAGGAAAGAAAATGCTTCAGGAGAGAAGCAGTCAAGAGATGTGAGAATTATCAAACAGGGACTTAAAAATAACTGTAATAAAAATGTTAAACGGTCTTAAGGATAGGCCAGCTATTTTAAAGTAACTATGTGAAATATGTTAAATGACCTTGGGCAAAAAGCAGATGACAACAAGCAGGAACAGATGGGAACTACTAGCACAGCATATATTATAAAGAATAAGGTCAACGGAAAATGCTAGAAATTAAAAATATGGCAACAGAAATGAATAATTATTCTGATCAGCTAGCTTATTGGAAGACTGCACAGCAGAGGAAAGAATCAGTGAGTCAGTGACCAACAGGCAAGTAAGTAGAAACTGTTCAAATTGAAACACCAAAAGTAAAAGAGTGTATTACTCCATTCTGTCATTGCTATAAAGAACTACTTGAGACTGGGTAATTTATAAAGAAAAGAGTCTTAATTGAATTAAAGTTCCACAGACTGTACAGGAAGCATGGCTAGGGAGGCCTCAGGAGACTTACAATCATGGCAGAAGGTGAAGGAGGAGCTGGCACATCCTACATGGATGGAGCAGAAGGAAGAGTGAGCAGTGGGAGTTGATACACACTTTTAAACAACCAGCTCTCATGAGAACTCACTCACTACCATGAGAACAGCACAGGAGAAATCCATCCCCATAATCCAATCACTTCCCACCAGGCTCCTCATCCAACACTGGGGATCACAATTCTACATGAGATTTGAGTGGGGACACAAATCCAAACCATATCAAAGAGTAAATAAAAGAAAATGGAGCTTGCAAGATTAAAGGGATGCTATAAAATACAAATATTGAATATAAAATTAAATCATAATATGAAACATAGTCATTGAAGCTCAAGAAGTTGAAGTAAAATTGCACAGAAGAAACTATTTAAAGATAGAATAGCAAATGTTTTTTCAAAATTGGTATTACATCAATTCACAGGTTAAGCACAATGTGTATGCTGAAACTGTACGTGGACATATCATGGTGGAACTGCTGAAAAACAAAGGAAAAGAGGAAACAGTAAAAACTGGTGGAGGAAAAAAGACATTACATTCTTTAAGGTGGAATAACATTGAGACAATTGCTGATTTCTTACCAGAAATGATTGAAACCAAAAAAAATTAGAATGAAATATTTATACTGTTGGAAAAAAATTATGCATAAAAATTTCTATATTCAAAGAAATAATCTTGTAAAATAAAGGTAAAATAAAGGTATGTTTAAATAAAAGCTCAAAGAATTTGCAGCAATGCATTTCAAGAAAGACTAAAATAAGTTCTTCAGGCTATAGAAAGTGAATATCTATAAATCTAATACACATAAACCTAGAACATCAGAAAGATGTAAATATATAGAACATATTTACAAAAAATTTTGAAATATCTACATCTATGTTCATAACTTTATATCAATATTTGTATCTATCTCTTTAAATGTCTTTAAGATACTATGGACTGTTTAAAGCAATATAACAATGAACTGTGATATCCTGTAACATTTGTGTAATTAAATATATGATGAGAACACAAAAATCAGGAAGGTAATAATTCAAATTATATTTTTGTAAAATTCTTATTGTTTATAAAGTAGTACATTATTTTAGAAGCTAGATTGTTATAGATTAAAGATACATAAGAGAAACGACAAAATAAATAACACAAAGAAACACGACTAAAAATGAAAAGAAGAGATAAAATGGAATACTAAAAATATCAATTCACTCTAGAGATGAAAAACAAATACCATTTTAGTAGACTTAAACTCAAACATAGTAATTATTACATTAAAAGTAAATGTCATTTGGTTCTTCTAGAAAGTTTACTCACACAGAGTAGAAGTTCAAGATATTTTCTCACGGTAACACCTGTGAATAACAAACACGAGGGTCATTAGGAATAGCAGGAAAGCATTTCTATTGCCAATGTATTAATACTGGTAAAACTAGAAAGAGAAGGAAAACAGATTGCATAAAAAGAGCTTTAGATTGTAAAGTATCTTTTTCATCAACTTGTAGTAAGGATATATGCTAACAGCGTGACTTATTGTTGATGATATTAACTTTGATTACCTGACCAAAGTAGTGTTGAACAGCTTTTTCAACTGTAAAGGCATTCTCCTCTCTTCCACACTGTAGTTTTTGAAAGCAAGTCACTATTTGCTACAACCCACACTCAAGAGACAGTGTCTTAGTCTATTTGGGCTACTATAACAAAATATCATGAACTGAGTGGCTTAAAAATAACAGAAATTTATTCCTTACAGTTGTGGAGTCTTGGAACTCTTAAGTTCAAGGTATTGGCAGATTTAATGTCTGGTTAGGGTCCACTTTCTGTTTCATAGAGGGCGCCTTCTTGCTGTGTTCTTAGATGATAGAATGGGGTGAGGCAGCTATCTCACTGCAACCTCCACCTCCGGGTTCAAGCGATTCTTCTACCTCAACCTCCTGAGTAGCTGGGATTACAGGCATCTGCCACCACATCTGGCTAGTATTTTGTATTTTTAGTAGAGATGTGGCTTCACCATGTTAGGCAGGTTTGTCTTGAACTCCTGACCTCACATGATCCATCCACCTCAGCCTCCCAAAGTGCTGGGATTACAGGGTGAGTCACTGCGCCCGGCCTAGCAAAATTTCAAGTATACAATACAGTATTGTGTTAACTCTAGTCTCCATGCTGTACACCAGATCTTCAGAACTTATTCATCTTATAACTGAAAGTTTGTGCACGTTCATCAACATGCATCCATTTCCCCTAACCGCCAGGCCATTGTCCATTAGCAACCAGTATTCTACTCTCAGTTTCCATGAGTTGGATTTTTATGAATTCCACATATCAGTGAGATTGCACAGTATTTATCTTTCTGTGTCTGGCTTTTTCACTTAGCATAATCCATCCAGATTTATTCATGTTGTTGCAAAAGACAGTATTTCTTCTTTTTTATGGCTGATTAGTATTCCATTGTGTATATGTACTACATTTTCTTTATTTATTCATCTGTTGATAGCATTCAAGTTGTTTTCATACCTTGGCTATTATAAATAATGCTGCAATGAGCAAGAGAGTGCAGATATTTCTTTGAGCTAATGATTTTATTTACTTCGAATATATACCCAGAAATGATCGTTCTATTTTTAATTTTTTGAGGATTCTGCAAACTGTTCTTTGTAGTAGTTGTACCAATTCACATTCCCATCAGCAGTGTACTGGGGTTCTCTTTCTCCACATCCTCACCAAGAGTCGTTATTTCTCATCTTTTTGAGAGTAGCTGTACTCTAGGCTCATCTTGTGTATTCCCTGCTCATCTTTGGATTAGGCCATTTCTCCAAGGAATCTTGATTTATTTTATTGGAGAACAGTTTTAGAAACAAAGACCTGGTAGTTGAGTGTGTCAGTTTTACTGTAGTGTTGCTACTTCTAGGTCTTCAACTGATAGAACTAGAGAATATATATATGTGTACTAACTCATGTTTACACAAATATATATAATCATTTACCTACTTATATATTTGTATCTGTATTACGCTAGACATAAGTTCACACAGCTGTCCCTAACTCTAATCCATTACCACGTGGTTCATTCTAGTTTCCCCTGTCCTTGCCTATCTGAAACTGCTCTCCCAATAGAAATAAACCTGCCTCACAGCATCCACCATGTATTTACATATTCGTTCGACCCTACTCTACATATACAGCTTTTTCAGAATTGTTAACCCAGGTGGCTGTGAAAAACAACTATAGTGTTTATGTACAGTTCCTTTTGTTTCTAGTCTTAGAGTTTCCAATCAAAGCACCGTTTTCCAAAATTACTTGTCAGCTAGTTTTCTGCCCACCCTTTTCAGTGAGGATTTTCCATAAATTTGTGATACAGCTAGAATCTTTTCGTCACTATGTTCATTGCATACAATACAGTCTTCTGGTTAATTCCTTTAATTTGTATAAATTAAGGTTTACTCATTTTGTTGTACATCTTTTTTTTGTTGTTGTTGTTGTTTTGCGATGGAGTCTTGCTCTGTCATCCAGGCTGAAGTGCAATGGCGTGGTCTTGGCTCACTGCAACCTCCACCTCCCAGGTTCAAGCAATTCTCCTGCCTCAGCCTGTGGAGTAGCTGGGATTACAGCGGTCTGCCATCATGCCTGGCTAATTTTTGTATTTTTAGTAGATATGGGGTTTCACCATGTTGGCCACACTGGTCTCAAACTGCTGATCTCGTGATCCGCCCGCCTCGGTCCCCAGAGTGCTGGGATTACAGGTGTGAGCCACTGCGCCCGGCCTTTTTGTGGTACATCTTTATGGGTTTCAACAAACGCATAGCATTTTATATCCACCACTACACTACAATATGGATTAATTCCATTGAACTGAAACATCTTAGTGCCTCTCCTAGTCAAATACTCTCCCTTCCACAATCATTTGAATATCCTGATCTGTCTTTCAGTCCAACAGTTTTCCCTTCTCCAAAATGTCATACGAATGGACTTCAACATAGACTTTCAGCCTGACTTCTTATGTATAGCAACATCCACTTAAAGTTCATCTAAGTAGCTCCATGAGTTAATAGCTTATTTATTTTTATTACTGAGTAATATTCCATTATATGGATGTACCACTGTTTATTGATCCATTAATCCAACTACAGGATATTATTTCAACATTGCTTGAAATTTTTGGTGATTATGAATAAAACTGCTAAAAACATTCATCTGCATGTATTTCTTAGACATATATTTTCAAATCAATTGTGTAAATATTCAGGAACACGCTTGCTACCTTGTATGATAAATCTAAGTTATATTTAGTAAGATACTGCCAAACTACATTGCAAAGTGCCTTTTTGTATCCCCAGCAGCGATGAATGAGAGGTCCTGCTGCTCTGAGTCCTTGCCAGGTTTGGGAATTGTCAGTGAAGAGTCTATTTAGATCTTTTGCCTTGTTATTAATTAAGTACAAGCTCTTTATCAGATATATTATTTGTAAATATTTTCTCCCAGTTTATGACTTGTCTTTTCATTCTTGCAACTGCATCCTTCACAGAGCAAAATATTTTAAAATTTTATTTAAAGTTTAATTTTTCATTATGTTCTTTCATGAGTTATACTGTTAATGCTGTACTTTAAAACACACAGTCAAGCCCTAGGTA
Source organism: Homo sapiens (assembly GCF_000001405.40). NCBI lineage: Eukaryota > Metazoa > Chordata > Mammalia > Primates > Hominidae > Homo > Homo sapiens. The sequence continues at coordinate 47,793,217 of NC_000014.9, forward strand.
ATGTAGATTGTTGTCCTATGTTTTCTTCTAGATGCAGAATTTCTTTTTCACTCTTTTTGCTGTAAGTTTTTATGTGTTTTGACCCTATTTGTGTAAGTATATTTTTGGAATCTCTATTGTGTTCCAGTGATCGGTATTTCTATCTTTTTGTTAATAGCAAACAGTTGTAATTACTGAAGCTTAATAACATGCTTTAAAATCAGGTAATAGGAGTCTTGCAAATTTTTTTTTTGAAAAATTGTTCTGATTATTTTAGTAGCTTTACCTTTCCACATAAATATTGAACCATCTTATGAACAGAACATCTACAAAAAGCTTGCTGAGATTTTTATTTATTTATTTATTTTTGAGATAGAGTCTAGCTCTGTCACCCACGCTGGAGTGCAGTGATGCGATCTCGGCTCACTGCAACCTCCGCCTCCCAGGTTCAAGTGATTCTCCTGCCTCAGCCTCCTGAGTAGCTGGGATTACAGGCACCCACCACCATGCCCAGCTGATTTTTATATTTTTAGTAGAGATGGGGTTTCATTGTGTCGGCCAGACTGATCTGGAACTCCTGACCTCACGATCCGCCCACCTCAGCCTCTCATCTTGCTGGGATTTTTATTGAGATTCTGTTAAATTAATAGATGGAATTGGGAAAAATTAACATCTAAACATTATGGAATGTTCAATTCTTTCTTTTTTTCATTGCTGAATATAAAAAAAAAATTTAAACTTAAAAAATACTAATTATAGTAGCATAAACATTGAAGCACATAGACATAAATATAGCAAAATATGTTAACATAAGTTTTAAGGAACAGAAATCAACAGAGTATGTTCTCTGACCATGTGGGAATTAAAATAGAAATCAATAACAGAAAGATAATTTTGACAAACACCAAATTTGTGAAAATTACTCAACATACTCTAAATTGCCATGAGTCAAAAAAAAAAAAAAAAAGAAATCAGTATTAGGAAATACTTAGAAATGAATATTAGTAACAACATGAATTTTCAAAATGTGTGAGATGAAGCTAAAGTGTATACTACAAGGTAATTTAGTAACTATGTTTACAAATCAAAAATACATGGAATTTATAATATATGTCTCAAATTTATAAAGTTAGAAAAAAGAAACTAAAGATAACAGTGGAAGTCATTAAAAATGAAAATGAACAAAAAGTAAAGAATGTCAACAAAGTAAAAAGGCAATACTTGAAAAGACTAGTAAAATTTGTAATCCTCTGGAAAGAGAAAAGCTACAAATTACCAAAATAAGAAATGAAATAATGGATGTCATTTCTCAGTACTACATTACTAAGAAAATGCAACAAATAATTCGGTGTGAATAAGTTTGACAACGTGAATGGAGTAGAAAAAAATTGTTTTGAATTTTTTGAAAGACGTAATTGGCACAAGACATAGAAAAATCTCAACAGTATTATTAATATTTAAAAAAATAAAATTTTAATGATGGAATCTTCTTGCAAAGATAACTCTAGGACTGTTTTGCTTCACTAGTGGATTCTAGGCATTTAAGAAAATGACAATATACTAATTATATTAGAAAACAGAAGAAAAAGAAGTATTTAAAACTTATTTTATTAGGCAAGTATGTCTTTGATTCCAAAACCAGACAAGGATACTCAAACAGAGAAGTATTGCAGACAAATACCTCTCATGAATAAGAGGCAAATATTTCTTTTAAAAATATCAGCAAATTGAATGCTACATATAAAACATATTACAAGAAAATATGGTTTACCGCACCTGGCTCGGAGGGTCCTACGCCCACGGAGTCTCCCTGATTGCTAGCACAGCAGTCTGAGATCAAACTGCAAGGCGGCAGCCAGGCTGGGGGAGGGGCGCCCGCCATTGCCCAGGCTTGATTAGGTAAACAAAGCAGCTGGGAAGCTCGAACTGGGTGGAGCCCACCACAGCTCAAGGAGGCCTGCCTGCCTCTGTAGGCTCCACCTCTGGGGGCAGGGCACAGACAAACAAAAAGACAGCAGTAACCTCTGCAGACTTAAATGTCCCTGTCTGACAGCTTTGAAGGGAGCAGTGGTTCTCCCAGCACGCAGCTGGAGATCTGAGAACGGGCAGACTGCCTCCTCAAGTGGTTCCCTGACACCTGACCCCCGAGCAGCCTAACTGGGAGGCACCCCCCAGCAGGGGCACACTGACACCTCACACGGCAGGGTATTCCAACAGACCTGCAGCTGAGGGTCCTGTCTGTTAGAAGGAAAACTAACAAACAGAAAGGACATCCACACCAAAAACCTATCTGTACATCACCATCATCAAAGACCAAAAGTAGATAAAACCACAAAGATGGGGAAAAAACAGAACAGAAAAACTGGAAACTCTAAAACGCAGAGTGCCTCTCCTCCTCCAAAGGAACGCAGTTCCTCACCAGCAACGGAACAAAGCTGGATGGAGAATGACTTTGACGAGCTGAGAGAAGAAGGCTTCAGACGATCAAATTACTCTGAGCTACGGGAGGACATTCAAACCAAAGGCAAAGAAGTTGAAAACTTTGAAAAAAATTTAGAAGAATGTATAACTAGAATAACCAATACAGAGAAGTGCTTAAAGGAGCTGATGGAGCTGAAAACCAAGGCTCGAGAACTACGTGAAGAATGCAGAAGCCTGAGGAGCCGATGTGATCAACTGGAAGAAAGGGTATCAGCAATGGAAGATGAAATGAATGAAATGAAGCGAGAAGGGAAGCTTAGAGAAAAAAAGTATAAAAAGAAATGAGCAAAGCCTCCAAGAAATATGGGACTATGTGAAAAGACCAAATCTACGTCTGATTGGTGTACCTGAAAGTGATGGGGAGAATGGAACCAAGTTGGAAAACACTCTGCAGGATATTATCCAGGAGAACTTCCCCAATCTAGCAAGGCAGGCCAACGTTCAGATTTAGGAAATACAGAGAACGCCACAAAGATACTCCTCGAGAAGAGCAACTCCAAGACACATAATTGTCAGATTCACCAAAGTTGAAATGAAGGAAAAATGTTAAGGGCAGCCAGAGAGAAAGGTCGGGTTACCCTCAAAGGGAAGCCCATCAGACTAACAGCGGATCTCTCGGCAGAAACCCTACAAGCCAGAAGAGAGTGGGGGCCAATATTCAACATTCTTAAAGAAAAGAATTTTCAACCCAGAATTTCATATCCAGCCAAATTAAGCTTCATAAGTGAAGGAGAAATAAAATACTTTACAGACAAGCAAATGCTGAGAGATTTTGTCACCACCAGGCCTGCCCTAAAAGAGCTCCTGAAGGAAACGCTAAGCATGGAAAGGAACAAACGGTACCAGCCGCTGCAAAATCATGCCAAAATGTAAAGACCATCAAGAACAGGAAGAAACTGCATCAACTAACGAGCAAAATAACCAGCTAACATCATAATGACAGGATCATATTCACACATAACAATATTAACTTTAAATGTAAATGGATTAAATGCTCCAATTAAAAGACACAGACTGGCAAACTGGATAAAGAGTCAAGACCCATCAGTGTGCTGTATTCAGGAAACCCATCTCACGTGCAGAGACACACATAGGCTCAAAATAAAAGGATGGAGGAAGATCTACCAAGCAAATGGAAAACAAAAAAAGGCAGGGGTTGCAATCCTAGTCTCTGATAAAACAGCCTTTAAACCAACAAAGATCAAAGAGACAAAGAAGGCCATTACATAATGGTAAAGGGATCAATTCAACAAGAAGAGCTAACTATCCTAAATATATATGCACCCAATACAGGAGCACCCAGATTCATAAAGCAAGTCCTGAGTGACCTACAAAGAGACTTAGACTCCCACACATTAATAATGGGAGACTTTAACACCCCACTGTCAACATTAGACAGATCAACGAGACAGAAAGTCAACAAGGATACCCAGGAATTGAACTCAGCTCTGCACCAAGTGGACCTAATAGACATCTACAGAACTCTCCACCCCAAATCAACAGAATATACATTTTTTTCAGCACCACACCACACCTATTCCAAAATTGAGCACATACTTGGAAGTAAAGCTCTCCTCAGCAAATGTAAAAGAACAGGAATGATAACAAACTATCTCTCAGACCACAGTGCAATCAAACTAGAACTCAGGATTAAGAATCTCACTCACAACCGCTCAACTACATGGAAACTGAACAACCTGCTCCTGAATGACTACTGGGTACATAACGAAATGAAGGCAGAAATAAAGATGTTCTTTGAAACCAACGAGAACAAAGACACAACTCACCAGAATATCTGGGACGCATTCAAAGCAGTGTGTAGAGGGAAATTTATAGCACTAAATGCCCACAAGAGAAAGCAGGAAAGATCCAAAATTGACACCCTAACACCACAATTAAAAGAACTAGAAAAGCAAGAGCAAACACATTCAAAAGCTAGCAGAAGGCAAGAAATAACTAAAATCAGAGCAGAACTGAAGGAAATAGAGACACAAAAAACCCTTCAAAAAATTAATGAATCCAGGACCTGGTTTTTTGAAAGGATCAACAAAATTGATAGACCGCTAGCAAGACTAATAAAGAAAAAAAGAGAGAAGAATCAAATAGACACAATAAAAAATGATAAAGGGGATATCACCACCGATTCCACGGAAATTCAAACTACCATCAGAGAATACTACAAACACCTCTATGCAAATAAACTAGAAAATCTAGAAGAAATAGATAAATTCCTTGACACATACACTCTCCCAAGACTAAACCAGGAAGAAGTTGAATCTCTGAATAGACCAATAACAGGATCTGAAATTGTGGCCGTAACCAATAGCTTACCAACCAAAAAGAGTCCAGGACCAGATGGATTCACAGCCGAATTCTACCAGAGGTACAAGGAGGAACTGCTACCATTCCTTCTGAAACTATTCCAATCAATAGAAAAAGAGGGAATCCTCCCTAACTCATTTTATGAGGCCAGCATCATTCTGATACCAAAGCCGGGCAGAGACACAACCAAAAAAGAGAATTTTAGACCAATATCCTTGATGAACATTGATGCAAAAATCCTCAATAAAATACTGGCAAACCGAATCCAGCAGCACATCAAAAAGCTTATCCACCATGATCAAGTGGGCTTCATCCCTGGGATGCAAGGCTGCTTCAATATATGCAAATCAATAAATGTAATCCAGCATATAAACAGAGCCAAAGACAAAAACCACATGATTATCTCAATAGATGCAGAAAAAGCCTTTGACAAAATTCAACAACCCTTCATGCTAAAAACTCTCAATAAATTAGGTATTGATGGGACGTATTTCAAAATAATAAGAGCTATCTATGACAAACCCACAGCCAATATCATACTGAATGGGCAAAAACTGGAAGCATTCCCTTTGAAAACTGGCACAAGACAGGGATGCCCCCTCTCACCACTCCTGTTCAACATAGTGTTGGAAGTTCTGGCCAGGGCAATTAAGCAGGAGAAGGAAATAAAGGGTATTCAATTAGGAAAAGAGGAAGTCAAATTGTCCCTGTTTGCAGATGACATGATTGTATATCTAGAAAACCCCATTGTCTCAGCCCAAAATCTCCTTAAGCTGATAAGCAACTTTAGAAAAGTCTCAGGATACAAAATCAATGTACCAAAATCACAAGCATTCTTATACACCAACAACAGACAAACAGAGAGCCAAATCATGAGTGAACTCCCATTCACAATTGCTTCAAAGAGAATAAAATACCTAGGAATCCAACTTACAAGGGATGTGAAGGACCTCTTCAAGGAGAACTACAAACCACTGCTCAAGGAAATAAAAGAGGATACAAACAAATGGAAGAACATTCCATGCTCATGGGTAGGAAGACTCAATGTCGTGAAAATGGCCATACTGCCCAAGGTAATTTACAGATTGAATGCCATCCCCATCAAGCTACCAATGACTTTCTTCACAGAATTGGAAAAAACTACTTTAAAGTTCATATGGAACCAAAAAAGAGCCCGCATCGCCAAGTCAATCCTAAGCCAAAAGAACAAAGCTGGAGGCATCACACTACCTGACTTCAAACTATACTACAAGGCTACAGTAACCAAAACAGCATGGTACTGGCAGCAAAACAGATATATAGATCAATGGAACAGAACAGAGCCCTCAGAAATAATTCCGCATATCTACAACTATCTGATCTTTGACAAACCTGAGAAAAACAAGCAATGGGGAAAGGATTCCCTATTTAATAAATGGTGCTGGGAAAACTGGCTAGCCATATGTAGAAAGCTGAAACTGGATCCCTTCCTTACACCTTATACAAAAATTAATTCAAGATGGATTAAAGACTTAAACGTTAGACCTAAAACCATAAAAACCCTAGAAGAAAATCTAGGCATTACCATTCAGGACATAGGCATGGGCAAAGACTTCATGTCTAAAACACCAAAAGCAATGGCAACAAAAGACAAAATTGACAAATGGGATCTAATTAAACTAAAGAGCTTCTGCACAGCAAAAGAAACTACTATCAGAGTGAACAGGCAACCTACAAAATGAGAGAAAATTTTCGCAACCTACTCATCTGACAAAGGGCTAATATCCAGAATCTACAATGAACTCAAACAAATTTACAAGAAAAAAACAAACAACCCCATCAGAAAGTGGGCGAAGGACATGAACAGACACTCCTCAAAAGAAGACATTTATGCAGCCAAAAAACACATGAAAAAATGCTCACCATCACTGGCCATCAGAGAAATGCAAATCAAAACCACAATGAGATACCATCTCACACCAGTTAGAATGGCAATCATTAAAAAGTCAGGAAACAACAGGTGCTGGAGAGGATGTGGAGAAATAGGAACACTTTTACACTGTTGGTGGGACTGTAAATTAGTTCAACCATTGTGGAAGTCAGTGTGGCGATTCCTCAGGGATCTAGAACTAGAAATACCATTTGACCCAGCCATCCCACTACTGGGTATATACCCAAAGAACTATAAATCATGCTGCTATAAAGACACATGCACACGTATGTTTATTGCGGCATTATTCACAATAGCAAAGACTTGGAACCAACCCAAATGTCCAACAATGATAGACTGGATTAAGAAAATGTGGCGCATAGACACCATGGAATACTATGCAGCCATAAAAAATGATGAGTTCATGTCCTTTGTAGGGACATGGATGAAATTGGAAATCATCATTCTCAGTAAACTATCGCAAGAACAGAAAACCAAACACCGCATATTCTCACTCATAGGTGCGAATTGAACAATGAGATCACATGGACACAGGAAGGGGAATATCACACTCTGGGGACTGTGGTGGGGTGGGGGGAGGGATAGCATTGGGAGATATACCTAATGCTAGATGACGAGTTAGTGGGTGCAGCGCACCAGCATGGCACATGTATACATATGTAACTAACCTGCACAATGTGCACATGTACCCTAAAACTTAAAGTATAATAAAAAATAAATTAATTAATTAAAAAAAAGAAAATATGGCTTATCCCAATAACATAGGATTTGTTTAAGATACAAAAATATACAAAAATTATTTAGTGTAACACATTAATAGAAAAAAGAAAAATATTATGTGATCCTTTCAGAGTATTAAAAAATGACTAAATTTAATATCCACTGATGAAAATTATCTCATCAAACTAGAAACAGAAGGACATATCTTTAATGAATGAAGTTATTAAAAATTTCTGTAGCTAGTATCATACTGAATATGACATAGTGCATTTCCCCCCTGAAGTTAAAAACATAGCAAATGATTTTTCTCTCACTTTTTCATTTAACATATGAGGAGATACTGGCTAGTATATATAATAAGTCAAGGAAAAGAAATAGATATAGAGCTTACAAAGACAAAAATAAACTGTCTTTCTCATATGACCTCTTTTGTGTGTAGAAAACTCTAAGGAATCTACCAAATAATACATATTAGGACTAAAAATAAATATACCAGTGTTGCAGAACATGTTAATACGCAAAAGTTAATTCTATCTTTTAATACTATCAATTAAATGATGGAAAATAAAATTAAGGAAATCTATAAAAATATCTACTAGAGGCAATTAGTGAATTCCACAAAAATTCAGGTCACTAAGTGCTATGGTCTGAGTGTTTGCATTCCCCTCTTATTCATATGTTGAATCCTAATCAACAGTGCGATGGTTTGAGGAGGTAGGGCCTTTGAGAATTAATTAGTGCATGATAGCAGAGCCCTCATGAATGGCATTAGTGCCCTCATGAAAGAACAACTTGAGAGCTGCCTTGTCCCTTCGGCCACGTGAGAACACGCCTAGAAGGTGTCCTCTATGAGGCAGAAAATAGCCTTAAACAGACTTTGACTCTGCTGGCACCTTGATCATGGGGTTGCCCAGCCACGAGAACTGTGAGAAACAAATCTCTTTTGTTTATAAGGTATCCTGTTTATGGTGTTTTGTTATAGCAGCACTAATGAATTAAGACACTAAGTTAGTATCAAAAAATCACTTAATTTCTATGCATTAGCAATGACCAATTAGAAAACAAAATTTTTAAAAGAACAATTTACACTAACATTTAAAAACATAAAATACTTTATGGTAAATTTAATGAAAAATATTTAAGACTTCTTCTCTGAAAGCTCATTGAGTAGACTCTAAGAGTATTTTAGGGATAGAAGAGAAGTGAACAAAGTCCTTTTTCTAAGGTAAAAATGACACTGGTAAAGTGGAGAAAGGAGCAAATACAGTATTTTTGGAATTGCCAAGTAGTTCCTTCACCTCCGTATCATGGTTCTTCAGGTTCCAGATGCGAAGAGTCTTACCCCATGACACAGAGACTAAAATCAAACCGCCACTGGGTGTAAAGCTCAGATCTGCTACAACATCTTGGTGGCTGGAAAGATTCAAAAGCAGGAGCCCCGTCTGCATCTCCCATATCTTGATCTGCCTAACATTGAGTCTCATAGCAAGGACCAGGCAAGAAACATCTGGCACTTGAGGGTGGTTGTGTGCCCAGAGCTTCCTGCTGGGTGGGAAATGAGTAATGAAATAAAGATATATAGCATGTGTATGGATTAAAGCACTTCATTTATGAATATTTTAATTTTCCCCAAATTGATATATAGATTTAATGCAATCTCAATATCCTAGCAAAAATTTACAAATAAATTAACTCACTGTTTAAAAATTTATATAGAAAAACAACAAAGTAATTCTGAGAAAAAGAACAGATTTAGAGAACTTACTCTAATTCGCTTCAAGATTCATTATCAATAAAATATATAATCATCAGGATATTGTGATATTGGTGAAACAAAGGACCATGAATGGTATGGCATAGAAGAAAAAGTTTTTAAAAATTCCAGATAAAAGCCTCAAATGATTTTGACCCAGTAGCCAAAGAAGTCAATTGGGAAACAAAAATTATTTACAACAAATAGTGTTTAAACAACTATATATATATACACACACACAAACACACATATACACATTCATATATATATGAACCCTTGACTTCCATATCACATTTGAAAATTAATAGAATATGAATAATAGACCTAACATAAAAGCTAAAAGTAAAAGACTTCTGTGGACAAAAATAGAATATCTTCATGACATTATTTGTGGAGACTCAAAAAGTATCACTGGACATTTTGCTACATTAAATCAAATATCACTTTATTTTGTAAAATAGAAGGAGGAAGAGAAACCCTGAGAGGCCCTTCTGTGACAATATATTCTAAAAGATGTAATTTCTCCAAAGACATGCCAAAATACAGTTGTAAGAAATGGTTTATAAATAAATATGAATCCATTTAATAAAAGAAAATATGAATACTGGTTTGAAAATGTATAATTACAATATATAAAAATATGCACTAAGATGCATTTTTTTAAAGAACGTAGTGATTTGTTTAATTAAAATTTGATTTCTGAAGACACATATAAAAATTTTTATAAATGAACAGAATTCATTTCTAACAGAATTTGATGAACTGTTACGTGACTAAAGTACTAGTAAAGAAAAAGAATGTTAAATTGAGGATTTATTATTAACATTAAGAAAATTAGGAATAAAAAAGTATTTAAATTAAATGAGATGCAGATAATTATCAGGAAAATAGAGGATATTATTTAAATAATTTTATCTGGATATACAAAATTAAAAAGAAAATAACAATGTTTCTAAAGTTGTAACATTTTCAAATATTAAGTGGAGTCAAACACAATAAATTAAATAATCAAAAAGGAAATTTAAAAAATTCCAGAATCTACTATGTAAAGGCTTTGACTTAGTGCACTATGAATGGCAAAGGGCATAAAATATATCATTGGTATCAAAAAGCTCAGATCCTAACTAAAAAGATAAAAGACACTGGTAAAAGAAAGGCTTTGTAAGGAGCACATAACCAGTACTCCATGATTTGTGTGCACAAGTGCTGCTGGAGATAAGATCGATCTTTTTGAAGTATGGTATTTATTAGTTAGAAATAAATATAAATGATAACATAAAGCTATGAGTTCACAGATTTATTTTTTCTTTGTCTTCCCTAAGTTTAGGAGTAAAGCTTACTATAGTAGCCATCTTGATTTGTTATCAATCAAAGGTAGGGCTGAGACTGCCAAACTGTAGCCCTGAAACAAATCCAGGGAGCAGCATCTATGTCCAAATACTTACTCTGAATCATGGCAATGAACTGTGTTCTTAGGATCCATTCCAACAAAGTAATCCAGGAAATCAGGTAGCCAGAAAAGACAAAATTTGTCTCACTGCACAGAAATATTTTTCTTAGAGAAGACAATGGAAATATAGGCTTTGTTTATCATAGAAATAGCTGATATATTCTTATTATGAATTAATTTTATTCTTTTCAATTTGCAATAGACATGGAATACACCTTAGAATAGAAGACAGAAGAACAGTATCATAATGTTAACTCTTTTGTTGACAAGTTGTTGGAATTTCTGAAAGTCACTTAACCTCCATAAGACAGTTTATTTTCCTAAACAAATAGAAAGTAACAATCTCAGATTGTTATAACTAAAATTTAGATAAGATAAACAAATGAAAGCAAGCATATATTCAGAATACCCAGTATATCTGAAAAAATTTCTTGACAAGAACTTTATTTGGGCAATTTTGTGATATTATGCATTATCATCTTGTTTGCTCTATCTGTAAAAGAAGCAATATTGTACTTGTTCCTATTTCTCCTCAAAGGTTTAGTAACATCAAAGTGGATTAATAACCTGAAGTATTTATATATATATAAAAATTCAGTGATACATGATATAATGCTAAAAAAGAGCCAGTTGGTTTTTATCTTGGAACTTACTTTCTGCTGTAAATAGAGAGAAATCTATGCCTTAGCAGTTTCTGTTCACCCATAATAAATATATATGCAATGCTATTTTATTAAAATAATCTTCATTATATATTCTATCTCAATAATATCTATTAGTAAAAGCTATTGATATCGGTAATATACTTGTCATTAAAAAATTAACAATGCTGTATTTGGCACCATGTAATTAGGGAAGGATAATATTTTAATTTCTTCTAATTCTTACTGTACCAGATTAAAATTTTTGATTTTGTGGAGATAACGTCTTCAATCAAAAATAGTGTTTCTATTTATGATAATCTTAGTCCTTATGCAGATCAGTTTTGTGAGCTGATATTTGCTGAAGAGAGATACATTTCCATAAATCATATGAGGAATGTTGTTTAGGATCAACACTGTAATAAGGTTAGCTACATCATTAGGAGAATTATCTTTAAATATACACAATTTGCTTTTTTTTAAAAAAAGGTGCAGCATGTATCTTTCATTTAATATAAAATCTCACACAAATATCCTAAGCAAACCTCACAATAATGGAATAAAAGCAGATAATAAACTTCATTTTGCTATGCAGGCCAGTAGTATCCACGTATGTAAAATCAGAGTTGAATATTTTTGGCTTAAAATACCCAATCTCCGATTTTCATACAATACACTAAGCCACCATAAGTTAAAACCTGAATTTGCAAGTCCAATGACTCTATGATCCTGCCAGCAGTGAACAATGCTGATTAAGGACCATATGTCATTTAGTGATTATTTCATGACACAATGATCATTTCAAATTGCTAATGCAACAAAAGAAGGATTTTCATAAAAATATAATTTTGAATACTATTTCATTTTCGAGACAAATGCCTATTTATTGTTTTTTTATTCCCTCCAAAATCCCATGGAACAGGTCAATATGTAAATAAGTCATTAGCCAAAGGGAAGGGAAATAAATAAATCCCTGTACTCAACCCTAATAAGATTTCAGATGAGCTCCTAGTAATAAGCATATGAAAATGATAGATACATTCCCTACTTCCTCCAGGGAATTTCTATCTGACCTAGTTGCAATGCTACAGAGTTGAGTAGGTTTTCTACATAAAAGTCTTGAAAAAATGTTAAGGGAAATTTGGGAAGCTTTGTGACTTCTAAAGGTATTAAAAGAGAAGTGAAATAACTCAGGTTTAAGTGAGTCAAACAAAATAAAGCCTTGATTTTATAAAACTGGAAAAAAAGAGTAAAACTTTTGTCAGTGATTATATTAATGTATCATATTTCAATATAATGTGGACATATATATGCATACATTTATATATATATGTATGTATTGGTATTTTTTTCTTTTTCAGGACTCAAAAGCAACTGGCAGATTAAAAAAATAGCTAAAAACAGAAAAATATATAGCTCCAGAGTACCCTGAAGCTAAGGCCACTTGCAATCAAGGCCCTTCATAAAATGACAGCCAGCAGGTGAGCACTGTGAGACAGAGGGGCCAATGGAGTGCAGGCTGCTTGGGCCAGACAATGCACAAGTGATTGCAAATGTGTCAGAACTGTATTTCACTACAATCACCCAACACAGCCCAGGGTGGTGCGAGTTTCTGTTGACAAAATTGTATGATGTTAAGTTTCTCCAATATAGAACATATTTTCAGGAGAGGATGCCCTGGCATCTAGAATCCACGTGCTTTTATAGTTAACAAAAAAAAAAAAGGAAGAAAAAGAAGAAAATAGGATTTCTGTGACCCTTCCCTTTCAAAGACCCCATTTGAAATATGAGAAATGTTCTGTGGAAGAGAAATAAGACCATTTAGAATAATGCAGGAATTTAACTAGCTTTGTAGGAAAAAAGAGAGCACGTTTCACTGAAAATTTAAGTCAAAAATGGAAATAGCATGCGAGGAAGACAAAAATGAGTTGAACAGGTCCAGTTTGTTGTAAACCAGGTCTCTGAGGGGGAGCGAGACTTAAGAGTAAGCTCAATTGAAAGCAGTGAGAGAAATGTCTTAGGAAAAAAGGACAAACAATTAGAGACTAAATTCATTACTCGGGATTTCTACAGCTACCTCTCATTTCTCCACCATCATTCCTGCTTGCCCCAACATTCATCCTTGAAGTCCGGGGTATTATTGCTTAGCTTGCTTGAGATTTTGAGTTCAGGATGAAGGATGAAAGAGAATTTAGGTCAATTTATCTAGTCAATGTATTAAAGTTGCACGCCAATGAAAACATTGAAAGATTTGTTACAAAATTATAAAACTACATTTTTTGAATCATACTACGGACTAGACATAGGTATGAAGCTCAACACCTAAATTATTAATTTTTATAAAAATATTTGATAGGCTGGGCGCAGTGGCTCATGCCTGTAATCCCAGCACTTTGGGAGGCCAAGGCAGGCGGATCACAAGGTCAAGAGAGCGAGACCATCCTGGCCAACATGGTGAAACCCCGTCTCTATTAAAAAAAAAAATTAGCTGGGCGTGGTGGCACATGCTTGTAGTCCCAGCTACTCCGGAGGCTGAGGCAGGAGAATCACTTGAACCCGGGAGGCAGAGGTTGCAGTAAGCCGAGATCGCGCCACTGCACTCCAGCCTAGCCACAGAACTAGACTCTGTCTCAACAAACAAACAAACAAACAAATATTTGATAAAATTTAATATTAAATCATAAGTATGCTATAATCTGGTTAAAAGTATAGATAATAATTATATAAAAATGAATATTAGAACAAATTTTTTCAAACTTTTAAAGAGAAGAAAATAGAAAAAGACAGGATTAGAACAATGATTCTTCACAACATATACACTATGAGTTATAGAATGATATCACTGGAGAAGAATCAAGGCAAGTTAATAATAACTTTTACTTACTGAGCACTTAGTAAGCCTATGATAATTACCAGTTATTATCATATGCCAAATACTGTGCTAAGTATTTTCATAATGTATTATATTCTATCAAAATAACTGGTCTATGGGAACAGATTTGATATCCTGTTTTCCAGACAAAGCGTAGTTGCAGATACTCAGTAACTAGTCCATACTCACAGGGTCAGTAAATGACAAGTATTTGAATTCATACTTCCCTGACTCCAACATTTATTATTTTGTCTACTGAGCTATGTATATTTTTAATATCATAAGCTATCTCCAGACTCAGAGATAATATACAACTCTTAGACTGTGGCTCCCTGAGAGCATGTTAATTAATGAGAACCTCAACCTAAGACTTAAACTAAACCCCAAACTTATGTCTAATCCTAACCCTACCTCTGGAAATAGTAATAATCTCAATTATCTTGCTTCTCTATGAAGGTGTTGTATTTTGAGAGGAGAGGCCAGGCATTTCTGTTGGTGAGGCTGGTGAAATAGTGCAGGCCTGAATATGCAGACTTCAAACGTTTCTCATTTCGGGAGTCTGATTCATGATAGGCAACAATCTCAGAATTGCAATGTGTCAGCACAACATTTAATGTTCTCTGAGGATGCATGTCCAATGTGCATCATGGTGGGGCTCTGCTTCACAGCCATTGAGAGACCATTCAGAAGAGCACATGGGTCAGAGAAATGTACAGACAGAAAGCACACCTTCATGTCCATTCTTATCCCGGAAGCGGCACGATTCACTTCTAGATTCATTGCCTAGAATTAGTTTCATGGCTCTCTCTTCATATGGAAGCACATGACATATTTGGTAAATTTTATTTGCCACTAGGGGTAACGAGAAGTACCTGAAAGGCTGTCGAAATCACTTTCTCTTCACTCTGTGCCAGGGTTTATGTAGACAGAGAATGTGTTTGATGTTATGGGCTTTTCTTGCAAAGTTTTTTAGTCTGTTTTGTATTAAAGTAAGTTCTCTCAAGAAAGAGTTGCTTAATTAGCAACATTAAAATTTATTTTTATGTATTTAAGAACCATAATTTTCTCATAGTTTTCAGTTAGATTATATGTTAAAATTGTTTATTTTCATTGGCATGAATTTTGTAGATTCAGTTTTTTATTCTGATAATATAAATATGACATTTAATTTTTTTGTTAATGGAAATATTGTGCTATAATACTTTAAATATATATTATGTAGAGTCATATATTAAAATAATTTCAATAATCTAATTTATATTTTTAATTCTATTGATTTTATAGCATTCATTGTTATCTCATTCTTTTTTAATTTTTAACTTTTGTGGGTACATAGTAGGTACATATATTTGTGGAGTACATGAGATATTTGGATACAGGCATGTAATGTGGAAATCATTACTCAGGATTTCTATAGCTACCTCTCATTTCACATCAGGGTAAATGGGGTATCTGCCACCTCAAGCATCTCCATGAGTAAAATTGTTTTAATTTTTAGATCCCACAAATAAGTGAGAACATGTGAAATTTGTCTTTCTGTGCGTGGTTTATTTCACTTGACATGATGACCTCCAGTTCCATCCATGTTGTTGCAAATGACAGGGTCTCATTTTTTTATGGCTGAAAAGTACTCCATTCTGTATATGTACCACATTTTCTTTATCCGTTCATCTGCTAATGAACATCTAGGTTGCTTTCAAACCTTGGCTATTGTGAATAGTGCTGCAATGAATGTGGGAGTGCAGATATCTCTTTGATATACTGATTTCATTTCTTTTGGGTATATATCTAGCAGTGAGATTGCTGGATTATATGGCAGTTCTAATTTTGTTTTTTTGAGGAACTTCCAAGATGTTCTACATAGTGATTGTACTAATTTACATTCCCTCCAACAGTGTACCAGGGTTCCCTTTTCTCCACCTCCCCGCCAGCATTTGTTATTGCTTTTCTTTTTGATAAAGGTCATTTTAATGGAGTGAGATAATATCCCATTGTTTTGATTTGCATTTCTCTGATGATCAGTGATGCTGAGCACCTTTTCATATATCTGTCATTTGTATGTCTTCTTTTGAAAAATGTCTACTCAGACTTTTGCCCATTTTAAAATTGGATTATTAGATTTTTTCTATAGAGCTGTTTGAGCTCTTTATATATTCTAGTTATTAATCTTTTGACAGATGGGTAGTTTACAAATATTTTCTGTCATTCTGTAGGTTGTCTCTTCACTTCGTTGATTGTTTCCTTTGCTGTGTAGAAGCTTTTTAACTTGATGTCATCCCATTTGTTCCCTTTTACTTTGGTTGTCTGTGCTGGTGAAGTATTACTCAAGAAATTCCAGCCCCATTCAATGTTCTGGAGAGATTACCCGATGTTTTCTTTTAATAGTTTCATAGGGTGAGGTGTGAGGTCCTAGATGTAAGTATTTAACCCATTTTGATTTGGTTTTTGTACAAGGTGAGATAGGAGTCAACTTTTATTCTGCTATAATATCCAGTTATCCCAGCACAATTTATTGAAGAGACTATCCTTTCCCCAATATATGTTCTTGGTGTCTTTGTTGAGAATGAGTATCCTATAGATGGATGGATTTATTTCAGGTTTCTCTAATCTGTTCCATTCATCTATGTGTTTGTTTTTATGCTAGTACCATGCTGTTTTGATCACTATAGCTCTGCAGTGTAATTTGAAGTTAGATAATGTGATTTCTCCAGTTTTACTCTTTTTGTTCAGGATAGCTTTGGCTATTCTGCTTTTTGTGGTTCCGTATACATTTTAAGAATTTTTTTTTCTGTTTCTGTGAAGAATACCATAGATACCTTGATAGACATTGCATTAAAACTATAGGTTGCCTTGGGTAATATGGTCATTTTAACAATATTTATTCTTGCAATCCATGAACAGGGAATATTTTTCAATTTTTGTGTCCTCTTCAATTTCATGCATAGGTTTTGTAGTTTTTATTGTAGATATCTTTAACTTCTTTAGTTAATTTCTAAGTATTTTATTTGCAGCTATTGTAAATGGGATTCCTTTCTTGATTTATTTTTCAGATTGTTTGCTGTTGGTACATAGAAATGCTATTGATTTTGTGGATTGATGTTCTATCCTGCAAATTTACTGAATTTGTTAATCAATTTCAATAGTGTTTTGGTGGGGTATTTAGTTTTGTACAAACAGAAGGTCATAGCATCAGTAAAAAAGGATGATTTGACTTTTTCCTTTCCAATTTGAATGGACTTTATTTATTTCATCTTTCTGATTACTCCAGCTAGGACTTTCAGTACTACATTGAATAACAGTGGTGAAAGATGGCTTTCTTGTTGTATTTTAGATCGTAAAGGAAAAGCTTTCAGTTTTTTTCCCATTCAGTACAATACTAGCTGTGGGTCTCTTGTAGATGACTTTTCTTATGATGAGGTATGTTTTTTTAAACCCAGTTTATGGGGTTTAGATAGTAAATGGCTGTTGAATTTTATCAGATGCTTTGTCAGCAGCAATTGAAATGATTGTACAGTTTTTGTGCTTCATTCTGTTGATATAATGTGTATCACATTGATTGATTTGCATATGTCAAATCTTTCTTGAATACCAGGGATAAATTCCACTTAAACACAATTAATGATCTTTTTATTCTGTTGTTGACTTGGTTTTTTTAGTATTTTCTTGAGGATTTTTGCATCAATATTCATCAGGAATATTGGCCTTTAGTTTCCTATCTCTGATGTATCTTTGTTTGCTTTTGTTATTAGGCTAAAACTTGCCTCATAGAGTAAGATATGAAGTGATTCCTCCTCTATGTTTTGGAATAGTTTGAGTAGGACTGCTATTAGTTCTTCTTTAAATGTTTGGTAGAATTCAGCTGTGAAGCCATCATGTCTTGAGCTTTTTGTTGCTGGAATAATTTTTATTGCAGCTTCTTTCTCATTACTTGTTATTGGTCTGTTCAAGTGTTGGCTTTCTTCATAGTTTAATCTTGGTAGGTTGTGTGTGTCTAAGAATTTATGTATTTATTCTAGATGTTCCAATTTATTGGCATATAGTTGCTCATAGTAGACACTAACGATCCTTTAAAATTCTGTGGTATGGATTATAGTGTATACTTATTCAAATCTGATTTATTTATTTGTGTCTTTTCTCCTTTTCTCATAGTCTGACTAAAGATATGTTCATTGTATTTATCTCTAAAAATAACCCACCTTTTTGTTTCATTGATCTTTTGTATTGTTTTCATAATTTCAAATTTACTTATTTCTGCTCTGATCTTTTTTTTTTATTTCAATAGGTTTTTGGGGAACAAGTGGTGTTTGGTTACATGGATACATTCTTTAGTGGTGATTTCTAAAATTCCAGTGCATCCATCACCCAAGCAGTGTACACTGTACCCAATGTATAGTCTTTTATCCCTCACTCCCCTCCCACCCTTCCCTCTGAGTCCTCAAAGTCCATTGTATCATTCTTATGCCTTTGCATCCCATAGCTTAGCTCCCACTTATAAGTGAGAACATACAATGTTCAGTTTTCCATTCTGGAGTTACTTAATTTAGAATAATGGTCTCCAGCTCCACCCAGTTTCCTGTAAATGCCATTACTTCATTCCTTTTTATGGGTGAATAGCATTCCATGGTGTGTATGTGTATATATACATATATATATATATATCACATTTTCTTTATCCGTACATTGGTTGATGGGCATTTGGGCCAGTTTCATATATTTGCCATTGCAAATTATGCTGCTATAAACATGTGTGCAAATGTCTTTTTCATATGATGACTTATTTTCCTCTGGGTAGATACTCAGTAGTGGAATTTCAGGATCAAATGGTAGATCTACTTTTAGTTCCTTAAGGAATCTCCACAATGTTTTCCATAATGGTTGTACTACTTTACATTCCCACCAACGGTGTAAAAGTGTTCCCTTTTCACCACATCCACACCAACATCTATTATTTTATGATTTTTTTATTATGGCCATTCTTGTGGAAGTAAGGTGGTATCACATTGTGGTTTTGATTTGCATTTCCCTGATCATTAGTGATGCTGAGCATTTTTAATGTGTTTGTTGGTCATTTATATATCTTCTTTTGAGAATTGCCTATTCATGTCCTTAGTCCACTTTTTGATGGGATTATTTGTTTTTTTCTTGCTGATTTGTTTGAGTTCCTTATTGATTCTGGATATTAGTCCTTTGTTGAATGCATAGTTTGTGAAGATTTTCTCCCACTTTGTGGGTTGTCTGTTTACTCTGCTAATTATTTATTTTGTGGGGCAGAAGCTTTTTAGTTTAATTAAGTCCCATCTATTTATCTTTATTTTTGTTGCATTTGCTTTTGGGTTCTTGGTCATGAAATCTCTGCCTAAGCCAATGTCTAGAGGAATTTTTCTGATGTTATCTTCCAGAATTTTTGTGGTATCAGGTCCTAGATTTAAGTTTTTGATCCATATTGAGTTGATTTCAGTATAAGGAGAGAGGTGAGGATCCAGTTTTATTCTTCTCCATGTGGCTAGCC
The DNA here is from genome assembly GCF_000001405.40 of Homo sapiens. Lineage (NCBI taxonomy): Eukaryota > Metazoa > Chordata > Mammalia > Primates > Hominidae > Homo > Homo sapiens. The sequence goes on from NC_000014.9 coordinate 47,812,874, forward strand.
AATTATCCCTGTACCATTTGTTGAATAGGGTGTCCGTTTGTGTTTTTGTTTGCTTTGTTGAAGATCACTTGCCTGTAAGTATTTGGGTTTATTTCTGGGTTCTCTAGTCTGTTCCATTGGTCTATGTGCCTATTTTTATACCAGTACCATGCTATTTTGGTGTCTATAGCTTTATAGTATAGTTTGAAGTCAGGTAATGTGATGCCTTGAAATTTGTCCTTTTTGCTTAGTCTTGCGTTGGCTATGCAGGCTCTTTTTTGGTTCTATATGAATTTTAGGATTGTTTTTTCTAGTTCTGTGAAGAATGATGATGGCAATTTGGAGAAAATTGAGTTAAATTTGTAGATTGCTTTTGGCATTTTTACAATATTGATTCTACTCATCCATGAGCATGAAATGTGTTTCCATTTGCTTGTGTCATCTATGATTTACTTCAGCAGTGTTTTGTAGTTTTCCTTGTAAAAGTCATTCACATTTTGAGGATATTCCTGTTAAGGATATTCCCAAGTATTTTATTTTTTTACTTATTTTATTTCATTTTTGCCACTATTGTAAAAGTGGTCAGGTTCTTGATTTGATTCTTAGCTTGCTCACTGTTGGTGTGTAGCAGTGCTACTGATCTGTGTAGATTGATTTTGTGTCCTAAAACTTTACTGAATTCATCTACGAGATCTAGGAGCTTTTTTGATGAGTATTTGGAGTTTTCTAGGCATACACTCATATCATGGGTAAACAGCAACAGTTTGTCTTGTTATTGACTGATTTGAACGACCTTTCTTTTTTTCTCGTCTTATTGGTCTGGTTATTGCTTCCAGTACTATGTTGAAAAGAAGTGGTGACGTTGGGCATCCTTGTCTTGTTTCAGTTCTCAGTGGGAATTCTTTCAAATTTTCCCCTTCAGTATAATGTTGGCTGTGGGTTTTTCACAGATAGCTATTATTACCTTAAACTATACCCCTTCTAGGTAGATTTTATTGATGGTTTTAACCATAAAGTGATGCTGGATTTTGTCAAATGCTTTTTCTGCATTTATTGAGATAATTATGTGATTTTTATTTTAAATTCTGTTTATGTGGTGTATCACATTTATTGACTTGCATATGTTAAACTATCCTTGCATTCATAGCATGAAACCCACTTGATCGTGGTGGCTTATCTTTTGTATATGTTGTCGGACTCAGTTAGCTAGGATTTTGTTGAGGATTTTTGCATCTGTATTCATCAGGGATATTGGTCTGTAGTTTCCTTTTTTTGTTATGTCCTTTCCTGGTTTTGGTGTTAGGGTGGTACTGGCTTCATAAAATAATTTGGTTAAAATTCCCTCTTTCTCTATCTTATGGAATCTTATCTAATACTTTCAACAAGATTGGTACCAATTCTTCTTTGAATGTCTAATATAATTCAGCTGTGAATCCATCTGGTCTTGGACATTTTTTGGTTGGAAATTATTTTATTACCACTTCAAACTCACTGCTTGTTATTGGTCTATTCAGAGTTTCTATTTCTTACTGATTTAATCTAGGAGGGTTGTGTATTTTCAGGAATTTATCCATCTCCTCTAGGTTTTTTAGTTTGTGCATATAAAGGGGTTCATAGTATCCTTGAATGATCTTTTGTATTTCTGTGGTATTGGTTGTAATATCTTTTATTTCATTTCTAATTGAGCTTATTTGAATCTTCTGTCTTCTTTTCTTGGTTAACCTCACTAATGGCTTACCAATTTTATCTATCTTTTTAAAGAATCAGCATTTTGCTTCGTTTATCTTTTGTATTTTTTGTTTGCATTTCATTTAGTCCTTCTCTGATCATTGTTATTTCCTTTCTTCTGTTGGGTTTGTTCCTGTTTCTCTAGTTCCTTGAGATGTGACCTTAATTGTCTATTTGTGCTGTTTCAGACTTTTTGACATAAGCGATTAATGCTATGAACTTTTCTCTTAGCACTGCTTTTGCTGTATCCCAGAGTTTTTGATAGGTTATATTACTATTGTCATTCAGTTCAAAGATTTTTTTAAATTTCCATCTTGATTTCATTATCGACCAACAATCTTTCAGGAGTGGATTATTTAATTTTATATATTTACATAATTTTGAGGATTCCATTTGGAATTGATTTACAATATTATTGCACTGCTGTCTGAGAGAATACTCAAGATAATTTTGATTTTCTTAAACTTATTGAGACTTGTTTTGTGGCCTATCATATGATCTATCTTGGAGAATGTTCCATGTGCTGATGAATATAATGTATGTTCTGCAGTTGTTAAGTAGAATGTTCTGTAAATGTCTGTTAACATCCATTCTTTTCTAGGGTATCGTTTAAGTCCATTGTTTCTTTGTTGACTTTCTGTCCTGATGATTGTCTAGTGCTGTCAATGGGGTATTGAATTCCCCCACTATTATTGTGTTGCTATCTATCTCATTTCTTATATCTAATATTAATTGTTTTATAAATTTGGGAGCTCCAGTGTTACAATATATATTTAGGATTGTGATGTTTTCCTGTTGGACTAGTCCTTTTATCATTCACTATATAATGTCCCTCTTTGTCTTTTTTAACTGTTGTTGCCTTAAAGTTTGTTTTATCTGATATAAGAATAGCTACTCCTACTCATTTTCGGTGTCCATTTGCATGGAATATCTTTTTCTGCCTTTTAACCTTCAGTTTATGTGGGTCCTTATGTGTTAAGTGAGTCTCTTGAAGACAGCAGATACTTGGTTGGTGAATTCTTATCCAATCTGCCACTCTGTATCTTGTAAGTAGAGCATTTAGCTCATTTACATTCAATGTTAGTATTGAGATGTGAGGTACTATTGTATTCATCCTGCTAGCTGTTGTGGGAAGACTTCGTTATTTTCTTCATCGTGTTATTGTTTTATAGGCCCTGTGAGATTTATGCTTTAAGGAGGTTCTATTCTGGTGTATTTAGAGGTTTTGTTTCAAGATTTAGAACTCCTTTTAGAAGTTCTTGTAGTGCTGGCTTGGTAGTGGAGAATTCTCTCAGCATTTGTTTGTCTGAAAAGGACTTTATCTCTCCATGTATGAAGTGTAGTTTTGCTAGATACAAAATTTTTGGCTGATAATTGTCTTGTTTAAGGAATCTAGATACAGAATTCTCAGCTGATAATTGTTTTGTTTAAGGGGGCTAAAGACAGGACCCAGTTACTTCTAGCTTGCAGGGTTTCTGCTGAGAATACTGCTGTTAATCTGATAGATTTTCCTTTATAGGTTACCTGACTCTTTTGCTTCACATCTCTTAAGATTCTTCATGTTGACTTTAGATAACCTGATGACTATGTGCCTAGGCAGTGTTCTTTTTGCAATGAATTTCCCAGGTGTTCTTTGTGCTTCTTGTATTTGGATGTCTAGGTCTCTAGCAAGGCCAGGGAAGTTTTCCTTGATTATTTTCTCAAATAAGTTTTCCAAACTTTTAGATTTCTCTTTTACTTCAGGAACACAAATTATTCTTAGGTTTGGTCATTTAATATAATCACAACTATTGGAGGCTTTACTCATTTTTTAAATTCTTTTTTTCTTTGTCTTCATTGGATTGGGTTGATTCTAAAGCCTTGTTTTCAAGCTCTGAAGTTCTTTCTTTTATTTGTTTGATTCTATTGTTGAAACTTTCCAGTGTATTTTGCATGTCTCTTAGTGTGTCTTTCATTTCCAGAAGTTGTGATTATTTTTAATTTATGGTATCTATTTCTCTGGAGATTTTTTTCATCTATATCCTGTATTATTTTTAAAATTCCTTTAACTTGGTTTTCACCTTTCTCTGGTGCCTCCTTAAGTAGCTCAATAATCAACCTTCTGAATTCTTTTTTTTCTGGCAAATCAGAGATTTCTTTTCAGTTTGGATCTATTGCTGGTTATCTAGTGTGATCTTTTAGGGGTGTTAAAGAATCTTGCTTTGTTATATTACCAGAATTGTTTTTCTGGTTTCTTCTCATTTGAGCACACTATGTCAGAGGAAAGATCTAGGATTCAGGGGCTGCTGTCCAGATTCTTTTGTCCCAAAGGGTGATCCCTTGATGTGGTGCTCTCCTCCTTCCCCTAGAGATGGGGCTTCCTGAGAGCTAGACTGCAGTGATTTTTATTGCTTTTCTGAGTCTAGCCACCCCGTGGAGCCATCAGGCCCTGGGCTGGTACTGGGGAGTGTCTACAAAGTGTCCTGTGATGTGATTTGTCTTCAGGTCTCTCAGCTGTGGATACAGCCTCCTTCTGCAGTGGAGGTAGCAGGGGAGTGATTTGGACTCTGTGAAGGTCCTTGGTTTTAGCTTTGTTTAGTATGCTGGTTTTCTCAAACGCTAGTTGTGCAGGCAGTGAAGTTGTCACATGGACAGACTCAAGACCTCCGGTTAGTCAGGATATTACAGGTGGTAGAATTAGCTGTTGTTTTCTCCTTTCTTGGAGCAGGGTCATTCTTTTATGAATTGCTGTAATGGCTTGAGTTGGTTAGCCTCCAGCCAGGAGGTGGTGCTTTCAAGACAGCATCAGCTGCAGTAGTATAGCGCGGATACAAGCTTGCCATAGGGTCACTTGGATAGGCATTTTGGTTTCTCAGGCTATGGGAAGAGCCATAGAACTCCCAAGAGATTATGTCTTTTGTCATTGGCTACCAGGGTGGGTAGAGAAAGTCCACTAGGAGCAGGGTTAGATGTGTCTGAGCTCAGACTCTTCATGGGTGCGGCTTCTTGCAGCTGCTGTGAGAGATGGAGGTGTGGTTCTCAGGCCAATGGGGTTATGTTCCCAGGGGGATTATGTCCACCTCTGCTGCATCATACAGGTCACCAGGGAAGTGGGGGTAACACCAGCAATGACAGGTCTTACCCAGCTCCCATGCCACCAGCAAGGTCAGTCTCACTCCCTCCATGCTTCATCAACAGCACTGAGTTTATATCCAGGTATCTGGCTGAGATCTTGCTCCAGTCTACATGCCTTCTCACTGAGAAAGCAAGCAGGGCTTTCAGGACTCACCCCTTCCACCCTGCCATGGCTTCTGTGCTCTTTTCTGTACTTCCTATTCACCCCCCTGCTACCTAACCCCAGATTCTGCCCAGGAAAATTTACTCTTGGGCAAAATTATTACAAAGTTCAGCTGAAAGTTTCCTTCTCCCTTTCATCCTTCCCCAAGTCCACCGGCAGCCCTCCCCTAGTACCCCTGTGAGATAAAGTAAAAAATGGCTTCCCAGTGGGGACTGGGAGTGCCTATCGGGCTCTTCCTGCTGTTCTTCTACTTTCATACTTTGGTTAGCTCTCTAAATTCATTTCAGCTCTGGGTAAGGTTAAATCCTTCTCCCATGATTTGGATTTTCAGGTTCCCCAGTGAGGATGTGTGTTCAGAGGGGAAGTTTCCCCCTCTCACACTTTGGGCATTCAGTTTTTTGGCTGTCTAACAAAGTTTGCAGCAGCAAAGCTGTTTATTTCAAACTGAAAATTATTTCAGTTTTCCTGGTATGTTGCTATGGTAGTTCTAGGAGTAAATGTTCACAATGTGAGCCTCCACACACTGTTCTGGGGCTGAAAGAACAAAAGAAAAACTTTCATTGCCATTGTAAAGGAAGGACCACAGGTGGAGGTCAGCAACAGAGGGTTTCTGCTCTGATATTTATTATTTTTTTTCTTCTACGAATTTTGGCTTTAGTTTGTTCTTGCTTCTCCAGTTCTTTAAGATGCATTGTTAGGTTATTTATTTGAAGTTTTTCTACTTTTTAATGTAGGCACTTATAGCTATAAATTTTCCTCTCAGTACTACTTTTGCTGTTTCCCATAGGTTTTGGTATATTGTGTTTCCATTGTCATTTCAAGACAATTTTAAATTACCATCTTAATTGACCCACTATTACTTCAGCAGCATATTGAGGTATGTTTGCAGAGCTTCCAAAATGCCCTTGTTATTGATTTGTAGTTTTATTGCATTGTGATCAGAAAAGACGCTTGATATTTTTTCTGTTTTTTGAATGTTTTAAGACTTGTTTTGTGCACTATATGTACAAAATAATATATGGTCTATCCTTGAGAAAGATCAATGTGCTAAGGAGAAGAATGTGTACTCTGTATCCATTGGATAAAATGTTCTGTAAATATCTCTTAGGTCTATTTCGTCTATAGTGCCAATAAAATCTGATGGTTCCTTGTTATCTGTCTAGAAGATTGGGTCAATCCTGAAAGTGGGTTGCTATGTCTCCAGCTATTATTATATTGGGATCTATCTCTCTCTTTAGTTCTAATAAAATTTACTTTTTATATCTGGGTGCTCCAGTGTTGGGTGCGTGTAAATTTGCAATAGTTACATCCTCTTGTTTAACTGATCACTTTATCATTAGATAGTGACCTTGTTTATCTCTTCGTATAGTTTTTGCCTTGAAATCCTTTTTTATTATATAAGTATAAGCTACTTCTGCTCTTCTTTGGCTCCCTTGTCATGGAATATCTTTTTCTGTTTTATTTATTTATTTATTTATTTTTTAGTTTCAGTTATATGTGTCTTTATAGGTGAATTGTGTTACTTGTAGGCAGCAGATCATTGGGGTCTCATTTTTTCATCCACTCAGCCACTCTATGTCTTTGATTGCAGAGTTTAGTCCATTTTAATTCCATGATATTATTGGTAAGTAAGGACTTGCTGTTGCCATTTTATCATTTGTTTTCTGGTTGTTTTGTGGTCTTCTCTTTCTTCTTTTCTTCCTTCATGTCTTCCTTTTAGTGAAGGTGATTTTCTCTGCTGGTATGACTTAATTTCTTGCTTTTTTCTCTGTATGTATCCATTGTGTTTTTTTTATTTGAAGTTACCATGAGGCTTGCAATACTATATTATAACTTATTATTTTAAGCTAATAACAACTTAACGCTGCTTGTCTAAGCAAACAAACAGGCAAAATAAAAACTCATAAAAACTCTACACTATAACTTTGTCTCCCCACTCTTTAACTTTTTATTGTTTCTATTTTTATCTTATTGTACTGTATATGTCTTGAAAAGTTGCTGTAGTTATTATTTTTGATTGGTTCATCTTTTAACCTTTCTACTTAAAAGTAATTTACACACAACAATTAGAGTATTATAATATTTTGTGGGTTTTTGTGTACTTACTAATGCTAGTGAGTTTTGTACCTTCAGATGGTATATTATTGATCGTTAACATCCTTTTTCTTTATGATTGCAGAAATCTCTTTAGCATTTCTTTTGGGGCAGGTCTGCTGTTGATGAAATGCCTCAGCTTTTGTTTGTTTGTGAAAATCTTTATTTCTTTATCATGTTTGAAGGATATTTTCAGTGGGTATACTCTTTTATGGTAAAAGGTAACAGTGTGTTTTGTTTTTCCTTCAGCACTTAAAATATGTCATGCTACTCTCTTCTGCCCTATAAGGTTTCCACTGAGAAGTCTGCTGCCAGACATGTTGGAGCTCCATTGTATGTTATCTGTTTCTTTCTCTTCCTTTTACAATTTTTTTCTTTATCATTGACCTTTGGGAGATTAATTATTAAATGCCTTGAGGTAGTCCCCTTTGAGTTAAATCTGCTTATTATTCTATAACTTTCTTGTACTTGAATGATGACTTCTTCCTCTAAGTTTGGGATATTCTCTGTTATTATCCCTTTGAATGAACTTTCTACTTCTATTTCTCTCTGTAACTCTTATTTAAGGCCAGTAACTTAGATTTGCCCTTTTAAGGCTATTTGCTAAATCCTGTAAGTATGCTTCATTGTTTTTATTCTTTTTTCTTTTGTCTCTTCTGAGTGTGTATTTTCAAATAGTCTGTCTTCAAGCTCTCTAATTCTTCCTTCTTCTTGATCAATTCTGCTATTAAGAGACTCATATATTCTTTAGTATGTCACTTGCATTTTTGAACTCCAGAATTTCTGCTTGATCTTTTTAATTATTTTATTCACTTTTTAAAATTTATCTAATAGGATTCTGAATTCCCTCTCTGTGTTATCTTGAATTTCTTTGAGTTTTCTCAAAACACCTATTGTGATTTCTTGTTCTGAAAGGTCATATATAGCTGCTTCTCTGGGACTGGTCTTTGATGCCTTATTTATTTCATTTGGTAAGGTTATGTTTTCCTGGAGCAACCTGATGCTCATGGCTGTTCACTGGTATCTGAGCATTGAAGAGTTAGGTATTTATTGTAGTCTTCACAATCTGGGCTGGATGTACTTGCTCTTCTTGGGAAGGCTTTTCAGGTATTTGAAGGGATGTGGGCATTCTGATCTAAGCCATATCTGCATTAGGGGGCACACTAAGTTCAGTACCACTGTGGTTCTTGCATATTCATAGATGTACTGCCTTGGTGATGTTGGATAATATCCAGAAGAATTCCTTGATTACCAGACAGAGACTTTTGTTCTCTTCCCTTACCTTCTCCCAAATAAATGGAGTATATATCTCTGTGTGTGCTGAGCTGCCTGGGGCTGGGTGTGGGGTGACTTAAGTAAACCTGTGACCACCACTATGTGGACTGTGCTGAGTCAGACCTGATGTCAGCACAGCACTGGGTCTCACCCAAGGCCCACTGTAACTACTACTTGGCTATTGCTTATGTTTGCTCAAGGCCATAGGGCTCTACAATTAACAGGTGGTGAATTCAATCACGCTTGTGTCTTTCCCTTCAGGTTGGCAAGTTCTCTCAGGCCCCAGGTGGATCCAGGTATGCTGTCCAAGAACCAGGGACTGGAGTCACAAACCTTAAAACTCTACCAGACGCTCTCTCTATTCTACTGCTGCTAACCTGGCCATCACACCATGAGAAAAATATCCTTCCCACTCTTCTCTCCCTTTTCCACAGGCAGAGGAGCCTCTCCTGTGGCTAGCCCCATCACAGGCCTACATAGAGTACTTCCAGGTGACCTCTTGTGTTCACTTAAGGTCCAAGGGTGCTTCTGTAGTTTGTGGTTAATGCTGCCAGGCCTGAGACTCACTTTTTGGGTAGCAAGCTCCCTTTTGGCCTAGTGGGTCCAGAATTGCCATCCAAGAACCAGTGCTTGGAATTGGGGACCCTAAGAGCCCACTTGGTGCTCTACCCAACTGTGGTTGAGCTAGTATCCGAAGCCATCACAATCTAGAGTCTCATATAAGGCCCATGATGAATGCTACCTGGGTATTGCTGCTGGTTATTCAGGGCCCAGGTGCTCTTTAGTGAGTGGCAAATGAAATCTTCCAATATTTTGTTCTTCCTTTATAGGAAGTGGGTTCTTTTCTGGCCCAGGTGTGTCTAGAAAAGTTGTCCAGAAGCTAGGGCCTAGAATGAGACCCTCACAACTCTGTCCAGTGCCCTATCCTGCTGTGGCTGAGCTGGTATCCAAGATGCAAGACAAATCCTCTTTATTCTTCCCTCTCCTTTCCTCAAATGGAAGGAAGGGGTCACTTTTAGGGCTACAAGCTGTGCTTCCTGGGGTTGGGGAATGGGTGGCACAAGCACTCCCTTATTCACCCCAGCTCATGTTTCACTAAGTCACATGTCCCTTATGTACACTGGACTTGAGGCCAACACAGCACTCTGATTTGCCTAAGAATTGTAGTCATTGTGGCCTAGACTGCCCTTCAAGTTTATTTAGGAACCCAGAGGCCTTTAACCCCCACTGATCCGGCTTGCCAGAACTCAAGATCTGATCACTGGGATGAGCAATTTCCATCTGGCTAGGGCTGGTCTAATTGCTCCCTCTATGGTCTTGCATCAGCTGAGTTCTGCCCAGTTTTTCTTTACACTATGACAGGTCAGCATTGAGTTCAATGCAAAGTTCAACAATTGCTGTGCTGTCCCTCACCCAAACACACAAATTCTCTATCTGCACCACCTGCTGCTACTAGGTGATGGGGGAAAGGGTGGTGTTGGCAATTCAAGACTGTCTTCCTACCTTTTCAATGCCTCGTTTTAGGAAATATAAAGTTAGAAACAGATACTAAGGGCTCACCTGAGCTTGGGTTCTTATAAAGGTGTTTTTTTTTGTGTGTGTGTAGATAGTTGTTAAAATGGGTGTTTCTGCAGATGGAATGGTCAGTGGAGGCTTATGTTCAACCATCTTGCTCCTCTGCTCCAGCCCCATTGTTTTAATGCACATGTATTTGTTTATTTCTGATAGTAAACATGTAAATCTTTATAATTATTATTAATAAAATTGAGTTTTAAAACTTTTTTAGTGAGATTAAACATTTCAAATATGTCGTATATGTTTGCTTGTTTAAGCACCTTACACTATAAGTCATTGTAATAAGGCATACATTTACAAGCAAATGTATTTCTGCTCCATAGAAATTAATGAAAACTACAGGGAACTTGAATATAGAAATTGGAAATGATTTTATAAAATATATTTTTAAGGAGGCTCCATTCTGGAATGTTTGTTTTCCTATGAGGATTCTCTTATGAGCAGCTATTTGTTTACAGCATAAACTGTTTTAAAATTATTTTAGGTCATGTTCGATTATATGAAAACAAGTATCCTAATATACATGTTTATAAATATAAAGTGAATTAGTATTTGAAGTTGTTTTATTAATTTTTTAAAGAATTCCTTTCTTTTGTACGATGTGCATGACTTGTTATTTCTGGATTCTTTCTTTTAGTTTCCTTACATTAGATTTTCATTTAAAATATCATTTTAATTCTCAAAATTTCTATTTAGTCTCCACTATATATCTTAATTGCATGAGAATGCATATCCCTAGAGAATTGGATAGTGTACTTTATTTCTAAGGTCAGTGATCTGATTATCTTCTCATTCTCTCCATTTTAGCCACGCTATTTTCTTTCCATTTTGGTCAAAATAAGGCAGTGCAATTTCACTTTCAAATTAATTAATTCTCTCATCTCTAACAATTATAGGTATTGCTTTTTTCCTGCAGTTTCTATTTATCACTTTTCTTTTTTCACCACAGCATCCAGTAAAATTAAATATATAAACAACCTTAAATTTATAAGTATGTATTTATTTTAAGGTGGAAACTAATATCAGCTGTTCTCAAGTTTTATCAGTAGTGGTTCTACAAGTTAATTTCTTAAAAAAAATCAAACATTTATGGGGGTATCCATGAGTGAAAGAACCTTGTGGATGTGAAGAATCGACAAAAAGCAACGATTTGTTCCTATAATGTTCACATATATAAATAGAAATTTAGAACATATCAATAATAAGAATGAAGAAGAGGGACACTTTTATGCAGCTTTCCCATTTAATATTTCTACATTTATTTATACTGTGGGTTTGTGACACTAGAAAGTATTGTTTGTGGAGAAGAAAACACAAAAAGAGAGAGCATCATAATGAAGATAACCAGGTGTTTTGCAGACAATCTTAAACTCATACCAACAGCAGATATTTAGCTCAGTATGCCTAGGAAGAAAATATTTCACTTTCTCCTTCACCTTGCCCTACTGCCCATGAGTCTAGTTCCAGTTTTCTTTTTTTCTGAAACAGGGTCTCACTCTGTTGCAGGTTAGAGTGCAGTGGCTCGATCTTGACTTACTGCAGTCCTCACCTCCTGAGCTCAAGCAATCCTCCTGCGTCAGCCTCCTGTGTAGCTGGAACTACAGGTGTGTGCTGCCACACCTGGCCATGTTTTACATTTTTTTGTAGAGACAGGGATCTCACTTTGTTGCCTAGGCTGGTCTCAAACTACCTGGCTCAAGTGATCCTCCAGTCTTCACCTCCCAAATTTCAGGGATTACAGGTATGAACCACTGTACCTGGCTAGGTCTAGTTTTTTAAAGGAAAAAAAAAGTTGCCTAGGAAAATAATGTAGAGTATTTCAGGTACTGGGAAACTGACATCAGAATCAAAGAGAGAATGTGCTTATTATTTTCCAACTCTGGAAAATTAGTCTGTGGTGGGAAATTCAATGGGAGATGATTAGAAACGAAGCTGTGAGAATAGCTGACTGTCCCAATTAACAACGTAAAACTGCAAGAGAAACTACATAAGTCTTCACAGGAACAAGTGCTTAAAAACCTAAGTTTATATCAAAGACTAATGAATAACCTGGCTGGGCTGAAACTGTCTCTTTAAAAGTGAGAAGAAATGCAGATACAAGTAAGACTGGGATCAAAGCCTGAGTGACCATAGAGAGATGATAAATAGTTTTCCAATCATCCCATCATAAATACTGCTTTTCAATGAGACTAATATTAGGGGAATAGATGATTTATGGGTATTCCAAAGAAATTGTGACTATACAAAGCGTCTTAGAAAAATAAAAATACAGAGGAGTAAGAGTCTGAAAAGAAGTAAATAGATTTATTCACACTGATAGTTCTGATGAGGTTTCTGAAATGGATTTTCTCACAGTTCTAATTATAAAACTAGCAATATTCTTAAAATCCTCACATACAAGTACAACTTTTAAATTTACCTGTTTAAGGAAATTCAGTACTTTCAGTGTAGATATGAAACACAGTAGCATTGGCTTGTTTATTTCCAAAATCCATGTTATTAGTCTACAGACTATAGCAAACATATTTTAGGGGAAGTATGCATTTAACACTTATTCAATAACCAAAATGCTCATTACATTGAACAGCACATAATTAAAAATAGCAAGATGCTTCAATAGCCTTAAAAATGAACAGAATAAGTTGAGTATAACGACAATAAGGAGGCAAAGTATCAAAACAAACAAACAAAAACTAGATGCATTAAAACATACTTCCAAAATTATTTTTATATTCCGGGTCATTATGATATTTATTTATCATTAACAAGGGGGCCTTTTAAAAGGAAAAGTTTGGAACACTCCATGCACAGACAAGCTGAGATGGAAGGCAGGGTGGTAGAGTAGAAAGGCTTAACCAAACTTGACTTTCACTATGACTTTGACAATGTCATTTAATCTGATATTTGTTTCTTCATCTTTAATAGCTTCTTGGGATTGTTGTGAGGATTAAATGTGTATTTTAATGTTTTGATAATATTAAATGCACACGAAGTCCTTCCTTCGTTTGAAATAAAGACACAAATATTGTATGCAAAAGCAAGTCAATGATCACTTTCATTTGTGTTTCAGAGGGCAAAGCTATGTTATTTTTTCATTTAAAATATATATTGTAGTCACTACAACATTTACTAAATGACTATATTTATATAAAGGATATGTAAAGATGAATCTGTATATTATATGTTTAATGTAAAACTATGTGTCTAGCATACAGAAACAGAAATTTCATGTCAGAAATATTAAAAAAAATTAATTCTTGTGAACTTGTTAAAAAGCCCCCTAATATCATCTTTCTGTGATGAACCCAAAAGTCTCTTGCAAAGGTTAAGTTTTTAATAATAGCTGCTTTTATGAAGGAGATTATGATATAACTAAGATTACTGATTTAATATAAAAGGACACAGAATAGCAGATGAGAGGGAAATGTGGCACAAGTCTGCAATGGGTTTCCCATGGATAACAGAATTCACTATTTTATAACGAGTCTGCTCTCCTTGATAACAGAGCCACAACCATTCAGGGTGTTTAGAAATTTATTGGAGGCATTTCTTTGATTATTGCTAAAATATTAGGGGATGTTGCTGCATTAGTAGATGAAGACCAAGAATATTAGACATTTTATAAACCATGGAGCTGTCCTGCAAAACAAACAAAATTCTCCAATGCTGCACAAATTTTGAATTTTCCTCATTGCCATTTAAAATCATCTGAGCCTAGAATCTAACTCCATTATACATATAACCAAAATATTTTTAGTGGTTGTAATATACATTGAATTTTCCTGGAATTCATCTATAAATCAAGGGAACGTTTTCTACTGTTTTGCTCAACTTTTACCAAAAGTTGTTGCCTATTTTGGAAAATGATATTACAATGTCAAAGTTGCGAATGATATTTGAGTTATCAATGTAACATACCTGTGTATGTTTGCATTTATAATATATTTATGAAAATTTTAAATATAAATTTAAAAATATTTTAAAATGTCAAATACAAAGAAAAGGTATCAATTATATTTAGCTGGTTATTTAACATAGTTTTATAGCTTATCTAATAATTGAACCATTTATCATATGACTAGTCTGCCAACACTTTTAATTTTGAGACAGGATCTCACTCTGTCTCCCCAGCTGGAATCCAGTGGCATGATCATGGCTCAGTGCAGCCTCCACTTCCTGGACTCAAGCCATCTGCCACCTCAGCCTCCTGAGTAGCTGCACTACAGTTGCACACCACCACACTCAGATTTTTTTTTCATTTTTTGTGGAGAGGAGGTTTCACCACGCTGATCTTGAACTTCTGGCCTCAACCGATCCTCCCACCTCAGCCTCCCACAGTGCTAAGATTATAAGCATGAGCCACCACAGAGCAACAGATTTTTAAATGCAACAATAAAACTACAAGATTGAATGTAAATTTTTCTAAGGAGCACACTGATTAAATTAGCAAGGATATAGTATCATGTTTCTGAAATTTATGAGAAAAGTTTGAAAACTGTATTACTGTCACCAAACTGTTTTAAATACGTCCTAATTGGAGAAATAAAGGTCTCATTATTTCTTACAGGATAGCACAATGCATTATAAGATACATAAGGCCAAAATATTAAAGAATATTAATATTTCCAGCTGTATGAAACATTGTTATTTTATGTTAGAAAGAAATCCAAATAAAAAAATTTGTATTTCACTAAGCAATGATATTGTATTAAGAAGGCTTGAGGAAATTGTGAAAAATGTCAAAGATCATTGACACTTCTATGAAAATGTGCAATGAACTGCAGCTAAGCACATTTTCATACAACAGATGAAAGTATCCTATATGAAAATGATTCAATGCTGCTTATAAATAAGTTTCATAAAGATTAAATAACATGAAAAAATGTTACTTTCAAAAGTACTGAGAATAGATACAAAGAGATTGTCAATTTGCAAATCCCTTAAAAAATATCTCATAGAAAAACATATTCACTTTCAAAGACCACTACCTGGCTATCAGCAATGATGGGTCAACAAAGTGGATTTAGAGTCAACTTCAATAGCTCTAGGTACTTTAGTAATTCACTGCATTATTAAGTGACAATATGAAAGCATTAAGGATGTTAAAGGGATGCTTCAAAATCAATGAATGTTGCATTCAGTGTATTTGTCCATTCTCAGGCCATTACAAAGAAACACCTGAGCCTGGGTAATTTACAAAGGAAAGAGGTTTAATTGACTCCCAGTTCTGCAGGGCTGGGAAGTCAGTCTTCAGGAAACTCACAATCATGGTGGACGAGAAAGCAAACATGCCCTTCTTCACATGGTGGCAGCAAGAAGTATGCAGTAAAGGGAGGGAAAAGCCCCTTATAAAACCACCAGATCTCATGATAACTCACTCACTGTCATGAGAACAGCCCCCATGTTTCAATTACCTCCCACTGGGTCCCTCCCATGATACATGGGGATTAATGGGAACTATTATATGATTCAAGATAAGATTTGGGTGGGGACACAGCAAAACCATATTATTCTGCCCTAGCCTCCTCCCAAATCTCATGTCCTCACATTTCAAAACACAATAATGCCGCTCCAACAGTCTCCCAAAGTCTTAACTCATTCCAGCACTAACTCAAAAGTCCAAGTCCAAAGTCTCACCCGAGACAAGCAAGTCCCTTCTGCCTATAAGCCTGTAAAGTCACAAGCAGGTTACTTACTTCCTAGATACAATGGGGTTACAGGCATTGGGTAAATACAGCCATTCCAAATAGGAGAAATTGGCCAAAACAAACGGGCTATAAGCCCCATGAAGTTCAAAATCCAATAGGGCAGTCATTAAACCTTAAGTTTCCAAAATGATCTCCTTTGACTCCATGTCTCACATCCAGGGCATGCTGATGCAAGATGTGGGTTTCTGCGGCCTTGGGAAGTTCTGCCCCTGTGGATTTGCAGGGCACAGGCCCCTCTGTCTGCTTGCACAGGCTGATATTGAATGTCTGCAGCTTTTCCAGTTGCATGGTGCAAGCTGTCAGTGGTTCTACCATTCTGGGGTCTGGAGGATGGTGGCCCTCTTCTCACAGCTCCACTAGGCAGTGCCCCAGTGGGGACTCTGTGTGGGGGCTCCAACCCCACATTTCCCTTCTGCACTGCCCTAGCAGAGGTTCTCCATGAGGGGTCCATCCTGCAGCAAACTTCTGCCTGGACACCAAGGTGTTTCCACACATCTTCTGAAATCTAGGTGGAGGTTCCCAAAGCTCAATTCTTAACTTCTGTGCACCTGCAGGCTCAATACCACCTGGAAGCTGCCAAGGCTTTGGACTTGCCCCCTCTGAAGCCATGGCCTGAACTGTATCTTGGTTCCTCTTAGCCATGGATGGAGCAGCTGAGATGCAGGGCACCAGGTCCCAAGGCTGCACACAGCAAAGGGTGTGGGGGGCTCTGGGACTGGCCCATTAAACCACTTTTTTCTCCTAGACCTCCAGGTCTGTGACGGGAGGGGCTGCCACGAAGGTCTCTGACATGCCCTGGAGACATTTTCCCATTATCTTGGTTGTAAACATTCAGCTTCATGTTGCTTATGCAAATTTCTGCAGTAGGCTTGTCTTTCTCCCCAGAAAATGGGTTTTTCTTTTCTATTGCATCATCGGGCTGCAAATTTTCCAAATTTTTATGCTCTGCTTCCTCTTGAATGTTTTGCCACGTATAAACTTTTTCTGCTAGATACCCTAAATCATCTCTCTCAAATTCAAAGTTCCACAGATCTCTAGGACAGGGGCAAAATGCTGCCAGTCTCTTTGATAAAGCATAGCAAAAATCACCTATGCTTTAGTTCCCAACAAGTTCCTCAACTCCATCTGAGACCACCTCAGCCTGGACTTCATTGTCCATATCACTATCAATATTTTGGCCAAAGTCATTCAACAAGTCTCTAGGAAGTTCCAAATTTCCCCACATCTTCCTACCTCCGCCCCCATGATCCAATTACTTCCCACTGGGTCCCTTCCCAGAACACATGGGGATTATGGGAACTACAATTCAAGATAAAATTTGGGTGGGGACACAGCCAAAGCATATCACAGTGTTACCAACAAAATAAAAAATAAACTATGCAATGGTAATTGCATTCATTTGAAATTGGAATTCAGATGAGTTTTTAATGTATATTTAATTTTTAATTATATAAAATTATTAAAAAATTTTTGATTCATTAAATGAAAAATTAAGCATCATAATTCAAATATCACAAAATGATATGATACATCTTTCAGATATCTTTATATATTTGTATAGTTAAATGATATCCTTTATAAGCTGCTAGAAAATAAGATCAATCTTATAGTAACCAGAATTGTCATGAGATATTTAAGCAAACATATATTATTTAAAAGTAGCCTGAGCATCAAACATTTTTACAGCTTTTATTTTTGCAGAAGTTAGATAAATCCAAGTAGATTGCTTTTTTTGAATGGCTGCTAAAATGAGAACATGATTAGTTTTTTTAAATTTTAGTTTAATTTACAAAACTGGACTGAGTAATTAATTTATTTGAAATAGAGGAAGAACATTGTTAGCCAAAAATTTTCTGAAAAATTTAATTGAGCTGAAAATCAATGTTTTCAGGGACCAAAGTACACTTTAATCAATCTAATTATGCAAGGTGTTTGATGTCTTATATACATTTCTTTGGAAAGAAGAAAGTTAAATTGCTCTGGAATTTCCAAGAACATGTTTGGTGAAAGGCTGTCAGGGTTACAATTTAATTCTGGCAAAAGCAAGATTACTGATGGGTCTGTGTAGCAGAGGAAACATGAGATTCCTTTTAATACACTTTAAGCAACTTCAATAGAACACATAAAATTCAGAATTCTCACTGAATTTAATGAATAAAGATTGTTTTAAAATCTTATATATATATGTATATGCACACCCATATGTATGCAATTTAATTTTTTGTAACATGCATAAATCTAGGTTGCAGAAATCACATATTGAAATAATATGTCTCAGTTATAAAAATCACATATTTTGTTTCAACACATAATTGTTTCAACAAATTAGAGAGATAATTTATCATTAATCAATTTTATCCTGCTATATGCTCAGAGGTCTAGCGCTCACTTTGACAAGAGCAACACTGTGCTATGGAGATACAAATGTAAGTCACATTTATCATTTGAAATGTTTTAGTGGCCACATTACAAAAAGCGGAAAAAAACAGAAAAAAATAATTTTAATTATATACTATATTTAACACAGTGCATCTCCTAACTGTAATTCAAACCTATAATTAATCAGTGTAAACATTATTGAGATATTGTACATTTTCTTAGTTTTTAATATAAATCTAACTTTACTAAAATAAATAACATTAAAAATTCAATTTTCAGTACCACTGACCACATTTTAAATGCTCCATAATCACACCAGGCTAGGGGTTATCATATTAGACAACACTGGGCTGTACTGTTATTTATTACTGTTATTAGCTATCTTACTGACAACTATTAATTAGCTTAATACAGTTTTTATGTTAGTATCTGGACACATGTCTCTTTTTTTATTTTCCTGCACTAGTTATATTAAGCTCCTTCTCTTACGTTCAAACTTACCTTGAGAAGGTGCAGGAATGTAATGACTTCATAAGGTCTTTTATAATAGCTAATTATTTGCAATAAATCTTGTTTCTTTTCTTTCGGTTATGAGCTATACTGATACTTTTGAATCAATATAATATAAGATTTTTGCATCAATAATGTGTGATTTTGAATTATTCTAATGACTTGTTTTAGATTATATTTTATTTTCTTTCTTTCTCTCTTTCTTTCTTTTTTTTTTTTTTTTTTTTGAGACAGAGTCTCACTCTGTCGCCCAGGCTGGAGTGCTGTGGCGCGATTTCGGCTCACTGCAAGCTCCACCTCCTGTGTTCACACCATTCTCCTGCCTCAGCCTCCTGAGTAGTTGGGACTACAGGTGCCTGCCACCACAACCAGCTAATTTTTTGTATTTTTAGTAGAGATGGGGTTTCACTGTGTTAGCCAGGATGGTCTCGATCTCCTGACCTCGTGATCTGCCCGCCTTGGCCTCCCAAAGTGCTGGGATTACAAGAGTGAGCCACCGTGCCTGGCTCTTAGATTATATTTCCTATAAATGTGATTTTAAGCTGTGCAATAGACTGTGTTCCCCCCAAAATTTGCATGATAAAACCTCATCCCAATGTGATGGCTTTTGAGAGGTAATTAGGTCATAAGAGTGGGGCCCTTAGGAATGGAACTGGTGCCCTCATAAGAAGAGACCAGAAAGCTGGCTAGGTCTCTTCCCACCCTCTTCCCACCGTCGAAAGATGTAATAGGTACACAGTTTGCAAGCCAGAAGAGGTTGCTCACCAGAACCTAACTATGCTGGCTCCCTGATCTTAGACTTCCAGCCTCCGGAACTGTGAGAAATGAATTTCTGTTGTGTATAACGCATCCAGTCTATGGTATTTTGTTACAGCAGCCTGAACTGATAAGGAGGTACAGTGTAGGAAATTTTAGAAAATATTAGAGAATGTAAGACCACTGATCTACATGAACACAGTAATAGTTTTCTACTTTCTGCAGCAGGAAGAACAAGCCGTGTTCTCTGATTGATTTCTAGACTTGTTAAACTGCTACACCAGCTTAACTCTGAGCACAGCAAAACTTCAGTGGCTATCATACTGACATTCTTTTTACAATGATTCCATCTCTCCCAACTTTTGTCATAATTCCTGTCTATCTCATATTTTCACTAAGCACGTTAGACTGTGTCTTCAAATTAAGTGTTCTAAAATTTGAAGTGAGAACAGAAAAAGCATAAGAAAATGGATCAATAATATTGACAATAAAAAAATGACATATACTCAGTACTTACCATGTTTTAATTACTGTCTTAAGGGCTTAATGGTTTAATATATATTAGTTGACATATCTCCAAACACTCTTTGAAGACTGTATGGTTGTTTCTAAAGCTGATATTTGCTCAGTTCAGATCAGTACTAAGTAACTCAGTTGAGAATTTCACCTAGATCTGTAGTTCTGCAAACTTTTGATCCTAAGAATTATGATATCTTTCTTTACAAGGAAATACAAACCGTGAAATATAAATGTGATTTTAACAGATGGATTGATGCCTCACACTAACACACCTGCCTAGAATGTAAGGGAAGATTATTACAATTGCATATTGTGTAGTTTTGACTTTAGTCCTTTTGTTTAAATCTAATAAACTGTTGCTAGCAGTCTTCAAATGAACAACACAGATGCATTTATGTAACAGTGCCCCATGACCAAAAGATTATGTGGTGTCTTACTATCTATCCTGTTCTACAATATTAGGTTTGTGCTAGTCATACAGCTGTTGCTAAATAGAGACTCCCCAGAACTGTCTGAGTTAATATTCACTCCAATCATTCTGCTGCCCTGTGGAGTATTAGAGCATGACAGGGCTGTAGTCACATTTCAAAGGCAGAGGACTTCACTGTTCTTAGATCACACACACCTAATATGCTAGTCCTACATAACTTGCTCTTTTTTTTCTTTGCTATTAGTCTGCTCTTGCTATTTGCAGTCATTTGCCCTTCAGGTTTTACATCTTTCTCATACATTTCAAAATTTAATTAATTTTGTGTATTTTGTAACTTTAAATCACTTACGTTATCTTGCAATAAAGAGGAGTAGGGACTTCAGAAGTATTTATTTCCTTAAAATATGTTTTCTGTACATTAGGGGGCACTCATGTTTTTGAGGGAACTAATTTCAATAGCCTGATTTTTTGGTCTTCATTTTAAAGGTGAAGCATTATATTCTTTGAAGTGTTTTTCTAGGAAATATTTAAAGGAAACTTAACCGATTACCTTGGAAATTTTACCCATTATCACTTTGACACATGTAGAGTATTGGATTTTAGGAAAGTGGCTAAAATAGCTGGATTATTTTTATTTTTATTTTTAGACGGAGTCTTGATCTGTCGCCCAGGCAGGAGTGGAGTGGCATAATCTCAGCTCACTTCAACCTCTGCCTCCCAGGTTCAAGCGATTCTTGTGCCTCAGCCTTTGGAGTAGCTAGGATTACAGGCACACACACACACCACCACGCTGGGCTAATTTTTGTGTTTTTAGTAGAGACTGGGTTTCACCATGTTGGCCAGTCTGGTCTCAAACTCCTGACCTCTAGTGATCTGCCCACCTCGGCCTCCCAAAGTACTGTGATTACAGGCGTGAGCCACTGTGCCCAGCCAAACAGCTGGTTTAAAATGGTGAGGGAACATAATAGTATCAATTCCTAAATGTTTACATATTTGTATTATATTGATTTAACTTATTACAAGCACATTTTACTTAAATAGTTACTAAGTAAATTTGTTTATAAATATTTTCAACAAGAAACTTTACTTTGGTCTTCTTATCTGTGAAAGAGGAATAATTATTAAAAAAGAATATCTCAACATTATACTAGGGACCAAATGAGATAATACCTGAAATTTAATTTATACATGGAATTTACCCATATTTGTACTTCATAAATATTTTTCATAATTGATGTAATTAATGAGTTCTACTTAGACTATTTTTGATAAAATTCATTCTAGCAAACATTGAATTTCCTCCCTAGAGCTACTTCTATTAGTTTAGATTTTTCTCCATCTATGAATATGCTTTCAACTAGCCTTAAACTAACAACAAAAAGAAATATTCTGCAAAAGGAAGAAAGATTTTTGCAAGGTTAAAAAATGTATTGTTAGATGTGTGCTAAAATCTTAATATATATTTTATTTCAATTATAAAAGTTATCATTTTCTAATTATTTCTTCTATAATAGTTTTAACATCTTTCAACCACATCTTATCTAGAATATGTTAGTTTGGGTAAGCTAGATGAATCATAACAATTTATTACACACAGGAATACAAGTATATAATTAAAATATTAATGTGTATCAGTCAGCTATTGCTACAGTAATGCTGTGTAACAAGTCACCCTAAAAATCAGTGGTTTAAAACAGTAGCAATTAATTTTCATACTCATGGGTCATGGGGTGACCACATTGTGGCTGGCCAAGGATGTACTCTAACATCTAGGCTCCAGGCTTCCAGCTGTAGACTACAGATTGGATTCAGGTATGCTGCTTATGATGCTCAATCTTCTGGGTCTAGCAATCAGCCAGTGCATGTGCCCATCTCCATGCATCTTATTCTGTGATCCACGTAGAAGATCAGTGGCTTGCTGGGGTCATTTTCTTCTCATGGTGAATCACCAGGGTTGAAGAAGGCAAACTGAACTCCACAAATACATTTTGAGACTCTGCTTAAGTAACTTACACTAACTTCTCATTAGCCAGAGAAATTCCATGCTCAAGTTCAGTGTCAAGATGAGGGCAAGTACACCTTGCCAATAATGAAGCTATGGCTATAGTTGTATAATTATATCAGAGACAAGTGAAGAGTTGGAAAGTCTATCATTGAATTTAAATGGTTTGTTGAATGAGATGTATGCAGTAAGATTCAATCAAAAGGCAAATAATTTTGTTCTCACTTCAGGTCTTCAGCTTTCCATAAACCTCTCCTATCTCTGGGTGAAATAAAATGCATATCCCCTATGTTTTGGCCAATCTGACATAATCAAATAGGAAACTCAAACTCTAATATAGTTCAAACTGCATATTAAATACCTCCAAGGGTGCTTCAAAAACTGGGCCCAGGAGAAAGGTGACGGTGAACGGATATCATGTTTAGGGAGAAAGTGACAACTATTGGTGTTTGCTGCATAGACTATATTAGTGTACTGTGCCTTCAGATGTTATTACTTAGTATAAAAGGTGAACAAACTGGGAAGCTTTCTTATAAACCAATGCAGTTATACACTATGTTCTTTTTATGTCATTTAGCACTCATATATAATTTAATTCATGTAATGAAAGGATTCATCGTAGCAGAGGATACCATAGAAGTGGCTTCCCAACTTGTCAGGCAGCCTCCTGATGTGGGTTAGAGCAACAGCTGAAGATAAAATTGTGTGGGGTGGCTTTTGGTGCATTCCTACCAGCTCACACTCTGTTATGTTTCATCAGCCCTTCCAGAAATCCTTTAAATTACTACCTTGAAATAAATCCCTAAATTAGCTAGAAGGGATTATCTTTTTTTGGTACAGAACACAGACTGATAGACTAAATATTACACGGAGATATGGAAGGCCAGAGAATCTCAAGAAAAGGGAAGGCCTAAGTTGCTAAATTGATCTGGTTGGGTTTGAAAGTAATAAATATCTTTCTAGATAGATCCTAGAATTAAATATCAGAGAACAAGGCAATGCCCCAGCACATAGTCCATAGTTGTGAAGAGGTACTTATAGTTCTATGCGTAGTTGCTTAGAATAAAGTGCTTATCATGTAACATGTAATGTAAGACTGTGTGTTAGTCTCTTTTCCACTTACTTAGCACTCTCATAGAAAAAATAAAATGATTAGATTAGAGCCTAAAATTCTTCCTCAATGAATTGTCAGAGGATGAGAGATCCATGTTGCCTCTTAGTAGAATCTATCTCTTGAAGGCACAATGCTATTATACAAAAAATCAGGAAAAGAGTCTGATTCTTTGGGTTGCCAAATTACAAAATAAGTTGTATTGATTGCTTCTGAAAATATCTTATTTAAATTTAGGACATCTGTTGGAAAAGAGCGGGACTCTAAGAATTGATATGTGATGCTTTGGTGTAATCAGGTATTTCTCAGTATCTGAAGTCTAAGTTCCACTCAGCCTTTCTTGTCAGCAGAAACAATCCTTCCCTATCTGACAAGATTGTTCCTCTCCTGTCTGAAGTTGTTAATATGTCACTTGAGGTAGTAGACACACAAAGATATATTACACAGTATGTTAATTTTTATATTTACATCTTTTGTTCAATATACATTTTTGAGAATCATCTATATTGTTGTATATATTAGTAATTTGTTCCATTTATTGCCAGACAGTATTAATTAAATAAATGCACCACAATTTTCTTATTCATTCTCTTATTGATTGACATTTAAGCTCTTTTCAGTTTGGGGCAATATGAATAAAACTACTATGAGCATCTTTTTAAAATCTTCTTTTAATATATTAAAAAAATTTATTGTGTAAATATATAGGAGTGGAATTGCCCAGTCATATAATAGTTGTTTAATGACTGTTTTACAAAATAGTAGGATATTTTACATACATTTAAGAGTCTGGTTGCTGCTAATCATTGCTAACATTCAGTGTTATCAATCTTTTTAATTTTAGCCATTTTAGTGGATTTGATGTAGCATCTTATTGTAGCTTTAGCTGATTTTCTTGATTGCTAATGATGTTGGGCAATATTTCATAATCTTACTGGCCATTCTTCTATCTTTTCTTTTGAAGTGTCCATTTAAGATGTGGCCTATTTGTTTTATTGAAATTATTTATTTATTATTTTAACTGAATTGCAGAAGTTCTTAATATACTCTAGATTTTAAATTTAATCGCTAGCAATTTTTATGACCTGTCGAGAAAATTGTGCCACCAAGGTCACAAAGATTTTATCCAATGTTTACTTATAAAAGTTTTATATTTAGTGGCCACTTACATTATCGGTCCTTTTTGATGTTTTAGCAATTATAAATAATAAACAATTCCATTAAAATAAATTTTATTTCACCTAGTGTTCAAAGTTACACTTTTGCTTTCCTTAGGTTTATTTATCTTAGAATATCTTCTTCCATTCCTTTACTATCAAGCTTTCTTTATCTACCACTGTCCTCTTTCAAAATGTGTTCATGGTTGTTACATAATGCTGGATCTTGTTTTTACAAATTTTTAGGATTTCTCTTTTGGTAAATGAATTTAACTTATTTACATTTATTTTAATCAGTGAATAGATACAATATTCTTCTGTACATATGCAAATTGCATAAGTTTGACTTTTTGTGCTTCACTTAACATCTCATTTATAAAGGTAATTTAAAACCTTTTCCTCTATTACTTGCTTGACATAATGAAAATTTCCTTCCTGTCAAAATACCTGGCATATATTCATTTCCTGATTGTTCCCTCAGTACTCCAACCTCCAAAACCATCATTTGGTATTGTTTTATTCAGTTATGCATTCTTTTGAATATTTTTGTTTATTATACATTTAGATAATAGTATAATTCAGTAAGTTATTTACTGACCCTTACACACAATTTACGTATTAGCATCTTCTTAGATTTATCACAATCCTTTTTTGGTTATTTCCTCCATTTATAATTTTGATTAGCTTCTTTTGTTGTAAAACTTTTGAGACTTTTTGTGTTATTAAAAATAACTTTATATTATATGTTTATTTAAAATTAGTTTGCTAGTATAAAATTATGGCATTTATTTATTTAAGTTATTTTTCCTTAATACCTTGAAAATGATGTAACACTGTTTTCTTGCCTGCAGTGTAAGTGATTCCTCATGTCAATAGGTTGCTTGCTCATTTAGGGCAAAAGCTTTCTCTAGAAGCTTTGGGAAATGTCATGGTATTTTAGATACTCTTGCTTGAATTTCACTATAATTTATAATTTATCTAGATGTATGTGTGCATATTGATAAATCTTTTTGGATTGTTTTTTATCTTGTATATATATATAAAAGATTATATAAAACGAATTTTCTATCCTTTGTCTATATATAAAATATAAAAACTATATGTAAAACTATATAAATCTTCATATATAAAGGGTCAAGCAGAGAGACATTTAGTATAAGGAAATGGCTCATGTGGTTGTAGACTTATGAGGTTGTATGGGCTGGCAAGCTAAAATTCTGTAAGGCAGTCCAATATACTGAAAATAGGCAGCAGTTAAATGCTGCAGTCTTGAGGCAAAATTTCTTCTTCAATGGGGAACCTCAAGTTTTCCTCTGAAAGCTTTCAACTGATTGGATGATCCTCACCCACATTATTGAGGATAATCTCCTTCACTTAATGTCAAAAGGTTGTAGATCTTAACCACATGTATAAAATACTTTCATAGCAACACCTAGTAGGTTTGATTTCATTAAATAACTGGTTACGGTGACCTGGCCAAGTTAATATATAAAATTGACTATCACAGCTACCTTTCCAGTTTTAAGGAGGCACTGACCTACCTAGTAAATAGGGAAGAGAAAAGATCCCCCAAGCATTCCCCATCGAAGATGTCCAATGAACTTATCTGAACTGCCCATTTTCACACACATGGAGAAACAATGACTTTCTTCTTTGCCAAAAGTTCATAATTTTACATTTTGTTCTTTGATCCATCAATGTCTTTTTATTTATATTGTATATCTAGGACTGCCTTGGAGGAAGGAGCCAAATGTCCACATGAGTTTTCCATATTCTCTGAAAATAGAAGACTTCAAAGAAGTTTGGGTACAAAAACTACATTAAACTTCCTTTCAATTTATCTGGAATAGACAAGCATGCCACATATCTACTCTGCATGACAATTTGCTTTAAGGGGATAGTGAAGAAATAGTGAACTATTAAGAGGCTCTTTTGTTAAAATTTTTGTCACAGAAATTTCTTCATTTACAGTGACTGTTCCTTTGTACAAATATAAGTAGGCATATAGAAGATATTTTTTGGGGGGGATATGTTTCCATAGTTAAAAACTTAGAATCACCTATATGCTGATCGATGCTCTGAATCCTAGAAGAGCTTCCCAAATAACATCAAAACATCAACAAAAGGCACAAAAGGACTAGTGTCAGCAGTAAAATCTACTTAGATTATTGTGATCTATATCTTTTAATGAGATTCATTTCCAAATCTATTTGGAGGCCCTGCCAAGTTTTCTGAAAAAGCCTTCTAAAAGTATTTTAGGTCAACTACATAAAATTAGAGTTCTTCAGTAAGCCGATGGAGTGGCTAGACCTTTGGAAACTCTAAAGTAATGGTCCTTAAACATTAGTGTTTATACATGACTTATCTGTTGACTATAGGCAATTCTGAAAGAGGTGGTTTATATTAAACTATACTTTATAACATGATTCTCTATTATTACCATATTTTTTTGATGCTCTTTCACATGGGAACTCTATCTGAAGCAGGAAGAGATCTTCAAGGCAAATTCAGTTCCTCAAATCAAAATTCAAACTTCAACATGATTATATGATTTCTAGAGATATTGATCAAGTTAGAGGGTTCAGTTAATGCAATATATATTATGGAATCCAAATTTCCCAAACATTCAGATACAAAAATTTGTGGCAAAATGACAACACGTAATTTGTTTCTTTCAAACTGTTTAAATATTAGGTAGTGTTTTTCTACAAAACAAAATAATGTCAATGAAATTTTGAGTTCAGGCGATAATGATATAATTCTTTCTTCAAATAATTAGTCATTTTGTTCTTTTTTAACAAAAGGAAACAAGGAAACTTGTGTTGTGCTTTTCATGCCTTTTCCTCTTTTATAAAAACAAAATTTGAGGCATAGTTTGAAAACTACCAAAAATTTGAAGATTAACATTAATCACATAATTCAGATATTATGACTATTCAGAAAATATTACCATTAATATTTTGGTGTGTATCTTTGTTGGTTTTGTTGTTGCAAATATATATCTATATGTTTCTATATTTAACCATCTCTAATATCTAAGTAAATATTTTTATATAATAAAATATCTGTATGCATAATGTATAATTTTTTTTTTGAGGCAGAATCTTGCTCTGTTGCTAGACTAGAGTGCAGTGGCATGATCTCGGTTCACTGCAACCTCTGCCCAAGCGATTCTCCTGCATCAGTTTCCCGTGTAGCTGGCACTACAGGTGAGGACCACCACGCCCAGTTAATTTTTGTACTTTTAGTAGAGACGCGGTTTCACCGTGTTGACCAGGATGGTCTCGATCTCCTGACCTGGTGATCCTCCCGCCTCGGCCTCCTAAAGTGCTGGGATTACAGGCATGAGCCACTGAGCCCGGTCCATATATAACGTATAATTTTTAGAATATCTATTTTACTTATCCTATTTCAAGCTTTTTCTATAACCTTACATCTTCTTCAATAACATAATTTCAATGAATATATCTTGTGGAGGTATCATAATGAATTTATTTGCATTAAGTATCTCATTCTGTTTTGTTTCATAGTGATATAATCCTATAATGGTTAGGTCTGCTCTTTTACGATGTGTATAGATTTAGTATTTAGACCAATCTGAGTACTTTCTCTATTATTTTATGTATTTGTCTTTTTAATATTCCTTGCATTTACTCCCTCTGACTGTATTTATAAAATCTTTTTCTATTTTATTCTTTAATTATTTGTAAGATATTCTAGTAGTGGCTAGTATTATGCTATTTTAATTTTAATTTTTTTCTTTTAACTTTTATTTTAGGTTCAAGGGATATATGTGCATGTTTGTTATGTGGTAAATTGTGTGTAGCAGGAATTTGGTGTACTGGTAATTTTGTCACACAGGTAGTCAGCATAATATCCTATAGGTAGTTTTTTTAATCTTCATCTTCCTGTCACCCTCTACTCTCAACTAGGCCTCAGTGTCTGTTGTTCCCATCTTTGTGTGCTTGTGTACTCAACGTTTAGCTCCATCATGCAGTATTTAGTTTTCTGTTCCTGCATTAATTCACTTAGGATAGTGGCTTCTAGCTCCATTCATGTTGCTGCAAAGGGCATGATCTTATTTTTTTTTTAAATAGCTGCATAGTACTCCATTGTAAATATGTGCGAAGTTTTCTTTATCCAGCCCACTGCTGATGAGCATCTAGGTTGATTTCTTGTCATTGCTCTTGTGAAAAGGGCGGCGATGAACATATGTATGCATCTGTGTTTATGGTAGAACAATTTATATTTATTTGGGCATATACCCAGTAATGGGATTGCAGGGTCTAATTGTAGTTCTATTTTAAATTCTTTAAGAAATCTCCAGACCCTTTCCAAAGTGGCTGAACTAATTTACATTCCCACTAGCAGTGTATAAGCATTCTCATTTCTCTGCAACCTCATCAACATCTGTTATTTTTTGGCTTTTTAATAATAACCATTCTGATTGGTGTGAGATGATATCTCATTGTAGTTTTAATTTGCATTTCCCTAGTGATTAGTGATATTGAGAATTTTTTTGTATGCTTTTTGGCCATGTGTTTGTCTTCTTTTGAGAGGTGTCTATTCATGTCCTTTGACTATTTTCTAATGAGGTTATTTTTTGTTTGTTTGTTTTTGTTTTTTCTTGTTGATTTCTTTGAGTTTCTTATATATTCTAGATATCAGACCATTGTCAGATGCAGAGTTTGCAAATATTTTCTCCCATTCTGTAGGTTGTGTGCTTACTCTGTTGATAGTTTCTTTTGCTGTGCAGGAGCTCCTTAGTTTAATTAAGTCTCATTTGTCAATTTTTGTTTTTATTGCAATTGATTTTGGAGACTTCATCATGATGTCTTTGCCTGGGCTAGGACTTCCAGTACAATATTGAATATGAGTGATGAGAGGGGGTATCTTTGTCTTGTTTTGGTTCTCAAGAGGAATACTTCCAGTTTTTGCCCATTAAGTGTGATGTTGGCTGTGGGTTTGTTGAAGATATTTCCTATTATTTTGAGGAATGTGCCTTTGATGCCTAGTTTGTTGGCCTTTTCTGTGTCTATTGAGATGATCATGTGGTTTTTTTAGTTCCGCTTATGTAATAAATCACGTTTATTAATCTGTGTGTGTTGAAACAACCTTGCATCCCAGGAATAAAGCCTACTTGATTGTGGCTGATTAGCTTTTTAATATGCTGCTGGTTTTGATTTGCCAGTGTTTTGTTTAGGATGTTTGCATCTATATTCATCAGGGTTATTGGTTTGAAGTTTTCTTTTTTCATGATGTCTCTGCCAGGTTTTCGTATCAGAATAACACTGGCCTCATAGAATGAGTTAGGGAGGAGTGCCTCCTCCTTGAGTTTTTAGAATACTTTAAGTAGGATTGGTACCAGCTCCTCTTTATTCATCTGGTAGAATTTGGCTGTGAATCCATTTGGTCCAGAGGTTTTTCTGGTTGGTGGGTTTTTTAATACTAGTGTGTATGCTATTCTCTTAGTCATTGACATCTTTAAGCAGCACTATAGTTTTTCACATTTATTTGCAGACTGGTCAGCAACCAATTGTGTCTAATGACTAAACAGTTACAAACATCATATTACTATTAGTATAATAAAATGAGAACAAATTTTCCATAAACATTAAAGTTTGGGGTCATTTAAAAAATTTACATAGGTAAGTCTAAAATGACAGGTAAAATCGTAAACAAATTTGCGTAGGTAAATAAAAAATAGCAGTGTGCTTTTTAAAATTTTTTCTAAACTCGGTTTTAAACTCCCACATACTGCCCTTCTGAGAAATATAAATTTGTCTGGTTGTCAAGAATGTGCTTACCTATTAACTATACTAAATATTGTTTTTAATCATTTTTGTGTTTTAAAGGATGTAAGTTTGCTAAGTATATCTTAACAAAACTTGTTAAGAACAAAGCATTCCCCATTATGATGACTGGTATCATGAAAACCCCAAATACTTATCATGAAAACCCCAAATGCTTAAATGCTGAAAGAGATGTCTGAAAAAATAACTTTGGGTGGGTTTTGAGAGCAGGCATACAGGATCGAAATGAGTCATGGGGCTTGTGTAGGGCATGTGGGCTCGAGGTTGCTAGCTGTGAAAAGGTGAGGTGCTAGTTCTACAGATGGACAGAAGGTCTGGATGGAATCTTTCAGACTGCTATGGCAACTTTCAGGCTGCTGTACTTTCAATGCCAGAGGATGGGGGTCAGCCTCTATTAATGTATAGCCCCTCTGATAGCAAAGTTTTTCCCTTTTTTGTAGGGAGCTCTTCATTTCTTGGGTAAATTCTACAATTCTCCTTTTTAACAATTATTCCCTTGCTTTAGCCTGTTCCTCATTCCTAAAAGTTTGCTCTTTTTTTCATTTCTTTTTCAATATTTTCAATATTTTTCTAAAATATTTTCAATATTTTAGATACAGCGGGCACACATGCAGATTTATTAAATGGGAATATTGCATGATGCTGTGGTTTGGGGTATGGATCCTATCACCAGATGGTGAGCACAGTGTCTAATAGGTAGTTTTTCAACGTATTCCCCCTCCCTTCCTCCACCCTCAAGTAGTCTGCAGTGTTTATTCTTTCCATATTTATGTCCATGTACGCTCAATGTTTAGTTTTCACTTATAAGTGAGAACATATGGTATTTGGTTTTCTGTTTCTATGTTAATTCACTTAGTATTATGGCCTCCAGATCCATCCACACTGTTACAAAGGACATAATTTTATCCTTTTTGTGGCTGTGTAGTATTCCATGGTGATTATGTATCACATTTTCTTTATCCAATCTACCATTGATGGGCACCTGGGTTGATCCCATGTCATTGTTATTGTGAATAGTGCAGTGATGAACATACAAGTGCATGTGTCTTTTTGGTAGAGTGATTTATTTTCATTTGGGTATATGCTTAATAATGAGATTGCTGGGTACAATAGTAGCTCTGTTTCAATTTCCTTAAGAAATTTCCAAAATGCTTTCCACTGTGACAGGACTAATTTACATTACCACCAGCAGTTTATATCATTCCTTTTTCTCTGCAGCCTCACCAGCATCTGTTGTCTTTTGACTATTTAATGATTCCTCTTTGTGGTTTTGATTTACATTTCTCTGATCATTAGTGATGTTGAGCATTTTTTCATGTTTGTTGGCCACATGTATGTTTTCTTTTGAGAAGTGTTTGTTCATGTCCTTTGCCCATTTTTTAATGGGGTTATGTGTTTTGTGTTTGTTGATTTGTTTAAGTTTCCTATAGATTCTGGATGTTAGACTTTGTTGGATGCGTAGTTTGAGAATATCTTTTTCCCATTCTGTAGCTTGTCCGTCTGCTCTGTTGATAGTTTCTTTTGTGGTACAGAAGCTCTTTAGTTTAATTAGGTTCCACTTGTCTGTTTTTTTTTTTTTTTGCAATAGCTTTTGTGGACTTTGTTGAGAATTCTTTGCCAAGGCTAATGTCAAGAAGAGTATTTCCTAGGTTGTTTCCCAGGATTTTTATAATTTGAGGCCTGCCCTTTAAATCTTGGACACATCTTGAGATAATTTTTGTATGTGGTGAAAAGTAGGGGTCCTAGCTAGTTATCTCAGCAGCATTTCTTGAATAGGAAGTTCTTTTCCTATTGCTTTCGTCAGCCATGTCAAAAATCAGATGTTTGTTGGTGTGTAGCTTTATTTCTGAGTTTTCTATTCTTTCCTTTGGGTCTGTGTGTCTGTTTTTATGCCTATTCTCACATTCCTTTTCAAAATAGTATTAGAAATCATAGCCAGAGCAATCAGGCAAGAGAAATAAATAAAAGGCATCCAAATAGGAAAAAAAAAAACCTCAAACTATCATTCTTTGCTGACAATATGATTCTGTACTCAGAAAGTCCTATAGACTCTGCCAAAAGGCTCCTAGAACTGTTAAACAGCTTTAGCAAAGTTTCAAGATACAAAATCAATATACAAACATCAGTAGTATTTCTATACATAATCAATGTTCAGGCTGAGAGTGAAATCAAGAACAAAATCCCACTTACAAGAACCACAAAGAAAATGAAATCCCTAGGAAATTCGCCTAACCAAGGAGGTAAAAGATCTCTACAAGGAGAATTACAAAACACTGCTAAAAGGAATCAGGGACAACACAAAGGGAAAACATTTGGTGGAGCCAAGACGTTCAAATAGAGTAAGCTCCATTCTGCAGCTCCCACTAAAAAGCAAAAAACTGTGAGTGCACTTTGCATCTTCAATTGAGGTACAACAGCTCTCTGATTAGGACTGACTAGGTGGTTGGTGTGACCCACTGAGAGTCAGCAAAAACAGGGTGGAGTAAGACCCCACCCACCCACCTGGGAACTGCAGGTGCCAAAGGGAACTCTCTCCCCCAGCCAAGGGAGATGGTGAGGAATTGAGCTTCCTCTCCCTGAAAACCAGGTTTTCCCCAGGGATCCTTGCAACCTATGGATTAGGAGGTCACTTCCTGAGCCACGCTTCCAGAGTCTTGGTTCCCAAACACAAAGCTGTGGAGAATCATGGTAACTGCTCAGGTGGACTGCTCATATGGGTGGCCACTTTGAGCAGGCACTGAGACACAGGAGTATTTGCATACTCCGACTCCGGGAATTCCCATGAGGCAGGAGACCCATCCACTCTTGTGGGAAGGGGGCTGAAGACAGGGAGACAAGCAGCCTCGCTCTCAAGGAATTCCACAAGCTAATACCCACTAGTTTGGTATCTCTGCTGGCCAGCACAGCTGGCTAGAAACTGCTTAAGAAGACTGAGTTCCCTGGGGGGAGGGGTGGCCGCCATCACCATGGCTCCAGTGGCTGCTTTCCCTTGCTGCTGGTGCCAGCGAGATGGGGTGGGACTCAGATCCACTCCTCACTGGGTGGGGCATCCCTGTGGGAATCTCAGCATCCCCAGCCAGGGGTTTATGGATAGAACACTGATAACCCTGAGAGGAGCCCCTGGGAGGAGGGCTGGCTGCAGTATCCTGGATCAGTGATCTTAGTCGTTTCTGCCTGCTGGGTCTGGAGAGTCAGGGCAGCCCAGAAGAGGGGGATTTCCCTCAGTGCAGCATACCCACCCTGCCAAGAGGCAGATAGACTGCTTATTTAAGTGGATTTCTGACCCCACTCCTCCTAACTGAGTGAGAACTCCCAACAGGAGTCTCCAGACACCTCATACAAGAATGTTCCAGCCAGCATCAGGCCATGGCCCTCTGGGAAAGAGCTCCCAGAGGAAGGAGCAGGCTGCCATTTTTGCTGGTCTGCAGCCTCCACAGGTGATATCTACAGGGATGGGAGAGACTCAGGTGAATAGGGGCTGGAGTGGACCCCAAGCAAACCACAGCAGCGCTACAGAAGACGGGCCTGACTACTAAAAAAAAACAAAAGCAGAAAGCAACAATATCAATGAGAAAGACACCACAAAAACCCCATCTAAAAGTCAGCAGCCTCAAAGACCAAAGGTAGTTAAACCCATGAAGATGAGAAAGAATAAACACAAAAATGCTGAAAACTCAAAAAGCCAGAGTGCCTCTTCTCCTCCAAAAGATTGCAACAAGTCTCCAGCTGAGCTTAGAATGGGTCTGAGGCTGAGATGTAAGAATTGACATAAGCAGGCTTCAGAAGATGGGTGACAATGAACTTTGCCAAGCTAAAGGATGATGGTCTAACTCACTGCAAAGAAGCTAAGAACCATGATAAAACATTACAGGAGCTGTTAACCAGAATAACCAGTCTGAAGAGGAACATAAATGATCAGATGGAGCTGAAAAACACAACACAAGAACTTCAAAATGCAAACACAAGTACCAATAGCCAAATAGACTAAGTGGAAGAAAGGATATCAGAGCTTGAAGACTATCTTGCTGAAATAAGTCAAATAAGATTAGAGAAAAAATAATGAAAAGGAATGAACAAAACCTCTTAGAACTATGGGATTATATTAAAAGACTGAACCTAAGTATGATAGGGGTACCTGAAAGAGACAGGGAGAACAGAACCAAGTTGGAAAACATGCTTCAGGATATCATCCAGGAGAACTTCCACAACCTAGAAAAACAGGCCAATATTTAAATTCAGGAAATCCAGAGAACTCTGGTAAAATACTCCACAAGAAGAATAACCCCAAGACACATAATCATAAGATACTCCAAGGTCGAAATGAAAGAAATAATGTTAATGGCAGCTAGAGACAAGGGTCAGGTCACCTATAAAGGGAAGCCCATTAGAATAATAGCAGAAGCCACAGAAACCCTACAGGCCAGAAGAGATTGGGGGCCAATTTTCAACATTCTGAAAGAAAAGAATTTCCAACCTAGAATTTCATATCCGGCCAAACTAAGCTTTATAGGTGAAAGAGAAATCTTTTTTTCTGTTTCAGACAAGCAAATGCTGAGGGAATTCATCAACACCAGGCCTGCCTTGTAAGACCTCATGAAGGAGGCACTAAATATGGAAAGGAAAAAACTGTTACCAGCTGCTACAAAAAAACACACTGAAATACACAGACCAGTGACACTGTGAAGCAAAAACATAAACACGTCTGCAAAATAACCAACTAGCATCATGATGTCAGAATCAAATTCACACATAACAATATTAATGTTCAATGTAAATGGGCTAAATGTCCCAGTTACATTTGCCTCAATTACAATTACACAGTAATTGTAATTGCCCCAATTACAACTACAGTAACCCAGTGGCAAGCTGGATAAATGTCCCAGTTATATTTGCCTCAATTACAATTACACAGTAATTGTAATTGCCCCAATTACAACTACAGTAACCCAGTGGCAAGCTGGATAAAGAGTCAAAACCCATGGGTGTGCTGTTCAAGATACCCATCTCACATGCAAAGACACACATAGACTGAAAACAAAGGGATAGAGGAAAATATATCAAGCAAATGGAAAACAGAAAAAAGCAGGGTTTGCAATGGTAGTTTCTGACAAAATAGACTTTTAACCAACAAAGATCAAAAAAGACATATTGGTAAAGGGGACAATTCAACAAGAAGAGCTAACTATCCTAAATATACATGCACCCAATACAGGAGCACTTAGATTCATAAAACAAGTTCTTAGAAACCTACAAAAAGACTTAGACTCCCATACAATAATAGTGGAAGAATTTAACATTCTGCTGTCAATATTAGACAGATCATTGAGACAGAAAATTAACAAAGATATTCAAGAATTGAACTCAGCTCTGGATCAAGTGGACCTGATAGATATCTACAGACATTTCCACCCCAAAACAACAAAATATACATTCCTCTTCGTGCCACATGGCACTTACTCTAAAACTGATCACATAATTGGAAGTAAATCACTCCTCAGCAAATGCAAAAGAACTGAAATCATAACAAAAAGTATCTCAGACAACAATGTGGTCAGATTAGAACTCAAGAGTAGGAAACTCACTCAAAACCACACAATTGCGTGGAAATTGAACAACCTGTTCCTGAATGACTCCTGAGCAATAATAAAATTGAGGCAGAAATCAAGAAGTTCTTTGTAACCAATGAAAATAAAGAGACAACATACCAGGATCTCTGGTATGCAGCTAAAGCAGTGTTAAGAGGGAAATTTACAGCACTAAATGCCCACATCAAAAGCTAGAAAGATCTCAGTTGACACCCTAGCATCACAACTAAAAGAACTAGAGAACCAAGAGCAAATAAATCCTGAAGCTAGCAAAAGACAAGAAATAACCAAGATTGGAGAGGAAATGAAGGAGATAGAAACACGAAAGACTCTAAAAAAAATCAATGAATCCAGGAGCTGGTATTTGAAAAAAATTAATAAAATAGATTGACTGCTAACTAGACTAATAAGGAAGAAAAGAGAGAAGAATCAAATAGACACAATAAAAAATGATAAAAGGAATATTACCACTGACCCCACAGAAATACAAATAACCATTAGAATATACTATAAATAGCTATGCAAAAAACTAGAAAACATAGAAGAAATGGATAAATTCCTGAACACATACACCCTCCCAAAACTAAACCAGGAAGAACTTGAATTCCTGAATAGACCAATAATGAATTCTGAAATTGAGGCAGTGATAAATAGCCTACCAACCAAACAAAGCCCAGGACCAGATAGATTTACAGCTGAATTCTACCAGAAATACAAAGAGGGGCTGATAACACTTCTTCTGAAACTATTCCAAACAATTGAAAAGGAAGGACTCCTCCCTAACTCACTCTATGATGCCAGCATCATCCTGATACCTAAACCTGGCAGAGATACAACAAAAAAAGAAAAGTTTAGGCCAATATCCCTGATGAACATCAATGCAAAAATTCTTAATAAAATATTGGCAAACTGAAACCAGTACCACATCAAAATGCTTATCCACTACGAGCAAGTTGGCTTAATTCCCGGGATGCAAGGTGGTTCAACATATGCAAATCAATAAATGTAATTCATCACATAAACAGAACCAATGACAAAAACCACATGATTATCAATGCAGGAAAGGCCTTCGAGAAAATTCAACATCTCTTTATGTTAAAAACTCTCAATAAACTAGGTATTGAAGGAACCTACCTCAAAATAATAAGAGCCATTTATGACAGACCTACAGCCAATATCATACTGAATGGGCAAAAGCTAGAAGCATTCCCCTTGAAATCTGGCACAAGACAAGGATACTCTCTCTTAAAGCTAGAAGCATTCCCCTTGAAATCTGGCACAAGACAAGGATACTGTCTCTTGCCACTCCTATTCAACATAGTATTGGAAGTTCTGGCCAGGGCAATCTGGCAAGAGAAAGAAAGAAAGTGTATTCAGATAGGAAGGGAAGAAGTAATATTGTCTTTTTTTGCAGATGACGTGATCCTATATCGAGAAAACCTCATTGTCTCAGCCCAAAAGCTCCTTAAGTGGATAAGCAACTTCAACAAAGTCTCAGAATACTGAATCAACGTGCAGAAGTCATAAGCATTCCTATACCCCAAAACAGACAAGCAGAGAGCCAAATAATGAATGAACTCCCATTGACAATTGCTACAAAGAGAATAAAATCCTAGAATACAGCTAACAAGGAAAGTGAAGGGTCTCTTCAAGGAAAACTACAAACCACTGCTCAAGGAAACCAGAGAGGACACAAACAAATGGAAAAATATTCCATGTTCACGGATAGGAAGAATCAATATCATAAAAATGGCCATACTGCCCACAGTAATTTATAGATTCAATGCTATTCCCATTAAACTACCATTGATATTCTTCAAGGAATTAAAAAAAAACTATTTTAAAATCTGTATGGAACCAAAAAACAGCCCATATAGCCAAGACAACCCTAAGCAAAAAGAACAAAGCTGTAGTCATCATGCTATGGGACTTCAAACTATGCTATAAGGCTCAGTAACCAAAACAGCATGATACTGGTTGAAAAACAGATATATAGACCAATAGAACAGAATAGAGAACTCAGAAATAAGATTGCCCATCTACAACCATCAAAACAAGCAAAAACCAGACAAAACAAGCAATGGGGAAAAGGGTTCCCTATTTAATAAATGGTGCTGGGACAACTGGCTATCCATATGCAGAAAAGTGAAACTGGAACTCTTCCTCACAACTTATACAAAAATTAACTGAAGATGAATTAAAGACTTGAATGTAAAACCCCAAACTATAAAAACCCTAGAAGAAAATCTAGATGTACGTGCATTCAGGACATTGGCATGGGCAAATATTTCATGATGAAATCACCAAAAGCAATTACAACAAAAGCAAAAATTGACAAATGGGATCTAATTAAACGAAAGAGCTTCTGCACAGCAAAAGGAACTATCATCAGAGTGAACAGGGTATCTATAGAATGGGAGAAAATGTTTGCAATCTATGAATCTGACAAAGGGCTAATATCCAGAATCTACAAGGAACTCAAACAAGTTTACAAGTAAAAAACAAACAACCCCATTAAAAAGTGGGCAAAGGATATTAACAGAGACTTCTCAAAAGAACACATTCATGCAGCCAACAAACATATTTTAAAAAGCTCAACATCACTGATCATTAGAGAAATGCAAATCAAAACCACAGTGAGATGCCATCTCACCCCAGTCAGAACGACCATTATTAAAAAGTTAAGAAACAACAGTTCCTGGACAGATTGTGGAGAAATAGGAGCACTTTTAGACTGTTGGTGGGAGTTTAAATTAGTTCAACAATCGTGGAAGACAGTGTGGCATTTCCTCATAAATCTAGAAAAAGAAATACCATTTGACCCAGCAATCCCATTTCTGGTTATATACCCAAAGTAATATAAATCATTCTATGACAAAGATACATGCATGCATATATTCATTGTAGCACTATTCACAATAACAAAAACATGGAATCAACCCAAATGCCCATCAACAATAGGCTGGATAAAGAAAATGTAGTACATATACAGCATGGGATACTATGCATTCATAAAAAGGAATGAGCTCATATCCTTTGCAGGGATGTGGATGAAGCTGGAAGCTGTTATCCTCAGCAAACTAATGCAGGAACAGAAAACCAAACACCGCGTGTTCTCACTTACAAGTGGGAGCTGAAGAATGAGAACACACGGACACAGGGTGGGGAACAACACATAGTGGGTGGGGCCTGTCGGGGGGGTTGGGGGAGGGAGAGCATTGGGAAAAATAGCTAATTCATGCTGGGCTTAATACCTAGGTGATCGGTTGATAGATGCAGCAAACCACCATGGCACACGTTTACCTGTGCAACAAACCTGCACATCCTGCACATGTACCCCAGAACTAAAAATAAAAATGAGAAAAACATTCCATGCTAATGGACTAAAAGAGTAGCTATCATAGAAATAGCCATACTCCCCAAAGCAATTTACAGATTCAATGTTATTCCTATCAAACTATGTCATTCTTCACAGAATTAGAAAAAAACTATTCTAAAACGTATATGGAAGCAAAAAGAGCCTGAATAGCCTAAGCAATCCTAAAAACGAACAAAGCCAGAGGCATAACACTACTCAACTTCAAACTATACTATAAAGCCACAGGAACCAAAACAGCTTGCTCTCTTTTCTTATCCTACTTTTCTTTACTATTACATTAGTAAATGCAAACTACTTACTCATAAAGTTTCTCATAAAGGATGTAGAAAGTCATCTAGTCAAATAATAAATGCCTTTGAGAGGAAATGTGTGAACCTATTCTATGTAATCTCTATGAGTGATCATGAACAGGACACAGCAAATGTTTCTTATATGTTTCCCCTGCTTTATATTCACAAAGATATTGAAAGAATTCAAGTGCATAGTATACTCTACATTCACTATTTCAATGGCTTTCTTATTGGTCTCTTTGCCATTATTTTCTCTTACCCTAAATTTAGCCCATATGCTGATGACATCATACATTTTTCTAAAGGGGTGACATTCAGTTTTTCAACAAGGAAGTCTAAACTCCTCGACTAACATTCAATAATCTACATGAGTTGCCACCACCCTGGTGTTCATGTCTTACTTTTTACTATTATACTTGGTATACAGTACACTCCAGAGGAAGATGAGTTTGGTTAGGCTGAAAATATGCTTAATTTTCCAGTCACTATCCTGTACTTAAGCATTTCTCTCTACTGGAAATGATTCTTTCTTCAATTTCATGATCTCTCCTTTTTAAAAGCTTTTAAAATAATCACACCTAGCTCGAATGATTAATTCTCCTGTAAACGTTCCTTGATAGCTTATAATCACTATACTTTTCCTTCACTTGGGGGTTTCCTCAGGATATTTTGTTCTTTTTATTGAAATATTTTATTCTTAAGGCTAATCTTCTCTACTGGATATTAAGCTTCCTGGAGTAGATCCAGAATCTTAATTTTTCTCCAAATCACAGTAACTAGCAAAGTATCTGGAATATAGTAGGCCTTTGATATACATTTATTTTCATTAAAGATTATAATAATATATATTTATGTGTATCAAATAGTAAATCAAAGTAAATAATACTTATATTTCTGAGTGTTATTTCATAAGAGCAAGTATCACTTCATATTTAAAATATAAATTTGTTTCCTCCTGAGATAAACATGAAAAGTACCATTGTTAGGAAATATAAAAATAGTATAAGACATAGGAAATAAAAGAATTATATTTTAAAATTAATAACATGATGAATATGTACTATAAACATATGCTATTACTTGATGATTATATCTTATTTAAACTAAATCCAATTAAAATTAAGTGGTACTCCTTATTTCAAAACAGTAAAGGATTAGAATTAGGTTTCAGATTACATTTAAAATTATGTTATTATGTTTAATATTTTGAAATGGCAAAAGTGTTTTGTATTTGGATACTTTTTTCTATTATCTCTATGATGCTTGATGTAGTAATCCCATGCTTATCATTTTTTCTCTGTATTAGCATTATTTATGATTATATGATTTTTGTTTGCTCGTATTTAAGCTCCATCATTAAAACATGTTCACTTAAGTTCTTCACTTTGCTTCTATTTTTTGGTGCATGTGTACATCATTTTGCTTCTATTTTGTGAATGCATTATGTACCTCATTTACCTCAATTGATTTTTAGGAGGCAAGATAAATTAGTAGTTGGTGAGAAAATTTATATCAGCACAAACATGCACAACTATGAGGGCAAGAACAAGATAAATTTTATGGAAATAAATTTCCATAAAAGAGAGCAGAAGAGAGAAACAGAGTGATATTAAAGACAGGTCAGAGTAAAAATGCACTTCAGGGTTACTGGCTCAAGAGAAGATATGAAGGTAGCAATATAGATTGCTAAGAGCAAATAATGCAAAGGCTGATTGACAGGTTAAATTCCAGTTCTGGTACGTACTACAGGTAGGATCTTTGGCAGGTTACTTAGTATCTCTATTCCTTAGTTCTTCTGGTAAAGTATAATGATAGTGGCTACTCAGCAGGGTTGTGTTATTAAATTAGTTGATTTACATTAAGCACTTTGAACTTACCAGTTGTATGTAAATGATACATGTTATTATGTCATAAAAACTTCAAATATCCAGAGATAATAGAATAATAATGATAATAATATGGTATAATATCTAACCCTTTTTATAGAACTGACTCTGCTATGCACTGGACACATTATTACCTCCTTTAATTTCTTCAATTACTCTCTGGGTGCCAACAGGAAAATAATGGCATATTTTAAACAAATGATATAAGGACAGTTGAATCTACCTCAAGAAGGGCACTGATAGCATGGGGCTAGCATAGTGGAAGTCTTTTACCATCCCTAGACCTGAAGGGGCAAATGAAAGGAGGAATTAATGGAAGCTATAGTTATATGAATTGTTGCCAACCAGAAGCTATAGCCCTTGATTGGTGAATGCAGCCAATGTACAGTAACCTGGCAAGAAGAAAGGAGAATAAATACTCTTACTTCACACTCCACCTCCTTCATCTCTGGTCCAGTTGGAAGCTATCAGGCACGAGAACTCAATGATTCCATTCATATGAATAGACCCTCCAGAGCGCAGAACAGACCGGAACTAGGTTCAGAGGGGAATCTGGTGGGCAAATATAAGATACACAGCACAAAGCCTTATGAAATAGGAACTACTGTTCTACTCAGGTACAGATGAAGAAACTGAGGATCAGGAAGTTTAAGTGATTTGATCAGTGCCACAACTACTAAACCAGTGGTAGACTCAAGGTTTGCACCCAGACAGTCTGGCTCTGAGACAATGGTCTTAAACACTGTACCATGCTGCAAAGTGTATGTTTACTAGAGGTTACACTCAGCAAAAGCAGAAATCAAATGAAGCCACACCCATTTTTCTGAGAACAGTAATTTTAGAAGATAGAGAAAGTCATGAGAAAGGTATTGCTGCTATATTTTATTTAAACTGACCAGGAGTAATTGATTGAGGAAGTAGAAGTTTTAGGAAATGGGAGTTTTGAAGTTCATAAAAATCTTTAAATGTAATATAGAGCAGAGTGGTTGTAACCTCTGAGTGGTAAATAATTTTGTCTAGGGATAGAAGGCTTTATATAAATTGTAAATTTACATAAAATTGTCAGAAGGAGGAATAATGGGAATAATATTTATAGAGGTAGACATAAACATTATAAGCACAAACTGTTGAAAAAGAGTACTCATTTTGAATGATATAAGCTACTTTATATTTGAGTAAAACCTTAAAAGTGCTAAACAGGGAAACAAGGCATGTTCATACTTTGGACTTGGTACAGGAAGAAAAACTTGGGAGAGAAAGTTGTATAGCTTGAAGAAATCTATTATATTATTTGAGATTAAGTTCCCATTTTCTTCTAACTTCTCTGTTAGGAACTCACAGTCTGAAACGAATCATGATAACAGGGGAATGAATCCCAAGACAGTTAAGGAGATTGCTCAACAGAATTGAGCCATATTAAATGGATTTAAATCCCCAGCTCCAGATAAATTAACATTGTAAGGACATTTCTACAATCTTAAACTTTTTCCAACTCCACGAAGGATATTTTAACACAATAAAGGCGTCTAATTTTTAACATTTCAAAATAAAAATAGTTCATCTTCCATCCACAAATGTGCTCCGATTTCTCTTTTTTAAAGCCTAGTCTCTTAGTTCACATGATTCTCCCAGTCATGTGTTCCTCCTTGTATCAGCTGTCTTTCCCATTTGATGAATCTGTATGGCCAATCAAGTGTCAGATAGTGCTAGCAAGCCTTCCACCATTTCTTATATCTCCTAGATCCTGTGCAATTTCACTCAGATAATTCTAGTTCAGTCTTCAGTTAAATTAATGCAATAACTTCTTATTGAGCATGTATTATGTACTAGGAAATATGATTAATAATATACTGCTTATGCTATGAAATATCTCATACTTTAATCTGTTTGGGTCCCAGACTATTGTAGTCACATCTTTTCTTGCCCTCTTTTACCCATTCTGGAAGCAGTCTGAATTATCCTGGAGATAAGAATGCAAGAAGAATGTCATCAAATTTACATAAAAATTGTCAGAAGGAGGGATAATGGGAATAATATTTATAGAGGTAGACATAAACATTATATGTACAAACTGTTGAAAAAGGATGCTCATTTTGAATGATATAAGGTACTTTATATTTGAGTGAAATATAGTCCAAGATAAAGATCTGATCATGTCATATCCTAACCATCTTTGCAGGTATCTCTCTTAAATCACCAAAGTTCCATTATGGCTAAATAAATAGCATGAAACTTGTTCTAATGTTTCTTATTTTCTCAATGGGAAGTTCTTGGGACAGGTGGTGAATAGAGAAAAAGAAAAGTACCTTCTCTTGTAGGAAAATCTCTGAACTCTGAATATGCTACACTGATAGGTGATGAGAAAAGAGAAGCTCTAAGAAACTCTTCATAAGGCTAAAATCTGGTTTATGAATTTGGACAAACATGTATTTTTTCTAATTATTTTAAGGTTTATGATTTTAAAAGTTTTACAGAAGAAAGTGGGACTATAACCTTCAAACATCAATTATGCAACATTTAATAGGATTTTTTATGCTCACTTGTCTTTTAAGAATACATAAAACAGAGGGAAAATAAAATAGCAAATTGCTGTGTTATAGGCTAAACTATAAAAAGAATAAATGCTTAAGTAGTTTCTTTCCTAGCACTGCTAAAACTGCTCTTAAATTCTATAATGAAGTTATGATTTTATAAATTTA
Organism: Homo sapiens; assembly: GCF_000001405.40. Lineage (NCBI taxonomy): Eukaryota > Metazoa > Chordata > Mammalia > Primates > Hominidae > Homo > Homo sapiens. The sequence goes on from NC_000014.9 coordinate 47,857,026, forward strand.
ACTACTCTAATGATATTAATGATATTAGATCCAGCCACTTCCATCATTTCTATTTAACCTTTCCTAATTTAAAGAAATAAGAGGGAAGAGAAGATATACAGTGCTGGACATGAGGGTGTTGATTTAAAGGACTATTATTGTCTCTCAAAAATAAGTATTTCTCTCCCAAGCAGTGCCCAGATAAGGCAATTCTAATTATTACAATCCATTAGATTTAATAATTTTACACACAACAGAATGAGACAGTTAAAATATCTTTTCACAGATAAGGAAATTGAGGTTTATCTCAATAAATATATCAAAAAAATTATCTTGATAGAACTGAAATAAGTTGCCCAGGGTCACATTGCTATTAAGAGCTCAAGCTGAAAGTTAAACCACAGTTTTTTTTTTTGTCATATTATACATTCCAAGATCTTTTCATTTTGTACCATTCTTCCAATCAATATTTTTACTAGACTATTTATCACTGCAAATATTCCAAATCTAATTACATAAGCACTCAGGGGTGAGTTAAATTTTGGCCTCTAATTGCTGTTCATTGGGAATGTGGTAATTTTCCCTCAAGAATTGGATTGATTTATCTTCTTCAGTCTTTCCCCTTGGCTTGTTTCAAAGTGCTAAAATGCTGCTTCCACAAATATCTCACTGTCCTATTATCACCGGTATTTCTAAGACTTTCTTACACCAGCAACATATTCTTTCAGACTCATTTTTTCTTGACTTCCATTTCTTCTGAATAATCTTTTTTCTATGTTTCTTTCATTTTCTCCACACAGCCTATGATTCACTTTCATTTCTTGTTTTCCATTCTACAACCATTTGCTCCTACTATTACTTTGCTTCCTGTAGTGGTATTTTATTTTCTGTTTCCAGTCGTCATGTAAAGGATCATTTCTTTTGTTTTAAAGACCTCAACGTTTAGAGTGAAACATCTTATTCCCGAGTAAGCCCCATGAGGAAAACAAATACTCTTGAAAACATCACAAATGTCTTCACTGTGAATCTTTTTCTCCTCAAATTTAAACCACCTTCTGCTCAAAAGAACATTTACATAAGTATCTCAAAGATTGTTAGAAAGAATGCCAACATGATGAATTAGTAAATTTGACTTATAATCTTCCACTGCTCACCCACATTTACATGTGTTCACCTTACATTAAACTACATGACTCTTCATGATATAAATTATTTGGTTTACCTTGGTAATTAGGTTTAGAAAATAATACAGTGCTATTAAATAATTGTTGTAGTTTGAATGTGTACCCTCCAAAATTTATGTGTTGAAACTTAACCCCTATCGTGGTGGTGTTAAGAGGTAGGGACTTTTGGGAAGTGATTAAGTCATCAGGGTAGTGTCTTCATGAAATAATTAGCACCTTACAAAGGGGCTGGAGGGAAGTAATTAGGCCCTTTTTGTTCTTAGACTTTCTTACCATGAGAAGATACAGCATTTGTCCTCTTTTGCCCTTTCCCTCCCTTCTGCCATGTGAGAACATGCAGATAGCACCACCTATGAGCAATAGGCCTTTACCAGACATCAAACCTGCTGGTGCCTTCATCTTGGACTTGCCAGCCTCCGTAACTGTGAGGAATACATTACTGTTATTTATAAGTTACCCAGCATTAGATATTTTGTTATAGCAGCACAAATGGACTAAAACAATACTATTTTGTTTTCAATAACTAAAATCCATTTAAGACTTCACTATTGATAAACCAAGAATAATTTTTATTATTTTTAATTTTAATTTTTTGTAAAGTTTAGATTCAGAGGTTATATGTATGGTTTTGTTACATAGCTATACTGTGTGATGTTGAGGTTTGGGTTTCTATTGATCCTATCACCCAAATAGTGAACATATTATCCAATAGGCGGTTTTTCAACTTTGTCCTTTCCCTCTCTCTCCCCTTGTAGAGTCCCCACTATCTATTGCCTTGCATCTTTATGGCCATGTGTACTCAATATTTAGCTCCTACTTATAAGTGAGAACACGCAGTATTTCCTATGTTAATTCACTTAGGATAATGGTCTCCAGCTGCATCCATGTAGCTGTAAATGACATGATTTCATTCTTTTTTATGGCTGTCTAGTATTCCATGATATGTATGTGCCACATCCACATTTTCTTTATCCAATCCACCATTGAGGGGCACCTAAGTTGATTCTGTGACTTTGCTATTGTGGATAGTGCTGCAATCAACATATGAATACAGGTGTCTCTTTGGTAGAACAATGTATTTTCCTTTAGGTATATATCCATTACAGGGATTGCTAAAAATAGAATGGTAGTTTTGTTTTTAATTATTTGAGAAATCGCCAACCTACTTTCCACAGTGGCTGAACTAATTTACATTTCCACCAACAGTGAATAGGCATTCCCTTTTCTCCACAACCTCACCAATATCTGTTATTCTTAAACTTTTTAATAATAACCATTCTGACTGGTGTGAGATAGTATTATATGGTGCTTTAAATTTGTATTTCTCTGATGATAAGTGATGTTGAGCATTTTTTCATATATTTGTTGGTCATTTGTATGTCTTCTTTAGATAGGATTATGTTCATGTCTTTTACCCACTTTTTAATATTTTTTTCTTGTTGATTTGTTTATGTTTCTTATAGATACTGTATATTAGACCTTGTGGGATGCATAATTTGTGAATATTTTCTCCCAAGTACAGATTTTAAATAACTAGATTTCTTAACCTGAGTGTTTATATTATTTGAATTGCTTGCTCTTTCACCTTTTTTGCTCATTTGTTCTCTGAAAAGACGCTAGAATAAGTATTATTCTAGGGATAGAACATAATAAATATTTCCTAATTATTTCCTCTTTGATACAAATTATGCTTAGAACAAACCGATTCATATAATTTCTGTGAATTTTGAGAATATATACTAGGCAAAATAAGAATCATTGAAAACTGTAGAAATTCTAAAGGGTTTTCAGAAAGTTTGTTTGAATAAACAAGTCCTGCTAAGTAACTCATCAAAATAAAAAGCATACTTAGTGTACCTTAGAAAATAACGTAACTGATTTGGTCTTTTGTAAGGCCTGGGTGCAATAGGTATGAGTCTTTGTTTACATATTATCAACTTGTATCAATTCCAGAAGGCAGGCAGAGATGCCCTGAAAAAATTCTAAATCAGGAAATTAGAGGATAGCTTCTTTGGGTTATGGAAGATTTTAATTCAATCCTACCAAGATCACAATGTACTGAGATCTTATGATAGTAATTAGAGTGTCTGGTGGAATCTTATTGCTGTTTAGAGACTATCTTGGTGTAGCTGATCCAATTCTCCTAAAATGGACAAGTAGTAGAGCAGCAAGGTTAGCTACTTTGATTATCACTTTCTAATCCTTTCACTATGGGTCTTGAGCAGCTACAATGCCAAGTCATCTGGTAGGAAGTGTATTTGATTTAACTGAAGGGAAGCTAGCAGGTAATCCTAGTTATTTTGCCTAGGGTGTAGGTCTACAGGACAAGGAGTAGTGGTCAGGCACTCAGGCATACAGAGATGAGGTGTGACATTCAGCAAACCAAGTGATGCAGAAATCAAATTCCTGTGAAAGTGATTCGTGGACCAACATTCTTTGCACAATCAAAGACTAATGTGGAAGTCTTGGCACTCAGTAGTTTATAACTAGATATGAAGTGCATTATTGTTACATAGTAAATATAGCTTACATTTGAGTGCGTGTGTGTGTGTATTATAAATAATGACTTTTGCTCTAAGGCATCATACACATTCATTATTTCATCTAATACTTAAAACCACCTATGGAAAATGTTACTCTTATATTGAAGAGAGTAACAGGAGGTTACTGAAGTAACAAGAATGGAGTTGACACTTGGCCATATATTCCCAGGCGAAATCTTTATACAGTTTGCCCTGGTTACTTATGGATTCCACATCTGTGGATTCAACCAATTGCAGATCAGAAATATTTGGATGAAATCCCAAATAATAATATAACAATGAAAAAGTATGAATTAAAAATACAGTATGTGTTGGGAACAGGCCCCAAAATCTGGCCATAAACTGGCCCCAAAACTGGCCATAAACAAAATCTCTGCAGCACTGTGACATGCTCGTGATGGCCTTGACACCCATGCTGGAAGGTTGTGGGTTTACTGGAATGAGGGCAAGGAACACCTGGACACCTGGCCCACCCATGGCGGAAAAGTGCTTAAGGCATTCTTAAACCACAAACAATAGCATGAGCGATCTGTGCCTTAATGACATGCTCCTACTGCAGATAACTAGCCCAACCCATCCCTTTATTTCGGCCCATCACTTTATGTCCCATAAGGGATACTTTTAGTTAATCTATAATCTATAGAAACAATGCTTATCACTGGCTTGCTGTCAATAAATATGTGGGTAAATCTCTGTTTGAGACTCTCGGCTCTGAAGGCTGTGAGAACCCTGATTTCCCACTCCACACATGATATTTCTGTGTGTGTGTCTAATTCCTTTAGCACCGCTGGGTTAGGGTCTCCATGACCGAGCCTGGTCTCGGCAGTATGAAAATGACTTACTCAGTATTTACATTGTGTTAGGTATTATAAGAAATCTAGAGATGATTTAAAGTATACAGGAGCATATGTGTAGGTTATACTCAAACTATGCCATTTAATATAAGAGACTTAAGCATCCATTGATTTTGGTACATGTGGGGGAAAATATCAAATTCCAATACAAATACTGGAACCAATCCCTCATGGATATAGAGGGATGATTGTACTTGTTTTGTGTCCATTGCTATAATTAAGTTTATGCCTTAATTTACACATGAAGTTTAGGAATATTTGTAGAAAGGGAACCACACAATCCTAACCTTGTAATTTGTTCCCAAGCAGAATAGATATGTTCTTATATTTGGATGCTCTAGGTCTGATGGGGCAGAAAATTACATGGAAATCATGTTATGGTCATATTTTGGTAAGAACTTTTGTGCAAAAAGGAGGCAAACTGGATTCCATATGACTGGATTGTAAAAGAAAAATGGTGTTGTGGCTGGGCACGGTGGCTCATGCCTGTAATCCCAGCACTTTGGGAGGCTGAGGCAGGTGGACTGCCTGAGGTCAGGAGTTCAAGACCAGCCTGGCCAACTTGGTGAAACCCTGTCTCTGCTAAAATACAAAAATTAGCCAGGTGTGGTGGCGGGTGCCTGTAATTCCAGCTACTTCGGAGGCTGAGGTGAGAGAATCACTTGAACCTGGAAGGTAGAGGTTGCAGTGAGTTAAGATCGTGCCACTGCACTCCAGCCTGGGTGACAGAGTGAGACTCTACCTCAAAAATAAATAAATAAATAAAAATGGTGTTTTTCACAAGTAACTACTAAACGCTGATGCTGTGGTGCTGGAACTAGTGATATTTATCTACATATACATTGATTTGATATTTTGTGTGAAATGAGAAAAATAAATATGTTTAGTTTCTCTTAGGCTAGATTTATTACATATAAAGTACTATTCTTCAGCTTAATACATTTTCTGCACATCCAAGAAAAGTGAATTTAACTCCTCTTTTATAAAACAGGAATACAAAATACCAATATGTAATGAAAATAAGCTATTTTTTAAATAGTAGAGACTGTGCTGGGCACTGTACTTAGTTCTTTACAAGTACTACTCCTGAGGTAGATACCTTACAATGGCCAGAAATTATTTACTGCTTCTCTCATTAAGATGTGGAGTTTATTTCTTTCCTTTCCAAATCCTTATGATTTGCTATGACCAATCCAATGAGAAAGAACTAACATTTTGTTACTTATCAGTCTCAGCCTCAAGGGGTTTTTACAGATTCCCCTCTCTCCCACTTGGAATGTTGCTTGCCTCAGTGTAAGAAACCCCAGCAGTCCTCTCATTAGACCTCCTGGAGGAGATCCAAGGTACCCAGCTAACCCACCAGATAGATATGTGAGTGAGGCCATCTGGAACTAACTACCTAGTTCTTGTGAAACTTCTAGATTGTGACAACTACATGAAAGACCCCAGAGAGAGAAAGCAGTAGAAACAGGCCTGTTGATTCCAGCCCACATTTTAGAATCCTGAGAAAATTAAATGGTTGATACTTTAAGCTACTTAGATGGAGGCTGGTTTGTTATGCCACAAGAAATATCTGATACACTTTATTATCGATTATCTACTGTGCTACTATTAGAACTTTTTATTAAGCTATTATTATCTCCATTTTACAGATGAAGGAACTGAGGCTCAAGATATTAATAACTTGACTAAAGTCCTAATAACTTACCCAATGCCCTAACAAGTCACATTCTTTACATCCAGATATAGGTTAAATTTTCGAACCTAGGATTATAAGAAGATGATTATCTTGTTTTAAATGTTCATACTTGTTAAAAAAATAGTTGTCAATGCTACATTAGTCCTTTATTTTTTTAAAAAATTTTGCCTGTTGGTGAAATTAAGAAACCTAGAAATTAGTCTCTTAATATTTATCATGTTATAAAGTAGGAGACAATTATATTCAAAAAAGACTGTCAATGTGTTCATTGTTGCATGTCTTGTTTACTGTCTTGTCTCAGGTTCCTGAAAGCTAAGACTAAGGGAGGGTTTGGCATGCAGGTAGTTTACTTGGGAAATGATCTCAGGGAGCAGGAGTTAAGTAATAAAACAGGAAAATGAGCAAACAATCAAGTTGGCATTTGTTACTAGCCACCTGAGCTTTATACAGGTGGACCTCCCAAGGAGTTTTAGTAAATTATCTCAGGAAACTGTACAGTTGGAAGAAGGGGAAACATTGATCTCCATTAGTTGAGAGCAGTTTCATAGTTGTTAACTCTCCATACTTCTTGGCAACCCATGTATCTGAGGGCAGAAGAGAAAAAATACAGGACACTGGCATGAGCCAAGGCATTGCCGCATTTCCAAGTGCATCTTCACAAAGCTGGTCAAAGCTTGCAAGGACATGGTGACCAGAACAATGGCTTAGGAAGCGGTGGAGCCAGAAGGATTTGAGGTGATTATAAGAGGCATCTTGTGCACATAGGTAAATACATATATTTCTCTGAAAATGCAAGAACATTGCTTTGTAAAGATGCCCAGTAAGGTTAAATAACCTTAGGTTGAATGCTTTAAAACCAAAATTAGAAAGATTAGCACAGCGAAGAAGGCATAAACACTCTATCTGACTTCTAGATGCTTGCTTCCCTCCCAATGTCACTAGCAAATGAAAAGAGGCCTTAAACTGCATGTGGTATTTGACCTTGCCTGAATTTTCACTAGTTTGCAGCCCCATATCATTTTTTTTCCATCTGAAAACCAACCATTAGTAATATATCCATGCAAGAGAAATGCTACAATTCTTCTAATGAGCTACCCTTGCATTCAGTTATATAAGGTCAAAGATAAGTGCACTTTATATTTGAGCCAAGCCAACTACTCACAGCAATGTCAGTGCAAGAGAACCAATTCGAACTTAAAATTAATTAGCTTTTTAGTGGGTTGTAAAACTTGCTTAAGGTATGAAGTACTTCCTAATTACAGGAGATTATGGTCATAATCTGAAGAACTGAGGCAGAAAGAGCCTAAATAAAGCAAACTGCATTTCGTTCTTAATTACAAGGAAGTTCAATGTGTTTCATATCTTTGGGAATGTTTGGAGACGATTTTAATATTGTGAGTTTTATAAACTTTTAAGAGACAACAAATAATTGCATTAGACATGTAATGGCTAAAGTGTAAGTTTATATTTATAATTTATAATCAGTTACATGAAATAAGATTTCTTAACACCTGGCACTGGCTAAATTTCTCAAAGAAATCAATTTTCTCACTGCAGTTATAGTTTGGTACTGACCATGTATTATTTAGCAAGGGCATGCTTTTACATTTATGGGCAAGAGTAATTTATGTTCTCATTTTTGAAAGGGGCAGTTGCTTTGCTCTTCACAACAAACATAACTTTGCTGTAACTAAATATTCACAAATGACATACATTAAGTATTGCTTCCAAGACAAATACCAATTTCCTTCCTTAAAAAACATTTTGGCCGGGCGCAGTGGCTCACGCCTGTAATCCCAGCACTTTGGGAGGCCGAGGCGGGCGGATCACGAGGTCAGGAGATCGAGACCATCCTGGCTAACACGGTGAAACCCCGTCTCTACTAAAAATACAAAAAATTAGCCGGGAGTGGTGGCGGGCGCCTGTAGTCCCAGCTACTCGGGAGGCTGAGGCAGGAGAATGGCGTGAACCCGGGAGGCGGAGCTTGCAGTGAGCCGAGATCGCGCCACTGCACTCCAGCCTGGGCGACAGAGCGAGACTCCGTCTCAAAAAAAAAAAAAAAAAAAAAAAAAAAACATTTTGGATTTTTATCTAGTGTCCCTGAGATGAATTATGATCAGGAAGGTTGATGTGGAGTTGGTGAAATTTAGAGATAAATGTACATGAGAATAGATACAGTTACTGAGTGACACAAACTTACTTCTATTATATGCACCTAAGCCATTACTGAAAGTGTAAACAACTTTTGTGAAATGCTTTTGAAATTATCTCGAACTCTAGTGAAGGATGCAAAAGAGATGTTCAAGTGGCATTCACAAGTGTGTTTTACTAATACTAATTTAGTTTACATTTTTAAACTAACACGAGGAAGAATGAAGCCCAGTGTTTACCCTCCTTTGCTTTCTAAGAACTTGTACATTTTGTGATAGAAGTGGATGTAGTTTACAGATAATGTTTTCCCCAAATTACTGAATGACATTGATTTGGAGTGGTATAACAAAGTACTCCTTGCTTTGCAAAGAAATGTTGATAGCTTTAGTGACTGTATTAGTATGTGAGGTATTAATTGAGGACTCAATCCAGGAATCTTTCAAATCTGAAAAAGATGCTGACTCATTTGTTAGTGATCAAGTACAGTCTGTAATCAGCTTTCATCTTGAGTCTGCAGAGAAAAAGAGTAGTGAAATGGGGATGAAGATAGAAAGTTAAATTTCAAGAATTCACTTGTGCTATTTATTTGAAATCTAGATATTATAGCCATGTTACAGAATTTGTAATGGCATGATTGGTTGGTCCTTCGATTTGATCTAGAAATCAAATGTTTTCTTTTGGAATCAAAAGCCAGGCTTCCTTTCTTGACCCCCTCTTAATTACTCCTGTGAGTGCATCTTTCGATAGAATTCAATGTCACATTTAATATCCATATTATCAGCAATTCAGAACCACAGGCTCAATAAAAAAAATGTCAGTGGTCCCAATATCATCTTTAACTTCTAAGTAAGGCCTGACCTTTACTTATTTGCATATATTAAAGGGATCTTTCATATACATATACGTATGTAAATACATTAAATTTTGAAAATATAAAGCAATTTCTTCTTAGTGACTGATAAAAAGACACATTTGAATTTACAAATGAACGCAAAAGGAACATTTATTAAAAAAATCACTAAAAATTTAGGTCCATTTCATTTTAAAAACCACAAACAAGCAATAGATTCTGAGGACAAATGTCAATCTTATAAATACTATAGAATCTCAACATTAGAAGACTTCAAAGTTTATAGATTCGTAAACTTTTATATAATACCTTTAATAAATTGTGAAATGGCACCTATAAACTAATTAATGAAGGTATACCACATATCCAGATACATTGGGATAGCCTAAATATTAGAATATTTTCCAAAAAACATAAATCTATTACCATCTAAAACCTAGACTTTGAAATAGTTGTAGAAACCATGGCAAATGCTCCATATCCGCCTCCCCGTCACCTTCCCCTCAGAGAACATGTTGTTAAACATTTATCAACACACTACCTTGTTTTAGTTTTATTATGTTGTGTTGATTAATGGTTCATTAATTTTTATTGTTGAGTAATATACCAGAAAATTAATATACCATGTTATTCTATCTCAGTGGGTCTCAAATGGAGGTAGTTTTCGTGCCCTGATGGTACATATGGCAATGTCTGGAGATATTTTTGATTGTCATAACTGTGAGATTGCTAGTGACATTTAGTGGATAGAGGCCATGGATACTGTCAAATCCTATAATCCACAAGATAATTCCCACAAAAATAATTATTTGGTCCAAAATGTCAATATTGCCACTCCTAAATAAGCTGGATTATTTTCTCCTCTTGGTGGAAATTTGGCTTGTTTCCTGTTTATGGCCATTATAAATAATGCAGTCTGAGCATTTTTAATATCTTCCTGGGGACATAGGCATTTATATTTCTTGGATAAATAACTAGGTGTACAGATGCTAGTTGTCAGGATATATGTTGTTCAGTTTTAGTAGATACTGACAACAGGTGTCCCAAAGAGGTTATTCCATTTTACACTCCTATCAACAATGTATAAAAAGTATAGCTATTCTGTATCCTCATCAACACTTGAACTTCTTGGACATTTTTCTTTTTGAGGTAAGATTTATATAAAGTGATAAATTCATATATTGTATACCCTTTGATGAAATTTGACAAGTGTCACAATGTAGAATATTTCTATCAACTCAGAAAATTTCTTTTTCTCTTTAGATTAATCCCAGTCTCCATAAACAATCACACTTCTGATTATACTAACATATGTTACTTTTGCCATATATGACAATGCTTAACATAATGCTAACATTATATTGAGGTTCATGCCTGTTGCTGCATAAGTCAGCAATTCATTTTTATTTCCTAAGTAATATTCCACTCTGAATATATCAGAATTTTTAAAACCCATTCTCCTGTTGATTGACATTTAGCTTTTTGGCAACTAATAATAAATCTACCAAATATTTTATCTGTAATTATTTAACAGTACATATGTTTTACTTGAGGGGATAGCCTAACAAGTGAAACTGTGGTGTCATATGCTAAACATGTTTAGCTTAATTTTAAAAAACACAATTTTCGAAGAGATTGTACAATTTTACACAGCCCCAGCAATGTAGGAATGTTCCAGTTGCTCCATATCCTTTCCAATGTTGATGCTGACATTTAATTTTAACTATTCTAGTAGATGAGAAGTGGTATGTCATTGTATTTTTAATGCCATTTCACGGATGACTAAAGATATGGAGCACTTTTTCATACACTTATTTCCAATTTATGTCTTTCTTTAAATTTTCTGATTTTTTTGTCCTAATTTGGTTGAAATTTTTAAAATGCTTTATTGGAGTTGTTCATATATATTGAATAAAAGAAGTATTTTGTCACATATGTGAGTTTGCAGATATGTTCTCCCAGTCTGTGGCTTCTATGTTTTTATTTCCTTAATGGTGACTTTTGATGAGCAGAAGTTTATGGTATTAATGGAGTTCAGTTTTATCATGTTTTGTAGTTAGTGCTTTTTCTGACGTTTCAGTTTTCTAAGAAAACTTTGTTTACTATAAAGTGTATACTATGTTTTCTTTCAGAAGCTTCATAGTTTTAGCTTTTTATTTGGGATTATGAATAATTTCAAATTATTTTACTTTTATGATGTGAGATCAGGGTCAATATATCTCCAGAATTTATGCAAGTGCTCCAGCAACACAACCTGAAAAGAGTTTCTTTATTCCACTGAATTGCCTTGGAGATTTTGTCAAAAATCTATTTACATTATATGTGTAGGTTAACTTCAGGACTCTTATGTTCTGTTCCATTGACATTTATCTTTCCTCATGCCACTATCATACTGTCTTGAATGTTGTTGCTTTATTTAAGTTTTGAAATCAGATAGTGAGTGGAAATAATATTTTACATTTTCATTTTGTAAGACTTTTTTTTTTTTTTTTTTTGGAGATAGAGTCTTGCTCTGTCAGCCAGGCTGGAGTGCAGTGGCAGGATCTCGGCTCACTTTAACCTCCATCTCCCGGGCTCAAGCAATTCTCCTGTCTCAGCCTCCTGAGTAGCTGGGATTATAGGCGTGTGCCACCAAGCCCAGCTAATTTTTGTATTTTTAGTAGAGACAGGGTTTTACCATGTCACCCTGGCTGGTCTCAAACTCCAGACCTCAGGTAATCTGCCCACCTCGGCCTCCCAAAGTGATGGGATCACAGGCGTGAGACACCGTGCCCGGCCCAAGACACTTTTATCTATTCAGGTCTTTTTCATAGCCACAGAAATTTTAGAATGAGCTTGTCCATAAGCATGACTTGATATTTTGAATGATATTGTATTGATACTATTGAGCTATTTGCAGAAAATTTATATATTTAAAATTTAATTTTCCCACCCATGAACATACTATAATTTCTCATACATTTAAATATTACTTAATTTATCTTTGCAATTGTTCATGTTTTCAGTTTGAGGCTCACAAGCCTTCTGATAAATTCGTTTCAATATTTTTTTATCTTTTTTTATTATACTTTAAGTTCTTGGGTACATGTGCACAACGTGCAGGTTTGTTACATATGTATACATGTGCCATGTTGGTGTGCTGCACCCATTAACTCGTCATTTACATTAGGTATATCTCCTAATGCTATCCCTCTCTCCTCCCTCCATCCCACGACAGGCCCCGGTGTGTGATGTTCCCCTTGGACACAGGAAGGGGAATTCGTTTCAATTTTGATGTTACTGTAAGTTCCACTTTTCCCCTCAATATTGTATTTTAATATTTTTCTGCTAGTATAAAAATATATACTGGATCTTGTACACTGTACCTTTCTAATTTCATGTCCTAGTCATAGAGGATTTTGGGGTAGACTCCTGGGATTTTATAGTCAATCAAGTGATCTGTGAATAAGACAGTTTTCTATTTCCTTTCCACGCTGTATGTCTTTTATTTTTTATGTGCTTTATTGCACTGACTAGCATCTCCGGTACAGTGTAGAATCCAAGCAATGTAAGCAGATGTGCATGCCTTATTTGTGGAACTGTTTTAAATTATGAATTCAATTTTTTAATTGATATACAGTTAGTTCCACTTACTGATTTTTTGAACCTTCATGGTTAACTTGTGCCTTTCAAGAAATTTCTCCAAGTCATCAAAGATGTTTAATTGATTGGCATAAAGTTGCTCATAACGTTAACAATGTATTACTTGATGTCTAAAGAAACTATAATAATTTATCCACACTCAATCTTGGTACTGGAAAACATGTCTTTTCTCTACATTTTTTTTTACTACTATTCCTAGTGATTTAACAATGTTATTAGTCTTTTAAAAGAAATAGCTTGTTTTCATTGTTTTTCTCATTTTTTTGGTTTACTATTTATTTTTTACTTTTTAATTTTTTCTTATTTACACTTACTTATTTTACTCTTTTTTAGTTGTTTAAGGCAGAAGCTTGGATACTCAATTTTAGACATTTTAAATTTTTGAATATGAACATTTGAAGCTATAATTTTACTAGCAGAAACTAATAGCCTGAAACTTAAAGCAAGAGGGATACTGTGAGAGGTCAAAAGACTCAGCAGTCCTCATTTCCAACAAGGCTAGGCTTCAAGATAAGTTAACTAAATTTATTGCTCATGCATGTATTGACAGCGGGTGGGCAGGCATGATGACCTCTGATACAGTGATTCCTAATAATGTCAGTTTTGCAAATTACAGAAAGAAACTAATGCCTCAAGTAATGTAAGCCTACAGTAAAACAAGTAATAAAACCAACACACAAAGAAGGATATCTTCATTACAGTCATGAAACCTCCTGCTACAAAAGAAACTTCTAACTGTAGTTAATTCTTATTACCTACATACAACTGTACTTCTTAGCTGGCCCCCCAAAAAAATTATAGTAAATGAGGTCTTTCCCTTTTCTTACTTACTCTGACCTAAATATTTTTAAAAACATAAACCAAACAGATATGTTAATATAAACTCACACACTTGAACATAAATGACTTTACTCTCTCTAGATATTATACACACACAGGGAAAACAAATATGAAGTTTACTGAGTATGTGAAAAGACAAGGAGGAAGCCACAGTAAGGAATCAGACACAAATTCTTCAAGTGAGCTTTACCTCGATAAATTGTTTCCTTCATATTAAATTGTTTTAAAATTAACTTCTAGATGTGCAGATAGAACTAAATGAGAATCATTTATTTATTTATTTATTTTTATTTTTTTAGATGGAGTTTTGCTCTGTCGCCCAGGCTGGAGTGCAGTGGCTCGATCTCAGCTCACTGCAGCCTCCGTCTCCCGGGTTCAAGCGATTCTCATGCCTCAGCCTCTCGAGTAGCTGGGATTACAGGTGTGTACCACCACACCCAGCGAATTTTTTTGTGTTTTTAGTAGACATGGGGTTTCACCATGTTGGCCAGGCTGGTCCCAACTCTGGGCTTCAAGTGATTCACCAGCCTGAGTCCCCCAAAGTCCTGGGATTACAGGTGTGAACCACCATGCCCAGCCCTATTTTAAATTTTGAGGAAAAATTAAATTTACCACTTGTCTAATGGATACCCCGTTTATTGGGAGTATATTCCCAATAAAGATAAAGATACATAAGGCTCTTTTATAGATATGTTGCAAAACATATATTGTTGCAAAATCTAGGCTGGAAAAAGGTGTCATTGAATTCATTATAACAGCTGACATAATTAAGAAGAAAAGTTAGAAGTCACATCATAGCCAAAAAGCATATGGTATCATTCTGAATCATTTGAAATAATTTTAAGGTATTCGTGTTACCACTGTTCTTTGAAATATGCTTTATATCAATAAGAATAGTAGTTATTATTATGGTCTGGTTTTTATCCCCAGATGATATGAATCAGTAAAATTGAAGTGAATATTTATTAAACAACATTATATATTTCTATATCAATTTTAATCTTTTGCCATTTCCTTTAATCCATTTTTAGGAAATTAAAGTTTTTCAAACATGTTTAAATGCTAACATTTATATTTTTAAAACATTAATAATTTCAGATCTGCTGTAAGATTCTTCCAGGCTGGGCAAACTCAACAGCACCTCCAGGATAAAACAAGTAAACTTACAGGCAGTCATCTCTTGTTTTACAGCAAGAATAATTCATGTTTGTCCTAGAACTAGTGCTCTTTCCTGAACGAAATTAGTGCCACCTAATATGCTTTTTCTGCAAAATACAAAACATTATACAGTTAGTGTAGACACAATTAGAAGTAAGAGAATGATAGCGTTGTTAGGGAGAGCTGTGTGGGGAAGTAGTAGTAAAAACTGGCTAGAAGAGGAATGATTTAATGAAATAGCCTGTTGTCCCAAAGAGTTCACTACACGAAAATCATGCTGAGAAGACTGCAGGCTCCCAACTTAGCGTTGACTCTTCCTATGAATCAAGACTTACTCCCCTATCTGTGTAACTAATAAAGTCATCATTATTACTGGGTGTTAACGTTCAAAAGAAAGCAAAGCCATTCCTTAAAGAAAAAGAAACTAAACTACATAGGAAAATTGAGTATAATCTAGATTGAATTTTTATTTCATTCACACTATATAACTTTAAAATAAGAGGCATATTAGCTATTAAAATGAGACTAAAAATTTGTTTAGTTCAACTGAACAATTTTTTCAAAAAATTGTTCAATACTTCATTCAAAGGTGTATATTATGTCATTATTATCATTCCTAATTAGGGCATTGTAAAGTTTTGATGCATGATCAATTCTAGTTTAATTGTCTGATCTCTTGATCTAAAGGTAAATAAAAGAAGGAAATTTACCCTTAGTGAGGGCTGACAATGGACTGTTTAATAAATTAGTCATCTTTATACCTTATCTTCCTTAATTCTTCAAACCTCAAAGTTATCCAAATTTAATGATACAAAACGACAACTATTATATTATGCTTATGATTTCCTTGAGTCAGCGATTCAGACAGCATACATGAGGGCTTGTCTCTGTTCCATGTCTGCAAGCCTACTGGCTTCCCACTGGAATAGCAGGAGTTATTTGAATTGCTGTGGGCTAAAATCATCTAAGAACTTACCTCAAATGTCTGATGCCTGGGCTGGGATGAATTTAAGGCTAGGCTATGTAAGGTAGTCACTTGGAGACCCTCAGTTGTGACTTCATGAGATTCAGGCTTCACACAGAATGATAACTGCATTTCTGGGGAACAAGTGTTCCAAGGGACATAGCCAGAACCTGTAGACCTCCTTCTGACCTAGTCTGAAGAGTCATATAGCATCACTACTGCCACATTCTGTTGGTTACAAGCAAGTCACCAAGACCGGCCCAGATTCAAGGAAAGAGAGATGACACTCTACATCTTGAAGGGGAAGTGGTAAAGTCACATTGAAAAAGCATGTGGAATGTGAGATACTGTGCTGACAGCATTTGGACAATAAAGTTGGCTAAATAAAATGTTACAATTTTAATTTTTACCAAAAGAGCTACTGAGCAGATAGATTGGAACCATCACCAGAGTGTTTTCATTCCAAAGCCCCATGCTCTTTTACTGTTGTGTAAACTGCAGACCAAGCTCCATAAAAAATGCCGTGTTATGACTTTTTGTCACTTTTTTTTGGCTAGGTAGATATTTCTTCACTTAGCAATAATTTGATTGTGTTGTATATGATTAGATTCAAAAATTTTAAAAAAGCCTTATTTTATAAATTAGGGTACATCTAGAATGCTAGTTCAATTTAATAGATAAAGTATTCCTTTTGAAAAATTGTGGCATCTGGTATCTTTAATTGTAGCCAGTCTAGTGACTATTAGACTTGTAATTTAAAAGTTATGGTAAAGCAAGAAAGATTTCTATTAAATTCCCTTGTCATCTTTCAGTTCCTGTTTCACAATTTCCCCTAAAAGTATAATAGCTTATATAATGGAGATATATCTTTAGTTGCCTTCACGTTAAGTTGTAAAACAATACTGGAGTTTGTGAACCAGCTCTTTAATTCTTTGTGACTTCGTCCCCTTTGCCAGCCTTTATAGCCAATTTTCACTTATCTATTGCCATTTCCTGTTAACCCATTGCTGTGAGGGTAATAAGGAATATGATTGGCCCAGTGAAGGTAATATTTGTTATTCCATTGTCATACCAAGTAGGAAGTGAAGTGAGTGCCTTGATTTGATGAAATGTAACTAAGAGTACGGGCACAGTGACTCACACCTGTAATCCCAACACTTTCAGAGGCCAAGGCGAGTAGATCACTTGAGGTCAGGAGGTTGAGACCAGCCTGGACAACATGGCAAAACACTGTCTCTACTAAAAATACAAAAATTTAGTCAGGCAGATCACTTGAGGTCAGGAGTTCGAGACCAACCTGGCCAAGAAGGTGAAATCTCATCTCTACTAAAAATACAAAAAATTAGCCAGGTGTGGTGGTGGGCACCTGTAATCCCAGCTACTCGGGAGGCTGAGATAGAAGAATCACTGGAACCCCTGAGGTGGAGGTTGCTGTGAGCCAAGATTGTGCCATTGCACTCCAGTAAGGGCGACAGTGCGAGACTCCGTCACAAAAAGAAAAAAACAAAAATACAAAAATTAGCCGGGCATGGTAGTCCATACCTGTAATCCCAGCTACTCGGGAGGTTGAGGTGGGAGGATTGCTTAAATATGGGAGGTGACTGGGTGACAGAGCGAGACTCCATCTCAATAGCATTGGCTTCAGTCACTAGTTTGCAGAGCCAAACCCAGAATATACATAAATCTATTTAACTCCACCTGTAACAATAAATAAAGGGCCACAATTATCTACTTGACAGTAATGTTCTTGACCTTGACCGTTGGGAATATGTTCCAGAGTGAACTGCTGATTCCATGTTACTTGATGGAAAACAGGACTAATTTTATTAAACCTTTGAGTTTCAGAAGAGCCAATAATATTTATTGCTTTTATCTTTTATTTAATTGCGTCTTTAAAGTGTTTTTTGTTTGTTTGCTTTTTGGCTGGGCAGCATATTGGTGACTCTTACTTTTCTATCCAGTCTGGTACTCTCTGCCTTTTCAATGTGATGGTTAGGCGATTTTTACATTTAACATGACTATCAGTATGGTTACATTTGAATCTATAATCTTTCTATTGCTTTTTGTTCATTCCATTTATGCTTCATTTGTTTTTCTCTTTCTTTGCCTTTTTTGTTTCTGGATCAAGGAAGTACATTTTATAATTCCATTTATGTCTTTTGTTGGCCTATTAGCTATAAATCTTGTTTTCTTATTTTAGTGGTTGCTTCAAGGTTTAGCATATGTATAATTATCTTATTTAAGTCTACTTTCAAATGATATGATATTACCTCATATAAATTATTAAACCTTTCAACAATATAATTCCATTCTTTCTCCCCAAGCCATTTGCTCTTATTGTTATACATTTTAAATCTATATATGTTTAAATCTCACAACACATTATTTTTGTTAAACAACTATTTCTCTTTTAAAGACTTATAAATAATACAAAAATATATTGACTTACATAGTTACCATTTTCAGTGCTATTCATTCCTTTGCATTGATTTATATTTCCATTGGGTATAACTTTCTTTCTGAGTGAAGGAGTTCCTTTAATATTTCTCATAGTTCAGACCTTCTGGTGAATAATTCTTTCAGCTTTTCAATGTCTAAAAGGATTTTAGTTCATCTTTGTTTTTGAAAGAGATTTTTCACTGGATATAGAATTTTAGGTTTATAGGATTTAAAAAAAATCAGTACTTTTAAAATGTTACTTCATTATCTTTTCACTTGCAATGTTTTCAAAAGAAATATGCCATTCTCCTTATTTTTGGTTTTCTGTATGTAATTTGTGCTTTTTCTCTTTTGCTGCCTTAGGATTTTCTCCATATTACCAATTTTGAGTGATTTGATTATAATGTGCTTTGATATATTTTTTCTTCATTTTTTTCGTGCTTGAGGTTTGTTAGATTTGGAGGGGGATTTCTAAATTTATAATTTTCTTCAAATTAGAAAAATATGCATATACTTTTTCTCTCCTGTCCCTCCATCCTACTTTTTCTCCATTAGGGACTCCAATTTTAGTTTCTAGGTCATTTGCATTTGTCTCAAAACTCTCTAATGCTACTGTCTTAATTTTCTTTCCGTATTGTTTCAATTTGTGCTTCACTTGGACTACCATGTCTTCAAGTTCATTATTTTTTCTTTTGCAAAGTCTAATCTACTATTAATTCCATCTAGTTTTTTAATAACAGGTATTAGAATTTTCATCATTACAAATTTGTGTTTTTTGTATCTTTATGTTCTACTAAGCTTTTGAACATATCAAATAGGGTTCTTATAACTGTTTTCTTGTCCTTGTCTGATTTTTTTTTTTTTTTTTGAGACAGAATCTTACTTTGTTGTCCAGGCTGGAGTGCAGTGGCACGATCTCACTGCAACCTCCGCCTCCCAAATTGAAGCGATTCTTATGCCTTAGCCTCTTGAGTAGCTGGGATTACAGGCATGTGTCACCACGCCTAGCTAACTTTTTGTACTTTTTGGTAGAGATGGGGTTTCACTATGTTGGCCAGGCTGGTCTCGAACTCCAGACCTCGGTGATCCACCCGCCTTGGCCTCCCAAAGTGCTGGGATTACAGGCGTAAGCCACCTCATCCAGCCTTTTTCCCTTAATTTTAACATTAATGTCAATTCTTAGTCAGTTAGTTCCAAATTTTGATTTGTTTTGGGGGAAGTGGTGTATGAATCTAAATATAGAACATATACAACCATGAATTAACTTTAATATACTGAAGGAAATCATATTGTCCACACTGCACGGAGATAAAGTTACCTTGCTAACCTTCGGCAGATATATTCAAGGAGGAAATTTTTATTCTAACACAAAGTTTAGCAATCTACATTAAATCCAATTATGTATCTGTCATCCTCTATATATTATTAACTTCCTTTTATAGTAATCGGTGTGTGTCTGTGTTTGTGTGCATGCTCATAACCTAACTCCTAGCATAGTCTCTGCCATGTGGTAGGCTCTCAATTAAAATTTGTTGAATAAATAAATGTATACATGAATTAGTGAGTGAATGAATGAGAACTTGGTAGTTTAATACACTTATTCATTACAGAAATGTTTGGAGAAAAATGTTTTTCCTTGTCTGCTGATTGAGGAAATAAAGTTGAAAAATCGGATTAAAGAATATACTGAACTTTTTTTGAGCTATGTATTACACTCTGTAGAAGCACTGATTAAAACTATTGTATCATTTAATAAAAAACATTCTCTTTACTCTAGGAATCCATGTGAACTCTGGTGTTTAGAAGACTGTTTTGTCTTTATAACTTTTAAGAAATTATTTATATTTTATATGACATGAACCTCATCTTGAATAAATGGACCTTGAAAGTATATTTCATTTAACACATTTTGAAAATCAGTCACACATGAGATTGGTGCTCAGATAAATTCCATTAAAATATAATCATATATAATTTGTGATCATCAAAATCCTAGCATTGTGGTGCTGGGATAACTGGCTAGTTACATGGAAAACATTGAAACTGGACCTCTTTCTTACACCATATACAAAAATCAACTCAAGGTGGATTAAACACTAAAATACAAAACCTGAAACTATAAAAACCCTGGAAAATAACCTAGGAAATCCCATTCTGGACATACACCCTGGCAAAGATTTTATGACAAATACTCCGAAAGCAATTGCAACCAAAACAAAAATTAAGAAATGGGACCTAATTAAACTAAAGAGCTTCTGCACAGAAAAAGAAACTATCAACAGAGTAAACAGATGACCAAATGATGGGAGAAAAATACTTGCAAACTATGCATTTGATAAAGTTCTAATATCCAGGAATCTATAAGGAATATAAACAAATTAACAAGTAAAGAACAACCCCATTAAAAAGTGAGCAAAAGACATGAACAGATATTTTTCAAAAGAAGACATACACATGGTCAACAAGTGTATAAAAATGCTCAACATCACTAATCATTAGAGAAATGCAAATCAAAACCACAATGGGATACCATCCCACACCAGTCAGAAGGGCTATTATTAAAAAGTCAAAAAATAAAATAACAGATGCTGTCAAGGTTATGGAGCAAACAGAATGCCTATACACTGCTGGTGGGAATGTAAATTAGTTCAGCCATTATAGAAAGCAATGTGGTGATTTCTTAAAGAAGTTTAAGAAAGGTACCACTCAACCCAGCAATCTCATTATTGGTTATATACCCAAACGAATAGAAATCATTTTATCATAAAGATACATGAATGCATATCTTCAATGTAGAACTATTCACAATAGCAAAAACAAGGAATCAAACTAAATGCACACTGATGATACACTGGATAAAGAAAATGTGGTACATATACATGATGGAATACTACACAGCCATAAAAAAGAAAGAGATCACATCCTTTGCAGCAACATGGAAGAAGCTGGAGGCCATTATCCTAAGTGAAAAAACACAGGAAGACAAAACCAAATACTGCATATTCTCACTTACAAGTGGGAGCTAAATATTGAGTACACATGAACACAAATAAGGGAACAACAGACTTTGGGGCCTACTTGGGGGTGGAGGGTGACAGAAAGGTGAGGATTGAAAAATTACCTATTAGGTACTATGCTTATCACCTGGGTCATGAAATAATCTGTACACCAAACTGCGGTGATATGCAATTTACCTGTGTCACAAATCTGCACATATTCCCCTGAACATAAATAAATGTTTTTTAAATAGCAGGAAATAAAAATATAAATGTGTAAACCTTCAGACTAAAAAAGTACATCATCATTCAGATTTCTTAGGTTAATAAAATATTTTACTTCATGCATAACTTCTAAGAAAATATATTAAAAATTTCTGTTTTCTAAAAGATAACTTGACTTCTTCTGGGACACTTGAGTAATGCCTAATTTTATAAATACACTTTTACTATAATATTATTATAAATTTATAGATATTACCTTTTTATTCAAGAATTCATGTAACGTGCAGTTTTTTCTCAGTGCCATTTAGCATTTAAATCAAAACAATTAAATTTGGAATTTTAAACCAAAGCATTTATGATGAATTTATTCTAAAGTGTACTAGGCTCTCAAAAAGATATTATAACACACATGTATATTATGTCATGTGTATGACATACATATAGTATATTTGATGATGTATGTTTATAAAAATTAAAGATATAAAACATTTTCTAAAAAATAATTTATTCAGGATTTTTGTGTCTACACTTATTTGTAAATGGAAAACGACGCTTTTTTTTTTTTTTTTTCAGGCTGGGTCTCATTCTGTCACTCAGGCTGGAGGGTAGTGGTGCAACCCTCACTGCAACCTTCACCTCCCGGGCTCAAGCGATCATCCCACCTCAGCCTCCCGAGTAGCTGGGACTACAGATGCACATCACCATGCCTAGCTGATTTTTGTATTTTTTGTAGAGAAAGGGTTTTGCCATGTCGTCCAAGGCTGGTCTCAAACTCCTGGGCTGAAGCAATCAGCCCACGTTGGCCTCCCAAAGTGTGGGGATTACAGGAATGAGCCACCGCGTATGACCAATAATTATTTTGTGTTATTCATTTAATTCTCACCCATTTCCAAATAGAATGAGAAATTGGTCAATGTGTCTATTTATGCCATTTTTTTAGACCAGGTAACTTGTCAATTCAGCTCACCCAAAGGGGGAGAAACAAGCTAAAAACAAATCAAATATTTGGAAATTAAATTATTCCAATTAGTTGTTTATTAAGATGGCTTTCCTGAGTGTTTTCTTCCTTTATTTGCTAAGTAGACTGTCATTGTAATCAGGTTCATGACTGATTTTCTGGTGCCCGGGGCTAGAGTACAGAGAGGGATTCCTGTATCACATTTATAAATATAGTCATCTATCACTTAATGACAAGGACATGTTCACAAAAATGTGTCAAGCAGTTTCATGTTCATAAGAACATCACAGAGTACACTTACCCAAACCTAAATCGAGTGCACTTACCCACACCTAGGCAATATAGGATAGCCTACTACTCCTAGGCTACAAACCTAGTATACATCTGGCACATCTCAGCCAATAGAGTAGAATCTTCCTTGTGATCACCTGTGTTTCTATAGAACACTTGCAGGTTTTCAGAGCAAATGTGTGTGCGTGTGTGAGTGTGTGTGTGGTGGGGGAATGGGTGTTTAACCCTTATTTGCTAATATCTGCATAGGCCATTGATTTGCCTCTGAATGTGTATCTCTTGATTGTACATCTCCATGCCAACTTTCCCAATCAACAGAATGATATTCTCACCATATTAGAATTCTCTGGAGATGACTTAGGGTGTGAGGTGGAAAATCTTGGGGGTCTAGACACAGATGGAAAAAGCTTCCAGACCCATGCACCTGTTTCACATAAAGATACCTGCTTTTATCTGTTATATATCTTGAGATATTCCCATGATTTCATTTGGAAAAAAAGGTGTTTTATTTCTGTAAAACATTTGCCAACACCTGGGCTAATGCCATTAATTTAGATTTCAGGAAACTGTTGTTGTATATTTGTGAATAAAGTCATCAAGATTTTAGGCATTGCTATCATTCAAATACAGTTAAATCAAGTACAACCACTGTCTCTCCTCTTTGATAAACTAGAAAAATTTACCTAGACAATATAAATAGAAATTAATACAAATCTTATATCTGTAAAACAGGAAATGAAAGACATTCTTTCATAATTAACAAAACAGGTATCTTTGAGGAGGCTGACTGTTAAGGGGATATCCGAAAACATTATATAAATTTCACAAAACCTAAGGAATATTGATTGAAGGCTGTAGAAAATGCTTAAAGGAAACTGTCAATGTATTCATCATGAAATATATCTCCTATTATAAACTAGATGAGAGATACTGCGTTGCTTCAACTGCTCTTTTTGTGAGTCTCTCTGTGGAATGAATGATACCATTTTTATACACGATTAGCAAACTGACAAATATTTTAGATAATTGAAGAATCATATTGAAGTAGTTGGGGCTGGTTCATAATTGGAACACAAAAATGATCCAGATTTTCATTTAAGAACAAGTACAAATAAATAGGAGCAAAGCTTTTACATATAATGGTTTAAATGGCCTGATAGAATTTCTAATCACATTTTATTACTATTTTACTATACATGTATTAAAGGAGACAGCACTAAAATACATTATATCAACAATAATAACTGGTACCGTGGCTCATGCCTGTAATCCCAGCACCTTCGCTGGCCGAGGCAGGAGGATAACTTGAGCCAAGCAGTTTTGAGACCAGCCTGAGCAACACAGGGACACCCTATTTCTACAAGAAATTTTTAAAAACAGCTGGACATGGTGGCACATGCCTGTGATCCCAGCTACTTGGGAAGCTGAGGCAGGACGACTGCTTCAGCTGAGGAGGTGGAGGTTATAGTGAACTGTGATGGCACCACTGGACTCCAGCCTGAGTGACACAGTGACACCCTGCCTCAAAAACCAAACCACACCAAAACAAAACAAAAACCAGAATTGTGATTAATGCATATTTGGCCTCCCTGTTCAGCATAAATTCCAGTTCCCTTTGTCCCTCTTTAGAAGTGTCTGTTTTTGGCTTCTGAACTGAGGCTATGCTTTCCAGCCTGTCAGAATGGCCACCTTGCAGGCTGCAACCCTGTATGAGAAGTAAAGCTCTCCTTTATAAATCAAAAAAAATGAATTGTGATAATTCTCATCTCATATTAATGATAAATAACTTCGTAAATAACTTTCATAAGCAATGGAAGAATTTTGCTTTAGGAGAATCCATCATTGCAAGTCTTTTAAAATTGCTTCATATTTCTCATACTGTCTTGCTTGAAAAATTAACTCACAGTCCCTGTGCCATGAGGATTGTCAGCAAGACTGACAACATGCTGAAGGACAGCAAACAAAGAATCATGAAAAACAGTAGACTGTCAAGTTAAAGGGAGCTTATATAGGGATTGATCTTAGCATAAGTTTTATTAATGATCTGGGAAGTGATGCAAATGGAAACTAACTCTTCAAGTAATGTATGATTTATTTAATGTTATAAAAACAGAGAAACACATGTAACCCTTGAGAAGTTAAAAAAGTAAGAGAGAAGCACCACACAAGACTGGAATATCAATTGTTCTTCATATTAAGAACATTGAAATACACTTCTACTATGTTTAAAATAAAATATAAGTAGGCAGTAGTAAGAGATATGGAGATCAACTATAGATGAGATGAGTCATGGCCAATTTGGTACGGTTTGGTATCATCTAAATATTAGATGTATACTCAGATAAATATTTTCCTGAGTGACGTGTAGGAAGTAATCTTATTTCCTAGAAAGACAGTTCCTTCTTAAAAATGTGACCACTTTTTAAAATAATAGTAAACACTTCCAAATAGAGAATAATGGGTGTCAATATTAAAGCTATAAAAACCTGGGAATATTTAAAAAATTATGACTAGACTTTATTTTCTAATAAAAACATGTAAGATATGTACCAAATACATGAACATATGAAACTCTTTGTACTAGTTCCTTGTATAATTGACACTTGAAAAACATCATGTCGTGGTAAAAGAGAAAGTAGATAATTTTTTCCAGTGGAAGAAAATGTGGATTTTATCAAAAGTCAGTCCTATACATAGAAACAAGCCTATCATTTCTATATAACTGTTGAATGATACCAATTTTTAATAAGTACTAAGTTTTTGCCAATTTGTTATGGAAGTATTTGTTACTATACAATTTATTTAAAATAAATGTTTATTTTACTATCTACCTATTTGTATTAATGAAAACATTTAACCATATAATCTGATTATTAAACAGCACAGAAATAAGATGGATTGTTCTTCATAATATGTGTTTATAGCATAGTAATCTTGAAATATATTTTGCCATGTTACACATGAATTTTGAGGTTTTCAGGGCAATAAATGGCCCCTGAATTATACTCAAGGATATGTCTGATCTTTAACATTCTTACTCACCAGTATTTTAGCTTGCATCTAGAAAGCATATCTCATTAAAATGTGTAAAAGTTATTTTTATACAGATTGTTTTGATTAAGTGATCCCAAATCACTATGAAAAATAGAAACAATTCAATGCATGATGTTTTGGCAGTTGATGTTCACATATATACAAAATTATATCCTCATTTCTTGCAATGAAAACAGATTTCAAATAAAGAAAAACAGAAAAGAAACGCTGAAAACTTTCAGGTTATATTATGGTAGAAAATGTTTATGCATTTCTACTAAAAGTCAGTAAAAAAGTGCACTAGAAGAATGATCAAAAGCCTCTTTCTCCTATTCTCTCCTCTCCTGATTCTGCTTCATCATTAGCTTTGCTTCTGAAGACCATCTCCCTTTGCTTCTCTTGTGGGAAACATGGGTGCTGTCTCTCCGAAGACTTCTCACTTAAAATTCTAGACTCCATTCACTACATCTCAAGTTCAAGAATCCCAGTGAAAAATAATGATTAATTCAGCAGGCGGTTAGAGTCCCTCAAATACTTTCTATTAATTTTATCTTAAAAGGCTCCAAGGAGTAAACAGTTTTGCCAGACATACTGTAAGATAATCGCTTTCTGAGATCCAACCTATTGAAAGAAACATATAGGTTCGGCTTTGCTGTCTTAAAAATTCCTTGTGTACATTAGCTCAAGGTCTTTCCAGTGGGAACACAAAGACTGATTAAATCCTCCTCCTCAGTGGTTTGAAGCAAGGTTTGAAGACAGCTCAATGGCAAACAGAAAGGACAGATTGGTGTATTTTGGGTTTTACTCCTGATTTCAGCACTTATTTGTTGATGAGCTTCACAAAAGTAGTTACTTTGTTTCCCATCTGTAAAATGTGTATTTTAAATGTTCAGTATTGCTACATGTTCCTCTGAACAAGTAAGATTAGGTGTCTAAATGTTTCTGGCTATTTCTATGCTGTGGATGCACTCACTGAAATAAGATATCTGCCAAATACCTGCCTTCATGTTACTTCGCTTTCATCTGGGAAAAAAAAAATATGGACAAAAAAAGTAAAATGTATAGATTATCAGATGGTGGTAAGTGCCATATGGAAAAAAATGGGGAGTGCTGGGTATGGTTAATGTTAAAAATTGTGTGGTCAGGAAAGGCCTGATAAATAAGGAGATGTCTGAGAAGAGATTTGAAGGAGGTGAGGGAGATGAAATAGAAAAGGTGCAAATGCCTGGAAGAAGAGCATTCTAGGTAGAGAAAATAGCAATTACAAAGTTTCTTAGAGAGGCACAGGCTTGGAATTTTGAAAAAAATAAGGGAAAACATTATGGCTGAGGCAGAGTTAGCAAAAGGGAGAGAGAGGTATGAGACGGGGTCAGATAGATAACAGGAGGCATATTTAGGATAGCCTTGTTTACTGCTGAAAGAACTTTACTTCTATTCTGAATGCAATAGAATCTACTGGATCATTTTGAACAGTGGCAAGGTCTGATTTAGGTTTTGAAAAGGATGTCTCTAGTTGCTGTTTTGAGAATAACCTGTGTGGAGGGAAGGGAGAAGAAGGGATACCACTCAGGAGGCAATTGGGGTAATCCAAGGGAAAGATGGATCAGAATGTTTGCAGTGGAGATGGTGTTATCTGGTTCTGGCAATAGTGTGAAGACAGAATTTGTTGAAAGTATATCTATCTACGAAAAACTATACGAGTAAAAGTTGACTTAAAGATATTTTACCTGAGTAATTGGAAAACTAAACTGGCCATTCATCAAGAAATTGACAACTATGGAAAATGCAATCATTTAGGAGGGAAGGCCACAATTTGAATTTTGAACATACTAAATTTGAGATGTATATTAGACTTAAAAAAGGAGACGTTGAAACAAAAGTTTAATATATGGGTGCTCATTTCAGATGAGAGGTCAAAGTTGAAGACAATATTTGAAAGTCACCAGGAAGCATACATGTACATGCACATACATATGCAATGAATACATGCTTATTGATGTTTTTATAGTCAGTATTCATCTGTGTTTGCACACACATTTATCATTACCTATGTTCCTCTTTTCTTCTTTCATTCTCTTGTTTCCTTCTGGATCACTTTCTTCCTGCCAGCAGAATTCATTTTACTGGGTTTTTGTTTGTTTGTTTTTAAATGCAAGTTTTCTGGAAAAAATTCTTTCACTTTTTATTTGTCTGGAAATGTATTTATTTCATATATAGTTAAAATTTTTTTAATAGTTTTTGGGGTACAGTTGGTTTTTGGTTACATGGATAAATTCTTTAGTGGTGATTTCTGAGATTCTGGTACACCTATCACCTGAGCAGTGTACATTGTACCCAACTTGTAGTCTTTTATCCCTCACCTGCCTCCCACCCTTCCTCCTGAGTCCCCAGCGTCAATTGTATCATTCTTATGCCTTTGCATCCTTATATCTTAGCTCCCACTTATAAGTGAGAAAATACAATATTTGGTTTTTCATTCCTCAGTTACTTCACTTAGAATAATGGCCTGCAGCACCATCCAAATTGCCGCAAAGAACATTATTCCATTCCTTTTTTATGTCTCAGTAGTATTCCGTCGTCTATTTACATTACATTGTCTTTATTTACTAATTGGTTGTTGGGCACTTAGGTTGGTTCCATATTTCTGCAATTGCAAATTGTGTTGCTATAAGCATGCAGATTTTACATACAGTTTTGAAGATTGTTTTTATTATAAACTTTTAGAATGGCAATTATTTTCTTTCTCCACTAAAATATGTCATTCCATTAGCTTTTGTCTGCAATTATTTCTATTGAGAAATTTCTTATCCTCACTTCTTTGAAGAGAACATATCCATTTTATTTGTGCTTTAATATATTCTTTTTTCATCACCATCTCTATTTATTTATTTATTTTTAAGTTTTATTTTAAGCTCATGGGTACAAGTGCAGCTTTGTTACATAGGTAAACTTGTGTTATGGGGGTTTATTGTACAGTTTATTTCATCACCCAAGTATTAAGCCTAGTGCTCATCCTGCTTTTATATATTCTTTTTGCTTTCGGTTTTCAGCAGTTTTACTAGGATGCTTATTATAATGGTTTTCTTAGGACTTTTACTGAGCATTTATTCTCAGGACTTTCAGTTTCTTGAATTTACAGATTGATGTTATTCATGACTTTTGGAATATTTTCAGATGTTTTTCCTTTATATAATTCTTCTGATCCACTGTCTTTTACCTCTCTTTTTATGTGCATACATATAAAACTTTTACTATGTTTTACATGTCTTGTATTGTTTTTCTATATTTTCCATTTTTCCCCTTTTTTACTGCTATTTGAATATTTTCTATTGATCTGATTTCAAATGTACTCCTTTGCTGTATCCAATTTGCTGTTAATTCCATTTGCTGACTTCCCAATTCCAACCATATTATTTTTAGTTCTAATATGTTCACTTGGCCTTTTAAATAAATTGGAATTACTTGGTGAAAATGGATGACCAGTGATGTTAGTTCCTAAGTCACAAGGCAGAATTTTGGTGTTAAGAAGGAGAAATACAAGCAAGCATGAAGTTCTTGCTAGGTCACTGAAGCACCCAGAGTTCTCAAGAACCCTCCTCACTACTTTCTATAATGGGTTAGAGGTCTAGAGAGAGTTGGTTTTCTGATTAGGAGTTCTGAGCTTTTCTACATAATCCTGAAAAGAAACACTTAGCATATGATGTACTTATCACATGTGTAGCTAACACATGAGTAAATACTTTATAAATGTTACTAGTATTAATATTACTGGACTTTGCTGATATTAGCTCCATGCTTTCACTTCTATGTTCTCTGTATCACTGAAATTTGTGTCTTGGCTTATTTTCTCCAAGTTCTGGAGGTCAGAAGTCCAAGATCAAGGGGCCAGCAGATTCATTTTCTGATGAGGGCCATCTTTCTTGCTTGCAAATGGCTGCCTTCTTACTGTATTCTCAAGTGAGTGGTCTTTCCTGTGTATGGGTAGGGAGACAAAGGAAGAGGAAGGCAGGCAAGGGAGAGAGATAAAGAATATATATACTCTGATGTCTCTCCTTACAAGCACTCCAATCCTTTCAGATCAGAACCCCATGTTTAGGACTTCATTTAACTTTCATTACTTCCTTAGAGGCCCCATGTCCAAATATAGCCACAGTGGTGGTTAGGGCTTCGACATATGTATTTTGGGGAGACACTGAATTTGTCCATAAAACTGCCTAAAACAATTTTCAAAAACAATACAAATACATGAGTCAATGCTTTTCAAGACAATGGACATCACAGCAAAGAACCATGATCTCTAAAAAAAGGAAAACAGGTAGATGAGCCCTACAATATCCCCAGTTTACTACCTAGAGAGAGATACTAGATTGTGGCACTGAGTAAAAAAGCAAGATGGAGTCTGCTACTCTACATGAGCACAAAAAACAGAACTGGCGGTCTAAGAAGGCCAAGATGGCCAGAGTTTGCAGGGCAGAGTATCAGTGATGACAGAGTTACACAGAGAGAGAACTCCAAAGATGCAACTATCTCATGAGTATTCTGTTGAGCACTAATCAGGATGTGGATGAGGAAACTAACAAACCTGGAATAGAGTTCAGAAAGGATTAGAAGGAAGAAAATCCCCAGAGCTCACACTTGGCTAGAAATAGTTCATTTTCTCACAAATCATAGTGGAAAACTTCAAAATTGATAGGATATTTAGTAGCATGTTCAATAGTGGAGAAAAATTAAGCCTCAAATAAATGTTGCTATGGTCCCACCCAACAAAGTTTAAGACCAAGATCCCAAAAGATTATACTGTTTTCAACTAATTTAAAATATCTCAGGATAAGAATAAAACATACTTAAAGAAATACAAAAAAAAAATACCCATCACCTAACAAAGCAACATTTACAATGTCTAGCATTCAATAAAGTTACAGGCAGCCCCCCTCCCCCCAAAAAAGGAAAATTATGACCCCTCACATGGAGAAAATTTAGTCAATTAAAATCAATTAACAATGATAAAATTAGTAGCATACGTCATTAAAATAGTTCATATACTTGCATTCCATATGTTTAAGAAATTTGGGGAATGATTTGAACCTGTTAAGTAGAGAAAAGGGAGACTTAAAAGCCACCCGAGCAAGGCGCAGTGGCTTACGCCTGTAATCCCAGCACTTTGGGAGGCCTAGACAGGAGGATCACTTGAGCCCAGGAGTTCAGTGCCAGCCTGAGCAACATGGTGAGACTCCATCTCTATAAAAAATTTAAAAATGAGCCAGGCCCGGTGGGTGTGCTACTTGGGAGGCTGAGGGGGAAACATTGCTTGAACCCAGGAGGTTGTGGTTATAGTGAGCTGTTTGCCACTGCACTACAACCTGGGCCACAGAGCGAGACTCTGTCCCTAAATTAAATAAATAAATAAATGCAACCCAAACTGAACTTTTAAAGATAAAAACTACAATGGGAGAAGTAAAATATATGCTGGACATATAAGTGGTAAATTAGACATCGTAGAAGTAAACGTTAATAAAATTGAAAACGACAACAAGACCAATATAAAATGAAACAGAGAAAGGGGACTTTTAAAAAATTAGCTGGGCAAGGTGTGGTGGCATGTCCCTGTAGTCCCAGGTATTCAGGGGGCTAAGATGCGAGGATTGCTTCAGACCAGAAGTTCCAGGTTGCAGTGAGCTAGGACTGCACCACTGCACTCTGTCCTCCAGCTTGGGAAACGGAGCCAGACTCTATCTCTTTTAAAAAACAGAAACAGATGCAAAAACAAAAAGAACATAGCAAGAACAGAGCATCAGAGAGTGCTGTGGAACAAACTGAAAACAGTGTTTCATAGTTAAGCTCTGAGAGATGGTGCTTTGAGGAAGGGGGCTGGTACGAAATTTATTAAGTAAAAAAAAAAAAAAATCGCGAATAGTCCATAGTCTATACAAGGCGTAGCACATTTGCCGATGGTGCAGTTGAGTTATGGACAACAAGCACAAGTTCACTCGCATGTGGTTTTTCTGTTGGTTTCTGTAGTTACTCTATTTGTGTTGTTCTTGCTTCTGGCATGCTGACAATACTTCTAATTTCTCATACCTTTTGAATTTAGGGTTCTGTATATACTCATTTCCATTTTGCTTAGAATTTTTCTTAATATTGTGAAATCCTTAGAATAGTGTTTGGCACATGCTTAAATATTTGATGAATACTATTTTATTTCTTTAGTACCATCCTCCAGAAAATAATCAAGTTGTTAGGTATATTGCATTCCAACACAACCATTTACAACAAATGACTAGAACTGGTGTTTTATTATATCTAATTCAAGGGCAAATATGTGTTTGGCAGACTTCTGCTCTGGGACATAGTCATAGCTAATGGAACTGTTTCAATTGGTGCAGGATGCTTCTTCATTTTTGGCAAATCGTCTTAATGGGCTTGGGATGTAGTCAGTTGTCAGGGAAGAAGTTAACCAGAAGTTAATATGTATACTAGAAGGTAACATGTATTGGTTGGTGAAGATGTGCTGGAGTTATATTCCTGAAGAAGTTTGCTTTATTTGCTTGTGGGCTGGAGTGAGGAAGCAGGATAAATATGTTTTTCTGTGTGCTTGAATAAGAGAGGTTATTTTTGTAATGAGTGGTTTTCATTATTGATTTTTACTTTTGAGAGTTACTTGCAGGATTTGAGCAGCTGAGGGGAGATGCAGGAAAAATTACTTTCATGAGAAACTTTTTCAAACTTTGGGCCTAAGTACTGTTGATTTGAGGAACGGATGAATAATTTTAGCTCAGAGTTGTGAAGACAGCCATTCTCTCTGTTTACACTCAGAACCCGGCACTGCACAGAGAGTGGGAATATTGGAGTATCAGGGAGAATATGCTGGACAAGCACATTGCTTGTCTCTTAAGAAATTCCACTGCCAGGTGGAAATAGCGCATCCCTTTCAAGTGATTGAAGGGACACTGGGCAGGTGTAGCTGGAGTAGCAACAAAGGAAGACCCTGTGTTGCAAATATAGAGGGCACACTACATTGTAAGAACAAGTGACACTCTTTTGTGAACCCTCAGTAATAACTTGGGAGCATTCTGTTTTGCTGAGAAGTTTGAGATGCAGCAATTATGAGGAGGGAACACAAGCTTCTGTAATATGAAAACGTGACTTTATATTTATTTAGATTGGTGAGGCCTGAACATGTGGGCTACTCATAATTTGCACAGCACAGTAAAAAAAAAGAACTAGGTTCAACCAGCACATTCTGATTCTTGATGTGTATGATCAATATATAACCTTTATAAAATATGGATTATCATTGAGAGTACAAACAATTGTAGCCCAATGATCTGCCAATTGCATTTTGCTAAAGGCATTTATGCTTGAAGAAAACTTGATTAATATCAATATTAACAAAACAACTGAATAAAGAACAAAATAATATTGAAAATCTATCTGATAGTGTACGTCATCCTAAATACAGCCCACTGACATGTTATATACATGAATGTCCACAGAGGAGAAAATGGCACAACTGGCTGCAGTTGAGATCTCAGCCCTAAAATTACATTGCTCTCATGTACACAAATGCTAAGGATTTTTTTTAAAGGTAAAACATTATAGATTTTGAAGAAAGTAAAATTTGTGGAAATGATGACTTTGCAAAATGAGAAATGCTATCTTAACTGTAGATTAATTAACCAGGGAATGTAAGTGGATATGAGTTTTAAGTTTGAGGCTTTTTAAAAACTCAGACAGCTGGGCATGGTGGCTCACGCCTGTAATCCCAGCACTTTGGGAGGCCAAGGTGGGTGGATCACCTGAGGTCAGGAGATCGAGATCATCCTGGGTAACAGGGTGAAACCCTGTCTCTACTAAAAACACAAAAAGTTAGCCAGGCGTGGTGATGCGTGCCTGTAATCCCAGCTACTCGGGAGGCTGAGGCAGGAGAATTACTTGAACCTGCAAGGGGGAGGTTGCAGTGAGCAGAGATCGTGCCATTGCACTCCAGCCTGGTCAACAAGAGTGAAACTCCAGCACACACACACACACACACACACACACACACACACACACACACACAAAATCTTGAGAATTAATGGGCATTTAACTAAATTCCCACAGCAATAAGAAAATCGAGTTATTCAACAATTTAAGATTTCTTACTGATATAAATGTTGCACTGAACATTTCAAGTGCTTTCTAAATGTTGTAACCTCTGAGGGCAAAGGATATGGGTTGTAGTGTCAGTTTTCTTTCATACACAGATTTACTTAAAATTATAGTTCACCACTGTCTGTGCCTCTCACAGCAGCTCTTGCACTTAGCATGCTTCCCAATCTAACAGGCAGTTTTTTAAGTGAGTTTTAAAAAACATTGGATAGCAAACACATTTCCTTGACAGGATTTGACCTCTTATTATTTGAGGTTAGTCCCTGTTGCTTTCCCAAGTGGCTCATTTAAGTAGTCAATTTGTACTTTCCCCTACCTTTCAGATAAATATACAAGGGCCAGCAGCACATTTAAGAATCCACATTTTTTTGTGTGTGATTTTTTTTTTATCCCATAAGATAAAAAGATGGCAGTAACGGAGCAATAAATAGGCCCGGTAATCTAAAAATATATAAGATTTAATGTGACTTTTTAAAGGCAGAATTTCCTGAAGAGAGATAGCTTATAAAATTATTTGCTACATTTCAATTTAAACTGGGGAAATAACACAGTATTAATTGTGGTCCACAGTATTTGTAAGCATATAAGGGAGTGTAGATTTTAGATTTTTTTGGCCACAGATTAGTAGCAATTGATTAAAAGCATAGCCTAAGAAGTGTTGAATATGTGTGTCTTATCCTGGAAACAAATGTCACTTGAATATATTCAAAACACAAACTATTTAATAATATATTTAGAAGATAATAATAGTAAATATGTAAATTTAGTTCATTAACATTTACCCATAAATTTATAGAAAACTAATTTCATGACTAGTATGAATAAACTCTCGCATCTTCTGAAAGAAATTCAGTAAAGTTGAGGAACACAAAATCAACATACAAAAAAAGTTGTATTTATACATG
This sequence comes from Homo sapiens, assembly GCF_000001405.40. Taxonomy (NCBI): domain Eukaryota; kingdom Metazoa; phylum Chordata; class Mammalia; order Primates; family Hominidae; genus Homo; species Homo sapiens. The sequence goes on from NC_000014.9 coordinate 47,891,885, forward strand.
CCAACAGTTTACAATCTGAAAACAAAACCGAGAAAGTAATCCCATTTACACTAGCTGAAAATAAAATGAAATTCCTAAAAATAAACTTTTCCAAAGAAGGGAAAGATCTCTACAATGAAAACTCTAAAATACTCATGAAAGAAATGGAAGAGACCAAATGGTAAGACATTCTATGTTCATGAACTGAAAGAATTAATATTGTTAAAATATGCACACTATCTGAAAAAAAGGTACACACTGTTCAAAAAGTTCTACAGATTCATTGCAGTCCCAACAAAATAACAATGAAATTCATCACAGAAATGGAAAAAGTAATCATAAAATTTATGTGGAACCACAAAAGAGACAGAATAGCCAAAGTAATCCTGAGCAAAAAAACCGGAGGCATCACATTACCTGACTTCAAATTATACTACAAAGTTATAGTAACACAAACAGCATGGTATAGGCATCAAAGCAGACACATAGACCTATGGAGCAGAATAGAGAACTCAGAAATAAATCCATCCATCTCCAGTGAACTCATTTTTGACAAAGGCACCAAGAACATGCCAAAAGACAGTCTTTTCAATAAAGAGTGCTGGGAAAACTGGATTTCCATATGCAGAAGAATGCAACTAGACTCCTATCTCTCACCATATACAAAAATCCAACGAAAATGGATTAAAAACTGAAATCTAAGAGTTTAAACTATGAAATAACTGAAAGAAATAATTGCGGAAACTCTCCAGAACATTGGGCTGGGCAAAGTATTTCTTAAGTAGGACCTCAAAAACAGGGAACCAAAGCAAAAATGGTAAAATGGGATCACATCAAGTTAAAAAGTTTCTGCTTTTTGGCAAATACAACAATCAACAAAAGAATGAGACAACTTACAGAATGGGAGGAAATATTTGCAAACTACCCATCTGACAAGAGATTAATGACCACAATATATAAGAAGCTCAAACAACTCAATAAGGAAGAAAAACCCAAATAATCCACTTTATAAATGGGCAAAATATCTGAATAGATATTTCTCAAAATAAGACATATAAATGGCTAACAAGTATGTAAAAAAATACTCAACATTACTAGTCATCAGAGAAATTCAAATAAAAACTACAATGAGGTACCATCTCACCCCAGTTAAAATGGCTTTTATCCAAAAGATAAGCAATAACAAATGCTGGTGAGGATGTGGAGAAAAGGGAACCCTCATACACTGTTGGTGGGAATGTAAATTAGTATAACCACTATGGAGAACAGCATGGCGCTTCCTCAGTGAACTAAAAATAGAACTACCATTTGATCCAGTTATCCCACTTCTGGGTATATAGCCAAAATAAAGAAAATCAGTATATTGAATATATATCTGCACTTCCATGTGTATTGCAGCACTATTTACAATAGTCAAGATATGAAAGCAACCTAAGTGTCCAATAACAGATGAATGAATCCAAAAAAATCTGGTAGACACATGTTCTCACTTATAAGTGGGAGTTAAACTTTGGGTACTCAGAGACATAAAGACAGCAACAATAGAAACTAGAGACTACTAGATGGGGGAGGAAGGAAAAGGGGCAAGGGTTGAAAAATCAGCTATTGAGTACTATGCTCAGTACTTGGGTGATGGTACTCATTCATTCTCAAACTTCAGTATCATGCAATATACCCAGGTAACAAACCTGCAAATGTAAACCCTGAATCTAAAATAAAAATTGAAGAAAAATATGGTACATAGACACAGTGAAATATTACTTGGCCATAAAAGAATGAAATCCTGTCATTTGCAACAACATAGATGGAACTGGAGGACATTATTCTAAGTGAAGTAACTCAGGAATGGAAAACCAAATACTGTCATGTTCTCACTTATAAGTGGGAGCTAAGCTATGAGGATGCAAAAACATACAGAATGATATAATGGACTGTAGGGACTCAGTTGAGGGGAGGTTGAGAAAGGGGTGAGGTATAAAAGACAACATATTGGGTACAGTGTATGCTACTCAGGTGACAGGCGCACTAAAATCACAGAATTCACTACTAAAAAACTCATCCATGTGACCAAAATCACCTGTGCCACCGAAAATACTAATAATAAAAAAAGAAAAAAGAAAAAAACAAAATGTGGTACATATACACAATTAATTACTATTCAGCCATAAAAAAGAATGAAATCTTGTAATCTGCAACAACATGGATGAAACTGAAGGACATTATGTTAAGTGAAATAAGCCAGGCACAGAAAGGCAAATTTTGCATGTTCTCATTCATATGTGAGAGCTAACAAAAAAAAATGGACTCATGGAGATAGACAGTAAAATGATGGTTGCCAAAAGCCTGGAACAGTAACGAGGAGAGGGAGATAAAGAGGAGATGGTAATGGTTAAAAAAGAAATACAGTTAGATAGAAGGAATAAGATCTAGTATTTGGTAGCACAATAAGTGACTATAGTTAACAATAATTTATTGTATATTTCAAAATAACTAAGAGAATGGAATTGGAATGTCCCTATCATAATACAATTGATGAATGCATAAGGTAGTGGATACCCCAAATACTCTGATTTGATTCTTACACATTATATACTTGTATCAAAATACCACATATACCCCATAAATATGTACAACTATTATGTATTCATAATAATTAAAACTTTTAAAAAATAAACAATATACTTTAAAAGGAAATCATCAAAAATATATTCATCGTTTGAGGTATTTTTTCTTAAAATGCTATCCATGTTACGGATACATTTGAGTGTTGAGCAAAAAATTGCCAGACTAGTAAGGGAAATAGAGATAGTGATTTAAAATCTCTGATGGGCCGGGCGCGGTGGCTCACGCCTGTAATCCCAGCACTTTGGGAGGCCGAGGCGGGTGGATCACGAGGTAAGAAGATCGAGACCATCCTGGCTAACACGGTGAAACCCCGTCTCTACTAAAAATACAAAAAATTAGCCAGGCGTGGTGGCAGGCGCCTGTAGTCCCAGCTACTTAAGAGGCTGAGGCAGGAGAATGGCGTGAACCCGGGAGGCAGAGCTTGCAGTGGGCCGAGATCGCGCCACTGCACTCTAGCCTGGGCGACACAGCGAAATTCTGTCTCAAAAAAACAAAACAAACAAATAAAAAGAACTCTGATAAACAAGGAGTTCTGGGTCTTTAGACTTTTGAGTTGTTTTTCAACTATTGAATTAGTTACGCAAAAGAATAACAAATAATTGGGGTACATTTTTCTTGCTTGGATGTAAATGCAATCTCAATGCTGTTTTTTTTTTTTTAAACAGGTATCATTTGGTTATCTTTTTCTTTTTCTTTTCATCCAAGAATATTTTTGGAGATCTTCAGAGCACTTTATCATTGTATCAATCCTTCAGTATGCCTGCAGAATCCCCAGGAGTTCCATTCCCAGCTGGCAAGCAGACATTCTAAGAATTTGCGCTGAGTTTAAATCTGATTTACCAGACTTACAAAGCTTTCACAGAAATGCAAAAATAAAATATTATTTTTGTTACATTACTTTTGTTCAAAGAAATTAATAAACATATGTATATGATATTCATCATTATCAGGCAATAGGAAAATAGTAATTATGATTCTTGAATGTATTTCTTAGGTTATTTGGCATAGTCTTTGAATAATTAATAAAAATGCATTAGATATAGACTATAATAAAAATTAAAAATGTTATTTTATGCTATGAATTGAAGAACAATACTGAATGTGATTCAGCTATATGTGATATTATCACTTCTAATATTTTTTCTCAGTAATTGTACATGAGTATTATAGTTTTAAATTTAGAAAATAGAATGTCTGAATAATTTTCAAACAAATGGTCTTGGACTACTGATTTGAAAATTAAGGAATGGCATAGAAAAAATAGCTTGCGGCAGTTCTGTAAAAAAGACCTATAAATGTCTAACAATACTATCATCTGGCTGATGCTATTTTGTAATAATATAGTCTACCTTTAAACAATAAACATTAGACAGAAATCACATATACATTCAAGTTTCCCTAATAATGTAGATTACTCTTTATTCGTATAACACAAAGAACCTATAGGTTTGGGACTAACATGATGAAAATGAAAATGTTGAAATACATATTTATATAATATTGGGAGCTTAATAAGTGCTCAAATATGGGTATTAGAGTTATAAGAGTGCCAAGAGGAAACCTTACCCACAAGACAAGTAGGAAGGCACCAGTGAAAGTTTCCAGAAAGAAGAGGCATCAAAACTGACATATAAACAAAATCAAAGATTAAATTCCATGTATAGAAAAGGGCATAAGAGAACATCCAGATGTGAAAAAGAGCATAGAGAGTTTTAGAAATGAAAACAAAAAACAAACAAACCCAGTGAGACTGGATTATAGAGTTGTATGTGAGAGGATGAAGGCTTTCAGGAGACTGACCTGAAAAGATAAAGAGTTCAAAAGAAGTCTTTGTATATTTTGACTTCTATGGTATCTTTAGTTATCTATTTCTGTACCTTTTATCTGTTTTATATTTTTCTGGAATTGATATGATGAACTTTAAAAAATAATCGTATGTGTTTTTAATTATTTAATTTTGTATTTTCAAATATTATTTTAACTTTTGGGAGAGTTCTGAGATTTTATCTCATATCTTTTATTCTGTTAAGGATATTGTCATCTTTTTAATTTCTGAGAGTCTAAACATTCTTTGTATGTTTACTTTTTATTGCATAGGCAGTAAATTTTTATATCTTTGCTTTACTTTTATCAAGCAATATATGAACAGCATTTTCTAAATTAATGGAAATAAAATATTTAAAACAAAAAGTCAAGAACGTTCTAGTGATGCCTTTTCACTATTCCAGAGGCTCACCTCTCATCTGCAGCATAGACTCAGCTTTTTATTTTCATATTTCCATATATCTGAATAACATATACTGTTATCTTTTGATTCCTCAATTTTGGAAAAGAATATTGACTTTCTGTGATGGTAGATAAGTATCTAGATCTTTGATGTCATTCTTTCTACTTTTATTTTCCCATTATACTTCTACAGTTATATTAAATTTTAGTAAAGTCAATATTGAATGCCTATACTATCATGTTTGCTCAAATATTACTCATAGCTGAACACTTTAGTGTGCTGCAATTATGTCTCTTTAATACTTTTTGGTTTAGCTAATACTTGCCTTGTTTTATAATTTAGTCAATATCTTTGCACCCAGTGAAAATTGATGGATGTATTAATTTTTTAGGTCAGCCATAACAATGTTACCTCAAACTAGGTGGCTTAAAATAACAGAAATGTATTGTCTCACAGTTCTGGAGGCCAGAAATTCAAAAGCAAGCATTCCTTCCTCAGGGCCATGCTCCCTCTAAAACCTGTAGGGAGGGCTACAGTAACCAAAACAGCATGGTACTGGTACAAAAACAGACACACAGACCAATGTAACAGGCTAGAGAGCCCAGAAATAAGGCCATACACCTACAACTATCTGATCTTCAAAAAACCTGACAAAAATAAGCAATGGGAAAAAGATTCACCATTCAATAAATGATGCTTGGAAAACTGGCTAGCCATATGCAGAAAATTGAAATTGGACCCCTTCCTTACACCATATACAAAAACTAACTCAAGATGGATTAAAGACTTAAATATAAAACCCCAAACTGTAAAAACCCTGGAAGACAACCTAGGCAATACCATTCAGGACATAGGCATAGGCAAAAATTTTGTGATGAAGATGCCAAAATAAATTGCAGCAAAGGCAAAAACTGACAAATTGTATCTAATTAAACTACAGAGCTTCTGCACTGCAAAGGAAACTATCAACAGAATGAGCAGACAACCTACAGAATGGGAAGAAAAATTGCAAACTAAGGTCAATACCTGGATCTAATATAAGCAACTTAAACAAATTTAAAAGAAAAAGCAAACAACCCCATTAAAAAGTGGACAAAGGACATGAACAGACACTTCTCAAAAGAAGACATATACGTGGCCAACAAGCATATCAAAAAAGCTCAACATCGTTGATTATTAGAGAAATGCAAGCCAAAACCACAATGAGATACTGTCTCATGCCAGTCAGAATGGCTATTATTAAAAAGTCAAAAAATAACAGTTGTTAATGAGCTTGTGGAGAAAAAGGAATGCTTATTCCCTGTTGGTGGGAGTGTAAATTAGTTCAACCATTGGGGAAGACAGTGTGGCGATTCCTAAGACCTAAAGACAGAAATACTGTTTGACCCAGCAATCCCATTAGTGGGTATATACCCAAAGAAACAGAAATAGTTCTATTATAAAAACACATGTACATGTATGTTCATTTCAGCACTATTCACAATAGCAAAGACATGGAATAAACCCAAATACTCCGCAAAATCATGGAATCAACATAACTACTCATTATAAACTGGACAAAGACAATGTGATATATCTATACCATGGAATACTATGCAGCCATAAAAAATGAGATCATATCCTTTGCAGGGACATGGATGGAGCTGGAGGTAATTATCTTTAGCAAACTAACAAGGGAACAGAAAACCAAATATTGCATGTTCTTACTTATAAATGGGAACTAAATGAGGAAAACACATGGACATATAGAGGGGAACACACACTGGGGCATATTGGAGGGTGAAGGGTGGAAGGAGGGAGAGGATCAGGAAAAATAACTAATGTGTACTAGGCTTAATACCTGAGTGATGAAATAATCTGTACAACAAATCTCCATGACACAAGTTTAACCATGCAAAAACCTGCACATCCTGTACATGTACCCCTGAACTTAAAACAAAAGTTTATAAAGAAAAAACAACAACAGGGGAGAATCCTTCCTTGCCTCCTCCTAGCTTCTAGGGGTTTGTGTTCATTCCTTGGCTTGCAGCTGCAGCACTTCAAACTTTACCTCCTTCATCACAGGGCATTCTCCCCCAAATCTGCCACTCCTGTGTCTGTGTCTCTTTTCTTCGTATAATGACACTTGTCATATTGGATTAAGGGCCCACCCTACTTCAGTATGACCTCAACTTAACTACATATGCAACAACTCTATTTCTAAATAAGGTCACATTTTGAGGTGCTGAGGGTTAGGACTTCAGCATATTTTTCTTTGAGAGTGGGGAGGGGACACAATTTAATCCATAACAATAAATGTTCATTTTTTTTCCCTCTTGGAAACTTTTCCTTTGGGAATCTCAATTCTCCTATCTGAATTACTTTCTCTTGGGTATGTTGCACAACTATTATCCTGGGAAATTTTTCTGCTGTTATCTTGGGAAATTCTCTGTGTCCTTCTCCTGAATTGGATTATAGGGGTCTCATAATTTTTTCCAGTGGCTTAATCATGTCTGTCTCATGATTCACATTTTCTCTAATTAAACAGCGACAGCAGCAGCAGCAGCAGCAAAATAAAGAGCTCACTAGCACAACTGGCATAAGTGAAGAGGAAATTAATTAGCAGTTATGTCAACAGGAAAAATTCTTTCCAAGTGCCAACAATGAGAAAAGTAAATAGAAAACATGGAAGGAAAGTCAAGAGCCTGAGAGATAATTCTAGAAATGACAATATCCAGCAAATAGAACTTTCAGAAAGACAAAACAGGAAATGAACATAAGGTAAACCTCAAGGAAACAATCGAGGGAAAGTGTTCAAAACTAAATAATGTCACATCCTCAAACTAGAAGAATCCTCCTAAGTTATAAGTAACATTAAAAAGATCAGTACAGTCTCTGGAGAAATATCAGAACATATAAGGTGTGATGAGACTATCTTAAATGCTTCCAAAGAGAAAATATATGTTGTAAGATATTGCCAAAGTTATCAACAAAACTAGTTTTAAAAATAAAATTATGTACTCACTCTACTATTAAATGTGAGGTCAAAATAAAGACACTTTTGGACATTTAAATTATCAGAAAATTTACCATACTTAATCTAGAAGAATTACGAAATGAAGATAAATGCCAATAAATATTTAAGTATTAAATATTAAAATCAATATTAATATGGTATAAAATAAACAATTATAAATTATTAATATCAATTAAATCAAGTTAAATAGTGATTATAAAAACATAATAATAGTTTTAATGTCACATTTATATAGCATCATTATTGGAGATGGAGAAGCGGAAAAAGGCGGGGAGCATGGAAAGAATGTTAACCCTTGGTCTAGTTCCGAATAGAAAAATCAGACACTCATTGACCCCGTAATGTTAATATTTTTAAGGATAATTAGGGAAATAGAGATTAAAAACACAGCTTCTAAAATATTAGAAAGTAGAGTAATAGAACAAAAAGTTAACATGACTTGCGTAAGAAGACACAAGAATGAGAAAACCCATGAAAAGAAAGCCTGTGGTATAGAAAACAATAAAATGGTAACATGTATTAAAGTATATCACAAATCATGGTATGTGTAAATACCTTAAACTTACCTATTAAAAAGTAGACATGATTATATCAGTAAAAACCAACAAGCTTGCAACAACAACAACAGAGAAACAAATAAAGGCAATTGATGAGGGCCCCAATAAAACAAAATTAGAATAGAATATTGACTATGAAGGGATAAAAAGCATACTAAATGAATGACAAAAATAGAAATATAACAACACGGCAGACTGAGGAGAAGTCAAGGCAAAAAATTAAAGGGAGAAATGAGAGACATAAAAATAAAATTTTAGTACTACCAACAAAGTTATGAGATACATTTGAAGAAACTGTTTACGAAGTATAAGAATTTTTTACAAAATTATAGTACCTGCCAGGTGTGGTGGCTCATGTCTATAATCTCAGCACTTTGGGAGGCCTACGTGGGAGGATCACTTGAGCCCAGGAGTTCAAAACCAGCCTGGGCAACATAATGAGGCCCTGTCTGTACAAAACAAAACAAATAAAACAAAAATAGAAAAGTTTAATATACCTCCTCAGAAATCAAGTGATCAAAATGATGAAAATTAGTGTATGGAGGAAGTGAGTAACACATCAATACATTTGATAGGACAACATATATAGAATTCTCTATTTCCCCCAAAAAAGGCACATCTTTCTCAGAAGCACATGGAATATTGATAAAGAGTGACATATTGTATCATAAAGTTAATATGAATAAATAGCAAAGTAATTTGAATAGTATAGACCAGATAACATTATCATTTAACTTTTAATATTTTAGATCTATTGCTCTAGTGAAGTCACAAAAATTAAATTACTAGTTCAAACTAGAAATATACATTATCATGTATTAAAAACATTTAAATTATATTTCTGCAAGCAGCATTTAATATACTAATGTCACAATAACATTTAAAAATTTATGAAGGAGGAGCCAAGATGGCCGAATAGGAACAGCTCCGGTCTACAGCTCCCAGCGTGAGCGACGCAGAAGACGGTGATTTCTGCATTTCCATCTGAGGTACCGGGTTCATCTCACTAGGGAGTGCCAGACAGTGGGCGCAGGTCAGTGGGTGTGCGCACCCTGCGCGACCCGAAGCAGGGCGAGGCATTGCCTCACTTGGGAAGCACAAGGGGTCAGGGAGTTCCCTTTCCGAGTCAAAGAAAGGGGTGACGGACGGCACTTGGAAAATCGGGTCACTCCCACCCGAATACTGCGCTTTTCCGACGGGCTTAAAAAACCGCGCACCACGAGATTGTATCCCTCACCTGGCTCGGAGGGTCCCACGCCCACGGAGTCTCGCTGATTGCTAGCACAGCAGTCTGAGATCAAACTGCAAGGCGGCAGCCAGGCTGGGGTAGGGGCGCCCGCCATTGCCCAGGCTTGATTAGGTAAACAAAGCAGCTGGGAAGCTCGAACTGGGCGGAGCCCACCACAGCTCAAGGAGGCCTGCCTGCCTCTGTAGGCTCCACCTCTGGGGGCAGGGCACAGACAAACAAAAAGCAGTAACCTCTGCAGACTTAAAGGTCCCTGTCTGACAGCTTTGAAGAGAGCAGTGGTTCTCCCAGCACGCAGCTGGAGATCTGAGAACGGGCAGACTGCCTCCTCAAGTGGGTCCCTGACCCCTGACCCCCGAGCAGCCTAACTGGGAGGCACCCCCGAGCAGGGGCACACTGACACCTCACACGGCAGGGTATTCCAACAGACCTGCAGCTGAGGGTCCTGTCTGTTAGAAGGAAAACTAACAAACAGAAAGGACATCCACACCAAAAACCCATCTGTACATCACCATCATCAAAGACCAAAAGTAGATAAAACCACAAAGATGGGGAAAAAACAGAACAGAAAAACTGGAAACTCTAGAAAGCAGAGCTCCTCTCCTCCTCCAAAGGAACGCAGTTCCTCACCAGCAATGGAACAAAGCTGGATAGAGAATGACTTTGACGAGCTGAGAGAAGAAGGCTTCAGACGATCAAATTACTCTGAGCTACGGGAGGACATTCAAACCAAAGGCAAAGAAGTTGAAAACTTTGAAAAAAATTTAGAAGAATGTATAACTAGAATAACCAATACAGAGAAGTGCTTAAAGGAGCTGATGGAGCTGAAAACCAAGGCTCGAGAACTATGTGAAGAATGCAGAAGCCTCAGGAGCCGATGCGATCAACTGGAAGATAGGGTATCAGCGATGGAAGATGAAATGAATGAAGTGAAGTGAGAAGGGAAGTTTAGAGAAAAAAGAATAAAAAGAAATGAGCAAAGCCTCCAAGAAATATGGGACTATGTGAAAAGACCAAATCTACGTCTGATTGGTGTACCTGAAAGTGATGGGGAGAATGGAACCAAGTTGGAAAACACTCTGCAGGATATTATCCAGGAGAACTTCCCCAATCTAGCAAGGCAGGCCAACGTTCAGATTCAGGAAATACAGAGAACACCACAAAGATACTCCTCGAAAAGAGCAACTCCAAGACACATAATTGTCAGATTCACCAAAGTTGAAATGAAGGAAAAAATGTTAAGGGCAGCCAGAGAGAAAGGTCGGGTTACCCTCAAAGGGAAGCCCATCAGACTAACAGCGGATCTCTCGGCAGAAACCCTACAAGCCAGAAGAGAGTGGGGGCCAATATTCAACATTCTTAAAGAAAAGAATTTTCAACCCAGAATTTCATATCCAGCCAAACTAAGCTTCATAAGTGAAGGAGAAATAAAATACTTTACAGACAAGCAAATGCTGAGAGATTTTGTCACCACCAGGCCTGCCCTAAAAGAGCTCCTGAAGGAAGCGCTAAACATGGAAAGGAACAATCAGTACCAGCCGCTGCAAAATCATGCCAAAATGTAAAGACCATCAAGAATAGGAAGAAACTGGATCAACTAAAGAGCAAAATAACCAGCTAACATCATAATGACAGGATCAAATTCACACATAACAATATGAACTTTAAATGTAAATGGACTAAATGCTCCAATTAAAAGACACAGACTGGCAAATTGGATAAAGAGTCAAGACCCATCAGTGTGCTGTATTCAGGAAACCCATCTCACATGCAGAGACACACATAGGCTCAAAATAAAAGGATGGAGGAAGATCTACCAAGCAAATGGAAAACAAAAAAAAGGCAGGGGTTGCAATCCTAGTCTCTGATAAAACAGACTTTAAACCAACGAAGATCAAAAGAGACAAAGAAGGCCATTACATAATGGTAAAGGGATCAATTCAACAAGAAGAGCTAACTATCCTAAATATATATGCACCCAATACAGGAGCACCCAGATTCATAAAGCAAGTCCTGAGTGACCTACAAAGAGACTTAGACTCACACACATTAATAATGGGAGACTTTAACACCCCACTGTCAACATTAGACAGATCAACGAGACAGAAAGTCAACAAGGATACCCAGGAATTGAACTCAGCTCTGCACCAAGCGGACCTAATAGACATCTACAGAACTCTCCACCCCAAATCAACAGAATATACATTTTTTTCAGCACCACACCACACCTATTCCAAAATTGACCACATACTTGGAAGTAAAGCTCTCCTCAGGAAATGTAAAAGAACAGAAATTATAACAAACTGTCTCTCAGACCACAGTGCAATCAAACTAGAACTCAGGATTAAGAATCTCACTCAAAACCGCTCAACAACATGGAAACTGAACAACCTGCTCCTGAATGACTACTGGGTACATAACGAAATGAAGGCAGAAATAAAGATGTTCTTTGAAACCAACGAGAACAAAGACACAACATACCAGAATCTCTGGGACGCATTCAAAGCAGTGTATAGAGGGAAATTTATAGAACTAAATGCCCACAAGAGAAAGCAGGAAAGATCCAAAATTGACACCCTAACATCACAATTAAAAGAACTAGAAAAGCAAGAGCAAACACATTCAAAAGCTAGCAGAAGGCAAGAAATAACTAAAATCAGAGCAGAACTCAAGGAAATAGAGACACAAAAAACCCTTCAAAAAATTAATGAATCCAGGACCTGGTTTTTTGAAAGGATCAACAAAATTGATAGACCGCTAGCAAGACTAATAAAGAAAAAAAGAGAGAAGAATCTAATAGACACAATAAAAAATGATAAAGGGGATATCACCACCGATCCCACAGAAATACAAACTACCATCAGAGAATACTACAAACACCTCTACACAACTAGAAAATCAAGAAGAAATGGATAAATTCCTGGACACATACACTCTCCCAAGACTAAACCAGGAAGAAGTTGAATCTCTGAATAGACCAATAACAGGATCTGAAATTGTGGCAATAATCAATAGCTTAGCAACCAAAAAGAGTCCAGGACCGGATGGATTCACAGCTGAATTCTACCAGAGGTACAAGGAGGAACTGCTACCATTCCTTCTGAAACTATTCCAATCAATAGAAAAAGAGGGAATCCTCCCTAACTCATTTTATGAGGCCAGCATCATTCTGATACCAAAGCCTGGCAGAGACACAACAAAAAAAGAGAATTTTAGGCCAATATCCTTGATGAACATTGATGCAAAAATCCTCAATAAAATACTGGCAAACCGAATCCAGCAGCACATCAAAAAAGCTTATCCACCATGATCAAGTGGGCTTCATCCCTGGGATGCTAGGCTGGTTCAATATATGCAAATCAATAAATGTAATCCAGCATATAAACAGAGCCAAAGACAAAAACCACATGAATATCTCAATAGATGCAGAAAAAGCCTTTGACAAAATTCAACAACGCTTCATGCTAAGAACTCTCAATAAATTAGGTATTGATGGGACATATTTCAAAATAATAAGAGCTATCTATGACAAACCCACAGCCAATATCATACTGAATGGGCAAAAACTGGAAGCATTCCCTTTGAAAACTGGCACAAGACAGGGATGCCCTCTCTCACCATTCCTATTCAACATAGTGTTGGAAGTTCTGGCCAGGGCAATTAGGCAGGAGAAGGAAATAAAGGGTATTCAATTAGGAAAAGAGGAAGTCAAATTGTCCCTGTTTGCAGACAACATGATTGTATATCTAGAAAACCCCATTGTCTCAGCCCAAAATCTCCTTAAGCTGATAAGCAACTTCAGCAAAGTCTCAGGATACAAAATCAATGTACAAAAATCACAAGCATTCTTATACACCAGCAACAGACAAACAGAGAGCCAAATCATGAGTGAACTCCCATTCACAATTGCTTCAAAGAGAATAAAATACCTAGGAATCCAACTTACAAGGGATGTGAAGGACCTCTTCAAGGAGAACTACAAGCCACTGCTCAAGGAAATAAAAGAGGATACAAACAAATGGAAGAACATTCCATGCTCAAGGGTAGGAAGAATCAATATCGTGAAAATGGCCATACTGCCCAAGGTAATTTACAGATTCAATGCCATCCCCATCAAGCTACCAATGCCTTTCTTCACAGAATTGGAAAAAACTACTTTAAAGTTCATATGGAACCAAAAAAGAGCCCGCATCACCAAGTAAATCCTATGCCAAAAGAACAAAGCTGGAGGCATCACACTACCTGACTTCAAACTATACTACAAGGCTACAGTAACCAAAACAGCATGGTACTGGTACCAAAACAGAGATATAGATCAATGGAACAGAACAGAGCCCTCAGAAATAACGCCGCATATCTACAACTATCTGATCTTTGACAAACCTGAGAAAAACAAGCAATGGGGAAAGGATTCCCTATTTAATAAATAGTGCAGGGAAAACCGGCTAGCCATATGTAGAAAGCCGAAACTGGATCCCTTTCTTACACCTTATACAAAAATCAATTCAAGATGGATTAAAGACTTAAACGTTAGACCTAAAACCATAAAAACCCTAGAAGAAAACCTAGGCATTACCATTCAGGACATAGGCATGGGCAAGGACTTCATGTCTAAAACACCAAAAGCAATGGCAACAAAAGACAAAATTGACAAATGGGATCTAATTAAACTAAAGAGCTTCTGCACAGCAAAAGAAACTACCATGAGAGTGAATAGGCAACCTACAAAATGGGAGAAAATTTTCGCAACCTACTCATCTGACAAAGGGCTAATGTCCAGAATCTACAATGAACTCAAACAAATTTACAAGAAAAAAACAAACAACCCCATCAACAAGTGGGAGAAGGACATGAACAGACACTTCTCAAAAGAAGACATTTATGCAGCCAAAAAACACATGAAAAAATGCTCATCTTCACTGGCCATCAGAGAAATGCAAATCAAAACCACAATGAGATACCATCTCACACCAGTTAGAATGGCAATCATTAAAAAGTCAGGAAACAACAGGTGCTGGAGAGGATGTGGAGAAATAGGAACACTTTTACCCTGTTGGTGGGACTGTAAATTAGTTCAACCATTGTGGAAGTCAGTGTGGCGATTCCTCAGGGATCTAGAACTGGAAATACCATTTGACCCAGCCATCCCATTACTGGGTATATACCCAAAGGACTATAAATCATGCTGCTATAAAGACACATGCACACGTATGTTTATTGTGGCATTATTCACAATAGCAAAGACTTGGAACCAACCCAAATGTTCAACAATGATAGACTGGATTAAGAAAATGTGGCACATATACACCATGGGATACTATGCAGCCATAAAAAATGATGAGTTCATGTCCTTTGTAGGGACATGGATGAAATTGGAAATCATCATTCTCAGTAAACTATCGCAAGAACAAAAAACCAAACACCGCATATTCTCACTCATAGGTGGGAATTGAACAATGAGATCACATGGACACAGGAAGGGGAATATCACACTCTGGGGACTGTTGTGGGGTGGGGGTCGGGGGAGGGATAGCATTGGGAGATATACCTAATGCTAGATGACGAGTTAGTGGGTGCAGTGCACCAGCATGGCACATGTATAGATATGTAACTAACCTGCAAAATGTGCACATGTGCCCTAAAACTTAATGTATAATTAAAAAAAAAGAAAAAAAAAATTATTACTATTATTTTTGTGTTTGTTATGTAATAGACAATATTGTTCTACTTTTATTTTAATTACATGTTACATGGCCAGTACAATTTACCATATACCAAATTTTTTATTTCTTATTTTGTGAATTGGTTATATTTCACAAAATGCTTTTATAATAATTTGTATAAATGTTATTTTAACTTACTATCAAATTATCTTTATTTTCACACTACATTTTAATTTTTACTGTCAAATTTACCATTTTTTATCTTTATTACATGTTTTATCCCTTTTGAACTTACAGCTTTCTCCTTCCTGTATAGTCACTAGTCAATTCAATTTCCCTCAAAATTTTGTGCAGCTTTACTTAGAAAAATATACTACAAAAAATCTTAGATATTAGGTAAATATCTAAGTTGATATTTTTGAAAAAACTAAAGAGTTAATACAAATACATTAATTATAACATTTGGCAATTTAGAATGGATCATTTCTCCAAAGAAGACATAAGAACAGCCAAGAGTTATATGAAAAGATCTTTAACATCACTAATCCTCAGGCAAAGGTAAATCAAAATCACAATGAAATATCAACATACCTGTTAGGAAGGCTATTGGCATAAAAATAAAATATAATAAATTTTGGCAAGGATATGGAGAAAATGGAACACTTGGTAGGAATGTAAGTTGGCACAGCTGATATGAAAAACATGGAGTTTCTTCAAAAAATGAAAGGAGAAACTACTGTGTGATCTAGTAATTCCACTTCTGGGTACATATAAAAAAAAATGAGATATGTCTGCAACCTCATATTCATCGTAGTTTTATTTATAATAGTCAAGATTTGGAAAAAAACCTAAATGTCCATCAACTGATGAGAGGATAAAGAAAATGTGGAATAAACACACAATAAATATTATTCAACTATAAAAAGGAAGAAAACCCTGCCATATGGGTAAATATGGAAGGCATTATGCTAAGTGAAACAAGTCAGTCATAGAAGGAAAATACTTTATGAATCCAGTTATACGTTGTGTTTTAGTCTGTCTTGTGATATAACAAAATACCTGAGCTTGGTAATTCTTAATGAACACAAGTTTATTGGTCCACTGTTCTAGAGCCTAGGAAGTCCAAGAGCATGGCGCTGGCATCTTGTGAGGACTTTCTTGCTGTGTCATCCCATGGCTGAAGGACAAAGAAAGGGTGAGGTGAGAGAGAGACAAGAGAGGGCCAAATATTCTTTTATAAGAAACCCACTCCCACAATAATAGCATTAATTTATTCATGAGAGTTGAGCCTTCATGACCTAATCACCTCTTAACAGGTTCCACCTTTTGACACTGTTGCATTGGGAATTAAGTTTCCAATGAGTTTTGGGGGAAACATTCAACCACAGCATGAGGTAAATAAGCAATAAGCAAACTCATGGAGACAGAGAGTAGAGTGATGGTTGTCAGAGAGTGAGTGTAGGGTAAAACAAATGGTTCCTGTTTAACAAGCGTGATTTCTTAGTTATGTAAGGTGAGTAGGTTGTAGAGGTCTGCTGTAGAACATTGTGCCTATAGTCAACTGTTAAAAAAAAATAAAAAAGAGTATTCCAAACTTAATATATTCAAAAGTGAGCCCATGATATTTCTTCTAATATTATTCTCTTTCAGTATTCCCTATTTCAGAATATGTTTTCATCACCCATTCAGTTATTAAAGCCTCAAATACACAAGTCTGTCCTAGCACCTTCCATTACCACAGCGTTGCAAAGTTGGGTAAACTTCACCTGATAAATATATCTTGAATTAATCCTTTCTCTCAATTTATATTTATCTTTCTGTTATTTTCTGTATGGCCTCTTTAAATTACTCTTTAAAGAGTCAATCTGAATTTTATCCATTTTAATCTCTACCCTGTGGCCAGAGTGATTATTTCAAAATTTGTCTGATTGTCTCACTTCCCTGCACAAAAATGTTCAATAATTCACTGTGACTTGTAGATAAATTTAAGTCCTTAAAATGCTTTATGAATAAAATGACTGTACACACTACATTGCCAAGGCAGTTTCAGTTTATATCTGTTATCTTAGTGGCATAATTTTCAGTAGCAGCCCTTTCATTCATAAGGGTACAAAATTTGATGATAAATTTTATGCTTACCCTAACTGTAAGGCCCTTTATTATCTACCTTCTCCCTTCCTCTTAAGCTTCATTCTGAATCTTGATCTTTCTCACTCTCATAGCTCCAGCTTTTTGCTCATTCCTTGGTCTATGCCACACTACGTCTCCACTCAACGTATTTGCATAAACTCTTTCATATGCCAGAGGCTACCTCTCCTTATTCTTCAGATGACAAATTGAGTGCTACATTCCCTAATTAAGAACTATCTGATCATCTAAAATGTTCAAATCCCTCTATTATATCATGCACCTATCCGTTGTTATACTTATTACAAGAGTAATTTTAAATTATTTGTTTGATTATTTTGTTAAATTTGCTTTGTCTACTAGAAACTTACTAGTGCATAAGCACCATGGCATTGCTAAATAAATAAATTGGTTAATTTTAACTCTTGATGTAAAATGATGAGAAAAAATAAAATTTCCCCCTTGTGCACAGCTCGGTTTCCATGGTCCATCATTATAATCACTTCTTTGCACAATAATAACTTCCTTGCCCTTTTCTTCCTTTATCATATGCATATGGCAAAATTTCAACCTTGGAAGAAACCGAATACTAATTACCAGGAGGTATTTAGTGCCATGAGATAATGTTACTGTCTTACTTTCCTATTTTATAAGAAAACCATTTCATGTCATATGCTCTCTACATAAGCTGTTTATACATTCTTCCTATTTTATCCTCAGCTGACCATTTTTCTTCCTATTTCACTGAGAAGGGAACTTGTATAGTCTCCCCTAATATATTAACACATATCACCCATGTATCTTCTCTCATATCCTTATACTCTGCCATTTCTCCTGACAATATTTCTACTAGTTCCCTCTTACCTACTGAAACGGAATTCTTTATTCTAATTTTGACATTATCATTTATTCCGTCTCCACAATAGCATTTTAATCAGTAATTACGTATTGTTCAGTATTTTTAAGGAAAAAATTATCTCCTAATACCCCATATATTCGCCAACTACTGACCTGTTATTCTCCACCACTGTACAGAAAATACTCCTCCAAAGTCATGCCTGGACATTCTTTCTTACAAACTATTTAAATTAGACATTTTTTCCCCCACTGCTCTATGAAAATACTCTTCATCGGCCAGGCGTGGTGGCTCACGCCTGTAATCTCAGCACACTGGGAGGCTGAGGCGGGCGGATCACGAGGTCAGGAATTCGAGACCATCCTGGCTAACACGGTGAAACACCGTCTCTACTAAAAATACAAAAAAATTAGCTGGGCGTGGTGGCGGGCGCCTGTAGTCCCAGCTACTCGGGAGGCTGAGGCAGGAGAATGGCGTGAACCCAGGAGGTGGAGCTTGCAGTGAGCCGAGATCCTGCCACTGCACTCCAGCCTGGGAGACAGTGAGACTCTGTCTCAAAAAAAAAAAAAAAAAAAAAAAAAAGAAAGAAAAAGAAAAATACTCTTCATCACTAATCATTTCCATATTGGTAAATCCAATGGTGATTTGTATTGTTATCTTGCTTGACCTATCGGAGGATTTAAAAGAAGGGATTGCTCTTTTCTCTTTGATACATGTTCTTCACTTGTATTCTGAGGCTCCATGTTTGTCTGGTTTCCTCTTATATTGGTTGCTCCTTTGTCGATCTCTTTTGCTGGTTCCTTCTTATTTCCCCAAACTCTTAATATTTTCGTGGTTAGAGCCCAGTCTTCAGACCGTTATCATCTTTATCCATACGAAGTCCCTCAGCAATTTCACTTAGTTAGATGGCTTTAATACCAACTGTACTTTAATGACTCTCCGATTTATATCTCCATATAGATGCTGTGACATGAACTCTACACTTTCATATCCAAAAGTACACACAGCATCTCTACTGAAGATTTAATAGCTGTCTCAAAATTAACATGTCCAAAACTCTTCCCTGTTCCTAAAGCTTGTACTTCCCAGAATAAATTCAGTGCTAAATTTATTTTTCCACTTCACTCATACCAAAAACATCTTTCACTCGTTTTTACTTCCTACTTAATATCCATTCTGGTTGCAAATCTCATCAACCCAACATTCAAAAGGCATTCATCTGAACACTTCACATCATTTCCACCACTGTAACATAGTATAAGCCGCTATCATCTCTCAATGGAAATTTGCAAAACATCTTTACTGTTCTTTTGGTTCCACCCTTGTCTTTCTATATTCTCTTCTCTACACTGACTTTAGAGTGATCCTTTTAAAAACATGTCATATTGTGTCACTCTTCTGCTTAGAATCCCCATAACTTCTCGTCTCACTCAAAAGAAAAGCTAAAGTCCCCTTAACACCCTATAAGGCTCTATAAAATCTCTTTCCTTATTTCCTTTCTGGTGATGTCTTTCATTACTCTCCTTCTTGCTCAATCTGCTCTAGACTTACCAACCTCCTTGGTATTCCTGAACACCCTAAAATGTCCACAGCTTGCCTGTGCTTTGCTGACCAGGATGTTTTTCTCTAATAACATCACTTGTCCCCTTTATTCTTCATATCCCTATTCAAATATAAACTTATTAATGAGAAATGTGTTAATCAACCATTTAAGAATACACACTCCTCACCCCTCTTCCTTATTGTCTTGTGTTTCCTCAAAACAGTCATTCCAATTTGCATACTCCATGTTGCAGTTATGTATGTTTTTTTATCTGTACCTTTCCTCTATGAAGTTAGGGATGTTTTATCTCTTTTCACTTTCATTTTTACTGCTGCATTCCTCAATTTTAGTAAGGATTTTGGTACATAGTAGAACTTGACATACAAATTGTAAGTGAATGAATGAATAATTAATTAATTAAACTAATATAGAGGCTTAGAGCCACTGATTGCTATGGCTGGCTTAATTGATCCCAGCCCACTTCCTGTAGCTGCTATTGGTTTTCCAAACACCAGGCATGTATTTTAAGTCAGGCAACTGGAGAGGCAAGTGAACTGATTGCTGAAGGCACAGTAAAAGGCTTATGTCATTTGAATATTGCAGCACTTCTCTCCCAGGGATTAGCGTGAACTAGGATAAATTTGGAGACAGAAGGGAGCGAGGGTTTGATGGACCTGCATAGTAGGTCACAAAGAATAAACATTCAAATTCATTCTATAAATGATAAATTACTTACTTGCACTAGACATAGAATGGAATATTATTTTGTGTCATTACTGGGGGAATTCACCTAGAACTCAGTGTGTGACTTAAAACCAGCCATTTTGTGATAATGATGTGGGAGTTCAAGATCAGGCTGACACAGATAAAGTTACATGCCAGGACCCAGGCAGGGATAAGGGGGTGGCTGGACTGAGTACCCGATTTAGTCTGCTTAAAAGCTTGGCCCAGTACTGCACAAAATGATGTGTGTGTGTGTGGCGGGGGGTGGGGAGGTCTTTATGTCTTTTACATTCATATTTGATATACACTAGCTTACTGTAGAAATACAGGTTTAAAAGAGCAGACTTGCTAAGGTTAATTCAGAAAGATTTAATTTGGGAAATTTATAATTGGCAGCAGTATTTCTGCTTTATAAATAAAGCATTCTGCCAGGAATGAGATGTAAGCTATACACAGAACTTACAACTTTGTATATAAGTATGTATCATTAGGTAGGAGTTTAAAAGATCTGATTATCAGTGCATAAATATTTTAGAGATTGCCTAAATATCTAAGCTATATAAACTGTATGTATTCCTTTAAAGTAGAAGCAAAAAATAAAGAGTCAGAGAGAGAGCAAATTGAAATGCATGTGGGTCAGCATACCATAAATATGTTAACTACAACCACCTCTCACAGAGAACAGTTAACACTTTTTGCATTTTGAAAAAAGACACTCCTCACCCTTCTTTTTTTAGATACAAAGAAGATAGAGTAGAAATACAAATGGATGCAGGGAGACCAGCGAAGGGTTTATTGCATTTGTCCTGATGAGAGATAACAAAAATTGAGTTAATATGTACAGATACAATCAGACACGTATGAGATACATTAAAATGTAGAATTGCTTGGACTTGCTACTGCTTACCTTTGGTGAAGTGTAGAGAAAGGGAGATGCTGTGAATGGCAGACTTTGGATTTTAGCACTTGGATCAATGGTGGCACCATTCACTAAGGAAAGGAGCTAATTAGGGCAGTTTTGTGTGTGAACATGTGTGTGTGTGTCTGTGTGTGAATTTAAATTCAAAATTATAAATTGTGAATCGGGCTTTGAAATATCTGTGAGACATCCCATTAGAACTAGTGAAAGTGCAAGTGGATATATAGATTTAAAACCCTGAATTGTCATCTAGACTTACTAAATAAATTTGAGTCATCTCTTTACAGATACAAACTGAAGGCAGAGGAGTTGATGAAATTTATATTAAAAACTTTTAGAAAAATGAGAAACTGGCCTAATATTTAATACTATAAATGGAGTCTACGTTTTTTTTTTCTATAAAGGGCCAGATAGTAAATATTTTAGGCTTTGTAGGTCAAATGGTCTCTGTCACTACTACACATTTGCCATTGTAGTGCTAAATTGGCCACAGTCAATATATAAATGAATGAGCATTATTATGTTCCAATAAATTTTTATTAGCAGATATTAGGAAGCAAATTGGACTTGACCCATGGGCCGTGGTTTGCTGACCCATGAACTAGGATTCTGGATCTAAATATCAGATAAGTGAAAATAAATTGGTAAAGATGTGGGAGAAGGCAGAAAAGATCAATTGAGAGTTGTGTTAGAGACACAGATAGAAGAGAGAATGCAAAAAAGATAAAAATTTTACAAATTTAAAAATCCCATTTGAGTTAGCCACATAATAGTCATTGATCACCTTGTTAAAATCCATTTTAAAGATATAGTAAAAAGTGAATGATGGTAATGGGTTGAAGAAAGAGTGGAAAGAGGGTAAATGGGCACAGTAAATACAAATAACTCTTTTATGAAAATTAGACACGAAGAGGACAGGGATAAAATGTACCTGGAAAGAAAAGGGTTTTCTCAACATGAATGTAAAGTGGATCTAAAATAGTCATTTACATCAAGATTGTATGTAGTCAGTATGTAGTGACATGTTTATGCACCCTATTTCAAGCTCCTTACTTCATTTTGTTCTCGCTAGTTTATGCTAGAGGCTTTGAGACTTGGTACAGCAACTGCAGATGACAATGTCAATGCTCAACAAAGATCTCTTTTCTGAGCCCTACTCATCTGTAAGGGCGTTAAGACCATTTTAGGAATAGACTTCTTTAGGATATGGGGTGGGGAAACTATTTCTTTCAGTGATTATATCTTGTACTAGTGACAGTTCTGGGTAACAAAACAACAAAAGTGAATGACTTTTATTAAATGTAGGGGTTTTATGTTAATTTGTTAGTAAACCAATTGTAAGCTGGCACCCCTGCGGATTCAGAAACCTAGTTAAACTTGATTTGTAATCTTGGAGAATCAGGAGGGCTCCTTGTAACTGCTGAAGATTAGCTTGTAGTTAACATGCCTATGTTATCCTCTGTTTCCACCCTGTTCTCCATCAGTCTGGAACAAATAAGCAGGTGCTTCACCATTTTCCACAAAATATTCCTTGCACCTTGATATGGTTTAGCTGTGTCCCCACCCAAATCTCATTTGAATTGTAACTCCCACAATTCCCACGTGTCATGGGAGGAACCCAGTGTTAAGTGATTGAATTATGGGGGCATTTCTTTCCTTTTTTGTTCTCATGATTGTGAATGAGTCTCAAGAGATCTGATGGTTTCATAAGGGGAAACCCGTTTCACTTGACTTTCATTCTCTCTTTGCCTGCTGCCCATTCAGGTAAGACCGGACTTGCTCCTCCTTGCCTTCCGCCATGATTGTGAGGCTTCCCCAACCACGTGGAACTGTAAGTCCAATTAAACATCTTTCTTTTGTAAATTGCCTTGTCTCCGGTATGTCTTTATCAGCAGTGTGAAAACAGACTAATACACACCTATAATTTATTGTATTTGTTTTCTGTAAATAACCACTTTCCATGACTTTTCTTTATTCAGCTTTAATCTGCTACACTTTCCTCTGCATGTGCTCCCTAGTTTTCTGGAGGGAACATACTCACTTTTCCAACTGTCTCAAGACAAATGCTTTTTGAGAACTTTTCCCTTTTTCTCCTTAAGAGAGAAGGTGCACAAACTACTAACAGTATAACAATTTCTGTATCTCATTACATTTGTGTTCACTCTTCTCTGGAAAAAATTGAGCACAGGATTTATGATAAGGGGCTTTCTCTCAGCCAGATTTTTGACCTTATTTAAAAGGCACTCCAAATTCCTACTTAAGTTTATCTTTCAATTAAAAATGCACATTAAAGACAAGTGCAAACCTGCAGAACTGCCTTAATTTTCTTCTCTCCTTTACAACCTGAATTACATAAAGAATTAATGCAGCATTTTAAAGTAGCTAAAATACTTCCATGTTGTAGCTTTAGGCAAGCGTTGTCCTTCACACTGCTTACATTGCAGCTTAATATTATCTAAGGACAATGGGCACCTTTAATGTACTCAGTTATTTACTTTATTAAGTATACCTTCATTCTAGCCTTAGAGATTGATGACTATTTAGAGTTCTAATTTATGTAAAATGTTAAATCCATATTTTAGACAAATTCATACTGATGAGGCCAAACTCAGAAAATATCTTTGTTTATATGTGACCTGAAGCCACTTTACATCCCATTGATAATGCTGTCAAATCTTTAGCTATGTAACTATTTTTAGAATTCCAATTTCTTTCAGAAGACGATGCTATATTTTTATCAATCTTTTATAGAGAATGGATATAAATTACCTATGCCATGGAAGTTAAGACCGACATAGGTATGGATTTGAATCCCAGAATCAGAATTAAGAGAGTAAGATAACTATGTGTTACTAGCAAAAGCTATAGATGCAGAAAAAGGTATGCTACCTAGCTTTTTAATTATTTCAACTGTTTTTGAGAAAAAAGATCAAGGACTCAAGCATCCTTTGTCCTGCAATACTCTGGAAAATGTCAGGCTTCTACTTATTAAAGACAAAATAACTGAAGACTTTATGATCTTGTCCCCCAATACCGAGCCTAGCAGATGCACCATAACCGTGAATATCCTCCAGCCAATTTTATGTGTTTTAGAAATTACATATTCTATCAATAATTCAAGGATAAAAATGATGGTAACTGGAGATGAGGCAAAGCAGGCTCCCGAGAGTATAAGAAAACAGATGAACAACAACCATTGTTCTGGCCAGAAGTCTAAGTGAAAAAGAGTTTTAGAGTACATTAAACTCACCTGGGGCAGGGGGTTTAAAAAATTCTGATACTCAGAATGTACCCAGATCAATTAAATCAGAATTTCTTGGCGTGAGACCCAAGTATAGGTATATTCTTAAAGTTATCAGGTAATTCTCATATGGGCTAAGCTTATGAATCATACATTTAGAGACTTTGGCAAATAAATGTTACAGACATCAGTGAGAAATAAATTTAATATTGTATCTAATTCTGCACACTTAAGCAAGTTTTATGTGTTTTTAGATTTAAAAAAATCCATATTTAAAGACTATTGACCTGATACTTGCAAATAGGATCAGTAGAATTTATTGGAATTATTTGATTGTGACAAGAAAGATCTGACTTGTCCTAATGACTAATCAACAACAAAATTGGGCCAGAGCAGATAATTCTAAGAATAAGAAGAGTTAGCTAATAAGCTAGAGGTCATTGTATCTACTTGTACCTAGGTATTTATATTTCTTTAAATTTTGCGCTAATTTTGAATGTCAATTAGATAACTCCAAAATACTATTTTTTTTTGTTTTGCCATTTACATAAAAATTAAAACATTTAAATTGAAAGGCATGCAAAACACTTTTTTCTAAATGAATATCATTGTTTCAAGACTTGCTTTTTCAACCAAAGAGCTTATGACCAATACCTTGAGTCAGATTTTCCTATTTCAGGGTTTCTTGAAATGTGGTTTATAGTTCACATGAATCACAGTAACACTGTCTATTAAAACTGAAGGTTCGTGATCTCTGCCTCAGATATACAGAATCATAATCTCCTAGTGAGAGGCTTTGTAACTTATTTACAATCTTCCCAGGAGATTTTGATACACACTAAATTTTCAGAATCTTTGCCTTACTTCCCTCGAAGTAAAACTCTAGATTTATACTTTCAGCAGTAGGATTAAATGTTTACATGCCACAGAAGGCCAGGAGAGGGCAGCAGAAAGCTGAAATTTATGGGAAAAAAAGGGAAGACTTGACCTTGGAAGTCCCCTAAAATTTGAGAGAACATACATCTAGAAAAATAGGTAAGAGTTTGTAACTGCGACTAAAAAGTAAATCTATTGGACCATTTTGGTAGGTAATTTAAAAAGAGAGCTGAAAAAGGTGAGAAGAGTTCATTCAAAACCATTTGTCAAAGTGGAAAGCAACTCAACTGGAAAACATGCCTAAGAAACTGATTTTTCGGCCATGAATATGCCCAGAATGAAGAAGACAGGCACTAGAGGAAAGGTACTAGAAGAAACAAGCTGAACAAAAAAGTACGACAAGTTAGTGGAGATGACTGTGAAAACATAATTCCATTGATGTATTAACTCATTTCCTTAAGAAAAAAATAATGGTGTTGATGATGCTGAGGAAATAAAATTTTAATTATAAATACGACAAAAGGAAAATAGCTAGTCTGTGACTAGTGACTAGTATTTGTTATGTAGTGATGGCAGATGGTCAAAAGATTACAGCTATTTTCAGAAATGGTTTAGAAGAAAAGAGGGTTGTCTTTTGATGAAAAGCTAGACTTTATTTATTTTAAGAATAGCTGACAACAAACACTTAATTGGAGGAAGTTTTTTACATTGTTGTAAATATTCTGCTGTATGGTAGTTAGGAAGGAAAATACAAACGAATTTTTTTCAGAAATCATTAATAGCCAATTGATCCTCAAGTTGAAAGAGAAATTAAATACTTATATATGGTCTCAGAAAGATAGTTTATAGGAAAAACAAAGTAACTATAAAGCTATCATAGTATATAATGCAAATATAAGACAGTCTACAGATATGAAAACCTGTTTGATGAAACTGAAACACTTGAGGTACTTCTACTAAAAGGCCCCACCATATATATATATGGTATATATATATATTTGGTATATGTCTATATATATAATACATATGGTATACATATATATTTGGTATATATATATTTGTGTGTGTGTATATATGTGTATATGTGTGTGTATATAGATATACACATATATACACACACATATATATACACACACATACACACACATATAAAAATATGAAAATGAAATGTATTTGATTGAATAATTTTAAGTGAAGAATTTAGGAGAATGTAAGAAGGTGTAACTAAACTGTGTCAAATGAACAATCAAAATATCTGTCAAAAGTATCCTATAATGATAATATAAATATAACAAACCAAGGACACAGGGTAAGAAGAGAAAATTGATGGGTTAAAATCCATCATCTTTTCAGTGCATTTTCATTACACTAAAAACTTAGGGAACCAAACACAAAGGCAGAGAGAGTTAGACAGGATTAGCCGCATTCTGTTCTTCAAAAAGCTCTTAAAAATAATGATTCTCAAAAAATAAGAAAGTAATATATTCTCAAAAGCAATAGTAGTAATAATTTGCTGAAGTTGCTTATCAGCTTAAGAAGCCTTTGGGCTGAGACGATGGGGTTTTCTAAATGTGGATCATGCTGTATGCTAACAGAGACAGTTTGACTTTTTTTCTTCCTATCTGAATACCCTTTCTTTCTTTCTTTCTCTTGCCTGATTGCCCTGGCCAGAACTTCCAAAATTGTGTTGAATAGGAGTGGTGAGAGAGGGCATCATTTTCTTGTGCCAGCTTTCAAAGGGAATGCTTCCAGCTTTTGCCCATTCAGTATGACATAGTGGGTTTTTCATAAATGGCTCTTATTATTTTGAAGTATGTTCCATCAATACCAAGTTTATTGAGAGTTTTTAACATAAAGGAATGTTGAATTTTATCAAAGGCCTTTTCTGCTTTTTGTTTGTTTTTCTTTTAACAGTCAGGTTCCTCTTCTGTAAGACTGCTGAGATTTGCTGGGGGTCCACTCCACACCCTATTTGCCTGGGTTCCTCCCGCACCTGGAGATGTCACCGGTGGAGGCGGCAGAACAGCAAAGATGGCTGCCTGCTCCTTCCCCTGGGATCTCCATCCCAGAGATGCACCGACATGATGCCAGCAGGAACGATCCTGTATAAGGTGTCTGGTGACCCCTGTTGGGGGGTCTCACCCAATCAGGAGGCACTGGATCTGGGTCCTGGTTAACGAAGCACTCTGGCTGCCCCTTGGCGGAGAGGGTGCCCCGCACAGGGTGAAATCCCACTCATCCAGATTGCCTGGATTCTTCAGAGCCAGCAGGGGGAAAGACTAAGTCTACTGATTTATGGAGACCATGGCCACCCCTCTCCTTGAGGGCTCAGTCTTAGGAAGATCAGAGTTCTTTCCCTAAACCCCTGGCTATAGTTGCTGAAATTCCTGCAGGGCGGTCCCACCAGTGAGGAGGGATGGGTGCAGGTCTGGCCTAAAGAGGCAGTCTGGCCACAATCTGCCATAGCTGCTGTGCTGTGCTGTGGGAAATTCCTCCTGGGTCCAAACTATCCAGTCTCCTCAACACTGGCAGGGGAAAAACGGCAGACAGGAGCTTCAGTGATGGCTGCTGCTCCTCCCCCAGGAAGCTCAGTCAACTTAGGCAGCAGGCAGCCACAGTGATGGCATCCGCCCCTCTCCCCAGTTACTTGGTAGCCTTAGGCAGTTTCCGGCTGAGTGGCTGCTGAGAATCTGCACGGCTCTGTGCTTGGTACCCAAGGCCCTGGTGGCATGGGCTCATGAGGGGGATCACCTGATCCACTGGTTTCACAGATCTGTGGAAAAAGTGTGGTTTCTCAGGCAGGGTAGCATGATCACTCACCACCTCCCTTGGCTGGGGGTGGGGGCTCCCTTGCCCCATGTGGATCCAGGTGGGCCGTCGCACCATCCTGCTTTTCTTTGCTGTCAGTGGGTCATGCCAACTATCTAGTCAGTCCCAATGAAAGAACCTGGATACCTCAGTTGCCAGTGCAGGATTCACTTGCCATTTTCATTCTTCTCAGTGAGATCCTCTGACTGCAGCTGCTTCTAATGGGCCATCTTGGCCCCTATCTTGGTTTTCTATAAACATTTATTTTGTGTATGTAACCCTAGAATGTTGTATAAAGGATAGTTATGCCAGCTTAGACAGAAGCATGATACACTCTTTACCTATATTCAGATAAATTTAAAAAGCTTTGTATGGCTGCTGAGATGACAAACGGATGAATTGTCTGTTGTCTATTAGGCATAACCACCACATGCAAGACTGGAAACACTTCATTATTATATTCTTTCCTATATGGATCCAGATTAGACTTTACCAATGAGAGGAACTAGCGCAGGATTTGGGAAACAGAAGTGAAGCAAAGGCTGTAATTCTAAAGAGAACATAGCTGTCAGACTGCCAGATACAGTGGCTTCATCTACACATGGTGGCTTCACAGGCTGTTCCATCAGTTACATATCACAGGCTTTCCCACCAGTTACACATATAGTAATGAACTATATAAAACTGTCTATAAGCTCCCAATTCATGTCAGTTTGGTAGCTAAACATTTTTCCCCAACCCACAGTAGCTTTTCAACTTACTCCAGTGCATCAGACTAAAGTAGTAATGACCTTTTTTATAATCTTGTTGTAGCCTTCCAGATCTTTATTCCTCAAATCTCTCCCACATCTGTGCAAACTCAGATTCCTATAATAAAGTGCTTCATCTGTAATAATTTTGGTTGGCTCTGTTTTACTGTTCAGGATTAATAATAGTGCCACTCTATACCATATTGGAGCCTTAGTCAAATGGGAAAAATAAGTATTACTCATTATTCTTTAAATTATTATTTAAATTGTCATTATTTAAATTGTTTTAATAATTTAAATATTATTTAAATTATTATTTAGAATTTTAATATTTTTCTCACGAATTTAAAAAATCTAATTGATTTATTTAAATATTACTTGAAAATATTTTTGATCCAGAGTTTTTTTTGGTGCACCTTAACTTTTGCTCCCAAGGAGAGTCCCTGACTCACCTCACCTTGGTCCTCACCCTGGCCCCAGAATATGTCATAGGAAGGTGTATCACTATTCACTACTTTTTATTTACCTTGCTCAGTCAGAACAATGATATCAATGAAGCAAACCAGAATGATATCCAAAATTCATTCCTGAAAAGTAAATTATTATTATTATAAGGCTAGACATGAATTTATATAGCTCTGAGGTAAGATAGTAAATGTATACTGACACATATTGCATGTTTTCTTTGTCAGGAGAAGGCAAACTTATCCTGTCTGTCTCTACTAACAGATTATAATGTGTGTGTGTATGTGTGTGTGTTAGCTTGAATATTAGTTGCATATCAAGTATCAAGGCTGTGTTGATTTGCTCCAGGAAAAAAATCAGGAAAAGGAGCTGAAAATGGAGTTAAAATATGATTAAATTTACAGTAATCCACTATCATTCTCCAATATCCATCTGTGTCCTTCACAGACAGTCAAACAGACAAGCAAAATGGGGCACAATAGTAAGAATCACTACCCCTTTCTCCTTTAAGTCTATGATGGTAACACACAACTTCGCCATCTTTCCAGGGATGTAGCATCGGTTTTGAATTATTATTTTAATAGGGAGAAGCAGTTCTAATTTCTTTCCTCTTTCAAGTCTTACCATGATAGTTCTTACTCCACAGGTCAGGAAACTTGTAAGGAAATTCTACTGTTTGTTGAATATGTCTATTTCAACCGTGCAGTCTGGAACTGGGATAAATAACTACAGAATGTATTTAGAAACCCACTGAACCTACCATGAGAGAGACTAAAGCCAAAACATCATTAAGAAACTAAACCCACTAGTCCTACTTGCAGTGGCACACCAAAATGGCATTTTGGGTTTCAAGGAATTAATTTCAGTTTAGAGCCAATTTCAGTAATTTCTGAAAAATCTGGGAAGTAACCTTCTTGTAGATTCAAGTACTCAGCTTAGAAAACCAAAACAAAATGAAACAAACACCTCTATAAAGGTTTATTTGTCACTTACAACTGAAATAAAATTTTGGCAGACTGTACATCAATTTCAACCCAAGGGACATCAACAATGGTAAGTACTGCCCCAACCTTACTGCTCATTATAGTTATCCACAATCGTCTTGTCTGATTTACCTTCATGTAAGGCCAAACCTAGCAAGACTTTCATCTAAGAGCCTGGTCTATTTCACCAGGGCCTCCCCACATGGAAGGTCTCAATTGCAATTTCTTTCTTCTTGGGCTGATGAGACAGCTAAATTCTCTGCTTATCTTTGAGAGGCTATTTAGTTATTTACTTCATTGTAAATGCAACTTTACATTTTGGCAAATGTCTTTAGGGGAAAAAGGCTTACTTATAGGCTCAGCTCTCATTCCTCCCTTCTCATTTGGCTAACTCTTTTTTTCTTCATTTTTATGTTAGATGTATGTATTTATGGTGTACATAAGATATTTTAAAACAGGCATATCATATGTAATAATTACATCAGGGTAAATGGGGTATCCATCACCTCAAGCATTGATCATTTCTTTGTGTTACAGACATACAATTATACTGTTTTAGTTGTTTTAAAATGTATAGTAAATTATTTTTGACTGTAGCCAGCTTGTTGTGCTCATTCATTCTATCTAATTCTGTTTTTATATCCATTAAACATTCCCCTCCCACCCACTATCCGTCCCAGCCGCTGGTAATCATCATTCTATTCTCTATCCCTGTGAGTTTAATTGTTTTAATTTTGTAGCTTCCACAAATGTGTGAAAATGTATCCCACTTCTGTACCTTGCTTATTTCACTAACACAATATTCTTTCAGTCCATCCGTGTTGTTGCAAAAGACCGTATCTCATTATTTTGTATGGCTGAATAGTACTCTATTGTGTATATTCTTTATCTATTCGTCAATTGAAAGACACATTGCTTCCAAATTATGGCTTTTGTGAATAGTTTTGCAATAAATGTGGGAATGAAGATATCTGTTTAATATACTTATTTGCTTTCTTTTGGCTATATACCTCACAGTGGGATTTCTGGTTCATATGTTAGTTCTATATTTAGTTTTTTGAGGAACATCTTAGTGGCTGTACTAATTTACATTCCCACCAACATTGTAGGAAGCTTCCCTTTGCACCACACCAGAATTCATTATTGCCTGTCTTTTGGATAAAAGCCATTTAACTGAAGTGAAATATTCCATTGTAGTTTTGATTTGAATTTCTCTGAGGATTAGTGATATTGAGCACGTTTTTATATGCCTGTTTGCCATTTGTATGTCTTCTTTTGAGAAATGTCTATTCTGATCTTTTGCCCTTTTAAAAATCATATTATTTTTTTCTCTTGAATTGTTTGAGCTTCTTACATATTCTGGTTATTAATCTCTTGTCAGATGGATAGTTTGCAAATATTTTCTTCCATTCTGTGGGTTGTCTCTTCCTTCAGTTGTTTGGTTCCCTGGCTGTGCAGAAGATTTTTAACTTAAAGTGATCCCATGTGTCCATTTTTGCTCTGGTTACCTGTGCTTTTGGAGTATTACTCAAGAATTTTTTGCCCACCCAAAGTCCTGGAGAATTTTCCCAATGTTTTCTCTTAGTAGTTTCATATTTTGAAGGCTTAGATTTAAGTCTTCAATGCATATTGATTTTATTTTTGTTATGATGACAGATAGGGGTCTAGTTGTATTCTGCATATGAATATCTAGTTTTTCAAACACCATTATTGAGGACTCTATGCTTTTCCCAGTGTATGTTCTTGGTATCTTTGTCAAAAATGAGTTCACTGTAGATGGATGGATTTATTTCTGGGTTCTGTATTCCATTCCATTGGACTACGTTTCTGTTTTTATGACAGTACCATGTTGTTTAGATTATTATAGCTCTGTAGTATAATTTGAAGTCAGCTAATCTGATTCATTGAGTTTTGTTCCTTTTGCTTGAGATGGTTTTGGCTATTATGGGTTTTTTGTGGTTCCAAATAAACTTTAGGATTGATTTTTTAATTTCCATAATCAATGTCACTGGTATTTTGATAGGGATTGCATTAAATTTGTAGATTGCTTTGGGTAGTCTGAATATTTTAACAATATTGATGCTTACAATCCATGAACATGGAATATCTTTCTATTTTTTGTATGTCCTCTTCAATTGTTTACATTAATATTTCACAGTTTTCATTGTAGAGATCATTCAGGTTTTTTTTTTATTATTATACTTTAAGTTTTAGGATACATGTGCACAATGTGCAGGTTTGTTACATATGTATACATGTGCCATGTTGGTGTGCTGCACCCATTAACTCGTTATTTACATTAGGTATATCTCCTAATGCTATCCCTCCCCCCCTCCCCTAACCCCACAACAGGCCCTGGTGTGTGGTGTTCCCCACCCTGTGTCCAAGAGCTCTCATTGTTCAATTCCCACCTATGGGTGAGAACATGTGGTGTTTGGTTTTCTGTCCTTGCGATAGTTTGCTCAGAATGATGGTTTCCGGCTTCATCCATGTCCCTACAAAGGACATGAACTCATCCTTTTTTACAGCTACATAGTATTCCACGGTGTATATGTGCCACATTTTCTTAATCCAGTCTATCATTGATGGACATTTGGGTTGGTTCCAAGTCTTTGCTATTGTGAATAGTGCTGCAATAAACATACGTGTGCATGTGTCTTTATAGCAGCATGATTTATAAGACTTTGGGTATACACCCTGCAATGGGATGGCTGGGTCAAATGGTATTTCTAGTTCTAGATCCTTGAGGAATCACCACACTGTCTTCCACAATGGTTAAAGTAGTTTACATTCCCACCAACATTGTAAAAGTGTTCCTATTTCTCCACATCCTCTCTAGCACCTATTGTTTCCTGACTTTTTAATGATTGCCATTCTAACTGGTGTGAGATGGTATCTCACTGTGGTTTTGATTTGCATTTCTCTGATGGCCAGTGATGATGAGCATTTTTTCATGTGTCTATTGGCTGCATAAATGTCTTCTTTTGAGAGGTGTCTGTTCATATCCTTTGCCCACTTTTTGATGGGGTTGATTTTTTTTTGTAAATTTGTTTGAGTTCTTTGTAGATTCTGGATATTAGCCCTTTGTGAGATGGGTAGATTGTAAAAATTTTCTCCCATTCTGTAGGTTGCCTGTTCAGTCTGATGGTAGTTTCTTTTGCTGTGCAGAAGCTCTTTAGTTTAATTAGATCCCATTCATCAATTTTGGCTTTTGTTGCCATTACTTTTGGTGTTTTAGTCGTGAAGTCCTTGTCCTGAATGGTATTTAGTCATGAAGCCTATGTTCTGAATGGTATTGCCTAGGTTTTCTTCTAGGGTTTTTATGGTTTTAGGTCTAACATTTAAGTCTTTAATCCATCTTGAATTAATTTTTGTATAAGGTGTAAGGAAGGGATCCAGTTTCAGCTTCCTACATATGGCTAGCCAGTTTTCCCAGCACTATTTATTAAATAGGGAATCCTTTCCCCATTTCTTGTTTTTGTCAGCTTTTTCAAAGATCAGTGATCTTTGAGGCATGCTATTTTCTTGGAGTCTTGTTTCATTCTTTTTTCCTTTGCCTTCTCTGACTGTGTGTTTTCAAATATCCTGTCTTCAAGCTCACTCATTTTTTCTTCTGCTTGATCAATTCTGCTGTTAAGAGACTCCGATGCAATCTTCAGTATACTAGTTGCGTTTTTGAGCTCGACAATTTCTGCTTTTTAAAAATTATTTTAATCTCTTTGTTACATTTATCTGATAGGTTTCTGAATTCCTTCTCTGTGCTATGATTAAAATTTGTTGAGCTCCCTCAAAACAACTATTTCGAATTCTCCGAATAATCACATACATCTGTCACTCTGGGATTGGTCTCTGGTACCTTACTTAGTTTGTTTGGTGAGTTCATATTTTCCTTGATGCTTGGAGGTGTTCTTTGATGTCTAGGTCTTGAAGAGTTAGGTATTTATTGTAGTTTTCTTGGTCTGGGCTTGTTTGCACCTATCCTTCTTGGGAAGGCTTTCGGAGTATTCAAAGGGAATTGAGGCATCTAAGCCTCTAGATAAAGTTCTTCCCACTCTTCCCTCTCTTTTCTCCTTTCCTCATGCAGAGTTAGTCTTTCCCCATGGCCACCACTGCCCCAGGGCCATGGCGAGTACTGTCTGACTATTACTGATATTCGCTCAAGCCTAAAAGGCTCTTCCGTCAGCTTGTAAATGCTGCTAGGCCTGGGTATCCCTCATCAGGGCAGTGACCTCCCCTCTGGCTCAGAGCAGGTCCAGAAATGCCATTCAGGAGCCAAGGCACAGAATCAGGACCCCAGGATACTGCTAAGTGCTCTACTCCACTGTGGCCAAGCTGGTGCCTAAGCTGCAAGACAAAGTCCCCTTTACTCTTCTTTCTCCTTTCCTTTAGCAGGAGGATACTCTCTTCATGGTCACCACAGCTGGGGATGAGCTGAGTCACGCTTGAAGCCACCATGGCCCTGGGTCTTACCCAAAGCCCACTGTGAGTGCTGCCTGGGTACCGCTAGTGTATATTCAAGGCCCGTGGATTCTTGAGTCAGCATGTAATGAATCCTGCTAGGAGTAGGTCTTTCCCCTCAAGGCAGCAGGTTCCCTTTTGGCCTAGGGTGTGTCTAGAATTGTCATGCTAGCTAGGACATGAAATGTGGGCCACAGAATTCTGCCCGGTGCCCTATTCTACTGTGGCTGAGCTGGTATCCAAGTTGCAAGACAAACCCTGTTTATTCTCCCCTCTCCTCTTTTCAAGCAGAGGAAAGAAATCTCTCCCATAGCTGTGAGCTGTGCTTCTTGGGGTTGGGAAAAGGGTGATGCCAGCATTCCCATGACTGTTCTAGCTGGTGTCTCACTAGGTCTTGTGCACTGCAAGTCCACTGGCTCTAAGACCAGCACAGCACCAGGATTTGCCCAGGAATTGCTATCCTGTGGCCTAAACTGCCTTCAAGTGTACGACCCCAGAGTGCTTTATGCTATGGTGGTGGAGCTTACTGGAACCCTTTTTGCACCACAAAGTTGCTTCTGGGGGAATGGGGAAGGGGTAGTTTCTGCAATCCAAGATTGTCTTTCCTACCATCTTCAGTGCCTCTTTTCTTGATATGATATTAAAACCAAGTACTGTGATTGCTTACCTAATTTTTAGTTCTTAATGAAGGTATTTTCTTGTGTGGATAGTTGTTCAATTTGATTTTCCTGAAAGTGGGACATTCACTGGAGGGTTCTCTTTTTATTGCTTTTTGTTGTTGTTTCTCAAGTCTCTTTAGCCTTCTGAATGAATTGAAATCTCTATTTCTTTTCTGCTTCTCAAAAGTAAGCTTTTCTCAGGCAAAACCCAGATTCTTGAACTCTTGCCTAGGGACCAGAATCAGAAAGTGTCCAGAGGGAAGAAGGCAATAGCCTGTCATGTCATCTCTTCACAGTTCTCTTGTCTCCTCTATTTCAGGTTGATTCTTCAGCTCTCCAAAGTCAATACGAACATACATTTGTGTATTTTCCATCTGAGTTATTCTCAAAAGGGTCATTGGTAAGCTACAAACAACTCCTTCATACCTAGAAATACAAGTCATGCTAATTATGTGTAAGTAAATAAAATAGTTTTCCTTGGCTGGTTAAGTTTAACTGGAGCATTTTTGGGTTAACAACTGGTATGCACCACGTTTCTTCTCATATTGATTTATAAAGTTATAGATAAAAGAAGGCCATCCTGCTTTTTTTCTCATCATTTTTTTCTTTTTTTTCCTAGAGCAATATACAGATTCAGGTCTATGCATTTGGATATTTTATGAATTTTACTTTTGCTTCTCTACTGTTTTTTTTTCCTGATCTGTTATTTTTAGATGAAATTGTTTAATTTTAAAGTTCTCTTATGTCCCCCATATCTATCTTTTACTTTCTTATCCTCTGCATATTTCCATTACTGTATTTTGAATTTTGAGAAGAATCCCTCAACCTTTTTTCTATGCCAGTAATATACTTCACTAAAAGGTGAGTTCTGTAGTTAGGATTTAATTTTGTTAACCCATTTTTTCTTTGGTATATGTGTCATACACACTCATACTTAAATATCAGCTCACCTTTTCTTATGCCCTTGATTATCTTTCATGAATATGAATATTGCCTCCATGTCAAGAATGTCAAAGAGATTTTGAACAGTTTTCCTGTTTTTAGCTAAGAACCTTTTCCCAGTTAAGACTTTCTTTGAAACAATAGGCAACTATTTTCCATGCCTTTCAATAAGTTTTCAACAATGAATTATTAGGGTTTTATTTTTCTTTAACTATGTTGTAGAGAGAAAAGATTTATCTGACCAGGAGTTTGCCAATAGACAGGGCATTTGCCTTGCTTATTTTCCATTTTTAGGTTAGGTAAAAATCTTTATCACAGCTAGAATGAGAGTGTGAGGTGGTAGTTCAGGTTATACCCTATGTCCAGGACTTAGTGAGCATTCAGCTAGTGCAGGGTTGAAGTGGGTTGTTCCTTGACCACCAGACCTGACTCTTTTTATTAGTTCCTGATTTTTGACAAAGGGAATTTGTCAGTGATTGTTGCTGAATCAATACATTTGTAGGGGGACAGATGGGGAAGGAAGGTCCAGGGCTTCCTATTCTACCATGTTGCTTCTGTGATGATTCTTATATTTATTTCTGAAAATAAAGATAATGAAATGATTCAATGAATGTATCATTGTATACACATACACACATATACGTGTATACATATATATGTGTGGGTGTGTGAGAGTTAAATAATGAAGAAAAACATTAGCGATTAAAAAAAGGATCATGAGTAAACCAACATTTCTCAATTTTGTAGCTGATTTAGCAATTTTTTTCAATTTTTCCATGTTATAATACATTTCTAAAAGTTTCTAAAAATAAAGACTCCTAGTATACAATTTTGGTGACTATGTCCCCATTCAATGTTAAAAGAGTTTTCTTTTTTAATTTTGACTCTATGAACTCTGTGAACATTTGATATCAGTACAGTACTTGATTCTGTAACAAGTAAACATGACCAAGTTTCATTTCTCTCTTCCTTCCTCAAATGAGTGCTTGTGGCATAAATTAGTCCACACATGGTTATGCATCATTGCTCACTGACATCTCTGTGTGACATACAATTTTAAAAATCACCTTGAAACAAAACTCAAGCTGTGAGACACCAGATGGGAACTGGATTTTAAAATATATTCTGTGATTTCTTTTCAAACTTGGTTTACAGTTATTACATAAAACTATAGAAAAATGTTCAGATATTTAAATTTTTACAGGTCAGTCAGAGA
The DNA here is from genome assembly GCF_000001405.40 of Homo sapiens. Lineage (NCBI taxonomy): Eukaryota > Metazoa > Chordata > Mammalia > Primates > Hominidae > Homo > Homo sapiens. The sequence goes on from NC_000014.9 coordinate 47,929,763, forward strand.
CAGAGAGAGGTGACGACTTTAAATAATCCAGTTATCAAATTGTAACAAAGATTTCTTATTGAATGATCTGTATTGCACATTGGTATTACATAAAATTAATATTCTCGGCCGGGCACGTTGGCTCAACCTGTAATCCCAGCACTTTGGGAGGCTGAGGCGGATGGATCACGAGGTCAGGAGATCGAGACCACCCTGGCTAACATGGCGAAACCCCGTCTCTACTAAAAATACAAAAAATTAGCTGGGCGTGGTGGCGGACACCTGTAGTCCCAGCTACTTGGGAGGCTGAGGCAGGAGAATGGCGTGAACCTGGGAGGCGCAGCTTGCAGTAAGCCGAGATCACGCCACTGCACTCCAGCCTGGGTGACAGAGCGAGACTCTGTCTCAAAAAAAAAAAAATAAATAAATAAAATAAAATAATATTCTGTGATTTTCTGTTAGTTACATTCTTGAATAGTCTACTTTTTATCATTTTAAATGTTTGTGATCCTTCTAGAGTCTTACCACCAAAATTTAGAATGTATTGTATTAAAACAATATCTTCTATCTTCTATTTTGGAAATAAAATATGTTCTTCAATTTTGATGCCAGTTTTGATGCTTAAGTTAGTTGTTTTATCACATAAACTCTGAGCTAAAAACCACTCCATCTGCAAATTTAAATCATAGGAATATTTTTAGGAATACAATCTGAAATTGGAACCTTGAATGTAAGTCTTATCAAGAAGTAATGACTACTGACCTCCTTCACCTATGTTCTTGCTGACGGATATAATACAAGTAAACTGATGCCAGACAAAGTCAAACATATTTTGGCCATATTAGCATCATTCCACTTTTTAAAAGGAAATAATTACTTTCCCTTTCTTTTCCTTATCCTGGCTTCATATATACCTACATTAAAACAAATCACTTAATTCTAAATGTGGTCATAGTCATAACAACAGTTGAAAGAAATAATGAAATTTTAATAGTCCCTTATCTAACCCAATCAATTTATGAAACATAATCTTCTTATAAATCAGTCATCAGGAATCTGAAAAGCACATGATTAGATGATCTAAAAGTATTTCTTAGCCATCTGGGAGTGTGCAGATTGGTAGAGCTACCACTGACATAATGATGAAAGAAACTCCTTTAAGATATTTTGATTTGAGAGGGCAGGCCAGTGGGGTGCAGTTCTGGATCAATTAGGAGAAAGAAGGAGAGAAGGGAGAATGAGAGAATATTCATGAAGACTAATCACAAGGACTAGGAACTAGACTGGGAGCTAAGATTGAGAACATAGTTTTAGATTTGAGCTGCTTATAATTTGAGGAACGGCATGGACCATTGAGGAGTCTATTCTTGGTACAAAGATCTTATCATTTTTAAAATATGGCATTGAGCCTAAATCATAGATTTGCTAGATTTTTTCCCCCAGAAACAGTAGCTAGACAAAGAGTAGTCACATTAAAATAATTAAGATAATAATTCTGATTCAGTTATTTCATTGATTCCTAATAGTCATTAAAACTGACAAAAGACCGAGGGTAGCTCTAGCTGTTAAATAAGCCATTTGATACACCCCCACACTGTGGAAACTAAGATTGTGAAGAAGTTAATCGGGATTAATGACTAGGGGTTTAAACAAATCACTTATCTTAAAAATCCAATCAGAAAAAAAATGTTTAAAAGCAGGTAGAAAGAGATAGTATGGTAAGTGTGGTTGAGATCTGGAGTTGCATCCAGCTGGATTCAGGTCATGTTTTTCTAGCATTATTTGCTGTGTGACCCAATTTAAACTACTTACTCTGTGAAACTCAGCTTCCTCATATAAAATGAGCATAATAATATAAACTGTATGTTTATGAGGATTAAATGAGATAAAGCATGGTGCAGTACTTGGCACAGTGACTGGTACATATCAAATACATAATATATTTTAGTTATTGTCATTACTGTTAACGTAATCATTTTGATGTCTGGTTATAGGTGACAGCTCCCCGGTTTAGAGACATAAAGGGATCACGCTTCAGACTTAAACAAGAACCATACATTGAAACCCGGTCAATCAGCTTTGTCAGGAAATCTGCTGTAGCTAGAAAGGAAACAACAGTGGAGATTAAAATTGGAAACTGAGGCATGGCAAACCAATGATCCTCAAAAAGATAGGGGATCAGGGGTTCTCAACCTGACTTGGCCATGTTGAAGTCAGAGGGGGAGGTAAACGGAAATCTAGACAATTTTTTTGAATGCAGTATAACTCATGGACATGAACACAAGGAGCAAAAAAAAAAAAAAAAAATTGGTAATGATGAAGTAACAATAGGACCAGGAATATACTGATGTCATTACCCAAGTGTGACCTAGTACTCTTTAAGTGCCTATTGGCTATAATAACACTATTGATCAAAACCTTGTTACCAGCCATAGGTAATCACTAACTGTTGAGAAGTTCTGATATTGCAGGAATTTCAGGATGGGGGCCACGCAAATCATTATATTGTGGGTCAGAATTTTGGAAGGATTTTATAATAGGTTTATTTATCTTTGCTAAAAATCTCTGATACTGGCTTCAGCTTAGTCCAACAAGTGATCATGTCTTTTGAAATGCCTACCTATCACCTTACTGGCAATTTTCTTTTCTTTCTTTTTTTTTTTTTTCAAGTTTCTGTTAGCACAGGCAACCTTTCTGTAGTTGTAGATTGGTTCATCTTTCTGTCTTCCTTCATAAAAACTTTTAAAGAAATGTCAAGAGAAAATAATTTCTGATATATGACTGAACTTTGCATTTAGTTTCAAATTTCTGAAACTACAAATGACACATGTGAGACAAGGAATAAACACTTTTTATAGATAAATCAAATGATGGATTTATGGATCTGGGAGTGGAAACTTAATAGAATAAATGGGGATTGGGAGATTACTAATATAAATGCTACCCATATAAGCAAATGCAATAGTGAAATCATAGAGGGAAATGAGAAAATAGAGGTCAGATATTATGATTGTAAAAAAAAATTGGGGTACATTAAGTTTTTTCATTTTTTCTCCTGTTCATTGCTTTGCTATTCCTGTTTTTTTTTACTGTCATAATAACTAAAAGTATTACTAAAATGCAAAGGATTCACATGTTTATTTCTAGTTTTACCAAAGAAATGGTGAGGTAGAAACTCTGTTCTGTATCCAGTCTTTAAAAATTATCTACAAGAGATGGAATAGGAAGTGGTAGCGATGTAGTGAAAAAGCAGCCCAAATCATTTGTACATACAGTAGAAAATAGATGAATATGAACAAAATGAGTTGATTTCAAGAAAATTTCTAGGATTCTATTTCATTAATCTTTTCTTCTGCAAAAAAACAGATAAAATGAAAATGTATTATATAGTAGGCTTTGTAGGTGACTGCTTGGCAAGATGGTATTCCAGGCTGACATGAAATGCTAACACTATAAAATATACACATAGATCATGGTTTCAGAGTTAAGCGAAGACAATACATAGAGGCTCAATCTATTAGTCAGTTTATGTAAGAAAATATGGCTGCAGTTAGAAAGCCAAAAAAAAAAAAAAGTAAATCTTTACATGCACAAAAAGGAGAAAATTTGATGTGAGAGCTTTATATGCAGACAAATGCAGTACTGGCTGAGGATCGTGTAGGAAAAGATTAGTATATAAGATCTAATAGTGGGGAACTATGGTTTAAATGCCCAAAAGTAAGCAAAAGATATGGCTTTAAGCCTACTCAAAATGCAGCTCAAATTAAGAAGTTTTCATAAATGGAGAACCTTCAAAGACTAATGAGCATATGAAAAGAAGAGAAGTTTTAAATCTTTGCTCACTGGTTCATGTATATCTGAAAGATACTGCAAAGAGCCCATTAAAAGAGAACATTCATAGGATCCAACTTCGATTTCACAAGTTCAAGTTAGCTCTGTGCTTTAAAACCATTTTCCATGAGAAAGGGGTTAAACTTATGATGACATTTAATGTGTCAATAATGATGGACATTTAACACATGGATAGTCTCATAATGACTTCAGAGATGCAAAGCACCAGATTAGTAAGGAGCTTATTCACCAAAACAAGCCAAAAAGTGGATGAACATCTTTGAAGAGTTGTTAACTATGTTCTACAAGCCTACAAATCTACTGTTCTTAGTAAGTAAAATCCGAAATGCTCCATGCTCAAATGCTTTTGTCGAGAGGATATTTATTTTGATATCATCACATTGAACTGACACCAAGAATCGGTGTAACATGGGCTTGTTGAAGGCAGAGCTGCATGTTAAAGTGAATTTAACATTTGCTGTCTGCAGTTTTACCACTCTATAAAAGAAGATGCCCTAAACGCTGCAGGCACTAAGAGAATTATTAATGGATTAGGACACAGAAAATTAAAATACTCTATTGTGCCATGGGACAGAAAGAAATATGTCATTGTTTTTTGCAATAGCAATATCTGTTCATAAATAGTAATACTGTATAAGTGGTTTGTAAACAATTTACAATTATAGTATCTGTTATTTTAAAAAAATGAACAGTACAATAAATCATCACTTAACCTCATCAGTAAGTTCTTGGAAACTGTGACTTTGAGCAAAACAATGTATAATGAAACGAATTTTACCATAGGCTTATTGATATAAACAGGAGTAAAAGTTCCTAAAGTAGATTTGTTGTCACAAAAACATAACCAAACTTCTAAACAGACTCAAAACGCTTCTAATATTAAACATTGAAATAAATGTAAGCCATATTTACATTTAAGAAAGATTAATAAAAACAAGTAAAATAATTATTTACCTTATTTTTGGTGATTAGTGACAGTGGTGATGTCAGAAATTGTCAGGAGTTCCTCCTGTCACCATGCAATTGAGTCATTTATTGTCATGCATTTATATGATTATTGTAGACTTATTAAAAATTTTTATTTTACAATAATTTTTCATTTATTTTCTAACCCATATATTCCACTCAAGGGAGGTGGGTGGGCTGGGCACGGTGGCTCACTCCTGTAATCCCAGCACCTTGGGAGGCTGAGGCTGGCTGATCACGAGGTCAGGAGATGGAGACCATCCTGGCTAACAGGGTGAAACCCCGTCTCTACTAAAAATACAACAACAACAACAACAACAACAAAAACAAAATAGCCAGGTGCGGTGGCGGGCGCCTGTACTCCCAGCTACTCGGGTACTCGGGAAGCTGAGGCAGGAAAATGGCGTGAACACGGGAGGCGGAGCTTGCAGTGAGCTGAGATCGCGCCACTGCACTCCAGCCTGGACAACAGAGAGAGACTCCGTCTCAAAAAATAAAAAAAAAAAGAGGTGGGTGGCTGGAACCTCTCCTGGCAGTGCAGGGAACAAGGTAGGAACCAGCCCTGGACACGCATCATCCCACCACAGGGTTAAAACACTCATATGCCTACACTTTCTCAGACTGGGAAATTTAAACACTGGTTCACCAAACTTGCACATCTTTAGGATGCAGGAAGGGTCAACCTACGATAATCAAAAGGATCAGAATCTAATTGAAAGAGAATTTGTTCAAGCACAGAGTATGAGGCTAGACCACCTGGAAACACCAATGCCAAAAGAATGGAGTCAGCATTCAAAAGTAGGCACGTTAAGATTTTATCTACAGGCAGAGACAGAGGTGCTTTCAGCAGGATTACATTATTTGTATTATACAAGGCTGGCACATAATTATAGCAGTTGATTCCTTATAGGCAGCGTTTCCTTTTGGGAAGGGTACATTTAGCAGTTTATAAAGAGGATGTAATAATCATGAGTTTGCTGTCATCTGGTCTAAGCAAAGCAGGACAGAAAAAGGGGAAGTTAATTTATAATAAGCGTCGCTAATTAAGAAGGCAGGAGGTTTTTGCCCCTGACATTGTTTCATTCTCTCTAGTAATTGTAAAAGAAGAAAGCAAGTTAATCTATAATCTGAGAACAGAAGTTGTAATCATATGAGGCTCAGATTACAGTCCTATTTCTCTCAAGGCTTAAAATGTTTTTTGGGGTTCCAACAGCTTTTAAATTTTATTTCTTTTCACAAAGGAAACTGGTGTACCTAAAGAAAACCCAGGCAGACATGGGGAGAGCTACAAATTCCACACAGCCAGTGGCCCCAGACAGAAATAGATTTCTTTCTAGGCAGTGTTACAACAAAATGACATTGAATGAAATGACATTATTTGAGGAACTACTGTATATTAAGACAAAAAATACATTTGGAAAAAATGGCAATTAGAATTGCTACAAAATGTAGATGTTAAAATGAATGTGCAGAATAGTAGACATTGTTTAAGGGAAAATTATCTAAAATACCTGAAACAGTGAAATGAGAGAATGAGTATACTCAAAAAAGATGAAGATATATGGAAGACAATTAAAAGGGAAAACATATGTCTGATTAGAAAAGCCTGATCCAGTAAGTCCAAGAGAAGAGTTTCCTCTAACTATAGGTAAAATAGAAATTAGATAGAGGCCTGATGCCATGGCTCATGCCTGTAATCCTTGCACTTTAGGAAGCTGAAGAGGGATGATAGCTTGAGCCCAGGAATTCGAGATACAGCCTGTGCAACATAGCAAAACCCTGTCTCTAAAAAACTACAAAAATTAGCAAAGCATGGTGGCACACACCTGTAGTCCTAACTATTTGGGAGGCTGAGGTGGGAAGATCACTTGAGCCTGAGAGGCAGAGGCTGCAGTGAGCTGTGATTGTGCCACTGTACTCCAGCCTGGGTGACAGAGCAATATCCTGTCTCAAAAAAAAAAAAAAAAAAAACAACAAAAAAAAATGAGATAGAAATACCTATAAAGATAGAGAGAGATAAGGAAGGGAGAGAAAGGTAAAGAAAGAGACATTTGGAAAGAGACTGAGAAAGAGAAAAAGGAGAAAATATGAGGAGCATTATGTATTGAAGTTAAAAAATTAGATGAGATAAATACTTTTCTACTAGTGTTTATAAATTATTATAAACATTTCTAGAAAATGAACCAGGGAATTTATAGATCTATAGTATTGAATGACATTTAATTATTAATGTGACATGAATCCCCCAAAATGTTTACAGGTAACGCTTCACAATATCTTTGGGGAATAAAAAGCTCTTCCATATAAATAATCTTTCAGAGATTAGAAGAAAATAAAAACAATCCCAGGATGGACTATCTAACTCATGATATACGGGAAATTATAGTTCTAAAATGCATATATAAAATATTCTGGGTTAGATATGTTTTAGAATTTACCATTTGCTTTATTTTTAGAGTGGTAATGTCTATATATTTGCAAATTATGTAATATACTCAATAATGTACAACAGTCTATTATAGTAATAGCAACCTGTTTATATGAATATTCATATTTCTGTAACAAAATATATAACTACTTGCACTAAATTAGAAAAAGACTACTGTGACTATTGTCAAAGCAAACCAAATATGGCCTGAGAAGGACTCCATACTTCTATATTTGAGTCCTTGTGAATGAACTGTAACCTAGCTTAATAGACAAAATTGAAAACTTGGCTGGGTGCAGTGCCTCATGCCTGTAATTCCAGCACTTTGGGAGGCCGAGGTGGGTGGATCATCTGAGTTCAGGAGTTCAAGACCAGCCTGTCCAACATGGTGAAATCCCATCTCTAGTAAAAATACAAAAAGCCTGAGAAGTAGAGGCTGGGTGTGGTGGTGGTGGTTGCCTGTAATCCCAGCTACTCAGGAGGCTAAGGCAGGAGAATCGCTTGAACCCAGGAGGTGGAGGTTGCAGTGAGCCAAGATTGTGCTATTTGCACTCCAGCCTTGGTGATGAGCGAAACTCTGCCTCAAAATAAATAAATAAATAAATATTGAAAACTTAATAGTATGCAAGGATGCATGGGTAACAATAGCTGAGTGTTGTCCATACTTCAGTGGCCACACTTCCAACCACTCATAGACTGCTGAGCATTCAATCTACATTCAAACAAGGCACATGCTTAGCTGTAACCAATCTCTGTTTCTGTACCTCACTTCCAATTCCTGTACATCACTTTACCTTTTTTGTCTGTAAACTTGTTCTGACCATGAGGAATCTGGAGACATTCATTGCTGAATTAAACTCCTTTAAATTAAATTCGGCTGAAGACTTTCTTTTATCAGATGATGTCAGGAGTGGGATCCAAAATGGAGCTTCTAGCAACCCCCAGGATCACTGAGTGAACACACAAAGTATCTGCAAGACCCATTTGTGTCCATTGATCTCTCAGAGCAGCTGGGATAGTGGGTGAGCTCCTTCTTGGATTTTGAAGCTCCACGGATTTGTTTTTTGAGCTCTCTGAGTTTCTTTGAGCAAATTTCTGATCCAAACTGGGTTTGAAGTCGAGAAAGAAACTAGATTGGGTCCAGGAATGGATTTGATCTGGGAATTAACTGGCTTAGATCCAGCTAGAGGCCTCCTACATCTGACTGGGTCAGAAAGGAACTGGTAGTAAGCAGTAATATTACAGGGGTTATAAAACTTGGCTTTTGAAAATTCAGAGGGAATTTTGTGTTCTACCCCTTTGTTTCATTTTTCTTGCACACTTAGATAAGAAAAATCATTGGACAAGTTAATCAAGAGAACCTAGCCAATATTTTAGGCAAATGGGATCCTTAATTTTGAGAAAACTGAGTTCCTTCTGGCCTATACTTTAGGCCTGGGAGGCAGCGAAGTCTTACAGAAACTGCAAAATCTAACTAAAGATAACTTAATAGTGGAACTTTCCGTATGAACAACAATGCATTGAAGTACGATTAAAAGTGAGGGCTCTTGGTAAAGTCCCTTCTGGCTAAGAACAGTTTTGGCACAACAGGATGTCAACTGCTATTCTCTTTGGAATAATCTGCCTTGCACTCTTTGCTGACGGCTGTGGGTGACAAGATTAGGCATGTACAGGATCGTGGGACATGGGGAGCTTTTTCCTCCCTAAGAGGGGAAACTAGAGGTGATGAGACTGCTGGAAAAAATCCCTTTGCTACCAAGAAGCAGCCACCTGAACTTTTCAGTGTCACTGCAATGGGTGGGTCTTTCTCTGGCCTCCCTGATCATTTTGCCTGCCCCACCCTGCCACAGGCAATGCTTTTCTCTTTCTCCTTTCCCTTTCTTATCTTTTCTATTACTCAGGGTGACTATCTTGCCCAGAGACCCCGTGTTGAAACTCCTAGTTGGAGGTTGGATTAAAGATGTCGGGGCCCATCTGAAGGCAAATTTGAGCCTTACCAGTTTGATATTGGGTGCTAAGCAGAGTGGCTAATGTCTATGTTTTATTACACGTATTTTGCTCTGGATAATTTTCCTTTATGATGCGTCTTGGCCCCCAGGGCAATGGTGCCGCAAGCTGAGTCACTAGGGCAGCTCAGAGAAAGGGAACCCAGAAGCCTGGCGTGTGGGCAAAAAGGTAAAAATTTCTTACCAGTCAGATTTTTGGCTTCTCTCTTTCTGTGCAAACAGTCGAATGAATGGTAAAAATCACTGTTTATCTCTTCTGTAAATTTTTTATTAATGAGAAAAAGAACTGTGAGGCTAGTCCTTAAACTGATGTGCTATGAGTTTGTTTTTCTGTTTCGAGGGGTACCTTAGGATAAAACATGGGCTTAGGACCCCATAAGCTTGCAGTCAAGATGGCCCAGCAAGCTGTTCAGTAACAAACTTTCCTACAGGTCTCTGAAACAAGCCAAAAAACTAGATGGGGTCTCTATCTTGTTTTATGATCTTGGGAGCTTGACCTTGTAACCACATGACAGTATTTTTGGTCTCCACCTTCCAGGGAACAGGAATTTTAGGGTTTATGTCATAGTTAGCTCTAAAAATTATCTTGAGTAGTCAAAAACCTTTACAAGCTCAAAATTAACTACTCTAGACTCCTTCAGGGAAGTGTGATAGAGACTGTCCTGTGCCATAGCTCAGTAGCTAGGTTCTTTCCCTTTCGCAATGGTGGTCTGAGTGGGATTCCCTGCTTAGGAAGTAAGTCCTTTCTGGTTTCATATCCACCTGACCTGTTGTCTTTACCTCCACAGACTATCTTAAATTTTCCTTTCTCTGAGCACCTGGGAGGTTACCTTTGGTAAAATTCAAAAGCCAGAAATATTGGCCATTTGGCCTGGCTAAAATTGGGTAATAAGAAATTTTAAAAGGACTTTATTAAAGAGTGCTACGGTTAAAAGCAAGCTTAATTAAAACTGGATATTAAGGTTTGAACAGCCTGGACTCCATGGGAAAAACAGGAGGCACTAGAAACCCCTTTCCTGGCCCTGTTCTTCCAAGGACTCCACGATAAAGCAAATAACCAGGTGAGAAACTTAAAAACAGACAAATGAAAAATCTTTCAACTACTGTAGTAATCTTCCAACTGTCTGTGTAATTATATATTGTTGTGCATAATGTTTATATAAAAGAGCTCTAATTTATTGGCTTAAACAAAAATAAGCACTTACATATTTTGAAAGCAAAATAAAAAGTGTTCATGCCTTTTAGTTCATGTGACTTAAGTAATCTTGGGGATAAAGATAGTTTTAAGCAAGAGCAAACACATTCAAAAGCTAGCAGAAGGCAAGAAATAACTAAGATCAGAGCAGAACTGAAGGAGACAGAGACACAAAAAAACCCTTCAAAAAATCAATGAATCCAGGAGCTGGTTTTTTGAAAAGATCAACAAAATTGATAGACCACTAGCAAGACTAATAAAGAACAAAAGAGAGAAGAATCAAACAGACTCAATAAAAAATGATAAAGGGGATATCACCACCGATCCCACAAAAATACAAACTACCATCAGAGAATACTGTAAACATCTCCATGGATATAAACTAGAAAAATGTAGAAGAAATGGATAAATTCTTGGACACATACACCTTCCCAAGACTAAACCTGGAAGAAGTTGAATCCCTGAATAGACCAATAACAGTCTCTGAAATTGAGGAAATACTTAATAGCCTACCTACTAAAAAAAGTCCAGGACCAGACGGATTCACAGCCGAATTCTACCAGAGGTACAAGGAGGAACTGGTACCATTCCTTCTGATACTATTCCAATCAATAGAAAAAGAGGGAATCCTCTCTAACTCATTTTATGAGGCCAGCATCATCCTGATACCAAAGCCTGGCAGACACACAACACAAAAAGAGAATTTTAGACCAATATCCCTGATGAACATCGATGCAAAAATCCTCAATAAAATACTGGCAAACCAAATCCAGCAGCACATCAAAAAGCTTATCCACCATGATCAAGTGGGCTTCATCCCTGGGATGCAAGGCTGGTTCAACATACACAAATCAATAACTGTAATCCATCATATAAACAGAACCAAAGACAAAAACCACATGATTTTCTCAATAGATACAGAAAAGGCCTTCAACAAAATTCAACAGCCCTTCATGCTAAACACTCTCAATAAATTAGGTATTGATGGGACGTATCTCAAAATAATAAGAGCTATTTATGACAAACCAACAGCCAATATCATACTGAATGGGCAAAAACTGGAAGCATTCCCTTTGAAAACTGGCACAAGACAGGGATGCCCTCTCTTACCACTCCTATTCAACATAGTGTTGGAAGCTCTGGCAAGGGCAATCAGGCAAGAGAAAGAAATAAAGGGTATTCAATTAGGAAGAGAAAGTCAAATTGTCCCTGTTTGCAGATGACATGATTGTCTATTTAGAAAACCCCATGGTCTCAGCCCCAAATCTCCTTAAGCTGATAAGCAACTTCAGTAAAGTCTCAGGATACAAAATCAATGTGCAAAAATCACAAGCATTCCTATACACCAATAACAGACAAACAGAGAGCCAAATCATGAGTGAACTCCCATTCACAATTGCTTCAAAGAGAATAAAATACTTAGGAATCCAACTTACAAGGAATGTGAAGGACCTCTTCAAGGAGAACTATAAACCACTGCTCAAAGAAATAAAAGAGGAAACAAACAAATGGAAGAACATTGTATGTTCATGGATAGGAAGAATCAATATCATGAAAATGGCCATACTGCACAAGGTAATTTATAGATTCAATGGCATCCCCATCAAGCTACCAATGACTTTCTTCACAGAGTTGGAAAAAACTACTTTAAAGTTCATATGGAACCAAAAAAGAGCCCACATTGCCAAGACAGTCCTAAGCCAAAAGAACAAAGCTGGAGGCATCATGCTACCTGACTTCAAACTATACTCCAAATCTACAGTAACCAAAACAGCATGGTACTGGTACCAAAAGAGAGATATAGATAAATCGAACAGAACAGAGCCCTGAGAAATAATACCACACATCTACAACAATCTGATCTTTGACAAACCTGACAAAAACTAAAAATGGGGAAAGGATTCCCTATTTAATAAATGGTGCTGGGAAAACTGGCTAGCCACATGTAGAAAGCTGAAACTGGATCCCTTCCTTACACCTTATACAAAAATTAATTCAAGATAGATTAAAGACTTATATGTCAGACCTAAAACCATAAAAACCCTAGAAGAAAACCTAGGCAATACCATTCAGGACATAGGCATGGGCAAGGACTTCATGTGTAAAACACCAAAAGTAATGGCAACAAAAGCCAAAATTGAGGAATGGGATCTAATTAAACTAAAAAGCTTCTGCACAGCAAAAGAAACTACCGTGAGAGTGAACAGGCAACCTACAGAATGGGAGAAAATTTTTGCAATCTACCAATCTGACAAAGGGCTAATATCCAGTATCTACAAAGAACTCAAACAAATTTATAGGAAAAAAACAAACAACCCCATCAGAAAGTGGGCGAAGGACATCAACAGACACTTCTCAAAAGAAGACATTTATGCAGCCAACAGACACATGAAACAATGCTCATCATCACTGGCCATCAGAGAAATGCAAAACAAAACCACAATGAGATACCATCTCATACCAGTTAGAATGGCGATCATTAAAACGTCAGGAAACAACAGGTGCTGGAGAGGATGTGGAGAAATAGGAACACTTCTACACTGTTGGTGGGACTGTAAACTAGTTCAACCATTGTGGAAGACAGTGTGGTGATTCCTCAAGGATCTAGAACTGGAAATATCATTTGACCCAGCCATCCCATTACTGGGTATATACCCAAAGTATTATAAATCATGCTGCTATAAAGACACATGCACACAAACACGTATGTTTATTGTGGCACTATTCACAATAGCAAAGTCTTGGAACCAACCCAAATGTCCATCAATGATAGACTGGATTAAGAAAATGTGGCACATATTCACCATGGAATACTATGCAGCCATAAAAAAGGATGAATTCATGTCCTTTGTAGGGACATAGATGAAGCTGGAAACCATCATTCTGAGCAAACTATCTCCAGGACAAAAAACCAAACACTGTATGTTCTCACTCATAGGTGGAAATTGAACAATGAGAATGCTTGGTCATGGGAAGGGGAACATCACACACGGGGGCCTGTCGTGGAATGGGGGGAGTGGGGAGGGATAGCATTAGGAGATATACCTAATGTAAATGACGAGTTAATGGGTGCAGCACACCAACATGGCACATGTATACATATGTAACAAACCTGCACGTTGTGCACATGTACCCTAGAACTTAAAGTATAATTTAAAATAATAGTAATAAAATAAAAATTATTGGTAAAATAAAGACATTTGGTCTTAATTATGCAGGTCAGATACTAAGTTTACTAAATGCTTTAAGGTTATAAACTGCTTCTTAGGCTGTTGAAAATTGTTCAGTTTACCTACCTTGGAGATATTAGATTCTAGATAAGGCCTGGGGAGATGTGGACTAGTTGGTCATGCCCCCTAGCTGTGCAGGAGAGTTAGCCCTTATCTGCACTTCTGCCTGTTGTGTTCTAGGCTAGACTCCACACCTAGTACTTAATTAGAATTCCTTACTTACCAAGGTTTTCACCAAAAGTAAAAGTCTCTGAGAGTTAACATTGCCATATGTAATTGAGACTACTGAAAAAATAAGTTTACATTCAAGATGTGTAAGAAGAATAAAATCTGTTTTTGTAAGAGATTATAAGATGGTATGGGAACGTAAATTTTTGCCTAGGTTAGAGGGTTAAAGGATTGTTTCAAATTAAATAACGCTAGAGGTTTGAACAAGTTGCGGTAGGTTTATAAAAATTAATTGTAAGATATTTTATGTGTGAACATACTGACAAAAGTTAAAATGACATTATTCAGTTTTTTTCCATAAATTGGACATTGGAATAAAAGCACAACAGAGTTTTCTTGAAAAAATATTGTAAATGGTTATGAAAGGTTTATAAAAATATTACCTTTTGGTCAAACTAATTAAAACTGAATAGATTTATAAAATGTTATTAAAAACTAGCTTTAATATTTGAAGTATACTAATGAAAACATAAAACTTGTTTTTCTCTTCTCAAAATGATTTTTATGTAATAGTAAAATATAATGAAAAGTTTTTGTTTACCTTTTAAGTAAACTACAAAAGAAAATGGGGGGAAAGGAAAGAAAGGAGACAATCAGTTGGCCTCATGCTGTCTTCACTGGGTCCTGTTTGGAAAGCTAAGTCTCCTCTATCAGCATAATATTTTTTCCTTTAAAAAATTTTTGAATTATCATTTTGGCTAAGTAAATGACTTATGGTAACCTAAGATTCTATTTTGTGATATCCAATGTTTTAAACCTTTGGTATTTAAACCTTTAAAAATCAAGCTCTAGATTATCATGCTAAATCAGCCAATACTAAAATTGTTTAAATATACTATTTGAATGAGCTACATGGTCTAAGTCAAATTACCTATGATAACCCATTAGTTATCAGTGCTATGCAGCTACATTGGAGAAACAACTGGTATTCAAGAGGACATAAGTCCGATGTTAAGCATGGACTCATAAAGACCCAAGACGTCCACCTTGTCCTTCCTGAGTCCTAAAAGTTTTGTTATTAAAGGTTCTGCATTCCATGACTTGTCATGGAAAAGATAAAATAATCCAAATCAAATATATTGATATGGTGACTTATAAATTGTGTAAATAGTTTAAAACCAGTGTTTGGTTCCATATTCCTGGAAAGACAATCAAAGCTTAAGGTATATTTGGCTACCTGATGGGCCATTTAAAAATTTATAAAGGGATTTCATTCAATTGTTATTTTCAGTGCATGTTTTCTGGTTGTATAAAGCTTTCCCATGCAAGGGGGCTGATGTTATAACAGTAGATTATTATGCTACAGTGTATTTTCACCAGGTAAAGAAAGCTTTTTATGGTTCACAGAGGACAGTTCCTTCACAATCTAGAACCTAAGGACTGGATCTTCTGAGAACATCAGAGAAAGACTGTCCTCGCCATCCACACTACAGCAAAACTTTGGAGTTTTGAACCTTGGGTTCCTAATCTCACAACTGAGAAAGGTCCTGCCACATCCCTGGAACTGTACACCCATTGGTACCCTTAAAGTAAAACTAACCAGGAAAGTTTCTCTCCAGAAGAAGATGGCGTCCTTGATCTGAACAGCTTTTCCCAGGATCATGGCTCAAAATGTCTACTATCACGAGACTCTTATCTTTGAATATCTTTCTTTGTTTATGCCTCTGTGAACAATAGAAATGAAAAGAAGATCTATTATAAGCAGTTATAGGGTATACTTTTATTTGTGAAGAATTTTGCAGCCAGCCTTATACATGAATAAACTTATACTTTAATAGATGAAAGATGAAAGCCCAATGTAGGTGAGAAACTTTAGTGGTACATATGCTACCTCATAATCAGTCAAAACTCTTCTTAACCCACATCACAGATTAAAGAGAACATTGCCTTCTCTCTTCTAGAGTGAAGGCCTTCACTCTTCTAGAAAGACATCATTTGTTAGGTCCTTTTCCATGGTTTAGAATAAAAGAGGAAATAATTAGAAATGTCTCCCTCATAATAGGCTCTACAGCAAATTCTACTTTAAAGGCTATTGTTACACAATACACTTTAACTTCTCTTGTGAAATTATGCTAAATAATAGAATTGGCTAAACAGAAAAGTACCTGTGCAGCTGCTGACGCTTGTGGCCTCTGGAGAAATATATCAAATGTAGATTATAAAAAATCAGTTGTAGGGGATTAATGAAAAGACCACTTACTCGAACGAGTAGACTCTTTATCTAGCTCATTCTTTAATCTAGTTAATTTTATGTGGTTTGGTTATGAGGACCCTAGGTAAGGAGCATACTCCAAACTCTTGGTATTATCCTCCTGACCGTCATAATAATAGTCTCCCTGGTGTGCTGTATTCTTTCAAAAGTTTTAAATGTTTGCATGCATCCATTTCCCGGATGTCAAATGATTTTTCTCCAACTGGAATGACAAAAGCTGAAAGAAGTGTGCCACCATGAGGACACCATATCCTATGACTGACGTACTGAGACTGGAAACCCAAAATGATGGTAACTGAGAGTGGTGCTAAGGCCCTAAGTTTTGGTCACACTCTCACCTAAGTGAGAACCTGGCAAAAAGGGGGGCATCTTTTAAAACCAAGTTATTGGAGGCCATTATTTTGAACTGAGCGTATGCACTAGTCCCCAACAAACCAAACCAAACCAAACTAAAATGGAGTCACTCATGCTAAATGTGACATAATCAAACTAAGGCTTCAAGAAAATACATAGATCCTAGAACAGACCAGGTTTTGTTTTTTCTCCTGTAAACAGAATGTGCCAGCCTAAGGAGGTACCCTCTACTTAGTCCTCCCTCCTTGCAAAACCCACTATTGGAAACCAGTGAGGTTCAAAACCATAGAAGTACATTTACGATAATGATACTAAAGGTTATGGTCATTCTCTCAAAATTGAGAAAATGACCAAAAGGGGAAAATTGTTAAAGCAAACTAAATATGGCCTGAGAAGGACTCTGTCCTTCCATATTTTAGTCCTTGTGGATGAACTGTAACCTAGCTCAATAGTCAGACAGATTGAAAACCTGGCAGGGTACGGTGGCTCATTCCAGTAATCCCAGCACTTTGGGAGGCCAAGGCGGGAGGATCACCTGAGATCAGGAGGTCAAGACCAGCCTGTCCAACATAGTGAAACCCCGTCTCTACTAAAAATACAAAAATTAGCCAGGTGTGGTGGCGGGCACCTGTAATCCCAGCTACTCAGGAGCCTGAGGAAGGAGAATCATTTGAACTTGGGAGGTGGATGTTGTAGTGAGCCAAGATTGTGCTGTTGCACTCCAGCCTGGGCAACAAAAGCAAAACTCTGTCTCAAAAAAAAAAAAAAAAAAAAGACCTAACTCAATAGCATGAACTTGTAACAATACCTGAGTGTTGGCCAATCCCAGCGGCCATACTTCAACCACTCATAGACTGCACTCAAATAAGGCACATGCCCAGTTGTAACCTATCTTGCTGTTTCTGTACCTCACTTTTGATGTCTGTACGTCACTTTACAATTTTTGTCTATAAATATGTTCTCACCACAAGGCACTCCTGGAGTCTCTGTGACTCTACCGTGATTCTGGGGGCTGCCCAATTCATGAATCACTCATTGCTCAATTAAACTCCTTTACATTTAATTTGGCTGAAGTTTTTCTTTTATCACTATTTATGCACATACTGTATTTTGCTAAAGTGGTAAATGAAATAGTGGGATAAATATAAACTGTAAATACTAGAAGTTCTTATTTTCAATGCATATATTTAATAAAACTTCTCACATATGCAGATCCAAACTACATTGTATCTGTACACATATGTGCAATACACATTGATTACAAATTTTTGAGGATATTGGAAATGGAGCTTTATTATTGCTGCTGTATTCAACCTGGAGTTGGACATCTCTTCACAATGATGGAATAGGGTACTTAGGGATAAAATAACACTACAAAAGCTGTTTTAAAAGCCTTTTAGAACACTATGGTATTGTTATCTGGTCCACTCATATGGTTCTCTGTCTAAGTAATACCACTTTAACTGAATAAATGGCCTTGAATCTCTTGCTCACTGAAAAATGCTGTTCAAGGGGAGCAGTTAATAGAATACCCATTAATACTATGTCACTAACAGTGGTTTTATCACCTGCATTTGCATCATTAACATCTTCAGGAATATCTTATGCTTACAATTAGTTAACAGCAGTAGAGTAATTTCCCCATTATGCAAAGAAAACATAACCAATATATCATTATCAATGTTTATCTTTTTTCTATGTCAACTTCTAACATATTTAAACATTTGATAAACTTTTGGAGTAATACAGTTTGATACTCACTTCTCAATAATAAAGTTCCAATTTCAAAGTTCTAGTTTCAATTTCAAACATCATTATAGGACAAATTTTACACTAAAGTCATTTGTTAAAGTTCACTTATTAACATTAACATTTATTTATTATAAATTTATTATACATGAGTCTCCTTAAGATAAAATTATTTCAGGAAATAATGATTCCTTATCTTTATTCACTGCAGGAAGTATGCAGGGCAAAAAAAATATTTAAATACAATTTCATGGGGATTAAATGTTTTTCATCAAAAAGCTCTACTTAAAATGTCATTTTGGAGCTAAAGTAAATGCTGAAATCCTAGATTTTTGTAAAGAAAACTAGAAAAGGGATCAATGCTTTTCCTTTTTTTATATATTAAGGTATAATTGATATTTGGTACAACTCACTCTTTTTAGTGAAGATTTCTGCAAGTTTTGGCAAATGCTTGCAGTCATGTCTATCAAAATCATTCCCCAAACTCCACAATCCCTCTTTGCAATCAACACTTCCATTCATGCCCAGTCCCAAGCAACTTCTGCTCCATTCCACTTTCTGTCACTGGAGTTTTTTCTCTTTTAGAATGTTGTATAACTGGAATCATATATAACATTTTAATTGTGACTTCTTTTACTCGGCATAACCCATTTGAGATTCATTTATGTTATTGCATAGATTAATAATTTGTTTCTTTTTATTGAGGAGTAGCATTATGATATTGCTATTCCACTATTGTATGGATGCACAACGATTTATTTATTAATTCAATAAATGAAGCATATTTGGGCTGTTTCTAGTTTTTAGCAAATATGAACAAAGTATACATGTTTCCATGCAGGCTTAGTATACATGTTTGCATACAGGCTTTTGTAAACAAAATTTTAATTTACTTGAATATATACTTGGCAGTTGGAATGCTGTGTCATATGGTAAGTATATGTTTACATTTATATAAATGTGCCACACTCTTTTTGCAAGACTTTCTCCTTAGTTCAGCTGAAAATCAGGTTCTTATCACACGACCAGGAAAGATTAGTCTCTCAGACACTTTGAAGGGTAAAGAGGAAGGGAATTTATTGGAAGCAAAGGAAAAAGGAAGAACAGCACAGCAAAATGACAGGGATTACTGTTAACAGGCCCCCATCTCACCGATTGAATCCCAGGTTACCACAGGAACAGGAGGGGCCAGGCTCCTCCCACTTGCAAATGTGTGTGGCTCCACCCTGTTCTCCCAGTGCGCAGCTGATTGGAGATTCTTCCGGGACCGCGTTATACTTGGCTGCCTCACTCTGTTCCAAAGCAACTGTACTTTTTATACTTCCAGCATCAATGTATGAGAGTGCCTGTTGCTCTGCAGCCTCACAAACACGAAGCACTTGGTATTTTCTCTCTCTCTCTGTGTTTTAAGTCATTCAATTAGTTGTCTGGTAGTAGGTAGTGATGTAATAATTTACACTTCCCTGAAGACTAATGATGTTGAGCCAACTCTTCATGTGTTTATTACCCTTCGTATATCTTCTTGGGAGAATTATCTGTTCAAACCTTTTGCACATATTTAATGGGTTGATTACATACTTACTGAGTTTTGCTAAGACTGTATATATTCTGGATCCAAGCCCTTTTATCCAGAAGCTTGCAAATATTTTTCTCACAGCATGGGATGTCTTTTGTTCTCTTAGCAGTGTCTTTAATTTTAATTAAGTACAATTTATTTATTTTTACGTGGGATTTCTTTGGAACTGTAATATGGAATTTGCTTAAATCATGGCTGTAACAATTTTCTCCTGTTTCTTACAGAATTATTTTCAGGTTTTATATTTGTGGTCATGAGCCATTTTGAGTTCATTTTTGTGTAAGGAAGAAAGTATAGATTAAGGTTCTGTTTTCTATAAGGATGCTTAATTGTTCTTGCACCATGTGTTGAAAATACTATCGTAGCTACATAGAATTGCCTTTGCATTTTTTCAGAAATCAATTGACCATGTATGTGTAGTTGTCTTCAGTACTTCCAGTTCTGCTCCATTGATCTGTATCTATACTTCTCCAGTACCACATTGTCTTAGCTACTATGTCTTTACAGTAAGTTTTGAGTCAATTGATGAGCATCATACAATTTTTAAAAATTTATTTTGATACGATTTTACATTTGCATGAGAATTACAAAAGTAGTACACAGAGTTTACTTACATCTTTTAGGCAGCATTCCATCATGTTATATCTCATATAACTATTGCACATTTGTCAAAAAATAAATTACTATTGGCACAATACTCTTAACTAAACTACAGGCTTTCTCTAGCCTTCCAGGATCTATCCAGATTACCTAGCTGCATATACTAGTAATTTATATAGGTTCATTATTCTGCTTCAATGCATGACAATGTCATCACCATTCTGTTTTTCTGACTTAGACACTCTGAGAGCAGTAATCAGGTATTTTACAAAACGTTTTTCTCTTGTTTTTTGTTCCAGATGTTTCCCCGTGATTAGCCCGAAGTTATGGATTTTAGGAAAAAAATAAAACAAGGTGGCATGTCCCCTTTATCACATAATATCAAGTGATACACGATGTCCACCTGACATTGCTGGTGACAGTATGTTGATCACATGGTGAAGGTACTGTATCTTGGGTTTCTCCACCCTAAAGTTACTATTCTTTCCTTCCAAACTCCATTATTTAGAAGTAAGTCACCATTTCCACCCCAAAATCAAGAAAAGAAATTAAGCTTCTCTCAGAGAAAGCAGTATCACAGATTTTGTAGACATATGGTAAAACCACAAAAGTAATTTAACACGTATTTTGGACAATATATTTTAGGCTTTACAATTATCCTTTGTACCTAAACTTTAGCCCAGTAACTTTAGTATTCTTAAGTTCATCTTGCCTCGGTAATTGTTTCATTACTGTTCTAAAGGTGATTTTTTTCTCATTCCTTCTGTATTTGTTATTTGGAATTTCTCTGTGAAACATTGTTTCTTCTCCCTCATTTATTCACATGATTGAATAAATATTTATTCAATTATTTATTTATATCAACATAGGTTCAATAATATGTTTATTTTATTTTGTTTAGTTTTTAAATAATTTTAGATCTTATTTTAGATTCACGGGTTACATGTGCAGAGTTGTTAAATGAATATATTGCATGATGGTGAGGTTTGGGGTACAAATGATCCCATCACCCAGGTAGTGAGTGTAGTACTCTACAGTTAGTTTTTCAACACTTTCCCTCTTTCTAGCCTGTAATCCCAGCTACCTGGGAGGCTGAGGCACAAGAATCGCTTGAACCCAGGAGATGGAGGTGAGCTGAGATTGTGCCACTGCATTCCAGCCTGGGCAACAGAGCAAGACTCTTGTCAAAAAAAAAAAAAAAAGGATGAAATGTCTAATTGTGATTAGTCATATCCAGTGGAATTTTTATTTCAGATATTGTAATTTTCAACTCTAAAGATTTGACTTGAGATTTGTCTATGTCTCTACCTAACTTCTTGAACATATGGAATTTAGCTCTAGTAACTTCTTTAATATCCTTGTCTGCTAACTGTAATATTTGTTTCAATTATTGTCAAAGTCAATCAATTTATTTTCTCCTCACTTTAGGACATATATTTGGCCCTCTATATTCATGGAGAATTGGTTCCAGGATCTCTGCAGATACAAAAATTCATGGATGCTCAAGTTCCTTATTTGAACCTCCATATTCAGAAATGTGAAAACTGTGTATACAGAGGGCCAATTGTATTTTTTTGTTTCTCTGCATTCTTGGAGATCTTTGATTTGATCCAGACATTGTAGATTGTACATCGTTGTGTGCTGGATATTTATATATTCTTACAAATACTCTTGAGCTGTATTCTGGGACACAATTTTGTGTTTGGAAACAATGTGTTTTTTTTTTATGTATTCATTGGTAAAAAGTACAATGTTTTAAAAATCTGTTAAACCAAAGGAGCAGTTAATCTAAGGTTAAATCTTCACCACTGCTGAGGCAACAACCTTGTAGATACTCTTCAATGTCCTGTAAATTTTTAGATTTTATGCTTTGATCAGGAGAAATAGATGTACCCTTTCCTCTAATCCATTTGGTTGGTTCTTTCCCTTGCCTTGAAAGATTTGCTCACATTTATGTTCTGATCACTGCTGAATAGTCAAGGGATACCCTTTGCAGATATCAGATTCTCTGTGAAGTTCTCTTCTCTCTGGTATTCTGCCTGATAAATTCTGCCTACCTTAGTCTATGCGGGAACCTAAGCTCCATCTTCTCAACTCATGGAGTGAGCTGAGCTTCACCTTGATTTCCCTTCACTGCGTCAGTGCTTGTAAACATTTTAAGTCAGTAAGTGGAGGAATTCCTAGGGCTAACCCTATCTCTGTCTTGTCTCTCAGTGAACTCTATCCTTTATTGCTTGATGTCCAATATCTTGAAAACCATTGTTTCACATATTTTATTTTTTTGTTTTTGTTTTAGGTTATTACCTGAAATTTCTACTTCATCAATAAGATAATATATATTTTATTAAAAAAGATAATTGAGCTTAATAGTAGCTTACATCAAGAACAAAATATTGATATTATGAATTGATTTTAAACAATTAGATGATCAGGATTAATCAAACAACTCTAGCAAATCGGTGTTACATGTATGTACTTACACAATAAAATGTGCAATATAAGAAAGTTTGTTAGTTAATAATATAAGATGACCATTTTTATCGTTATAAGTCATCAGCTTCAGAGACTCTCTGTTAAAATTAGCCCATCAACCTCATCATAATCAAAATTATCCATTTTTTACTTTTAGAGTACATAATGATTTCTTATGTGTTCAGTGTGTGTTCATTTTTCATACTGAGCCAAAAATTACAAAAACAAAATTCAGGCACTGAGAACTAGAAATGCTTAAGAATTAGAACAATATAATAATGTCTTTTCTATTGAAGAGATTAGTTCAAATTAATAATTAGATTAGCGAGAGAAAAAGAGAGAAGCCATTATTTGTTCTAGAACATTTTCACTCTTCATATTATCTTAATTTTGGTGACTTTAGATTTTTATATATCAATTTTTAGTGTTAAATTAATAATGTACTTTTTAATAGCAGCAAATATACAAAGTACCTAAGAATGAATTTAAAGAAAATATGAAAGATAAAAATAACAAAGTATTGAGAGACATTAAGGAAGAATCAAAATAAATGGAGAGATACAGCATGTTTATACAATCATGCATCATATAACATTTCAGTGAATAACATTCTGTGTGTATTACAGTAGTCCCATAAGATTATGATGGAGTTGAAAAATTCTTATCACCTAGTATTTACTGTACTACAATTGTCCCTCAGTATAAGCAGAGGAATGACTCCAGGACTTCTCACATATACCAAAATGCACACATACTCAAGTCCTGCAGTTGACCCTATAGAACCTGTGTATATAAAAAGTTGGCCTTCCATGTATATGCATATTTCACATCCTGCAAATACTGTATTTTTAATCCATGTTTGGTTGAAAAAGATCTGCTTATAACTGGACATGTACATATTAAATCTATGTTATTCATTAGATAGCTGTATATTTGTTATTGCTATTTTACAGTGTACTCCTGCTTAATAAAAAGAGTTAACTATAAAAAAAACAGCCAGCTGGGCGCGGTGGCTCACGCCTGTAATCCCAGCACTTTCAGAGGCCGAGGTGGGTGGATCACCTGAGGTCAGGAGTTCGAGACCAGCCTGACCAAACCCCGTCTCTACTAAAAATACAGAAATTAGCCAGGCATGGTGGCCAGTGCCTGTAGTCCTAGCTACTCAGGAGGCTGAGGCAGGAGAGTTGCTTGAACCCGGGAGGCGGAGGTTACAGTGAGCCGAGATCACGCCACTGCACTCCAGCCTGGGCGACATAGTAAGACTCCATCTCAAAAAAAAAAAACAAACAAAAAAAACAGCCTTTGTCAGGTCTTTCGGGAGATATTTCAGAAGAAGATATTGATATTACAGGAGATGACAGCTCTCTCTATAAGTCCTATTGTCCCTGAAAACCATTCAGAGGGACAAAGGGACAAATTGTGAAGTCAGAAGACAATGACGTTGATGATCCTGACCCTGTGTGAGCCTAGGCTAATGTGTGTGCTTATGTCTTAGTTTTTAACAAAAACGTTTAAAAAGTAAAATAAAATTAAAAATAGAAAAATGCCATAGAATTAGGACATAAAGAATGAAAATATCTTTCTATAGTCGTACAATGTATTTGTGTTTTAAGCTAAGTGTTTCTACAAGAGTCAAAAATTAAAATAAATAAAATGTTTATAAAGAAGTTACAGTAAGCTAAGGCTAATTCATTACTGAATAAAAAATTAAAAAAAATTAATATAATCTAGGTGTCCAATGTTTTCAAAGTCTACATAGTGTCTAGTAATGCCCCGGGCCTTTCCATTCACTTGCTACTCATTCACTGACTCACTAAGAGGAACTTCCATGCCGGCATACTCCATCTATGTTAAGTGCCCTCTTTTTATCTTTTATATCATATTTTTACTGTAACTTTTCTATATTAATATGTTTAGATACACAAAGAGACACCATTGAGTTACAGTTGCCTACAGTGTTCAGTAAAGTAGCATGCAGTATAGGTTGGTAGCCTAGGAGCCAAGGGCTCTATCATAGAAACTATGTGTTTATTAGGCTATGTTATCTAGGGTTATATCAGTACACTCTATGATGTTCACACAGTGACCAAATTGCATAAGGAGGCATTTCTTAGAAGGCCTCTCTGTTATTAAGTGATGCATGGCTGTATATTGAAATTTCTAGGTTTCAAAAACTCTGATACTCCAGAATTTAATTTCAGATTTAATAGAACACTATTAAACATTTCAACACATTTTTGTGAAATTGATAGGCTGGTTCTAAAATTCTTAGAAAAATGCGAAGGACAAAGAATGCCAGTTTAGTATTTTTTAAAAAAGAGTATTTACATGATCAGATATATGTGCTAAAGATATAGCTACAGTAGTAAAGACAGCATAGATTTTGTTTGAGGATATACATGGATTGATAGGATACATAGAAAACTCAGAAACAGAGCCACACATATATAGACAATTAAAATACAACGAGATCTACTGCAGAACAGTGGGACAAAGTTATCATTTTAACAAAAAAGCTGATGTATTGGGTATCCATATGGAAAAAAATTAAATTATGCCTCTACCTCACTTTTAAAAAATGGAAATTCTAGTCAGATCAAAGACTTAACTGTGAAATCTAAAACTGATCATATTCTAGAATGTAATATAGAAAATGATCTTCAAAGAATCTGCAAAGAATGACTTCTAGAAGAGGAGGTAATTTATTATAGCTAATTTTGTCATTACATTTATTTACTAAACTAAAATTGGTTAAGAGGTAATTTATTAATAGCGAATTTTATCATTACATTTAAATAAATTACCTCTTAGCCAATAAATGATGATAATAAAAAGGTTAAATCTTAAAAGAAACTTCACATAAAGGAGAAGATTATTGTTACACATAAGATAGAGGATGAATAGTACCTACAATATATAAGGAATCCACACCAGTCAATGAGAAAAAGGGAGGTAACTAGGACTAGCGCAAGTTCTTCAAATGTGAAAAAATGCAAAAGGCCAATAAACACATGGAAATATTTTTCATACTATTGGTGATAAAAAAAAATAAATATTAAAAAGACAACATGTTGCTATTATTTATCCACCAGAATGGCCAAAATTTCCACATGATAGGTAACTACTGGCAAGATTGTAGGCACCTAGTATCTTCATATTCTGTTAATTAGAATGTAAATTGCTTCAATCATCTCAGAAAACAGTTTTACATTATTTAACACATTTTAAGACCCACAATCTGTCTCATGTAGTGATTTTTCTCTTAAGTACATATGCAAATATTCTGTATATGTTCTTCCAGATATATGAACAAATTTTTTAGTATATTCATTCAAAGCGAGAGTTTAAGCAAAGAAAATTAATAAGCAGCACAGACTAAACATAGTTGAATTTCAGAAACTTAACATTTTTGAAGAAAAAAAGCACAAAAGAATTCATGATTATATTAATCTAAAAGAATTCATGATTACAACTAGAGGAAATTAACTCTAGAATACAGAAGATGTGTGTAATCTGATATACTTACTGATTTTTTATTATAATAGTAATCTCGTTCTACAACAACCAGGACAGGAATCTAAGTTTATTGATGGCTTAACTGACTATGCTACAGAAAACTAAAAGACATTTAGCTCTCTTAACCTGTTAAAACCATAGCATAGATCAGAGAAGCAGAGTCAGAACTAGTAGAAATAATTTATGCTACTTATCATTCACTGTTAATGGTCAAAATAAATAGACAAGGTATATATTTTAAAATTTCAATTAAAAACAAATAAAATGATTTCTTTAAATTTGTAGGAAATCATTCTATTTACTGAGAAAAAGATGTTAATGGTTATTTGATGGCATCCAAATGATGACAAGATGAACACAACATAAAAAATTATGTTAAAACAAAACTTTAAATTTTCAGAAAATAGCTCAAAGAATTAATTTCAACAAAATTCTGCTATTGGGAATTGTACATGCATTGGGAGTTGTACATACTTTAGCAAAACGTGTTCCTTTACATTAAAGAATGTAATCCATTCCTAATTACTTTTGCTTATTTATTCTTTGCCTTACTGTTCTTTTCTCAATATATTCATCTCACAATGTTATAATATTTCCAATCTTGGAGTAAAGCCAACAATAAATAACCTGTCAGAATCAATTTCAATGTTGTATAATATATGGGCTATTTACAAAGACAGCACACCTGGTTTTTGTGCATCCACAGTTTTATTCCATGGAAACAATAGACAATTATGAGGAAATAGGAAAGAAGTAGTTGTTTTTAATTTTAACTATTGACAATCAGGTTTGATTGAAGAATAGGAGCCAAATATTTTCAAATACCAGATATCTCTATTTATGTATTTATTTATTTTTAAACTTAAAAAATTATTTTAGGCTTAGGGGTACATGTGCAGGTTTGTTATATAGGTAAATTGCATGTCCCTGGGGATTGGTGTACAGATTATTCAGTTACACAGGTAATAAGCATAGTACCCGATAGGCAGTTTTTGATCCTCATCCTCCTCTCTCTCTCCATCCTCAACTAGACCACGGTGTCTGTTACTTCCTTCTTTATGTCAACATGTACTTAATGTTTAGCTCCCATTTGTAATAAAATGTTTTATTTTCTTATTCCTATTTTTCTTTAATATATAGAAAAGGGCTAAAGTAACAAACTGTTAGACAATTTAAGGTGTACCGCCTCCTTTAATTGTTCTAGAAGCCTAAAGCTAAAATGCTTTTCTTTGTCATTCATATGTACTTAATAGATAACTTTCATTTTTTTTCTTTCTTTGCTTTCTTCCTTCCCTCTCTCTCCCAGCCCCATCAAATTGTCTCTCAAATAATGTATAGCGTTTTATTTTATGTTTATGTAAACTTGGAATACACTTTCAGTTAATCTAAACATGAGCAGAAATTCACCACTAGATCTTAATTGTTTTATAACTTGAATATAAAAACATTTAAAAATGATGTCTCTTTTCTGTATGAAATAGTCAACTGTAATTTTGGCCCCTACAACTCATGTCTTCCTGTGGGCAAGTGTTGTTTCTTTCTTTAAGAAAGCGTATAGGACTATTATATTATTTTGTCAACAGGCTGGAAAACTAAGTCTGTGTCTTTCATGTAATTATTTTTTCAAATAATGGTTAAATTTGTCATGGTGAGTATGAAAATTCGTGTCTATATTTTGAAATTTTTTATAGCACTTGACCTGTACAAATTTCATTTCTATTTTTATTGCAATTATTTTAGCCATTTAAAAAATTCTACTTTTTAGGCTGGGCACGGTAGCTCACACCTGTAATCCCAGCACTTTGGGAGGCTGAGGTAGGTGGATTGACTGAGGTCAGGAGTCTGAGACCAGCCTGGCCAGCATGGTGAAACCCTGTCTCTACTAAAAACACAAAAATTAGCTGGGCATGGTGGCAGGTGTCTGTAATCCCAGCTACTCAGGAGGCTGAGGTAGGAGAATCGCTTGAACCCCAGAAGCAGAAGTTGCAATGAGCCAAGATCATGCCACTGCACTCCAGCCTGGACGACAAGAGTGAAACTCTAAAAAAAAAAAAAAAAAAAAGAATAACTCTGCTTTTTAAAACAAAGAATTTTACTGTTAGCTCGATGATCAGTTTGATAATTTCATGTAAACTTCAGTGTTTTTTCCTATATATGTACACTGGAGAGTTCTCATACTTTTGCTCTTATGCATTTCCTGCAGTAGAATGGAAAAATCCTAGATTCTACTTAAATGTGAATTTACTAAGGTAGATAATAGGAATTAAGAAAAAACACACAAAGACAATTTTCGTAAACTACAAGATTATGTGTGTGCATCTATTTGTGTGTTTTCATAAATTATTTCATTTCCCAGCATAGTTGACTTTGGCATTAGGCCAAGCTACATATAGTTGTATGCAAAATAACTCAAGAAAGGAGAACATTCTGGTTACCAAGTAAGTCTCTGTAGGAGCTAAGAAACTTGGCCCCCTAAATGTTTGCTGAAAAATCACTGACATAAGGCAGATGGATTGCTAGAAGAAAAGACATACAAATTTATTTAACGTGTATACACAGGAGGATTCAGAATGAAGACCCAAAGACACAGGGGAAATTTGCCCATTTTTGTGCTTAGGTTCAACAAAGTATGGACAGCTATGTAGAAAAGTGATTACACAAAAAGGGTATGATCTCATGCTAACAGGCTGAGTGGAAAAACCCAGCAATGCCTGCCTAGACTCTTCTTGGCCTCTCTGAACATGCATTCTTTCTTTCCAGGTGCGGATAGGACCCTCTCTGGAATGGGGGTCTTATGACCCACAGTCAAACAAGTTAAGTAAGATTTCTTTATGGCCAGTTTTTACATAGAACATTTTTAGGTTTTATGGCCGGCTTTCTGGAAAAGGGGTTCTGATTTCTATGGCCTGTCTTGGCGAAGAGGGGTTCTAGGTTTAATGGCTATCCTAGGGACAGAATGACTCAGAAAGACAAGAGGGCAGGAGAAGGTCAGAGAAAAAAAAAAAAAGAAAAAACAACTTTTGTTTTTGAGGATGGTGCTGAGGCCTTCATTTTGGGGTGTTGTTTGCTGAGCCCCAACATTCCCATACAGCAGAGTATGACACATTGTCTCAAACACAGGGGAGCTGCCGACATTCTTCAGTTCCTGTCTCTCAGGCTATTAGTAACTCTGAAATATACACTCATTAATTATTGAAAAAACATTGTAACAGGAAAATATTACTTTAATATGTATATAATCCGGACTTATTTTTCTGATATTTCTTTCCTATGGATTTCTTCAAAATTCGAAAAAGAAACAATATGTTACATTTGCATAACGTAATATTCAAAGAATCTAAACTAATTCTGGTACAGTGGTCCAAATCCCAGATTGTAGTTTTTCTTAATGCCTATTACAGGTTGGAATATTAATGACTTCTCAAACTAAGGAACTGTACATTTCCATCTGCCCTGAGCTCCAGGAACTCCGAATGAAATTCTCA
The DNA here is from genome assembly GCF_000001405.40 of Homo sapiens. NCBI lineage: Eukaryota > Metazoa > Chordata > Mammalia > Primates > Hominidae > Homo > Homo sapiens. The sequence goes on from NC_000014.9 coordinate 47,959,611, forward strand.
GTTTCTGACAAATATGACAAAGAGGTTCCTCTGAGCTGCTCATATGTTCATATTTAATATGTTTTTTTTAATGTTAGCCATCAAAATGGCTGTTTTCTAAAAGGAGTGTCAGTGTAAGCTACTGAAATGAATAAAACTGTCTCTAGTGCAATGTTGTTATGGTGCTGTTATGTAAAATCTTGAAGTTACATACACGAAATGAACAAACAAGAACCAGAGGAGGTGCATTTTAAAATGCTATTTTTAGGCAAGAATATACAGATTAGTATGGCTGCAGCATCTGTTATTTTTTATAGGATCCCTTTTCATACATTGGTGACTACTGTTTGAAGGAATGCTGTGAGGGCTGTAAATTGGGCTAGTCACTTCCACACCTTATCTAGATTATGTACACAAGTGTAGAAGGATCCGTTCTTAAAATTCTTTTGTTAACAATGCTAATAGCATCAGTCTTTAATTTATTAAAAGAATAGCCTCTTTAACATTACTTGCAGTTAGCATTTTACATCTCCCATCACATTTGGACATTTCAATTTGCATAGATTTGAGGAATTGTTTAATTTGGAGAAATTAAGCTATCGCTTTTAGCTTTCATCTCACATAAATCACTTTTATGGCTACATGTTGAATAGGACAAATGCAATAAATGCTTGGAGAAAAAACAGAAGTAACTTATTTCTGTTCTTGTAAGTTGCTGTTTAACAAGATATCAGTAATGGAGACAGGTATTTTAAGAACAAAAAGATGACTTTCAGTTATTTCTAAAGTACATATACATATGTGTGTATAAAATAAAAAAATAAAGTTTACATTTAAACAGAAAGGCATATAGTTAAGATTGGTATAGGAAATTAGGTGGATTTGTAATGTTTTAAAGGGATGATGAAAAGAGTAACAATGTTAGCTATAATTTATTGAACATTTACTATTTAATAGATGCCAAGAGCTGCGTTAGGTGCTTGATGTGAATTATTCCTAATATTAACAGTAATCATACGAGATGGATGGGTTTAGCTCCATTTTATGATTATGGAAATTTAAATTCAGTAAATGTAAGTAATTTATCTAAGGATCATAGCAAAGCTGATTTCAAACTCAAGTCAACTTTGTCAAAAGCTAATGTTTTTACCATTGTGTGATCTCAGAAGATGACTTTTAGATGAAATTTAACAGAATAACTGCTCTTTTATCTACCTTCTTCCCATGATCTCCCCATCCACATCAACTCAGGAAAAGGAATACTGAAACCAAGATTAATCAAATCTTTCTAACAAGAGTACTTCGGGGTTAAGTCAGAAACACGCACAGAGTTTTCAGGGCAACATTTCTGGACATTGCTTTTCCAGAAGGTGTTCTAAACACCTAAAGCTTACTGGTTTATGAAGTTTATCCTTACTGAGACCTCTTTCCAGGAAAATTAAAAGTGCCAGTTAGTGCGGTAAAGCAAAGAAGGTGATGGTGGTGGTAATGTAGCTCCCAGAGGGTTCTATTTGGGTTTACATAATATTATCTTATGTAGGAACCTATATATAGGCCGCTATTTTGATTCAAACAAAACCAAGACAAGAAAAGTAGTGCCTTTTTAACTTACCACCTTATATTTGTTAGTCTTACGAAGCCAATCATGATTTTAAGAGCTGTCAGATGCCAAGATAAGTAGCAAAAGGAAATTACGTGTGTGCCTTCAATTGCTTCTTATTTTTCAGAAGAGTAGTCTGCAGCTACCTTTTCCCTCCATAAGTTCTGACTCCAGTCCTATTTCAAAACAAAGTTACATATTAGCAACCTCTTTAGCCTTAAGATTCTTATTTTCAAAATTTCCCACTGTTTTTCCTTTTATCTCTTGATGAATAAAACACGAGAAACACAACATGAAATGGTGAGTAGATTTTGTGCATAGTGACAAGAATTTGCAAAAACAGAAGTTCTTCCTTTAATCTAATTTTTTATCAATTTACTTACTTCATTCTTATTTAGTGTCTGGTGAAATTTTAGAGATGTAAAATGTAGTGAATATGTATTTTATATGAATATATTCTGATTAAACCTGAACAAACTATGACCTTGTTTTTTAATCAGCTGAATGACGTGATTAGAGAATATGAACCAGTGTCAAAATGCTCACCAACAAATCAGTCACTCCCTTGCCGAACCAATTGTAAATGGACCTCGATCACCATTACAAATACCTGTTTCTTGTTTTAGTGCCATGAGTAAGACATTAGCAAGTCAGTCTAAGTTTCTAATAGCCACAAACATGGCTCCTTTGAGTCACATGTGTCTGTTCACTTTGTTTTCTGCTGACACTGTGGCTGCTGACAACACTCCTGTCATTTCTCTCTCACCAATTTCACAACCCAGGCAGCTGACAAGATCAGTGTGGATTCCTGAGAAGTCCCCAGTTGTGTTTCTCAATAAAATTTTGGAGCTAAAACTTATGGAACCCCATGAAGGGAAATGGGACCCAAGGCTTCTGTATAGTACAAGTGAAAAAAACAATTCCTTTCAAAAAATAATCCCATGCCTTTCACAAATTCTCAGCTCCTCACTCCTCTCCCATGTTGGTGAGACCTAGTCATCTGGTTGCTTCATTATTTATTGAAAGCACCTTGGGGAGCAATGTGTTGTTTCCCATGGTGTTATTCAATAGATAATGAATTAATGAACAGAGGAGCAAAGAGATTTGTGCAACAGAAGGGAAGCAAAAGAGATTTGTGCCTCAGGAGGGAAGCAAAAGAGACTAGGAGAAAAGAACAAAGAGGAAAAGTTCCTAATGAATGTAAAAAGAAGTGCTTTTTCTCCCCATACCTTTCTTTTTTCTGTCACATAACAAAAATATTAAAACAAAATAATACGTAACAATCCTAATATCAAAGAGGGCAGGTGGATAAGGATGAATTGTCATCTTTTGTGTCTTTATAGTGATTTAATAAACACGTTGAAAAAATACAAAATGTTTTAATTCAATCAACTAAAATTATTTAGTAAAAATAAATAGCTCAAGAACATTTAGTCACCTCTGTGAAAGCCAATATAGTTTCTCTATGGTAAACAGAGAAGACTAATCCACAGACTTCGTGGCATTAAAAAACTTTTTTTTAAATTTTTAATTCAACAATGGACTCCTTATGAGATATTGTTGTTCCTCTAATGTGAAGATGTTTCCCTTGATCCCCCATTTTCTTCCAGAAGCTCAGAAATGTTAACACTGCTGGATATTCTCTTTCATAAATCTTTCTTGTGGCTTCTTTGGACATGAACAGATCTACAGAACTGTTGCTAAATGATCATTTTTTATCACATCTACTGTGGTTTAATAGACAAAACTTATTCATATAGTGTCCAAAACCAATCAACCTCTAGTGAAAAGTGTCATATCAAATTTCTTATGTAACTGTTATAATTAATATAAGAATACCTGTTTAAAAATCAAATATTCAGTAAAAATTTACTAAACAGAATCCCATTCCAAATATTTCTTACTATGAAGCTGAACATAAGAATGATACTCTCTGATGCTACACTTTTCTTCCCCAGAAAAGAAAGAGTTGTTTCTCTCTGCCAAATAGTTTGAAAGGGTTTAGCAATAAGAGAGCAAGTAGAAACCATGCTTGCTTATGTATTTACATGACAGGTCAGTGTGCATTTACATAAAACTGAAGATAATGTTACACATACACATACATATACACACACAGGGGAAGGAGTTAGGAAACCTGCTTTTTAGAGCCATCTAAGGTTGGAAGAAGTTTAAGGATGACTTCCAAAGAGTATGAAATATTAATAAAAGTAAAATTGTTTAAACATTTGAAAGTGTGCAATTGAAATGAGGAGGTGTGCAAAGAAGAGATTATGAACCTATGAGACAAATCAAGACCATCATGAAAAAGTAAGGCATGAAGACAGTGTCTGACGGGTCAGTGTCATTGTTCTTGTATATCAAAATTTATAGGTGGTATTAATTAAAGAGAGTTGACTTACATGAAACTCTTTAACAATCAAATTAAGCACATAAAATAAATATAATCACACTATTATACTTTTATTGTTATTCATTATTTTAAAATATTTTTAATCTTTTTTAGTTTTAATTTTTTGTGATCTTTTAGTCCATTTTCTTTCATTTTTAATTCTAGTTCTTCAGTGGTGTTAGTATTTTATTTTCATTATTTCCATTAGAAGTCCTTGTTAATTATTTTTCTTTTATACTTTTTTCTTTTTTTGGTACTGTTATTACTTTTAGCTTTTAATTCTTGTTCATTGGTTTTTTATCTTATTTTACAGTATTTATTTTCAATATAAATCTTTAAAAATATAAATATAGAACGTAATAATGTTTCTTATTAAAATTTACACAAATCTTACCTGCAGAGATTTAGAAGCAATTGATTTAAGGATGGTTAACAATAAGCTCACTTTCTCAACCTGATCTCTGAAACTCTATGTCCAGGGCCCTTCAATTAATCACCTTTGCAAGCAACAAATAAATATTTCCATGGATTTTATAGAAAACTTGCTAGTTACTTCAAGCCCTTTCCAGAAGATTCATAATACACTCAACATATAGTCCACTTGAATGGCCAAAGTGTTGAGTCTTGACATGTACCATTCAAAATCTTTATTTGTAGCTCTGTGCTTTGAAATCTATCTGATATAAAGGCCCCAAATTTTGCACAAGCTATGCTCAGGGTCTCCTTCCATTATAAGGCATTTTTAGAATCCAAAGGTGAGACAGCTCTTCTTTCCAGATGATTCCCATAATTACTGAGCTCATTAGAATTCTACAACTAATGTAGAACGCGTCTCCACTTTTCCGTGCCTTCAAGCCTAAAAATCATAACAGAAATCTCAAAATAATGGCTAATAGCAGAATCCAGGCTTCTTCTCTTGCTCCTGGAGGAAACAGGAAGATGTCCTAATGTTTCATAACCATTCCAATGATATTTCCCTGCCAGCCTTTAGTTGTGAAATTCCCCATAGCCACACTCTGGCTGGGGGTCTGGCTTTTCAGACATTTCCTATCCAATTCCTTTTACCATTTTCAGTGTGATCTTGGGCAAGGCAAGTGAGAACACTGATACATTGTCTTGCTTATACAGTACATGACTTTAATTCAGTTTCCTTTCATGCCGAATGTAAAATTCTGCCTTAGTATTTATGAGATGTCTTTAGTGATATGACATAACTTACAGTTTGCACGAGTCATTCTATTTAAAATAAAAATTCCTCTGAAACTTCCAAATGCTTTGTTTTTTGTGTTTTGATAAGTATTTATTTTCAGAACTTGGAAGGACATGGTATAATTTTAGTCATTTATTATAAGATATATACAATCAGAATAAAAATAGAAAGAAAAAGCAACATAAGATTTTAAGATCTTTACAATGAGACTAAAAAATAGAAAATACAGATAAGAAAAAACTTAAAAATGCACACACCAAATACTACATAGAAACAAGTGGCATATACCATTTCGGATTATTTATCCTGTCCATAAAAACATTACTCTAGATACATCAGTTCATTATTTAAAATGTTTCATTAATGATATGTTTCACATGTGCTATAGAGGGCTAAGGGTCTTATATTGGAGTTTTTTTCTTTTTCTTTGTCCTGAGTTTTCTGCAGGTCATGTTGGTGTGGCTGTTTTTAATATAAATGCTTGAATTCTAACTATTGGACACTTAAATTCTCTTAAGAAAATGTATAATATTTCTTCTATTACTAAAATATATTTCATTATTTTTAGCATGCATACAATAAATATTTGTTTATAACTCATGTTACACAAATTCTTATAATGAGGGAAATACCTATACATTATGATTTATTTCAAACATAAACATGATATACAACTAGCCTTGGCTAATTCTTCTATAGATATTCGTGGGTTTTTGGAAGGGAACCAGTAATTCTACATTTTTGATGACTACTAAACACTCCTCTGGTATTAAAATCACAAATGTTAGATTTGGCCTATTTTTCTGAAATAGATTGAGTCTACTTCCAACATTAAACATCTGGGGGATTTAACGTTTAAATCTGTATTTCTATTTCTCCCCACAAAATTTAGGGTTCTAACAATACTAGACACATTGGATTATAAGCTGTGACTACCACATTACAGCTGGTATGGGCACTTCGGTTCACCACAGTGCACTACTCCCTATTGAAGATACAGACTACTACCCCTCCCTATTAAAGATATCTTACTCAGTGGTTTTTTTTTTGTTGTTTTTCTTTCTTCTTTTGTTTTTTAGAGACAGAACCATGTCACCCAGGCTGCAGTGCAGTGACACGATCATAGGTCACTGCAGCCTTAAACTCCTGAGCTCAAGTGATCCTCCTGCCTCAGTCTCCCAAGTAACTGAGACTACAGGCATGCATCACCACACCAGGCTGATTTTTTAAAATTTTATTTTTTGGTAGAGACAGGGTCTTGCTATGTTGCCCACACTGGTCTCAACTCCCAGCCTTAAGCAATCTTCTCACCTTGTTCAACCAAAGTGCTAGGATTACTGGAATGAGCCCCTGTGCCTGGCAAAGACCATGCTTTATGATAACCACTTGGCCCCTGTGTGCATTTCAAATGGGGATCCCAGCTTTATTGCTTTTTCCTGTCTTTCTTGTGAGACAATCACTTTGATCCCCTGAGGTTACTACATTTTGTCATACCTGGTTAAACAGGCTGCTTAACTGCTTAATGTAACATGCTCATTATATCAAGGCTGTAAATACATTTATAACAAATGTGATTTTCTTTGTAAAGGCACAGGAGTATCCTTTATTTTCCAATTAGAAGCACTAATGACTTATGATTGTGATTATCGTGGAATGTATCCCTGAAATATAGTAGATTATTGATTATATTAAATGATACTCCTCTTGTGGTAGTAAGATAATAGTAAAAGCCTAGCTTGGGCTCATGCTCACAAATGTTCCATCAAAGGCAAAAAGCAAAGGCAGACCTCAGGGATCACTATTACACTACTTAACCTTGGAGATGGTTTTGTGATAACAAACAGCAGGGGCTAATGAGAAATGGCAGCTTTCCACTTTCATGAGGATCGGCCTGGCCATCAGGGCCCAAAGACTGCTAAAATAAAGCCAGGAAGTGAAAAGGTTTGAAGTCATTCCAGGAAAAGTCTAGGGGAATTAATAATTCAGGAAAAGCTAGAATTAGAAAAATATAATTTGTAGAAAGGAGAATTTTGTGAAATCTTGTAAGAAATAAAATAGGCAAAATGTTGAATGGTGTAATTAGTGGTGACTTTTGAGTAGGAAAATGTGGGTTTAGGTCCTTATGCATTTGATATTTAGCTGTTTAGATATTTATTTGTTTAGCTATTTGATAGTTATTAGACTGGCAAAATTTGTTATCTTCTCTAACTTGTTTCCTCATCTCTATGTGGCAACTATACCTGCTTAGCGAAAAAATTTTAAGATACTTACACATATTTATGTGTGTATGTGTATTTTTATATATGTACATACATGTAGTAGGCATATAATTAATCGATATCAGGCATTGTTGCTACTATGTCTATTATATTTATCCCTACTACACCTATTACTGTGTGCTGTGTTCTTCCACCTATCAGTCTCTATAACGTTGAGCAAAAGTTGTGAAGTGGGATAAACTTTTCCATGTGCTATATGGAGACAACTTTTCACAATCTAAAATTGATGATCCATATGTTTTATTTCATTAATTATTTAATTGCATTTAATTACAACTTCAAGAAGAGTCTATTTAAAAGAATCAAAAACAAAACTGGATGCCCTCTTCTAATTCCTGATGAGATTTTAGGAATTTGGTACCAATATTCCTATTAGACTTGCTCCCCCATTCAGCACCCGACTGTGTGAACTCTTTTCCAGTATTCCAGTATCAACAAAAATAATCCCAATTACTTGTAAATCCAACAAGATATTTGCTAGAAAAAAAGAGGAATGCTATGTATGAAAAACAAACAAACAAACATACAAAAAAAGACCTCTGTTGCTATTGACTTGAAAGGATCTCAGGTACTCTTCTCCCTGCATAGCTTCCCTGAAATTCAGAATTCTGTATCTTCACCCTTGAGCTCAGAGAAGAAAGGGAATCTAGAAGCTGGATTTGGTTCATGAGGTCCCATGCAAATCTGTAGCCCTTGACCAGGGCCTTTCTTTTTTTCTCTTTTTGATCAGACTTAGAAACATAGCTTTCAAATGGTCCTTGTCATTTATTCATTGGTCATTTCAATCAGAGAAGGAAAGTAATATTAGTTGGATTCTAAACCTCAGAAAAATTTTAGAAACTTTGTTTTCTTTTTACTAGAGGTGATATCAAATGTAGGAATGAGGACTGACTTAAACTTGGATTAATGTAAATATTTGGTATTATCAGCTGAATATATTTACTTTACCTTTAAGAAATCATACGTTTTTATTTTCAAGATTGTGATTAGAGGCTTTTAGCATGCCTCAGCCACTTGAGAATAGAAAATAGTACATAAAGAACAACTCTGTGAGCTTTATTTATTTTATTTTATTTATTTTTATTTCACTTTAAGTTCTGGGATACATGAGCAGAACGTGCAGGTTTGTTACATAGGTATACATGTGTCATGGTGGTTTGCTGCACTTATCAACCCATCATCTAGGTTTTAAGCCCCACGTGCATTAGGTATTTGTTTTAATGCTCTCCATGCCCTTGCCCTGAAACCCCCGACAGGCCCCGGTGTGGGTTGTTCCCCTCCCTGTGTCCATGCGTTCTCATAGTTCAACTCCCACTTATGAGTGAGAACAAGCAGCGTTTGGATTTCTGTTCTGTGTTAGTTTGCCGAGAATGATGGCTTCCAGCTTTATCCATGTTCTTGTAAAGGATATGATTTCATTCCTTTTTATAGCTGCATAGCATTCCATGGTGTATATGTGCCACATTGTCTTTATCCAGTCTATCATTGATGGGCATTTGGGTTGGTTCCGTGTCTTTGCTATTGTAAATAGTACTACAATAAACATACATGTGCATATGTCTTTATAGTAGAATGAATTATAATCCTTTGGGTATATACTCAGTAATGGGATTGATGGGTTAAATGATATTTCTGGTTCTAGGTCCTCAAGGAATTGCCACACTGTCTTTTACAATGGTTGAACTAATTTGCATTCCCACCAACAGTGTAAAACTCTATTTCTCCACAGCCTTGCAAGCATCTGTTGTTTCTTGACTTTTTAATCATCGCCATTCTGACTGGCCTGAGATAGTATCTCCTTGTAGTTTTGATGTGCATTTCTCTAATAATCAGGGATGATGAGCTTTTTTTTGTATGCTTGTTGGCCACATACATGTCTTCTTTTGAGAAGTGTGTGTTCATATCCGTTGCCTACTTTTGATTGGGTTGTTTATTTTTTCTCGTAAATTTATTTAAGTTCCTTGTGATTCTGGATATTAGACCTTTGTCAGATGAGTAGATTGCAAAAATATTCTCCCGTTCTGTAACTTGCCTGTTCACTCTGATGATAGTTTCTTTTGCTGTGCAGAAGCTCTTTAGTTTAATTAGATCCCATTTGTCAATTTTGGGTTTTGATGCAATTGCTTTGGTGTTTTAGTCATAAAGTCTTTCCCATGCCTATGTCCTGAATGGTATTGCCTAGGTTTTCTTCTAGGGTTTTTATGGTTTTGGGTTTTACATTGAAGTTTTTAACCCATCTTGAGTTAATTATTGTATAAGGTGTAAGGAGGGGATCCAGTTTCAATTTTCTGCATATGGCTAGCCAGTTTTCCCAGGACCACTTATTAAATAGGGATTCCTTTCCCCATTGCTTGTTTTTGTCAGGTTTGTCAAAGATCAGATGGTTGTAGATGTGTGGTGTTATTTCTGAGGTCTCTGTTCTGTTCCATTGGTCTATATGTCTGTTTTGGAACCAGTACCACGTTGTTTTCATTACTGTAGCCTTGTAGTATAGTTTGAAGACAGGTAGCATAATGCCTCCAGCTTTGTTCTTTTTGCTTGGGATTGTCTTTGCTGTATGGGCTCTTTTTTGTTGCATATGAAATTTAAACTAGTTTTTTTCTAATTCTGTGTAGAATGTCAACGGTAGTTTGATGGGAATAGCATTGAATCTATAAATTACTTTGGGCATTGATGCCATTCTCACGATATTGATTCTTCCTATCCATGAGCATGGAATGCTTTTTCATTTGTTTGTGTCCTGTCTTATTTCCTTAAGCAGTGGTTTGTAGTTCTCCTTGAAGAGGTCCTTCATGTCCCTTGTAAACTGTATTCCTAGGTATTTTATTCCCTTTGCAGCAGTTGTGAATGGGAATTCATTCATGATTTGGCTCTCTGCTTGTCTATTGTTGGTGTATAGGAATGCTTGTGATTTTTGCACAATGATTTTTTTATCCTGACACTTTGCTGAAGTTGCTTATCTGCTTAAGGAGTTTTGAGCTGAGACGATGGGGTTTTCTACATATAAAATCATGTCATCTGCAAACAGAGACAATTTGACTTCCTCTCTTCCTATCTGAATACACTTTATTTCTTTCTCTTGCCTGATTGCCCTAGCCAGAACTTCCAGTACTATGTTGAATAGGAGTGGTGAGAGAGGGCATCCTTGTTTTGTGCTGTTTTTCAAATCAAATGCTTCCAGCTTTTGCCCATTCAGTATGATATTGGCTATGGGTTTGTCATAAGTAGCTCTTATTATTTTGATGTATGTTCCACCAATATCAAGTTTATTGAAAGTTTTTAACATGAAGGGATGTTAAATATTTTTCTAAGGCCTTTTCTGCATCTATTGAGATAATCATGTAGTTTTTGTCATTGGTTCTTTTTATGTGATTACATTTTTTGATATGTGTATGTTGAACTAACCTTGCACCCCAGGGATGAAGCCAACTTGACCATGTTGGATATGCTTTTTGATGTGCTTCTGGATTTGGTTTGCAGTATTTTATAGAGGATTTTCACATTGATGTTCATCAGGGATATTGGCCTGAAGTTTTCTATTTTTGTTGTGTCTCTACCAGGTTTTTGTATGAGGATGATGCTATTCTCATAAAATGAGTTAGGGAGGACTCCCTTCTTTTCAATTGTTTGCAATGGTTTTAGAAAAAAAATGGTACCATCTTGTCCTTGTACTTCTGATAGAATTCAGCTGTGAATGCATCTGGTCCTGGTTTTTTTTTTTTTTTTTTTTTTTTTTTTTTTTTTTTTGGTTGGTAGGCTTTTAATTACTGCCTCTATTTCAGAACTTATTACTGGATTCAACTTCTTCCTGGTTTTGTCTTGGGAGGATGTATGTGTCCAGGAATTTATCCATTTCTTCTAGATTTTCTAGTTTGTTTGCATAGAAGTGTTTATAGTATTCTCTGATTGTAGTTTGCATTTCTGTGGGGTCAGTGGTGATATCCCTTTATCATTTTTTATTGGGTATATTTGATTCTTCTCTCTTTTCTTATTTATTAGTCTATCTAGCCTCTATCTATTTTGTTAATTTTTTCAAAAAACTGCTCCTGGATTAATTGATCTTTTGTGTCTCTCCTTCAATTCTGCTCTGATCTTAGTTGTTTCTTGTCTTCTGCTAGCTTTTGGGTTTGTTTGATCTTGCTTCTCTAGTTCTTTTAATTGTGATGTTAGGGTGTCAATTTGAGATCTTTTCAGCTTTCTAATGTGGGCATTTAGTGCTACAACTTTCCCTCTTAATGCTGTTTTACCTGTGTTCTAGAGATTCTGGTATGTGGTCTCCTTGTTCTCCTTGGTTTCAAGAACTTCTTGATTTCTGCCCTAACTTCATTATATTCCCAGGACTCATTCAGGAGCAGGTTGCTCAATTTCCATGGAAATTATGTGGTTTTGACTGAGTTTCTTAATCCTGAGTTCTAATTTTTTTGTGCTGTGGTCTGAGAGACTGTTTGTTATGATTTCAGTTCCTTTGCATTTGCTGAGGAGTGTTTTACTTCTAATTACATGGTTGATTTTAGAATAAGTGCCATGTGGCATTGAGAAGAATATATATTCTGTTGATTTGGGGTGGAGAGTTCTGTAGATGTCTCTTATGTCCACTTGATCTAGAGCTGAGTTCAAGTCCTGAATATCTTTGTTAATTTTCTATCTCAATGATCTGTCTAATATTGACAGTGGGGTTTTAACGTATCCTACTATTATTGGGTGGGAGTCTAAGTCTCTTTGTAGGTCTCTAAGAACCTGTTTTACAACTTCAGATGCTCCTGTATTGGTATGTGTGTGTGTGTGTGTGTGTGTATATATATATATATATATATATATATATATATATATATATTTAGAATTGTTAGCTCTTCTTGTTGCATTGATCCCTTTACCATTAGGTAATGCCCTTCTTTGTCTTTTTTGATCTTTGTTCGTTCAAAATCTGTTTTGTCCGAGACTAGGATTGCAGCCCCTTATTTATTTATTTATTTTGCTTTCCATTTGCTTGGTAAATATTCCTCCAATCCTTTATTTTGAACCCATATGTGGCATTGCATGTGAGATGGGTCTCCTAAATACAGCACACTGATGGGTCATGACTCTTTATCCAATTTGCCAGTCTATGTCCTTTAATTCGGGCATTTAGCACGTTTACATTTAAGGTTAATATTGTTATATATGAATTTGATCCTGTCATCATGATGCTAGCTGGCTATTTTGCACATTAGTTGATGCATTTTCTTCATAGTGTCATTGTTCTTTATATTTTAGTGTGTTTTCTGCAGTGATTGGTACTGATTGCTCCTTTCCACATTTAGTGTTTCCTTCAGGAGCTCTTGCATGGCAGGCCTTGTGCTGATGAAATCCTTTAGCATTTGCTTTTCTGGAAAGGATTTTATTTCTCCTTTGCTTATGAAGCTTGGTGTGCTGGATATGAAATTCTAGGTTGAAAATACTTTTCTATAAGAATATTGAATATTGGCCCCCACTCTTCTGGCTTGTAGGGTTTTTGCTGAGAGATCTACTGTTAGTCTGATGGGCTTCCCATTGTAGGTGTCCTGACCCTTTTCTATGGCTCCCCTTAATATTTTTTCCTTCATTTCCACCTTCGAGAGTCTGAGGATTTTGTATCTTGGGTTTGATCTTCTGGTGGGGTATCTTAGTGGTGTTCTCTGTAGTTCCTGAATTTGAATGTTGGACTGTCTTGCTAGATTGGGCAAGTTCTCCTGGATAACATACTGAATTGTGTTTTCCAACTTGGTTCCATTCTCCCTGTCTTTTTCAGGTACTCCAGTCAATCACAGGTTCGGTCTTTTCACACAGTCCCATATTTCCTGGAGACTTTGTTCATTTCTTGTCATTCTTTTTTGTCTAACCTTGGCTGCATGCCTTATTTCGGCAAGGTGGTCTTCAAACTGTGATATACTTTCTTCCGCTTGATCAGTTCAGCTATTGATACTTGTGTATGCTTCATGAAGTTCTTGTGCTGTGTTTTTCAGCTCCATCACATCATTTATGTTCCTCTCTAGACAGGTCTATTTAGCAGTTCCTGTAACCTTTTATCAAGGTTCTTAGCTTCTTTGCATTGGGTTAGAATATGCTTTTTTAACTGTGATCTTTAAATCAAGAAAGAAAATGAGAATACACCAGAATTGTGAAGGATGCCTCAGATCCTCCAGATCCTGGGGAGGAGAACATAGCCAAATAGCCCCTGTGATGGCATCTGCCTAATAAAATTGAATAAAGCACCGGTACGTGAGAGAGGCAGAGAACTTCCCTCTGTGACTCACCTTTCCACTGGGGATCCAAACCACCCATGCCAAGGGAGAGCACTTTGTTTCCTATCTGCTTATATCATTTCTGAGTGCCCCAGCTTGCTCCCCTAAGATCAGTGGTGCAGCAGGTCCCTCTCCACTTCATCCCTTGGCAGAAATCCTGGAATTTGGAGCACACACTTTCCTGGATCAGCAGCTTGAGCCACCTCACTATTCTGTTGAGGAGATTGTGTTTCAGTGGTGTCCTCTCTGCTCCACACCCAGGCAGATCTTCAAGCATTCAGACCATTCAGATGCTATAATCGTGCTCACATGACTCAGCAGCCTGAGCCACTCCACCCTTCCTGTGCATAGATTATGGTGCAGTATGGGACCTCTCTGCCCCATTCCCAGGCAGATCTCTAGGAATTGAGAGCACCTGCTCCCCCAGAACAGCATCATGAGTCACCCTACTCCTCCTGTGGTGAGATCCTGGTGCATGATGGCCCTCTCTACTCTATTCCCAGGCTTATCTCAAGGAATTGAAAGCACTTGCTCACCCAGAAAAGCACCCCCACTTAAAGCACAGAGAGGCAAGTTGAAGGAAAAAAAAGACCCATCTGTTTGTTATCTTCAAGACACCCATCTCACACATAAGCACACACATAGGCTCAAAGTAATGAGTTGGAGAACGATCTATCACTCAAACAGAATATGAAAAAGAGCAGGGGTTGCTATTTTTATATCAGATAAAACATACTTTAAGCCAACAACAGTAAAAATGGACAAAGAATAACATTACATAATGATAAAGGGTTTAATTCAACAAGAAGACTTAAGTATCCTAAATATATATGCACCTAACATTGGATTATATATGTATATCAACCTAGATTCATAAAGCAAGTACTACTAGACCTATGAAATGACTTAGACAGGCAAACAATAATAGTGGGGGACTTTAATACCCAACTGACAGCATTAGAAAGATTATCAAGGCAGTTCATGATGTGGGTAATACACATAAAACTAACACTGCGGCACACTGGAGAGACTTCTAAATTGAAAAGGTAAATTTCTGTGTTATAATCTTTTCCCTATCACTAATCAACAGATAAACCTGACATGTCATGAAGCCATGGAATATCAAGTAGTTCTATATGCCTAAACTTAAGTGGGATCAGGGTGGAGGAGGTTGGGGGGAAGTGGGTGGAGTAGTAGAGTTATGAGATCCAAGGCTGGGCACCAGATCCTAGCACCAAATCATGTCATATTTTAATGAGAAATGTTTAGAAACTTTCAGTTGATCTAAGAAGTGATGAGGAGAGAAAGAAATATTTTAAATTTGACATTATCAGTAATGCAATTTAAACAATCACTAGCCAGGCTGTCGAAGATAGTTTACATTGTACTTAAAGACAGAATACTAAGCAAGCTGTGATAGAAAGACAAATAAATAGAATAAGTCAGTAGTAGTGGAAACATAGAGTTAAATGATGAAGACTTAGGAAATATTAAGAGGTTTAAACTACTGGACTTGATGCTTAAATATAGGAAGACGAAACATGGGAGACGTGGGATCCGATTTACAGGTTTTTCTTTTTTTAGGATGAATGATTTTATGATTCATTGAGATGGAAAATACAAGAGGAGTAAGTACAATGACTAAGAGATATAGAAGACTTTTCTTCATTACTTAACAAACTAGCAATTCTAGTTTTCTGTTCTGCTTTTTTTTTTAACTGAACTGATGATCTGATATTTGTTTCAATGGTTGGATAGAGCCAATCAATTTAGATCTGTAAAGGACTTGTGATGTTGCATTCATGCTTTACAGAAATCTCCATGAGTAAAGAGAGCCTCTTAGGAGAACTGAGCAGTTTAAACTAAATACACTAATTTCACAGCTGATGACTTGAATAATCTAACCAGGCTCTGTATGACAGCCTCTTGTTCGACGTTTTAAGGGGATTCTATAATCTAAATAAATTTTCTAGAGGAAAGCTGTCAGTCTTTCAGTTTTGCTTGGCTTTAATCTGTGGAAAGACTCTGATAACCAGTAACACAGGATTGAAAATGATGCATGAAATAAAATCTACAAAATATATTGAAAAGTGAAAAGAATGATGAGTTTAGATATGCATAGTAGTTATCAATCTGTCTCTCTTCCTAAAGAGCCACATCTAACAGAGACCTAATATTTCTTCCAGTATACTTATGCTGTCCACCTTAATCCATGCTCATACTGGCATACCCAATACAAAAGAAATTTTGGTTGTTCTAACTCTTTGTGATTAAAAAAAAAGTTCCTTCTTACCTAATTTCTAACTTGCTCCCTGCATCTTGCTATATAAATACCATGCAAACCAGGAGATAAGAGACATCTAATACAGTGAATGGCTGCAAAGGATGTGTGAGATTAGTAGACAAAGAAAATGCATCAGAATGAAAACAGCATGAAATTTGACAATAGACGTATCTGGGTTTATATGTAGGCTGTGAGCCTTTGTGGCTGTGTAATGATGATCATATATCAATGTTACTTTCCTCACGTAAGCTGGAACTAATACTGAAGACATATTAGAAGTAGTGGGTTAGTGCAATTAAATAGATATGTTAAATTTAATGGTATTAGAATGACAATGTCATTAGAACATTTATAAAATGATTAGTCTAACACAAATACTACTTAAGACAATGTTAATAATGCTTTGAGAAATTTATTGTTCTCAAAATGTTAATACCGTTAAGTATTTTTGCTTAATGCACATTTTTTACATACAGTGTAAATTTTTTAGTTTATTACATCTTACTTTAAACACCATATGTTAGGCTGTTTGTGTTGCTATAAAAATATTTGAGGCTGGGTAATTTATAAAGAAAAGAGGTCTAATTGGCTCACATCTCTGCAGGCTGTACAAATGCGGTGCTGGTGTCTGCTTCTGGTGAGAATCTCAGGAAGCCTGCAATCATGGTGGAAGGCGAATGGGGAGCAGACATCTCACATGGCAAGAGCTGGAGCAAGAGAGCAAAGGGGGAGGTGCCACACACTTTTAAACAACCAGGTCTCACATGAACTAACTGAGCAAGAACTAACTTATCACCAAGGGGATGGTGATAAGCCATTCCTGGGGAATCCACCCCCAGGATCTAATTACCTCCTACCAGACCCCACTTCCAACACTGGGAATTACACTTGAACATGAGATTTCCAGAGAACAAATATCCAAACCATATCACACCATATTTGGAATAATTTCAAAGTTAAAAACTTAAAGGGAAATTAAAAAAAATAATATCCATAAAAATTATATATGATCAAAATAACCCTGGGACTGAAACATCCAATATTTAACATTATTTTAACTTTAATTTTAAGAACAGTTATGTAGGTTTAATATATAAGTGAAGCTTCATATGTACTCTACTTAGAAGAGTTAAATAAGAAGTACAAAATTACTTAAAAACTGTGATGTATTGCATTAAGGATATTCAAGTTTATTTTACTAATCTCTGTTGGTTATCATACAATCTCTACTATACACCTCCTATAGAAAACTGTCTTGAATTTTTGTATATTTATCTGTGTGTATGTTCCTGTCTGTATGAGAAGAGGGATTGTCTATTTCCCCTGAAATATGTATGCATTTTTCATTTCTATTTGAAGAATTCCAAAACTGAAAAATATACTAGTGACATTCCTTAAATTTGAAGTGTTTCATGCTTCTAGAATAAATTGTTTTTTAACATTATTATTTTGAAACCATCATGATTTATTTTTCAGTATTGCTGCCCAGTAAATAGGTATTAAAGAAAGAAAAAATAAGAGGAGAAAAGAATTCATTAAAAAGCAATAAAATCAGAAAAACAATGCTGGAAACTTGATGTAAATAAATTTCCAGGACCAGATAGACTTTTCTCAAGAGTTTTGAAAGAAGTCAGGGGTGAAATTGTTAGCCAAAGTACCTTACCTGTTGGAGTAAAATCTGCAGTGTCAGGGTACAAAATCCTGCCAATGTTATCGACACTCAGAAGGCACTCTGCAAACACAATTGTTGAGATTTCATTCTTTGGTGCCTATTTTAAAAATGTATTATGAGAAAGAAATTTCAATTCTGCAAGCACAAATATACCTTACTAAACTTTTCATTCATTAATTAATTTATCTAGTATGCCAATGGGACTTTTTTACATGATCTTTTTCCAAAGATTATGAAATATTTCTCTTTATGGGTGGATTATTTTCATCATGTGTACTCTATACAGACAAGAATTAAAAAACAGTTCATATGACTGTATGTCAATGTCAATAGTGATGCTTCACTGTAAACCATGTTGTCTTTAGGCTTACCTATATTTTAAAACATTATTAGGAAAATAGAGTACAAACAGTTAAATTCCTATTTTACTAAATTCCTAAAATTCCTAGTAAAAAAAACTGTTAAAAATAATTTTAAGAGTTTATGGAAGGTTAGACAACACATTTTAGGTATGGAAGTCATTGCCAAATGGGGTTACCTATTCACACATACACACACACAAATGTACATAATGTAGGACTCAAGTCTCACACAGAAATAAGCACTATTTTTGTCAAATAAAACCAGCAGCTGACAAATTTAATAGCAACATTATCCAAAGTGCCACTGAAAGCTGAAAATACAGACTCAAAGGCGCTGAACTTAACTCACGAGTTAGCCAGGTTTTAACATGAAATCGGGGAT
The DNA here is from genome assembly GCF_000001405.40 of Homo sapiens. Taxonomy (NCBI): domain Eukaryota; kingdom Metazoa; phylum Chordata; class Mammalia; order Primates; family Hominidae; genus Homo; species Homo sapiens. Next base: position 47,978,031 of record NC_000014.9, read on the forward strand.
ACTCGCCTGAAAGTTCTTAAACATTGGAAAATTTCTGGGCTAGATAGATTATTGATTAGACACAGGGTATCATTAAGTTATTTACCTGATCATACAGACATATTTGTCTAATATCTAATTTTTGTCACTTTATTATAAATATATGGAAAGAAAATCAATCTTAAAGGTTTGGGATCACATTGAGTATTTAAATAATAGTGTATTTAAATAAGTTATTTGGTGTGTTAGTGGCTGAAGATAGAAAACCAATAGGAGACATCTCAGGTTCTTAAAGGTCACAGTTAGGCATTAAATACAGCAACACTTAGGTAAATATTACATCTCTCTCTTTACTTGTGGCTTTAGTCATGACACCAAATGTGAGTGCTCCAAAGATGCATTTTATCTAGTGTTTTCTGGGAGGTAAAGAGTGCTTTGAGATACTAAGGATCTGGATCCACACTAGGCAAAGTCCTGGGCCTGATTCTGTACAGGGGTTATTCAATCCTTTATCTTGTAGTTGATTTATCTTTAATCTAATGAGAAAACAACAACGGAGAAAGGGTTGGGGGAAGCAATCACCATTTGTTTGATATAAGTGATAGGAGTATGGCATGTAGGAGCTGATCTCTCCTATGAACAGAATTTTCTTATAGTCTCAAGTAAGAAAAAAATCTTTCAAGGAAAAGGGAATTCTCATTCACCAAAAGGGAATGGCACGTACACATATATTTGGGGGTAAACCTGAAACAAGTATCAAAAGTGAAATGTGCCCAGAATGAAAATTGGCTTCTCCAGGAGGTAGCATGGAAAATGCGAAAGAAAGAAAAATGGAAAGTAAAGCTGTTTCATTTCATTGAATTTTCTTGAGAGATGTTAAATTTCAGCAAGTTGTTTTGTTTTCAAAACATCTGCCCAAGTGTGTTCTCCTGTGATTCTTACAATTGTTTTGATAGTTGGCACTGCTTCTGGGTTTGCATATATGGAACTGATTATTTGTCACAGTGGGAGTGGGTACATTTACATTTCTTCTTGGCTGCAGAGAAAAAAAATGTGCTGCTTTATGACAGTACAAAGAGAGGTCAGAGAGATCCAGATATTAGAATCATTTCCAAACACATAGTGCTTGCTATTCCTTAAGTTGCAGGGTGACATTTATTTTAATGCTATTTAAATGCATCAGATTCTACCACACTGTTTGGCATGCATGTATTCATGAGAAAGTCTACATTTTGTGCATAATGCATGGAGTTTAAAGCTAATCATGTCCCATTTTTACATAGTTATTAAGTATCAAAAATGTTTTCATTAATCAGCTAGCATTTAGTTAATATAAAATATCCATATGATTATATCTCAATTAGTTGCCTATTCAAAACAGTGACATTTTGTGTGTTATTGGACAACCTTACTGCCCACACAGATGGTATGCAATAAAAACATTAGCCAAATATTATATCATGACTGGTTGAACAAACTAAAGCACATTCATCTTAATAAAATACAATATAGATCAGGCCTCTGCAGAAATCCAACAACGAAATTATTATCAAAACAGATTGGTGTTCACTCTAACATATGCTGCCAATTGAACATATTTTGCATTTGTGTGTGTAACAAGCAGATACAGATATGTAATATTCTGTCTTTGATCTTGAGCCCATTTTACTTAATATTAAACAACAAACACAAAAGCAGATGGATTATAAAGTTATGAATTTGAGTATATCTTATGACCATTTGGAATACACATCATAAGTATGCTATTAAAATTATTTAAAAGAATTATTAACTACCATGTGAACACTCATTAGTAAAATAATATCCTTTATTCATTAGTAGTAAGATATTTGTATGAAAATATTCCTAAAATAGAATGCAATTCTTAGTAATAATCATAATAAGCATTCATTATTAGTATTACTCTTACAGTTTTTAACTAGATTATGCCTAGGTTTTTATCTAGGTTTTATCTAGATTATGCAATTAAATACTTATAAACACACTGAAAAAAATATTAATTACCGTCTAGACTTTTCTGATGAAGAAACATAAGTATAAAGAGATAAATTAAATTTTCCAAAGTTATACTAAAAATAGCTGGTCATGAGGGTAGGATTCAGATCTAGGTAGACTAACTCCAAAACCCATAATTTAAAGAAACAGCTATACTTTCTCTTCAAATATATTCACTCAAAGTCATGACATCAGTGTTGAACTTTATTATCACTCTCCATAGAACCACTTTATATAATAAACCTTAAGGTCATCAGGTAAAGAGATAATTCTTATTGATTTCTGTAACCTGGATACCTAGCATATTGCCTAAAATAAGAGCAGACATTCAATATGCTTAAAAGATTGAAAGACTAAATGAATGAGCTACTGATGGTTGAGTTGCTGATATACATGGTGGTGTCCTGGGAAGCATCCACTTTTTAAGACATACTTGTTGGTTGTATCCTCACGAATATGTGCGGATTTGCTAGATTAAGACAAAATTGCAAGAGCCCTCAGAAATGCACATATATAAATGTATACAACTACACATATATTCATAAATACACATAATACATATATGTACACAGATATAGATGAAAATATATTTTACATATTATTGTAATGAACAAAAATATTGAACTGTTTGCCATTTGCAATAGATTCTCTTATTCTTGTCTCTTCTCCTTGGTTAAAGGAAAAATTGTTTAGAATATAATTTTAGAATCTGAATGCATTTTGGCAAATGAGTGAAGGCAGTAATTGCTGACTTATCACCTTATCTGTGACAAAAATCTCTCTTAGCCATTAGCTGGTATGAGAGCTTTTGTTTCTCAGTTTTCCTCTAATGATGCAGCTCCACTTACCCTTTTTCTCTGAATAGCAAGGGTGAGTTGGTTAAGATTCATATAAACAGTGTCTTGACAATGAAGAATTACATGGCCCAGTGGAAACCATATACTAAATAGCACCCAATGCTTATATTTAAATACCCATATACAATTACCACAAACCTTAAGATTTATTTCTATTTTATTTCCACATGCTTTTAATTAGTGGAGCTATCAGGCACATTTTCAGTATTTTTTAAAGCAGTGATCTGTGTAGTTCACAGAAAGCCATTTTTCACCATAACATTTCTCTAAATTATGATTTGGTAAAGTAATAATCTTTCTAATTCTTTGTTCATCATTCAGTGAATTGCTAAGTCTAAAATTTCCTTCATAAGCAGAAGCATTTCTTTGGTAAGTATTAGTCTATCCGATTCCATTTTTCTGCAACTCTCTCTTGTAATCCATTTTTCACATCACCTCTAGATTGATGTGGTTTATAAAATGTCTCTGTATGTAACTATCTATCTTCCAAAACCTATATTATCATCATTGCTATAAGGACAAGCTCCAAGTTCCTTCTCACAGCAAGAAATGGACATCAAAGTTTGATTCTTTCTCACCACCCTTCTTCTTAACTAATTATTAACTTTGTTCATTGGCTGCAATATTCTTCTCTATTTAGGATTTGTCTCTGAGACAAAAAAGACCAATTGAATGGGCCTCAGGATCACCTGTGACTTGGAGGTTCACAAGAAATAAAGTCAGATTGAAGTAGCATTCCTAAAAGAAATTACAAGAGTATTTCTGAAACAAAGACACAAGGCTATATTCAGAGGAAAAATATGTTAATAATCAGAAGAGTTATGTACTGAGGTCTGCTGAGAAGGCAAATATCAGAATAAGTAGAGAAGTCAGTGAATTGGAAATCTAAGAAACATAGGAACAAGAGCAAAGTACAAATTCAATTGAGCAGTATGAGTTATTGATCCAACTGTGATATCTTATAAGACATCCTTTCATTCAGTGTTCACACACTGGATTTAGGTGTGTGTGTGTTGGGGGGGTCAGCACAGCTGCTTAAACACTGAGTTGGAGGGAGCTTAAATTCACTAAGACTCTCCTTTACAAACTCTTCTAAATGTGCTCCATGAAAGGCTGTAGCACATTTAAAAAATCCTTTAAGAGTAAAATGTGAGCTCTCCCTGACCCTAAAATTGAACTGACATCTGTGGTATCATGAAACTTGAACCACTCCTATGGAACACTTCAGTTCTTTTTTTAAAGCCTTTAATCTTGATTGTCAAGGCAGAATTGTCAAAATGGAATCACGAAATCTGGTTTCAGAAGAGAACAGTAAAATACAGGCTGGGTATGCTTGAGGGTGAGTAACTATAAGCTCTAAAGTTGGGATTGGTAAGACTTTATATATTTCCTGGAATGGACCAAAGCAGCATGGCCGAGTACTGGAATGGGATCCTCAGGAAAAGTATTTCACAAAAAGACCTGATAGCAGTGCTGTCCCCTAGAAATGGGCTTTTAGAATTTTATAAGCCTAGAATGCTTTGGTTGTCAGGAAGTTTTTTCATTCTATGTGACATTTTAGGAAAAACAATCAATGGGTAAGGGATCATAATTGCCATGGTGGTGAGTTGAAATTTACGTTGCAACTTTCACAGGTAGACTTGATTATGAAGAAAGGGTTGACATGATTATCTGATTGGGAGGAGACACATCACGTAAGGATGCTCAAAACATTAATAGCATCTTCCATTTAGATTTTGGTCTGAAAGGAGCAAATATTGGAACCAATAATTTCTAGAGGGACATGAAAAGAATTAAACTGAGTAACATGTCCAAGAATACGAGAATACTATAAAATTTATATTGCTATTTTAATAACATATTCTTAATTATTTTTAAGCTTCTCTGTTGGTGTATAGAAATGTGAATATTGATCTTTTATCATTTTGTAAACAGAAAACCTCAACGGAACTATAGATTTTCTTGGAAATTATAGGAATTTTACAAATGATATAATCATTTGTAATGAAAAATGAATAGCAACAGTTTTGTTTCTTTCCAACCCTTATAACGTTCATATAATTTTCTGAAATTGTTACTTGGCTAAGTCCACCAATACATGTTCAATAGGAACTATGTCAGATTTTGATTTTTGTTGATGATTTAAAAATATTATCATATTCTTCACTAGTGTTATAATTGTTGTAAAGTTTGACAGGTACTTGTTATCAGATTTAGCGTGCTGCCTTCTATTAATATTACTAATTTTATAAGTTATAATTTTTTATTAGTTTCAAGAATGAAAGATGAAATATATTACTTTTTCTGTATCATTTGAAACACTTTTTCCTTTAAGCCCGTTGTATAATCAGTTACATATTTTTAAAAATAGTTTCATTGTCTTTTAAAAGTCATCCTAGATTGGGTGGGTATTTGTTAAAAGCTTTGCATCTGTCTCCATTAGTAAGATTAGTTTATAATTTTGATTGCTTTGACAAACAAGATTATCTTAGAGAGACGAAATGGACTTTCTCTTATTCTTTCTTATTTGGGAAAGTTTATATAAGACCCACATTATCTCTTCTTTGATACTTTGTCTGAATTCACCTTCATACCAACCTGAATTGATATTCTTAACTATATTTTCAAGTCCTTAATGTCTCTGTAATTTTAGGGGCTTTTTAATTCTTTGTAAGATTTCACTAGTTACATTGTTTCTAAGATTTTATCTTTTTCATGTGTTTTTAAACTTACTGGCGCAAAGATTTTAACAATATTATATATCATATTTTTCCATCTTTGAAAACTTTTTATTTCCAACTTGGTTCATTTGTCTTCAATAATTGATTAATATCACCAGATGCTGGGCTTTATTACTAGTCTTTAACAAAACAAACTGTGCAATGATATCAGCAAGATGGCAGCATAGGAGGTTCCCTGTTCATATTCTCCCAAAGCAACTATAATTTCACAGCCATCCATGGACAAAAGAGCCTTTGTGGGAGCTTTGGGATTTGGGTAGGAAACCTGGTGAAGCTGAAGACCTCAGAGGACTCTTTTAAGAGGACAGACCTCCCCACAGGTGGTAGGTTCACCGACTGTACTCGTGAATCCAGATACAGAAATGGCCTGTCACCCTGTGGACTCAGCTACAGTCTTATTTGGCCTTGGTCCTGCCACCAGAACCATCCACCACTGGATCTGAGAGAAGTCATGCTCACTTGTGCTTGCATGACAGGCCCACTGACGTTGGTTCCAGCTGTGGACCCTGAAACAGCCTTGTAATACAGTCCCAGCTCTTCTTGGCTGCGGTCTGAAAGTAGCATTGCTCACACAGGGGACTAGTGCCCATTGTGTTCCCAGGACAGGCTTGCAGACTCCAGCCAAAGCAGATGCTGAAATGGTCCTATAGCGTGGCCCCCACCCCTCAAAGCTATGGTCTGAGAGTAGTTCCATCTGCTCACTGACCTAGAAGACATGCCAGTGTGTTCCCTCAGAGATGGCCCTGTGACTCGGTTCCAGGCCCTCTTAGCCATAGTCTAGGGCCGAAGACTCACCCAGTGACCCAGGGGGAGCCCTTCCAAGGAATAGAGGAAGTCACACTGTCCACACACCTGATAACAGCCTTGCTGTCTGTGGACCTTGAAGTGCACCCTCATCCCAATGTCAGCCTTACTGATAAAAGTATTAGAGGCATTCTAGTCTACCAAGAGAAAAGACAGGATGAATGCCCACTTGAGCCCCTAGTAAAAGACCTGCCAACTGCAGACCCTAGTGTGAACCCAGTGGCACCACATGATCCAGCTCCAATTCCACTCAACCGTGATCCCAAAGGCAATCCGATAAGCCTGGAAATGCACCAGGAGAAGGTCTTTACTTACTGAAACCAGTCTGTAAAGACTGGAAGAAGTGTTTGCTCCTTCAAATGCACAGACACCAACACAAGGCTACACAGATGAAAAAGATACAGGCAAACATACCACCAAAGGAAACTTGTAAATCTTCAGTAACCTAAATTTGTGGGATACAGCAAAAGTAGTTCTAAGAGAAAAGTTTATAGCAATAAATGCCAACATTAAGGAAAGGGTAAAATCTCAAATAAAGAACTGAGCTTCACACCTCATGGTACTGGAAGAGAAAGAATAAATAAAGTCCCAAATCAGCAAAAAGAGGAAAATAATAAAGATTGTAGCAGAAATAAAGTAGAGACTAGAAAGACAATAGAGTTGTTTCTTTGAAAAGATAAATAAAATTGATATCCTTTTAGCTAGACTAACCAAGAAGAAAGAGAGATGACTCAAATAAATAAAATTATAAATGAAATAGGAGCCATTAAAACTGATATCACAAAATATAAAGAATCATAAGAAACTACAATGAACACTTATATGCAAAAAAATTGTCTAACCTAGAAGAAATTGACACACTCCTAGAGATATACAACCTACCAAGACTGAATTACAAGGAAGTGGAAAATCTGAACAGAGCAATAGCAAAAGGAGATTGAATGAGTAATCAAAAAAATCTCCCAACAAAGAATATTCCAGAACCAGATAATTTCATGAATAAATTATGTCAAGCATTTAAATAATGATTAATCCAATCTTTCTTTAATTCCTCTAAAAAAATTAAAGAGGGAGACAACTTCAAAACTTTTTCATAAGGCTAGCATTATCCTCAAAGCAATGCCATCCAAGAACACTGCAAGACAAGAACACTACAGGCTGAAGAACTTGATAAAGATGGATGCGAATTTCCTCAAATATATTAGCAAACTGACTCAACAGTACACTAAAATGATCATCTACCTTATTCAGGTAAAATTTATTCCTGGGATGCAAGGATAGTTTAACTTATTCAAATCAATACAAGTGATACTCCTTATTAACAGAATGAAGGGCTAAACGTCACATGATCATCTCAATTGATGCAGAAAAAGCATTTGACAATATTCAACATCCTTTCATGATAAAAACTCTCAACAAATATCGTATAGAAGTAATGTGCCTCAACACAGTAAAAGCCATGTAGACAGCTTACAGTTAAAATTATATTCAGTAGTGAAAAGCTGAAAGCTCTTTAGGAAAACAAGTGTGCCCACTCTCACCATTTCTTTTCAACAAAGTGATGGAAATCCTAGCCAGAACAATTAGACAAGTAAAAGAAAAAGCATCCACATTGGAAAGGAAGAAATTATTTTTTTTCTGTTTGTAGATAACATGATCTTATATTTTAAAAAGACTTTACCAATAAACTGTTTGAAATAATAAATTAATTCAGTAATGTTGCATGACCCCAAATCACTATTTTTAAAACATTCCATGTACTTTTGAACAAAGTTATATTATCTGATATTTGGGTGCAGAATTTTATGAATGCCTATTAAATTAAATTGCTTACATGGTTTAAATCTTCTATATTTTTACTGCTAAGTACGAAGCAGAACAATAATTGAAATAACTGTATCAAAACCACCCAAAATGATGTTTGTCTACTGGTCACTATACTTCTATGAATTTTGTAAATACATTCGAGAATTTATTTCATGAAATTTCATAGTTGTTATTTTGACCTAGTAAATTGTACTTTTTAATCATATATTTTGTATGTATAATTCAAAATCAATTCAAGAAAAGAGAGAAAAAACATAAAACTCAATATTATATATACTTAAAAATACATATTTAAAAATCTTGGTTAATAGATATGTAAGATATGAAAGGGAGATGGAAAACAAGAAGTCTATTTTAACAATGAAGACAGTTTAACTAAAAAATAAAACAGGAATGGTACCTCATTCAAACTAGTAAATTGCCATAAATTGAAGGATAAGACTCACTCCTTGAACTATGTACCTAAGGCCCAAGAGAAAAAAAGAGGCTGGGCGCTGTGGCTCACACCTGTAATCCCAGCACTTTGGGAGGCCAAGGTGGATGGATCACTTGAGGTCAGGAGTTCAAGACCAGTCTGGTCAAATGGTGAAGCCCTGACTCTACTAAAAAATACAAAAATTAGCTGGGCGTGATGGCACGTGCCTGTGATGCCAGCGACTCGGGAGGCTGAGGCACAAGGATCACTTGAACCCGGGAGGCAGAGGTTACAGTGAGCTGAGATGGCGTCACTGTACTCCAGCCTGGGCAACACAGCAAGACTCTGTCTCCAAAAAAAAAAAAAAAAAAAAAAAAAAAAAGGAAGAGGAAGAGAGAGAGTTAGTGTAGAGGAAGAAAAAAAAGATTTCTGTGTATGTATTATTGAAGTTGGTGGCAATGTTTTTTGAAAAAAACTCTCTAAAATTCTGAAAAATTGTTTAAAAATATGAAAATAAAATCTAAGTGCCAAATCATATACAAATGATAATGTAGAATAATCTTTTCATTGAAAATTAGACAGAAGAGGCAAAAAGTAGGATATTCCTTGTTTAAAATCTTGGAAAGAAAAGCAAATACCATTACTTCCCTCATCCCCATAAGGAAAAGGTAGTGTGTAAACTGTCTTTGTGGTAAATGTTTTTCCAGTCTTTTAAATATTTGCCTACACATTAAGTTATCAATTTATTGACAAATATTTTCCTCAACATAAACATGGCAATCAGACTTTATAACAATATGCACACATCTAAGAGAAGGACAGTGGGCTTTACTAACTATTGGAAATCATCTATTGTTTTTGGATTTAAAAACAACTTCTTAGTTATAAGAATAATACACGTTTATTTTATCAAAAATTTAAAAATACAGATAAGCAATTAAAAACAGTGAAGAAAGACTTTTAATTTCTAGAGCAGAGATAACTATAGTTGGTGTATAAACTTACACATAGTCTTTGTATGTATATGGAGAGACAGGTCGTTAAGGTCATTCCATATCGATGAATGTCAATGACCAAACTAAATCTTAATAGGTGAAAGTATCCCATAGCATGATGATTTATTTACTTTGGGCATTTGTGCTGTTATTTGCCACATGATTTCAGTTACTATCCTATATTGTAGGTTGAGCAGTCCTAATCAGAAAATCTGAAATTTGAAATGCTCTGCCATCCATAATGCTCCAAAATCTGAAACTGTTTGAGTGCTGTAATGGTGCCACAAGTGGAAAATTTTACACCTGCTCTCATGTGACAGGTCACAGTCTAGATGCAGCCAAAACTTTATTTCATGCACAAAATTATTAAGCACAAATTACCTTCAGATTCTGTGTATAAAGTTTCATATGTATGAAGCATAAAAGAATTTCCTATTTAGACTTGGGTACCATCCCCAAGATATCCTATTATTTATATGAGAATATTCTAAAAAATATCCCAAAATCTGGAACACTTCTGGTCTGAAGCATTTTGGATATGGGCTATTCAACATGTATTTTCTGAGATTTACGTTCAGAAAAGGTATTACTGGAGTGAACAAAACTAATACTTTTGAGGATTTTTAAAAAAATTTGGTAAAGTTGGACAACTTAAGAAAAGTCTGTGTCTGTACACCTGTCAACATTGTGGGGGATTTTTCCTTTGAAAGTGAAACTCTGAGAAGTATATGTAACTGTGCATGTATGTGTATAAATAGAAAGGTGATAGATAGACTATTAATATTGATGCACAATTATCTGTTTGAATGGAAAATTTCCGTATTGAAGAAAATAATTTTATATTATAAAGTAATGAATCATTAGTCATAGATGGCAGAAATATACTGATGACTTTTTCTTCTGAAATATATTTTACATATATTTGATTTTTATGTTTGTTTTACTGTCATGAATCTATAAAATATTTATTTAATTTCTTTCTTTGGTAAATGATTAATTTTGATTTTAACTTTATGTGTTTAAGAATTATTGGCTTCCCTACACGAACAAATTAGAGCTTACTGAATGTACTGAAAGATGATTAAAATAAATAAATATATTTTAAAACACAGGAGTTAAAAGTGCTTTCTGTTTTTGAGAATTTGGCTTGAAATAAAATCAAACAACATTTAAATTTGAGAAAAAGTAGGGGCTTGGTTATGAATATTATTGTGAGATATGAATAAACTTTAGAAATATGTCAACATTTTAAAATATTTTATTGGGATTTTATTAGATTTTAAACTGATACAAATAACTAAGACATTTCTTAGAAAATAGCTTTCAGATATCAAATTTAATTTAATGAATTGTTATTAATCATATTGTTTGTGATATTGTCACTGTGAGATTCATGAGAAACATGCCACTTAATACGGAAATTAATAACATTGTATTTCCTATCCCTGATTTCAAACTTTTTAATTTTTCTGAGAATAGAAATTAAGGGACTTGTTAAAAATTAAATTGCAGTCTAGTACTTGCTCTATCATTTAATTCTGGTACAGCAGTTTTATCTTCACGATATTACTAAGTAATTTTATTACTTTTGATATTCTTCCCCCCACCCCCGGGGTAATCGTTAGTTCTGAAAAGTCAAGCTAAATGAAGTCCACTGACACAGATCCCATAATATTTCATCACAGCACCTGGTTTTTAAAATCTTTCAAAGGAAATATCATTATTGTAACCATTTCTTTCTTTATTTTTTAGCTGGGACTATCTGACTTCTCTACTAAGCTCCATGATAGCACATCTATCTTGATCACTGTTATATCTCTTGAGATAAGTGATTGTATGAACAACATACTCTTTTATGTTTAAATTTAGATACCAACAGAATCATGCTTACCTCTATTTAATATTGTTTCAAATTTCTACAAAGAAGAGAAAGGAGGCAAGTGGCTGATGTGGGGGTGGGAAATGGTGAGATGTTCCTCAAAGTTTCATTGTACAAAGTGTATAAAGTTTCAGTAGGAGGAATAAATTCTGAGAGTCTATTGTACAACGTAGTGACTATAGTTAATAATAATGTATTGTAAATTGAAAATTGCTAAAAGAGTAGATCTTAAATGCTCTCACCACACACACACACACAAAGATAAATATGTGAGGTGATGGATATGTTGATTAGCTTGATTTAATCATTCACATATGTCAAAACATCACATTGTATACCATAAATATATGCAATTTTTATTTGTTAATTATATCTCAATAAAGCTGAAAAATAATTAAATGAGAAAATAATAATACTGAAAATTATACTGTTTCTTTGATAGTTTATGTGGAACAAAGACCCATTTTTGTTGGTAACAACAACAAATAATTCCTAAAAATGTGTTCTAATTAAGTTATGTCATCAACCTACAGGTAGTTGCCTGGAGATGAATCAGCACATGATTCTAGACTGAGTGTTTTCAAAATCATTATTTTGAAATGTAGAGGTAGACCAGGAGTGGTGGCTCACACCTGTAATGCCAGCACTTTGGGAGGCTGAGACAGGAGGATCACTTGAGGCCAAGAGTTCGAGTCCAGCCTGGCCAACTTAGCAAGATTTTATCTCGACAAAAATAAAAAATAAAAACAATTAGCCAGGTGTGGTGGTGCGCACCTAGAGCCCATCTACGTGGGACACTTGAGCCCAGTGTTTCAAGGCTGCAGTAAGCTATCATTGCACTCCAGCTTGGGTGACAGAGTAAGGTTCTCGCTTTCAAAAAAAGAAAAGAAAGAAAAAGAAAGAAGGAAAGAAAGAGAATGTGGAGGACTAGTTTGGGAAGGTAAATTTTTATCTACCAATGCTGGCTGTGCTAAAATTGCCAGAGAAGGTGTAGTGGACTTTCAAATAATTAGAATAAGCTACCCACATTAGGAAGTATAAATGTGGTTATAAAATGTATCATTAAGATCTCCATGGCTATTTTCATGCTTATATCTTTTGTTCTTTTTACTTTGCAATATTTTCTTCTAAATACTTATTTTGGAGTTACTGTTTGAAGAGCTTCTTCTTTGAAATTAATACTCATAATACACCTTGCAAAGCTTTTCAATATTATCTTGTACATTCAATTCAGATAGTATCTTTTGCATACATTAATATCACGAATATGAAATCTGCCGGATTGTCCCGTAGAACTGATGTTTATGGTTATTTTGAATCAACATAGAAATTGCACCTCTCAGTCTTAAAAAATAAGAAAATTATAGTTGTCTTATCAGCATTCCTTTCTGAGGAGACCAACTATCAGACCTCCCAGATAGTAACAAGGATCTGAAACTTACCAGAACACCACATCTGAACGAGATGCCAGACCCCTCACCTGTCATGATTGCCTAACCAATCACCTGCTTCTTGTTGACCAACTCCTCTTTCTCACTCCTCCCTAATTCCTATTTACTTGCATAAATTTACATTCCTTCCCTGCTATATAAACCCCCAATTGTAGTTGGACAGAGAAATGGATTTGAGACTTTATCTCTCATTCTCCTTGGCTGTAGCACTTGAATAAAGTCTTTTTCACCATCAAAGTTCATTATTTCAGAGATTGGCTTTCTTTGCTGTAAGCAACAGACCTAGACTGGATCCCTGGTGTTCCGTAACAAATATCTATTGAGTTTTATTTTTTTCAGTGATGTGATTTGACTACTATTTTTCTTAGTAAATATGTTACAATTTTTTTAGTACTAAAAAGTCATAAATAAACAGTAAAACTTCATTCAGGATTACTATTTCACACGATTTATTTTAATATCTATATATACACATTTTTAATTAAAAATATTAAATATATTCCATAAAAGTCTATAATGGATGTGTAGTAATTTTATTAAAGCAGTCTTTTTTCCTTTTTCTTTTCTCTCCCTTTTCCTTCTATTTCCCCCCACCGATATCAAGTAACCCATATTAACAACCTAGTTTGTACCCTTGTATATTTTTCTATTTGCCCCGATAGTTCTAGAAAGATTTTTATAAATATAGTGGGTTTGGAGGTCAACATTTGACAGAAACATGTTCATAGTATGAGTTGTTCTGCATCTTGTTTTTCTTACTCAAAACATGTCATGGAAATCCACGTATATAACCTTGTATAACTCAATTATCATTCATGTGTCTCTTACTGACTTCCAAAGATTGTATCATTAATTTTAAAGTTATTTTTGTGTGTCATGTGAGAGATAGATACAATGATTTTTCCCAGATGCGTAGCCAATTATGCCAAAACTGTTTACTAAGTCATCTATCATATATTAAATACCTTTATGCACTGGGACTGATTCTGAAATTTTCCTAACCATTGAAATATATTTTGATTACAGCGGTTTTGTAGTATGTCCCTCCAACTATTCTCCTTTACTCAGATATTTGTGGAATAGTCTCAGCAATTATTATTTCATATTATATGTAATATTGCTCTATCCATATTAAGAATCAATGTTATAATTATTATTAGGGAAACTGAAAATACTATAATAGCCCTACCACTGAAGAACATGGTACATTTTCCATTTTTTTATGTTGGTATTATGTCTTTGTTTAAGTATTTCCTAAGTGTTTACACTTATTTTTTACTTTGAATTTTTCTATTTTATATTTCTGAGTTTCCATTTCTACTCTAAAGAAAATGCTATTGTTTTTGAATATATTTACCTCATATCAAATCATATTATCTTGTAAATTATAGTAGATATTTATAGGTATTCTTGACATTTTAGATATGTATTAATATTAGTAGCAACAAAAGTACAGTTTTAACTATTTTCTAAAATTTCTAGTATTTATTTTCCTATTGATATTTTATTTGCTAAATAAAATCAGTAAGTAATGGTAACGATAAAGGGCATCTTTATTCATTTAATATTAATTTACATTTTTTTAGTCCCTCACCATTACTGGTATGGTTCTTAATGGGATTTAGAATTGCTTTTTATTTTACTTATATATTTTATAATATTTCTATAAAATTCAGTATTTTTATTTGAAATGCATGTTAACATTTACCAACTATATTTACATCAACCAATGATATTATTTTATTTTTGGTTTCTTCTAATTTATTATGTAGTAGTTTGTCAGATTACCTGATATTTAAATGGTCTGCATTCCTGAAATAAATTCTACCTAGAAATAAAAGATTACATTTGATAAAGTGTAGCATTTTGTTATTATATTTAAAATTTTGCATCTATATTTGCAAGTGATATTGTTCTATATTATATTTTTGCTTAATTTATTTGGTATTAGTATTAAATTTTTGAGTCTATATAGATTCTTATGTATTTTTCTATTAATATTAAATAATAATACAGTTTACTATGATTTAGAGGTGATCATTTGAAATATTTCTTCTACTTTCTAGATATTTTAAATTCCTTTTTTCTTGATATATTGTTTATTGCATATATATTTCTTAATATTCAAGATATAAAATATATTTATCATATTTCTTATTGTTTTCCTCACTGTATTAGATTAGGACCAGAGAATGAGGCTTTTTTTAGGTTTCATTTTGTTAAGAACCTATTTGAGGATGAATTCATATTTGAGTTTTGTAAATGCTACCTGGACTTAGAAAAATGCATATTCGGTGTTTTGGTGATTTACATTTTATATATAAATGAAAAGTAATGTTTGTTTATCATTCAAATCTGGTATGTCCTGCTTTTTATCTACTAGATTTGTTACATTCCACAGTGGTATCAAATAGTCCTACTATATTATTATAAAGTTTACTTTTGTTTTATTTGTCTTATTACCTATTTATTATCTATCCTAATGTTAAACTTCAAAAGTGTTCATGTTTTCATTACGTAAAGTTCTTTCCAGTGTGTTTTAATTAGTTTTCCCTTTTAAGATGTTAACCTTTCCAGTATAACTTGATTTTGTTAGAACTTTGTTTGTTTGCTATATTTATGATCATCTCTTAATTTTCAACCTTTCTTTATTGCTTTACTTTTGATGCTTCATTGATAACAAAATAGAAATGGATGTTATATATTATTTTGTTGTTAAATGGTTTTCTACTAGCTCAAATTTATTGTGAATATCTATTTGGTATATTTTATTCCTTTTCTTTTAGCTGTTATTTATTTTATTTTGTTGTTCCTCTTGCATTTATTTTATTTTGTCTGATCCACTTGCTATTCATTATACTTTTTATCATTTCAAAGTTGAATTTTCTATTATAATTTCTCTATTCTTTCCTTATTTAGTTTGTATTTTCTTTGCTAGTAACCTTTTTAAAACTGCTTAGTTCTCTATTACTGTATGTCAAAAGATACCAATTATTTCCTGACCAAGGATTTCTCCTTTCCTCTGCTTTCTGCACCCACCTCAATTACAATCCACAGGTATTATTAAGTTTTCTAGATTAGTTTCACTTCTTCATTTTTTGTAACCCATACTTCTTCACCCCTACCCTTCTTTCATGAAAACAGTGAAACATTACCTCCTTCCCCAGCACCAAGCACACACAGGCTAAGTTCAGATGAGAAATCATTGTGTGCTTATTTTCTTATTATTATTGGAGTTTCCATGGCAGCATTTTTATAACCAGCATTTAGTTATGTACATTGAACAGTCTAAGATCTTCTCTCTACCTTTCAGCTCCTCTTTTCTTTGGATAATTTTTCTCATTCATTTCTTGTTTCATTATATTTCTTCCTTGAGAATTTTCTTATGTACAGATCGTTGGTAATACAACCCAAAATTTTGTAAGTCCCAGTGATTCTCTTTGCCCTGATGAATGAATGCCATCTTTGCTAATTATAGGATTGTTGAATAACTTAATGCTCACGGTAACTAGTAAATGTTATTCCACCATCTTCTAGTTTCTAGCGTAGAAGATGAAATGTGAGATACAGTTGTGATATTTTTCCTCAGTATGTTAATTTTCCTTTCTTTCTGGAGTCTTGTAGAAGTTTTCTTTATTCAAATATTCAGGAATGTTTGTAGATTATGTGTCCATATGTCTATGTCTACTTAAAACCTTTCAAAAATTTAACACAACCTTTCAATCTTCTGAATTGTATGTTTCTTCATCTCAGAAATGTTTTAAAATAAATTTAATGCTTGGGTTCTGTGATTCATGCCTGTAACTCCAGTGCCATGGGAAACTAAGGCAAGATGGCTTGAAGCCAGGAGTGCAAGATCAGTCAAGGCAACATAGCAAGACTCTGTCTCTACATTTTTTAATTTTTTTTAAATTAGCTGGATATGGTAACACATGCCTGTAGTCCTAGCTACTTGAGAGGGTGAGGTGGGAGTATCACTGGAGCCCAGGAATTGGCGGCCGCAGTGAGCTATGATCTCATCGCTGCACTCCAGCCTGTGTGACAAAGACCCTGTCTCTAAAAAAACAAAGATAAATAAATAAATAAATTTAATTAGTATATCTCCTCTTCCTTTTGCCAATTTTTCATATTCTGAAATGATATTGATTGCATTTTAGATTTTATTAACTTTTCTTTTTCTTTTTTTTTTGAGATGGAGTCTTGCTCTGTTGCCCAGGCTGGAGTGCAGTGGTGCAATCTCAGCTCACTGCAACCTCAGCCTCCCGGGTTCCAGTGATTCTCCTGTCTCACCCTCCCGAGTAGCTGGGATTACAGGCGCTCGCCACCATGCCTGGCTTTTATATATATATATATATTTTTTTTTTAGTAGAGATGAGGTTTCACCATGTTGGCCAGCCTGGTCTTGAATTCCTGACCTCAGGTGATCTTCCTGCCTTGGCTTACCAAAGTGCTGGGATTACAGGCATGAGCTACTTTGCCCGCCCTGGAAAAAAGAAAATATTCTTCTCCTTGATCTTCCTGGCCGTAATTTTATGTCAACAGTGACAGTTAACTCATTCATATGACTCACAGTTTTAGTTGGGAACTACACATTTTTGCAATTTGTATTTTTATGAATATTGTTATTCTTATTTGTGGTGTTTTTTGCTTCCTCTGTCTTTCCTATTTTAGAGCATACTTTGTTTTCTTCTGTCTTCTCTTTCTTCAGTAGATTGGCTTTGCAAAAACTATTGTTATTTTCCTCTGTCACCTTGCTGGGGCTCAGGTTTAGTTGATGACCTCAGATAAAGAGAATCTATGGGCAGGCTACTATTCCTCCATGAAAGCACCAAAAGGAAGTCATCTCTCTCTGTGGTCTTCTAGAACTTTGCCAGTCCAGGAATAGCAAAGATCTAACCCCGTCTCTCCATCCTTCCTTAGGTTCTTGGTGGCCTGTGAGACTAGACCCATTCATGTTGGGTGGTGCCAAATTTCAACAAAGGATAATGATTGTAAAGGATCGACTGTCTGGAATCCCTGTGTTCTAATCTTTACCAAATATATCCTTAGTAGTAGAATGATCTCTAGGCCATTATCTACTGACCTAGAGAGAAGAAAGTGCTATAGTAGCTCTTCCTACTGGGAACTCTGTACTGTCCCAGACCTTATTATCAACCAGGCTCAGCAGGCTCAATAGATTCCAGGCTCTGGAGAGAAATACAAATTCAGAGGGAGGGGGCTGAGAAGCATTCAGTTTCACCAGTGTCACAAAAATTCTCAAGTGCGATTCCACTGATTAGGTAGGAAAACATGAGCTAGCAAAAATGACAGGTTATAATCAAGTAAATATTTTAAAAATAATAGCATTTTACTGACATATAGACAATGTGCCTTTTTTCTCTTCAGGGACTGAATAAACAAGCTCATGCTATTTCAAAACATGCACAAAAACATGTATATGCACAGGCATAATTCATGTTTATGTTCATATATATACATACTCCTCATTTTATTTTTTTTATTGCTTACAATGCCCGTTGTAGCCGTCAGCCCCGGTGCACTCACAGAATGGAATAAGAATTCTCAGCTTGTGTTTGGAACTATTGCACTATAAACACAGTTGTATGTTCTCTAGAAATAAACCTCTCTTTCTTGATTCTTTAGGTTGTTTTCTACCCTAAGTTATCGGAAACATTTTTACTGGGCATCTGCATCAAAATTCATGTGCAGCTAGCGTGCCTAGTGAAGCATTGTATTCTTTACTTTACATTCAAGATAGTTGAGTGATTCCGCTTAGTTTGAGTGGCACTCTGCCACACATACATTATGGGACAAGAAGAACTCGGAAGAATCACTGAAGCTAACCATACATTACATGCATGGCACACTCACCAGATGTCTCTCCTTACTTTGTTATGGTTTCATAAAGCTACACTGACGTTGTCATTACGTTCAGAAATTTGATTCTGCTCACTTTGCCATCTTTCAAATAGATAACTCTGAAGGTTGTTGCTTTAACAAATAGAATTTGCACCCACAGTTATATCACTAACATTTGTAAATAATTATGTTATTCCACTTATTTATAATAAGTCATAAGAGAGTAAATGCAGAAAGAAGAAACCATACCAGGCAAGAGCATGAGGAAATTCTGTAAATTCTACCACTGAGCTTTCTCTCCTACAGCATTCTAAAAACAACAAAAACAACAACAACAAAAACTGGTTCCTGTCTCTTTTACTCACTTACGGAGGTGTTTGTTGTTTATGGTACATATTAACATATATGACTGAGACTGTAAAATACCACAAATTGGATCAGAGTGAAGCATTCTCCTCATTAACATTTATGTAGCTTAGTTACATGGCTGAATTTGGCTTTGTGGTATAAAACTAGAAATACTGATCTCAATTTTGCCATTGTTGGCGTTCTTTCTTCTGGCCCTGATTATCTAAGCCTGCCTGGGTGATGCTGTGACTGTCTGAAGCATGGGGAAATACTCTTTTGCTTAGAGCATTGCTTTTCCATCAGGCCATATATACTACAGGTATTTCAACTACTGACATTTTCCAGTAATCAAAAAATCATTTAAAATTATACCATACCATTTTTATAAATAACCATTATATATAAGGATTGAGTGTGGAGATAATTAAAGGATTCAATTTTTTTTCACTTGTTTGTGTATTTTTGCATAAAGTCAGCTTGGGATTAACTTATTAAACAATTTCTATATTCCTTATGCTTTGATAACTCTGCCAATTAAATTGTGAATTTAAAAATATATATTATTTAAATACATTTCACTGTCATTGAATCATTGAATTTACTACTAATATCTCACTTATTTCATTTCATTCTCCAGTTTACATGTTTAGAAATAAGAGTCCTGAAGACTGGTGCCTGATTACTAGCCCTCAGTACTTCTCCTCTTCTCTTCAACATACATTTATTTGGCATTGCAAGTGTATGTGAATGACAATTCTTCTTAAGTGATCAGATTTCTTTCCATGGAGACTAGATATTTATTTGTGTTTTTTCCTATTAAATATGCTATTGTAAATTGTTAATTCTAATGTTTATGGAGAATAATTTTTTATGATAGGTTGGACTTAACCTCATCTATTTATTTTCGGCATTATCTTGCTTTAGTTTACTTTTCCTGCTCCTTCTTGCCCTTTAGAAGTCACAAATATTTAAACATGTTAAAAGTAGGGTTCAGTAATACATATACTACTCATTCCATTTTGATTTTGAATATATTTTGAGAAAGCTAAAGTGGAAAAACCTCTTATTCTCTATTTGGATTGTTGAATATTGTAGTTTTTCAACTTTATTGTTATTGAATAATAGTAGTATACAAAGAGATGTATTTAAAAACTTAAGACATGATAAGAATTCCAAATTCTCTAGAGATGACTAAATTGGTATTATGTCTATATTATGGGATAAAATTTACTTTAATCTTTTTCTATATTTCAATATTTAAGGTGATTCATTTTCTCTTGCATTTTAATAATAAAGCTATAGTGGTATATATTAATAAACTGTAACATATTATGAAAGTAACTTTATTTTTGTCTCTGACTTTCCTTTTAGGTTTCAGTAAATTGTTCTTTCATGCCCAAGGTCCATGACTCAATAATCACTCTTAAATAATAAAGGTTGCATTTTATTTCTATTTAAAAAACAAATGTTCAGTTCAAAAATTAAAATGTCTACTCACATGTATTAATCAGAAGTTCTTTCTTGATTTAAGGAGACCTCTCTCAACACCCAATATGGGATCTTTATAGGTCCTGAGACTCTAGATGGGAGCATGGCATGGCTAATTTTTAAATTTTTCCTTATCTAGTGTTTCCACTTGTGAATTCTTGAAGATGGAAGCATATATAGAGGTAAGAGGTATGAGAGCAGCATAGTTCATTCCTGATAGATACGTCAAGGTGATCTGACATCAGTGCCCTCTGAACTAAACAAATGCTCAAAGATGACGTTTTGGGGGCTGTCTGTTGCCTTCTGATTTCCAAGGAATCTTTCGTCAGCTCCTTGTAACCAGTTTTTGGGTGGCTGTGAAAGGTCCACTATAACTGTACAAATACGATATTTCTAGTGATAGCAAAGCATTTCAAAGTCCTTTTTAATTTTCTTATTCTATCTCATATAATAAGCAAGTATCTTATTATATCTTATATATCGGTAATGAGATTATCTTTGTGTGTTTGCCTGTGTTCTCTTTCAGTGGAAACAAAGCTCTGTAACGATATGAACTGTTTTGTATCTATTAATACCCTTTCAGGTTTTATCACTATTTTAAAATAGCTAGCTCATGGATGTTTGCTACTTGAAGGAAATAGTTTCCTACTTTTCATTTTAATTTTAATTTATTGTTATTCTTTTTAAATGTTTGGGAAATAGTCCAAGCCCTGTTTTTTCTTTTTGTCATAATAATATTTCATTAATTTTCCTTTGAAATCTATTCATTCATAGACCACATTTTTTCTATGTGATTTCCTGAAACATAATTTTATAGATAAATATACTTATTTATACTTATTTCTGTGGTGAGGATAGAAATATATATTATTTTTATATGATAAAACTTGCGTTAATGTGCTCTGTGACTTTGAAATGCCTTGCTAACACTAGAAATGCAGTGTTTATACATTTTTAAAATATTTGCTATTTTGAGATTGTGGGAGGGACTCTATCCTGCTCACATAAAAATCTTCTAACAATGTTTTTTTTTGTTTGTTTGTTTGAAATTGGAACCCTTTTCTCATTGAAAACGCAAAAACAAAATATGATTTATTAACTGTCCTTATTTGTTAAACTGATTTGTAATAACGCGTTCTTTACTAAAATTGTACTTGTGAAGAAACATCCCCTTAGTTTTTGTATCTACTTTAGAAAGTGGTGGTCTATTTGTTTAAAGCCAAGATTTACAGCCATCATTAGGAATGGATTGTAATTACTGACATGTTGGTGCATGTACATCCTAAGAGATAGCATGGCGGAGTTAATGAGACACATGCATTGATACAGAATTTGCAAATCATCATGACTAATTTTATCATAATAAGTTAAATAATACCTCATGAGTTCCCTTCAGTTTAATTCTCAGTATTAATCTAATTTATATCAGAAATATATGAACTATAAAACATTTTCTTTTCAGAGATGTCTATTTTTAATTTACTTAATAATTACTAAGCATGAGTAGAACATCCCCTATGTGCCATGCACCATGTCAAGCACTGGGGACACAGAGATGAGTCAAACAGTCTCCGTATTAAAGGAGCTCAAAGCCTACTAATGAGAATGAAAATAATGAGATAATGTAATTTACTAGAGTAATTACCAAGCTCTTATTATGCAGAAAACATTACTGAAGCAGAGAGAAGATTGTGTACAAATTCTGGTGAAGTCAGGAAAGTTGACCTGATCATGGAAAAACCTAAGTTGAAACATAAATATGTCTATTTTTCTTAATTTTTATTTATATCTTAAACCAAAACTAAGTTGAATCTACATGGCTGTTTTGCAAGTAAGAGCAAAGCAAAATGTGCTTCTGAAATCTGCTTACAATCAGGCTAGAGAGCAGGGAACGGATGAATAGATTTTCATTTTATTCAGGAACTCAGGAACAAAAAGGATCTCCTCATTCTTAAATTTGTCTATTATATTTAGATAACAAGTCAGTTTGACAAATTGAAAAAATATGTGAATTGTTTGAGTTGGCCAGGAATAGAACAAGAAGGGGTATGATAGCCAGCAAATGTAAGATGAGGAAAAGAAAGCAACCATTGCAAAAAATTGTTAGAAAGGTAGAACATTTTCTTTGAAGAGAAAAGAATTCCTAAAATGAAGAAACTGAGCAAGATGAGAAGGAAATTACTTTAAAATTCCATTCTTTCAAAAAATCAAAATCCTACAAAGATGCAAAAATTGTTCATATGTTACAAACAGACATGTCAACTTTGTTTCCCTAGTCTCATTAAGTCTATTGAATTCTTAATTCTGAATAAACTCTTCTGTTATTTCTAAATTTTGAAATTTTGAGACTGACCCTGTGGTAGGGTATTGATCATCTAAATGCTATTTTACATTTGTTTTCCTCAAAATCTGCTAAACTTTAAAGGTAAAAGTTTTGCTGACATCTAAAATATTTCAGAGTGAGATCACAACTTGCATATGTAGTTCTCAGATTCACTGCCAGCTTTTGACCACTGTTACCTTGGATAACTACTGTCTTTTATACTTTGCAGATCACTTTAGCTTATGTTTTCTAATTTTACATCTAAATAACATTTTGAAAGTTATTAAAAATAATTTCAGATAAATGCATTGATTCATTCCCTACATTGCACTGCCCCTTCTATAGACTACACAAGCAGTACTGACTTCTGGAAATTTAATTATATTACTTATTATTTACATTCATGCTACCCACTAACTACATTTATCACGGAACTACCATATATTTATTAACTTTCTCCAGTTATTCTATTTTATACATAAAACTTCACAATGTAACTTAGGGCAGAGGCTGAAATGTCCTGAAAGAATGATATGAATGGAATCAAGATAAATAATATAGCGGTAGGAAGAAAGGAGTAAATAAAAAGAACAATGGAAGTTGTATCCTTAATATAAAATAGAAAATTAATTTTGTTTCTTGTGCATAATTTTATAGCTGTGGTAATAATTTCAATAGAGCATTTATGAGATGTTTTAAGATTCAGCAATATTATTTGAATAAGAGTTCCACTTTTCTGAGTAATTCTATAAAGGATGATTGTGAAGTAGAGGGTTGTATTTTGATATTATTCTGAAAAAAAGAAACTCCAATTCAAACATTAAAATTCTGTCGCATCACAAGAATGAAAATGGTGTCATAAAAATAAATAGGTTATTTTAATAGAGGATCAACCTATGGATCTTAATATACTTTAAAGGTACTTCTGCTTGAGATTGAAAGATCAAATTTAGTTGATTTTCAGACAAAATAGGAAATCTGAAATTATTTAGCAAGCATTCAAAACAAATATGAGACGTTTTGACCATAAAATAATTTTACATAAGATTAGATGTAAATCTTACAGACCATTAAGGAAAGTAAGAATTTGCTATTGTGTTATAACAGCAAATGAGCTCTTCATCCTTTACCATTATAAGATGGTGTCTCAAGAAGAAAATGTATTTTCATTTCTGCACCAGTCATTACAGTAACCAATAAATTAAATTCTGTTGGCTGTCAATCATAGGAGAAATTCACAAAATTAAAAAGAAATCAACAGAAAACTGTAGAACTGTTTCTAAAATTGTCGCTGGATAAACCAACTTGTTTTTTAAAACTTCCTTGAAGAGAACAGTGAAACACTATACAAAAAAACCTTCCATGATTTTGACAAAGGAGTTTCTTTACTATCTAATTTTGCTATAAAAATAATGTAGGAATTATATAAACAATAATGATTTCTTTAAAATATAGGTTCAGTAATATATTAAATCAAATTGTACATAATTGATTTCTAATATATCATTGTTGGTTCATTTTTAAATTATTTTAATGTTTATAATACAGCTAAGTCATATGTAGATCAATAATTTGCCTTGTCAATTTAATTATTCTTTTTATAACAAAATACCAATAAGAAGTCTATTCTCTAGATAGTAAAATTAAATTTGAATTTATCAGTTCAAGTCCCAGCAAGTATTAGAGAATAAAATCTTATTTAAACACCATGACTCTATTCTGTTTGAGACTTCTTCTTTGCATGACTTTTTGATGGTAAATGCCTTTCTTCCTGTAGGGACATAAACTTGAGATCCTCTTTATAGCATTTTGAAAATAATATGCTGATGATGGCATATCCTTCTCAAATTGTGAAATGATGGACATATCCAGTCAATAAGAGACACTTGGGTAGTGAATTTTGTTCTAGATTCTAAAATTGTGAAATAACAGAACAAGTGTGCAAGGACCCTGTGGTGGGAGCATCCTAGATAGTGTGAGGAACTGTGTATGGTGCTTGAAGGGTGAGGGTGGAGGGAAATCTAGGGGTGAAGGTGGTGGCAAGAGAAGAGAAGGAGAGTAGAATGAGACAAATTTAGAGAAGTAACTGGGTGGGGGTAGTAAACACAAATAATGTAAAGTCCCTTTATTTGTAAATTGAAAATAATCATATAGCCTATGGCATGGCATTTTGGTGAAGACTAAATGAGGTAATCTTTATATCAAAGACCTTAGCACAATTCCTCGCAAATAATTAGCTAGTACTATGATTCTTCTTTAAATGCCACCATTAAACAGTAGCATTATGTAGAATGCTACTGTATTTTTGGTCTATATATTTATAGTCACATTTAAATGGAAAATAATTAAATTTTGTATGCATATTACTGGGTGTGAAACTCTTCAGTTTGTTTAAATCAAAGACTAACCTATTGACATCAGGACACATTTACAGAATCATGGGCTAAGAATTTGGATGTAACAAGCATGTTTACAAAGCCAATCAGGGTCACTATGTACAACAGGATGTTAAACAACGAACGATGATAAGGTAAATTTTATTTCTTTCATAAAAGAAGTTATAGATAACAGTGGTTTTAAAATAATGAGGTGATAGTAATCACAAAATAAGTAAATTTGAAATCAAAAGATGAAGATGAAAAATGTTATTAGTAAGATAAAAATGCAAATAGTAGAAAGTGCAGTGTTTTTGTATATGAAAAACTATAAAGGTTAATTGAGAGCAAGAACGGAAGAAAACTAGTAATGAGAATTTGGAAATTTTCAGAACATTGCGGAGAAACTTGATTAAATTTGAGTCAAATGCCTACATCTACTAAAATTCATATGTATATTTCTCCCCTAATAAGCTTTGTGAATATTTCGCAAGCATTTATAATCTGCATGTTTTATGAGGAAAGTTAAGAAATTAAAAAAAAGACACTTGAAAATTTAAAACAAAATAGCATTTTGAGTGGATTACAGGTTGGTGGGAAGACATTATAGATATCTATCCATGGTAAAATTAGATTATATCCCTCAAGTACTTATCCAAGGGTATATAAATAATTATAATTCTATACTTTTCCTTTTATAGAGATGTTTACAAACATCTCTATAAAATCCCAAAGATTTCCTCTTTGGGATAAAGCATCATCAGGTCTCAACCCTTCTTAAGCAATGTATCTATGTTAGCTTTCCAGCTCTCCAGAAAGCCAATTTTCTGCAAAAGTAAAATAAGACAAAGAGTAGGAATAAAATATGACTTTTAAATGTAAAAGCTAATGATATGTATTTTCCAGATCAGAATCCACAGTGTTTTATTTTCTGATCTTAAATTAAAATGCATTAACTTTGAAATTCATAAAGTCACCTGATTTGATAGCCAAACATTGTATTACTGAAATGATATACTCTGATTTTAAAAAGTCTATATTTCATTGATTTACCTACCTAAAATGTGCTTTATTTTTCTCTGATATTCCACTATACAGTAATTCAGTCGTAAATAGAATATCCTTACTTTTTCTCTGTGATTTTATAAACTTTGGGGCTCTAAATAGCACTTGTTAAAAGCAAATTAGCTTTAACAATCTTCTAGTAGGCTTATTTTTATCCCATGGTAAATAATTGATGGGAAATGCTTTTTACAATATAATGACTCATTATTGTTCTTAAGTGTGCTACTATCCTATGAACTATGATTACAAAGATAAATGAACTAATTTAATATTTAAAATACTATTTTCCCAAGCAATGTACCTCTTTATTTAGGTTGAAAATTGATTCAAAAGAATTGTAACTGGCTCAGTGACAACTATGAATATTTAGGTAAATTTCAGCTTTCATTTTATCAGATATTGTTTTCATTCATATGAATAGTTTATTGATTAAAGAAGAATTGGACCCAGTTTTACCACTGAACTTGGGATAAAAAGTATGGAGTATTATCTTTGACAGTTGCTAGTTGTATAGCTTAGGAAAGTCGTTTAGCCTCACTTTCTTAAATCATTATGAAAATTTCAACACACTGACTCCCTACTATAAATTTCTGGCTCAGTTTTGAAACTATATAAAAGGTTTTTTTTCTTTTATTTTCCTTCTAAACACTTTAAGTTGTAACATGTTTACATAAAGACCCACTGATTCCATTCTTCTGTAGTATTGTACCCTAGGATCCAAGTATAAACGTATTGATATCAGTGCTATTTGTAATTGCCCCAAACTGTCCATATGCTAATTAACAGAACAGAACAAAGTATTAATGAACAGTTCTTAAACGGAATTATATACAACAATAAGAATAATCAAACTAGACTTACATAGAATAACACTTATAAATCTCTATATTTTAATGCTATTTTTCTCTTCTATAAAACAAATAATAATGTCACCCTAATACAATATTTCATAAGACTATAAAACATTATAAAGCATTTGATCAGACAAATTCAAAATAATTTATTTTCTAGCTAAATGCATATATTTTGATGAAAGCTATATGCTTAAGATGGGTCCAATTAAAAGTCCCATTATAAAGATTTTAGATCTAGTAGAAAGACATTAAAATTTCATGATTATATGAAAGCAAATAGAAACCTATTATTGTTACAGTCAGAAAAATTGGAACTCCTGATTCCACAAACATGCTCTTCTTCCTTCTTGCCTTTGTTCAAGTGTTGCCTGTACCTGGTGTGCTCTAAATCCTATCTGATTCAGTTCAAATTCTTTTTTCATGGACTGTTTTATTTATTGAAAACCTATCATGCACCCAAAATCACATTAGGTTAGACTAAGGCTTTCTTCTGGTATGTCAGATAAACCCATGCCCAAAGAAGTTAATGTTCTATTTTGAAGTTTCTGCCCTGAATCATATCACATTTCCAGTAAAAATGTGATTCTCTTAAGATAGAGTTAGAATCGATTGTCAGACTAAAAGGAAAAAGAGAGTCTGATGCATATTACTCTTACTCTGATGTATATTAGTCTGATGTGTATAAAATGCATAATTGTTGCAAATTTTCAGCATGTGAAGGATAGATTAAAAATCCTGATTTTATTTAGTTCAAACGTTTTCTAAATAGGCATAAAGATGACTCTCCAAAGAAAGGACTTGTTTTGCAGCAGTTGGCACAAGGTACACAAATGTGTACCAGGTAGGTTCTCACTCCTGCAAAATAACTTAAGAGTAAGTACACAGTGATCCTGTAGAGCTTATAAGTGTCCTTAGGTTTAATTAGTAGCTCCTTCTTATAGGGTGAATGACTGTCAAATGAAGTCTCAAATCACAGGCTATGAGCTAAAGAAACTCCTGAGATAACCAGGTAATTAGCAGTCTAGGTAGATAGCACAGTGGTTTTCAAAACAAAGAAAGCAGACTAACTTTAATTCTGTCATACAATACAATCACACAGAGAGCTTATTTCCATTTGAAATTAAAAACTGAAACTGAGTGCAAACTGATGGATATAACATTTTTTTTGATATGCACAAATTTTAGTTTATATGGAAACTTTTACTAAAGTGGAATATAATCTTCAAAAGTAAAATATCTCTTTAAATTGCTTTTTTTGAAACTAAGGAATGAGTAATCACTATTCTGATTCTTTCATGGTTATTATTAAAGACAATTTTGTCATTGAAAAGGAAGGAGTATAGAAACCAAAATCCATTCAAGTGTCAAAAGTGTTAAGCATGCCACTGATAAAAGAACAAACCATTTTTCCAGCTTGGCTAAATGTTAGGTAGAAACTTAAATATTGATATGGAGATTTTAATAGAGATGGTTTTGGAACTCTGTCTTGATGTTTTTTATCTCTTTCTTTGCAATCTATTTACATAATTACCTACTTTTAATGTGTGATATAACAGATGAACAAATTTATGCCCCAACTGTGGTCATTAAAGCCAGAGGGAAGCCTGATACATTTGAAAATTTAATAGGGTCAGTTCATGTACTTCTATGTGTACAAAGAAACCAGTGACCTTCTGGAAAAGAACTGATTAAAAGGAAAAAATAATTGAGGGGTACAAGTTGGGATCAGGGTTCAGGGAAGAGTAATTTGGATTCAGCATTATTAGTGCATATTATTCAGATTATTTGCCTGCTTAATTAAATAAGCCCACAACTATGTGCTGTAGTTAGGAGAGTACAATAATAATGTGTAGACCAACTAAAGCCCCTAAGAGATGAACTAAATTACTTATCTACAATTTCACAGGATGTTAAAAACAAAACAGTTAGAATCCAGGATTGCCGTTTGGTAGAGCTGTCAGTCGCATCAGCTACAATGGCAATGGGAAGTAATGTAGCAGGCGAATAGTATCACCACTTCTCAAGGCTTTGGCAGCAAACACTGGTGCTATTGGCCTGTGTCCTTTGCCCTGTGGATTGACCTCCACAGCAGCTGTATTAGACAGATGATTGCCTTAACAATAGCGAAGCCCATAGATTTTGCTTCAGGGAGTCAGAGTGGGAAGAAAATGAAAGCCAAATATCATGGTTCAGACTATTAGTTCTCTGTACTTAGGTAAGACTTTTAGTTAACTATTAAGAAGAAGTTAGCAAGGAATGAGAATACCAGGTGAAGATGGAGCTGGAGAAGATGAAATAATATTGTCTTTATTTTTTTCAATGTTCTTATAATGATAGAAAATATAAACTCAGCCAAGTTTATTACTTTCAGCTATTTTAATCCTAGGGAAATTTCCCTTCATATGTAATATCTACTGTGTTCTTTAAGGCAATTAAGATGAGAACTAATGCCTTAGTGATGTCTATTCTGTAATATTTATTATTAAAAGATTTCTATTTTCCCTTGCCACATTTTTTTCCTACTGATTAATGGTTAATTTTGTAATTAATAAATTTGAAAGAGAACTTTAAGTATTGCTTAAATGTTGTTAAAATGTAACTTTTCTAAGCTACTTTTAATCAAAGTGAGCTCACTAAGACTCCGGAATTCCACTCATTATTTTCCCCTGGAAAAAATTAAAAAACTGACAAGATAAGTATCCTATGCTACTACAGTTTAAGAAAGCAAATAAAAATAGTGTTTTATCCCTGGTTTTCTAGGATAGCTTGGGCTGGAAGCATTGTAAGTCTTCCTGCAAGAAGAAAATGCTCATAAATTGTCCAGAAGGTTAAATTAAGTGAGTTTTGGAAGAAGCAATATTTGATCTTCTTAAATTAAAAAAAAATGTACATTGAAGTTTTAGAAAAACAAAATGAGTTTATTCCAAAATTCATTAGAAAATGGACCTTCCTTTTTTATCACACACTATAAAAACATGTTCTGATTATTAATATATTATTATATATTGATATAACATTCTTATTGGCCATATTTTGCTGATAGATTGATTTATGAAATATTCCTATTCTCACAATTTAGATTTCTTAACCCTCAATTAAATATTTGTATTAAAATTATACAGAGTGTAGATAGGAAATAGGCAGAAAGCTTGCATACACATTGCATAAGTTTAACCCTGATCTTATATACAAATTTTGTTAGCTTTATTCTTGTCTTGTTTCCAATGCACACTTCTTGCTAGTCATCTGTGTGGCACCTTCTGTCCCTTAGGTTTGTGATCTGTTATGTGTCAGGATAAATCTATTTATGCTGGTAAGAAAGATATCCAAAATATCAATGACTCAACACTATATAAATTTATTCTCCCACATACTGTAGGTTCCATATGGGTCAGGTGGTTCTTGGGTAAACAGAGTCACTCACATTCCCAGGGAGTCAGAGGCACTGCCACAGTGTATTCATGTGATTATGTAATAAGTACTTTCTTCTGTTGCTTAAAAATGGAAAGACAAACCTGGGGAATTACCCATGGGTTTTTCAGCACCTTAGCCAGGAAGTGTCAAATTCCTTCCACTCAAGTTTCACTGGCCAGAACTAGCCACAAGACCTCAATCTAATTGTCAAGGAGGCTAGGAGAGGTAAGGGAGGAAATGGGGAAATTTGGTGAACACCACTATCTTTGTCACAGTGTCCTTCTTGTCACAATGTTCTTCTTGCTAATAACTAAATTTATATATCTGAAACCAGCACAGTGTCTTGGAACTAATCTCTCATCTTTCTCCATCCTTGTGCGAATTTTCAAACATTGTCTGCTTCTGTATTCTATACCTCAGCTTTTAAAATGCTCTCTTGATAATCATGTATTGGATGTAAGAATTCCTTATTACCTGTTGTAAAAATGACTATACTCATTCAGTGTCTCTGTGCTCTCTGAATTATGCAAAAATCTCAAAACAAACATTAAAATCGAGTTTTAAAATGTGTCTCTATTCTAAAATTTGGTAAACTTTCTATTACAAGTACTTCCTCTTATTTCTGTGCCCCAGAGTCATTTGGAAGAGTTTGAAATCCTCCAATAATAGACACACTGAGTTAAATTTTCTTTTCCTCCTCACGTGGTTTTCTTGTTCACAACCCTTCCTGCCCAGAACATTGTTTCTCTACTTATATGAATTTTGAAAGTACATTGAGGAAAAAGACGAATTAAATTAAGTCAAGAGACAAATGTGGAATTTGATAGAGATTCAGTTGGTAGGTTGGTTTCCCTTTAAGGAAATTTGCTCCTGAGATTTTCATGATACATCAGTGAAGTGAAGATTTAGGTGAAATATAGGAACAGAGTGACTTCCCATATAAAGCTTACATCATGAAGGATACAAGTATGGGTATGCTCTGAAGATGAGCTAGCAGGAAAAAAAGATGGGAGAAAACAGGCTTAGTTATGGCACCTAAACTGTTCAATCAAAAAAATAATCACTCCTGCCTTGAAGAGAAGACAGAACTGGGGAAAATGGTAACGAGTGCTATTCTAATGAAGGGCCCTTCACATGAAAAGTAGTAAGAAAGTAGAAATAATATTCTCTAGTTTTTAAAATTCTTAAGCCTTTACAACTTAGCCATCTATAATTAACTGAGGATATGCTTAATGCCCCATAAGAGCTTCTGTTCCTTTCTTCATGAGGCCAACTTCCTGGAAAGACCATAGTTTCCTGTATTTATCATGCAATAAACCATAGGAGATAGCTTAGCTAGTCCAAAGTGAATTCCTTCTTTTATTTTTCATCTCAAATTGTGGCCAGAAAATTCCTCTTTTGGCCCATAATGGGTAATAGAGGCCGAATACACCCTGCCTGAAATAATAACAACAGTAGCAAAAGAATGCCGAAAAAGACGTAATATTTTCAGAACACTGGACCTTAGGCAAGGAAGGAAAAGAATTGGGAAACAAATAAGGTGAACCCTGAGATTGCCCAATCTACTGCTTTCAAGGAGGTTCCAGGCCACATTGCAGAGTCCAGCACATTTCCTAAATTGAAGGGACAAGGCTAAGAGTCTGGAGAGACCTAGGCAGCTAAAATTCACAGGACAGAGTAACAGAAAGAGGAAAGCATAACAGAGAAGGAGTCCAGGAGACTTACAGAGGGTCCTCCTAAAATATTCAGAAAAGTTCTAATCAGAACATGCATGTGAAAAAGAACCCAAAGCCAGGGTAAAAACAATCTATTTAAAAAAATAAGGTAATAACACTCAAACAAGGCCATGGACAGTGTCTTCTCCCATCAGGTAACCTGAAAAAATTCATAATTTAGGGAACATTGAACAGAGTGTCCAGAATGATCTTGGTTCAGTCGTGGGGAGGAATGAGTTCTAGACTAAGCAGAACGCCAGACCCACAGAGCGAGGCATAAGGGCAAGCTCCCAAAGAGCACACCATGTCCAAGTGACTTCATTGCACTCAGAACATAGCTCAAGAAACATTTTAAGAAGAAAAAATTATTCGTCTTGCAACAAGATAAAATTCACAATGTCGGAACTCCTTCAAAGATTACCAGGCTTGCAAAAAGGCAAAAAAGGAACCCATAAAGGGAAGATAAATCAATCAATCAAGACCCAGAATTGACATTGATGTTTGAATCCCCAGGAAACAAAAATTGTTAAACAGTTATCAAAATCGTAATAAAATGTAGAGCTATGGAAGGTATTTTTTAAATATAAAAAATTAGTTTTCTAAAGAAGAAAACTATGATACTTGAGAAGAAAAAGTTCTGAATGAGGTAATGGTATATTTGACGTTGTAAAATAAAATATTAATGATCATGAGGACACAGCAATAAAAACTATTCAAAAGGAAATACAGAGAGGATAATTTTTTTAAGAAATAAAAAGAGCATCAGTAATGTGAGAAAGAGGGTGCCAGTCGAGTTGGTCTCCCCTGTGTGAGGCACCCATGGGGAGCCATGGGCGGCCTCTGAGGAGAAAAGTCTCCTTATTGCCTTCATGTCTTTATGCCCTGAGAGCATAACCGCTCAGAGGCATTCCACAGGTTGCTCAGGGAGATAACACTCCCTTGAAGCAGTGGAGTAAAATCAAACATCTTGGCTCCTCCTGAAACCCGCTCCCACCTATTTCAGTCCCGATAAGTTAAAGATCGTAAGTAGTTTAGACACACGTCTTTGCTCAAGGAAATTCACAGAAACCGCCACTGCTATACATCTTATTGAATGACTCACGAGTTCTCCTTCACTGATTAATCCTTTTCCTTATCCCTTCCTACCCATCCCATCTGCCCTAAGAACAAAGAGCTTGTAAACCAATAAATTAGGCGGAGCCGAAGAGCTCTGGGCCGTGAGCAAGCCTCCAGCTCCGGTCCCCTGGACCTGCCTTTTAAATGCTTATTCTGTCTCTTTCTAACTCCTTTGTCTCCGCCGGACTCGGGGTACCCGCCGGGTGGTGTGGGGCTGGTTTCCCCACCAAGTTACTTTTAGGTCAGCTTCAAGCAGACTACTATATGTGTAATTGTAGACTCTGAGTGGGGAAGGACAGAATATCGAAAAAAATGGAATAATAATGGCTAATCTTTTCCAAACGTGACGGAAATTATGAACTCATATAATCCCAAAACCTTAATAAGCCTCAAGCAAAACAAATATGACAAAAATTGTTTGATTATGTCATTTAATTATGTCATAATCAGATTACTCAAAACCAGAGACAAAAAGAAAAGCTTAAAGCAGCTGAAGATAAAGCACATGTTTTATACAGAGAAGCTAAGATGTGGATGAGAGAATTTCTCATCTGAAACATGCATGGAAGAAAAAGGTAATGAAATATCTTTAAAATAGTGAAGAAAGGTTAAGAGTGGAAGATGAGGTTATATATGAAGATATAGCCCTTATCATGGAGACTGTTACCAAAGAGACCATGATGATGATACTCGATTCTGCACATTTGTCAAAACCTGTGAAACTGTACACTACAAAGAGTGAGTTTTAGTATTTGTGAACAATAACAAAAACAACAGTAAAAATAAAACAGATAGGATGTGGACTTACAAGAAATGTGTCTAACCATATTACAAATTATTCACAGTCACATTGAAGTGAATGGGGAAGAAAGTAGGTGACCTAAGTAAAATTAGAAAACAGTGTTTTGGGCCACATGGAGTGGGTCATTCCTGTAATCCAAACACTTTTGGAGGCTGAAGCAGAAGGATCACTTGAGCCCAGGAGTTGGAGATCAGCCTGGACAATATAGTGAGACTTCGTCTTTACAAAAAATTAAAAAATTAGCCAGGTGTAGTGGCGAGCACCTGTAGTTCCAGCCAGTCAGGACTCTTGAGATGGGAGGATCTCTTCAGTTAGGTAGGAGGTGGTTGTAGTGAGCTGAGATTCTGCCTCTGCACTCCAGCCTGGACCATAGGGTGAGATCCTGTCTCAAAAAAAAAAAAAAAAAAAGAAATAAAGAAATAAAACAATGTTTTGACTGCATATTATAAAGCTGAATATAAAATGAAGCAAAAAAATTAAAAATGGTATATAAAACAGTGTACTCATATTTTTCTCCATTTAACATGCAGAGCTTGATATTAACTACCAAACGAACTGTCACTAATATTCTCAATTTGGGCTCTTTTTATCCTATATTTCACACAAATGGCTAGAAAATATCTTCAGATCTGCAGGGTATTTGGTATTTGGGGTTTTGGTGTGACAAACTTATAAACTATAAGATAAGCTATAATAATCAAAACTATTTTTGAAGAATCCTAGGAAGTACCTTCATTAAGTCTGAAGTGCTATGGTTATGATATGATCTTACTGTGTATATCAGTTAAGATGGGGGTAGATACAGGATCATTGGTAGTGAGTAGGTCTAGTAACTGATAAGCAGAGCTATTGGAAGGATGCTTTTAATCACATTACTATGGTGTGATTTATGGTGACAAAAGTAAAGGTTACCATATGTATTTCTTGCTATTGAGCATTTTGAATTCCTTGTATATTTTGAATATTAATGTTTTATCAAATATGTAGTTTGCCAATATTTTCTCCCACTACATGGATTGCCTTTTCATTCTGCTAATTGTCTCTCTTGCTGTGCAGGTTTTTAGTTTGATGCAATCCAACTTGCCTATTTTTTGTAACATAACCAGTTGCTTGTGCTTCTGGTGTCATATCTAGCGTAACTATAATAAAAAAGACAAAGGCTAACAAATGTTAGAAGGGACCCAGAGAAACTGGAACACTTGAGCACTGTACATGGAAATGTAAATTGGTACAAACATTTTGGAAAACAGTTTGGAGATTTCTCAAAAAATTAAAAATGAAACTATCATATGATATAGCAATCCCACTTCTGGGTATATATCCAAAGGAAATTAAATCTGGATCTTAAAGAGACAGGTGCATTTTTATGCTCATTGAAGCATTATTCACAGTAGCCCTGATATCGAAACAACCCAAATACCTAAATGTTAATCAATAGATGAACTGGATAAACAAAAGGTAGGGTGTGTGTATATGTGTGTGTGTAATTGAATATTACTTAGCCATAAAAAAGGAGATTCTGCCTTTTGCAACATGGATAAACCCGGAGGACATTATGATAAGTGAAATAAGCCATACACAGAAAGACAAATCCTGCTTGATCTCAGGGATACGTGTAATCTAAACTAGTTCAATGTATAGAAGCAGAGAGTAGAAGGGTGTCTGCCAAGGATAGGAAAGAGGAAATCCTGAGATGCCGGTCAAAATCTTCAGTTATGCAAGATAAATATGTTCTGGAAACCTAATGTACATCATGGCTACTACAGTTAAAAATACTGTATTGATCACTTGCAGTTTGCTAAGAAAACAGATCTTAAATGTTCTCACCACAAAGGAGAAAGAAAGAAAGAAGGAAAGAAAGAAAGAAAGAAAGAAAGGAAAGAAGGAGGGAAGAAAGAAAGAAAGAAAGGAGAAAGAAGAGAGAAAGAGGAGAGAAATAAAGAAGAAAGAAAGAAGAAAAAGAAAGAAAGAACTATGAAAAGTGATGGATATGTTAATTAGCTTGGTTGTAGTGATCATTTCACAATGTATACATATATTAAATGATCAAGTTGTATACTTTAAATATATACAATTTCTATTTGTCAGTTATACCTCAATGAAGTTGAAAAAAAGAAAGCAAATATGGTTATATTGAAAGGAGAGACCTGAGAGTTGTTAAAACCTAAGTGAGGAACAAAAAGAACAGCAATTAGAACATATAGAGGAGAATTGAACTTACCCAAATTGTCTTTGTTCATGTGGGAAAACATTACAAAAGTACAGCTATTTATTTATAGATAATAAAAATATCACTTTGATAGGCCTTATATTATCAGTATTAAACAATTCTATAGGAAACAATTCTTATAATGAACTTCTTAGCCAAGCAAAATATTCAAATCCTGCTGATAAGAGAAAGCAGAAATTATATTTGTTTAAAGACCATAAAATCTGGCTCCAAGGAGCACATTTATCTTTCCTGGAAGTGAGATTTACCTGAACAGATGCTCTGGTACTTTTATTTGAAGTAGTAAGTGAGGCCACATGTATTTGCAGAGTTAGCACATATAAAAGATGAAAATTGGAAGTTGTACCCATTTTCACTGTTATGGGGATTGTTTTATGAGACACCCCAGATGTTACTCTTTGGCAAACAGTTGTTATTTTTTTTCTTTGGGGCTCAGAAGATTATCTTATGATTCTGGATATGTACCAAACTTACTCTCTAAGCGTCTGGCCTAATTTAGTCAAGCAGATAATATAAATGGACTTCCTTACTAACAAGGTTATGTATAAAATGACGGTTCACGTGGTTTGGGAATCCTTCATGAATAATGCTGCATTTCCCATGCAGGGTGATGTACTTCACTGTTTAATGAATGATGGCTGTTTGTAGAACAGAAGGCTGCATGTTCAACACAGAGACAAATTTCTTAATTTATACTGTGTGTTACAACTTCCTTTTGGCTCTGCTTGCTTTCATTATAGTATGAGATTTTAATACATGCTGAAAAGTAGGCTGATTTTGATCCAACAGCATTATTTGGTTAGTTTTCTTTTCATATACATGCGTAAAATGTCACATTTTTCCATAATTTCAATTTGTATTTTTAATATTATTTATAATAGCTTTTACTTTATTTGCTTAGCATTCAACCTATTTATTGAATCTTGGCAATAAACCAGATAGGTGCCACACATATATCTGTGTTCTGTCATTCTCCCATCTAGGTTCAATATCCAAAGCTGGTTTCATCTAGCCAAAATATGTCATGTGGAAACTTTCTTTTTGCCTCACTAATATTCTAAAGAGATGATGCCTCACTTTTCATTCCAAGTACTTAAAACGTTATCTAGGCTGCTGGATGAATGTTTTCTCACATGGGTCAGATGGCCACATTAAAAGAGCCAGAAGTTGTGCTCATCTGTTTCACTTAAGAAATCACAATCAGCATAACATCCAGTACTACAATAATTACCACTTAATTAACATCATACTAGTCCATTTGAATCTATCATGATCCATCTATTTTTGCACAGGTCATGCAGGTAAAATGAATAGAGATATGTTGGGAATCACCACTTTGTATGTAAGATTTTAAATGTGGCTCTAATCTCTGCAATGCCATCCTACGTGTATTGTAGCTTATCTTGGCTAGGAAGAGAAAGCAGTTTCAGGAGTTTCCATTTCACTATTCTTAATGTGTGATTCATATAGATTAGGGAACGAAAATCAGAATTCTCTTAACTTCAAGGCATAACCATGCCAATTTGGTACTCATAATTCAGACAAATAACCATAGGTTGGGACTAGAGATACATTGGAGAATCTGTGAGACATATTTTGGCAACAGTACATATATCAAATGTACTTCATAGTGTGCCAACTTAACTTGGGGGTCATGGCAGCATTTCATATAATCTAGTAGTAGAAATTATTCGCACGTTGTACCCAAGGGCCTTCAGAAGATCTGGGTATTCTCTCTTCCCCCAGAGTATATGTTTAGTCTGATAAGGACACCAGGTACGTTTGGAGAAGGGTTGGGAGAATATTTACTTGTGGTGGAATTACAGAGTTCTTTTTAAAATTTCTGTTTTAATTTGATGGCCTCTGACTCGGAACTGGCCCAATGTTGGAAACTAGATGGAACTTCCACTCACTCGGGTTTTTTATTTATTATTATTATACTTTAAAAGTTCTAGGGTACATGTGCACAACGTGCAGTTTTGTTACATATGTATACATGTGCCATGTTGGTGTGCTGCACCCATTAACTCATCATTTACATTAGGTATATCTCCTAGTGCTATCCCTCCCCCCTCCCCCCACCACACGACAGGCCACAGTATGTGATGTTCCCCTTCCTGCGTCCAAGTGTTCTCATTGTTCAATTCCCACCTATGAGTGAGAACATGTGGTGTTTGGTTTTCTATCCTTGGGATAGTTTGCTGAGAATGATGGTCTCCAGCTTCATCCATGTCCCTACAAAGGACATTAACTCATCATTTTTTATGGCCGCATAGTATTCCATGGTGTATATGTGCCACATTTTCTTAATCCAGTCTATCATTGATGGGCATTTGGGTTGGTTCCAAGTCTTTGCTGTTGTGAATAGTGCTGCAATAAACATACGTGTGCATGTGTCTTTATAGCAGCATGATTTATAATCCTTTAGGTATATACCCAGTAATGGGATAGCTGGGTCAAATGGTATTTCTAGCTCTAGATCCTTGGGGAATCGCCACACTGTCTTCCACAATGGTTGGACTAATTTAACAGTCGAACCAACAGTGTAAAAGTGTTCCTATTTCTCCACGTCCTCTCTAGCACTTGTTGTTTCCTGACTTTTAATGATTGCCATTCTACCTGGTGTGAGATGGTATCTCACTGTGGTTTTGTTTTGCATTTCTCTGATGGCCAGTGATGATGAGCATTTTTTCATGAGTCTTTTGGCTGCATAAATGTCTTCTTTTGAGAAGTGTCTGTTCATATCCTTCACCCATTTTTGATGGGGTTGTGTGATTTTTTCTTGTAAATTTGTTTAAGTTCTTTGTAGATTGTGGATATTAGCCCTTTGTCAGATAGGTAGATTGCAAAAATTTTCTCCCATTCTGTAGGTTGCCTGTTCACTCTGATGGTAGTTTCTTTTGCTGTGCAGAAGCTCTTTAGTTTAATTAGATCCCATTTGTCAATTTTGGCTTTTGTCGCCATTGCTTTTGGTGTTTTAGACATGAAGTCCTTGCCCATGCCTATGTCCTGAATGGTATTGCCTAGGTTTTCTTCTAGGGTTTTTATGGTTTTAGGTCTAACATTTAAGTGTTTAATCCATCTTGAATTAATTTTTGTATAAGGTGTAAGGAAGGGATCCAGTTTCAGCTTTCTACATATGGCTAGCCAGTTTTCCCAGCACCATTTATTAAATAGGGAATCTTTTCCCCATATCTTGTTTTTGTCAGGTTTGTCAAAGATCAGATGGTTGTAGATGTGTGGTATTATTTCTGAGGGCTCTGTTCTATTCCGTTGGTCTATATCGCTGTTTTGGTACCATTAACTTGCTGTTTTGCTTACTGTAGCCTTGTAGTACAGTTTGAAGTCAGGTAGCATGATGCCTCCAGCTTTGTTCTTTTGGCTTAGGATTGTCTTGGCAATGTGGGCTCTTTTTTGGTTCCATATGAACTTTAAAGTAATTTTTTCCAATTCTGTGGAGAAAGTCATTGGTAGCTTGATGGGAACGGCATTGAATCTATAAATTAGATTTGGACAGTATGACCACTTTCACGATACTGATTCTTCCCATCCATGAGCATGGAATGTTCTTCCATTTGTTTGCGTCCTCTTTTATTTCATTGGGCAGTGGTTTGTAGTTCTCCTTAGAGAGGTCCTTCACATCCCTTCTAAGTTGGATTCCTAGGTATTTTATGCTCTTTGAAGCAATTGTGAATGGGAGTTCACTCATGATTTGGCTCTCTGTTTGTCTGTTATTGGTGTATAGGAATACTTGTGATTTTTGTACATTGATTTTGTATCCTGAGACTTCGCGGAAGTTGCTTATCAGCTTAAGGAGATTTGGGGCCGAGATGATGGGGTTTTCTCGATAGACAATCATGTCATGTGCAAACAGGGACAATTTGACTTCCTCTTTTCTAATTGAATACCCTTTATTTCTTTCTCTTGCCTGATTGCCCTGGCTAGAACTTCCAACACTATGTTGAATAGGAGTGGTGAGAGAGGGCATCCCTGTCTTGTGCCAGTTTTCAAAGGGAATGCTTCCAGTTTTTACCTATTCAGTATGATATTGGCTGTGGGTTTGTCATAAATAGCTCTTATTATTTTGAGATACATCCCATCAATACCTAATTTATTGAGAGTTTTTAGCATGAAGGGCTGTTGAATTTTGTCGAAGGCCTTTTCTGCATCTATTGAGATAATCATGTGATTTTTGTCTTTGGTTCTGTTTATATGATGGATTACATTTATTGATTTGTGTATGTTGAACCAGCCTTGCATCCCAGGGATGAAGCCCACTTGATCGTGGTGAATAAGCTTTTGGATGTGCTGCTGGATTAGGTTTGCCAGTATTTTATTGAGGATTTTTGCATCAGTGTTCATCAGGAATATTGGTCTAAACTTCTCTTTTTTTGTTGTGTCTCTGCCAGGCTTTGGTATCAGGATGATGCTGGCAGCAGAAATTTCTGCAGACTTAAATGCCCCCGTCTGACAGCTTTGAAGAGAGTAGTGGTTCTCCCAGCACAGAGTTTGAGATCTCAGAATGGTCAGACTGCCTCCTCAAGTGGTCCCTGACCCCCGAGTAGCCTAACTGGGAGACACCTTCCAGTAGGGGCTGACTAACACCTCACATGGCCAGGTGCCCCTCTGAGACGAAGCTTCCAGAGGAACTATCAGGCAGCAACATTTGCTGTTCTGCAATATTCGCTGTTCTGCAGCCTCCGCTGGTGAAACCCAGGCAAACAGGGTCTGGAGTGGACCTCCAGCAAACTGCAACAGACCTGCAGCTGAGGGTCCTGACTGTAAGAGGCAAAACTAACAAACAGAAAGGTCATCCACACCAAAACCCCATCTGTACATGACCATCATCAAAGACCAAAGGTAGATAAAACCACAAAGATGGTAAGAAACCAGAGCAGAAAAAGTGAAAATTCTAAAAATCAGAGTGCTTCTTCTCCTCCAAAGGAATGCAGCTCCTTGCCAGCAAGGGAACAAAGCTGGACGGAGAATGACTTTGATGAGTTGAGAGAGGAAGGCTTCAGACGATCAAAATTCTCCAAGCTAAAGGAGGATGTTCGAACTCACTAGGGTTTTTTTGTTGTTGTTGTTGTTTCCTGGTTCTACAATTAAAGTTATCCATTGTTGGTGACCTAGCTATCCTCCACAAAGTTTATTAATGGATTAATAGTTTCCATTTCACCCTTTCTTCTTATGATAGTAATTATATCCACCTTGCCTCTGAAATGTAAGCAGTATAGTGCCTGTACTTTTCTAAATCCAGAATTCTATAACTCATATTGTACTAATGAGGTCAGTTCCAAGGCATCATCTCATTCTATCAACCCTGGGGTTTAGGAGACAGCACCCCAGAGCTCGTCAAGTATGCTGCCACATTTGTTCACTCCTTATTTTCTTAATGAAGAAAGTGTATTCTCTTTTATCTCAAATAAAAAATGTAATTTTAACATGTCCATCAGACTGAACCTTTAGATGCCTTTACAATACATTAGGGCTTATCACTTAAAACAAATGAGGTGGCACTTATTGTTATGTAACTGGTGAGTGATTCATTTCTTGAATGCCATCACAGAAACTGCTTTTAATAATTTATTGTACAAACTTACTTAGTTTGGGCTTTCCTGAAAGCAGAACCTGAGATAAGAACTTAAATGGAGTTCAAATTATTTGGGATGTGACTCCAGGAAGTCAGAGTGGAAAAGAGGAAAAATAATTAGGGAAGCAGTAAAGCCAAAGAGTGCATTACTGAGGTACTGCCATGAGCAGTGGAGATCTAATTTACCATACTTCCTGAAGGGTCTTCAGAGTGCCCACCAGAGGTGTCTGCTTGAAGGGAAGGACGCTTAAATATCTATCCACAACTCCCATTGCCGTTTCTATGAGCTTTTGCCTTCTGGTCTGTACTTACATGTTGAATGAAGCATCAAGGAATCTCTGGAGGAGAAAATGAAAATGTATGAATGGTCTGCACTTTGGAACCAAA
This sequence comes from Homo sapiens, assembly GCF_000001405.40. Lineage (NCBI taxonomy): Eukaryota > Metazoa > Chordata > Mammalia > Primates > Hominidae > Homo > Homo sapiens. The sequence continues at coordinate 48,020,564 of NC_000014.9, forward strand.
TTCTTGGTGCAAGGTAAGTCTGAGTTTGCAAGCAACTATGCATTGGATATGTGGCTGAAATAAAAAGTAAGTCAATGTACATGAGGCTAGACTCTTACCCAATGACAAAGAAATAAAAAAAGTTTAATGTAATAAATCAGAGAATACTGTACTTTTGAGCCGTTTTTGAAGAATATTTTATAGGATGAATTTCACCCAACAAAGAAAGAACTTGGGAAACTTTAACAACAACAAAAAACAGCTAGTGAGAGTTAAATATATTTGATTGGAGATTCAAGACTAACATAAAATGGGAACAAAGATGAAAAACAGTATGTAAGTATTGTACATCCTGAAGAAAATAAAATAACACAACTAGGTAATAGGTGGGAGCTAAAGTGTATCATTTGAATATGGCAAGCCAAATTGTTGGAGCTAAAGTAAGAAAAAAAAAAGGAATTAGAAACAGCAACTAGGAAAAAACTAGAAAATCTTTCAATGCAAACATAAAAATTGAACCACACGAAAAAAGAATGAGCAAATATGAATAATATGGTAAAGTTTTGAGCAAACATTTCAGTCCTCTCTGTTAATGTAAATGGGTTTTACTCATCTATCAGGAAAGAGAGTCTCAGAATGGCTCAAAAAAAGAAAAGTCAGACTCCATTCTTTGTATAATGGAAATATCTAAGAAAAGTTGTTCAGAAAGTTAAAGAATAAATATATGTATATGTGTACTTACACAAACTCAGATGGTATAGCCTACTCCACACCATGGCTATGTGGTATAGCCTACTCCTAGGCTACAACATGCTTCTGTACAGCTTGTTACTATACTGAATACTGTAGGCAATTGTAACACGATGGTATGTATTAGTATATCTAAACATACCTAAAATTGGAAAAGGTACAGTAAAAATATTGTATTATAATTTCATGGAACCATATGTGGTCCGTCATTTACTAAATGATGGATATTTAGTGGCACTTTGTTATGTAGCATATGACTCTCTCTCTCTCTCTCTCTCTCTCTCCCTCTCTCTCTCTCTCGGTGTGTGTTAGTGTGTGTGTGTGTGTGTGTGTGTGTGTGTGTAGTGCTAGCCTGTTTCATTAAAGAAACTAAAAACCTAACAGCATAAACACCATTATATCAACAGCCACAGCTAACATCCATGTTTTCTTTCTAAATTCAGCTTTCTACTGAAAAGAACCAGGGATTTGAAGAAATGGCTGATATCAGTCCTAAGACAAAGAAAGAGCAGGGTGAGTCTGAAATAATCTTAGGAGCAAAAGCAAGGGCATATTCCAAAAACTGACAGAGGCGTGTCAAAAGTTCGAGTGAACCTTCCTAAGGGCTCCTACCTGCCAAATTTCTATGAGTAAAGCATTAAAATATAAAAAGATGGCAATTAATTAATTTAGTACAAGAGAATAATTCATGAGTCCATAACGATATTCAAAATTAAAGTTGAGAGAAATTCTATTTTCAGAAGAATACCAGCAATAAATGTATAGTAATAAGGGAATTAAAAAATCACCATTTCATATCCACCAATGTAACTAATGATACTGGTAAGACACCAGTAAGGATAATCAATAGATTCTTAAACTATTCAATGAAATGTTTGGGAGGACAAATATATTCACATGGTCTCAACTATAACCTACGGGTTACTCATATGTTAATTGCAAAATTGAAAATGTGCACCACCTAAACCAAATGATCTAGTTTAACATTATCAACATGGGACAAACCGATATTGTGTATCTCCTTGTGGAATATAATGTCAAGTATAATATGTCACATAAATGGCATTCCTGTCAAAAGATTTAATCTGAAGTTCATTATTAGAAGTCAATCAAATCCAGACTGTGGGACTTTTACAAGATACCTGGACAAGATTTTTTAAAAATGTCAATGTCATCAATGTATTAGATTATACATATATATATATATATATATATATATATATATATAACATATATGTTACACATATATGATGTATTTAGAGAATATAAAGAAAGTTTTCTCAAATATATAAGCTATATTTGGGAGAACCTGAAAAATTTTGTATATATTGCATATTAGATAATGTTATGCCAATGTTAATATTTTTGTTTATGATTTGATTGTATAGAACATATAATCAAGTGGAGTGGTATTCTGTTCTTGGGAAATACATGTTGAAGCATCAAGGGAAGATGCTCCATAGTGTTTTTGACTTATTTTAAATAATTCAGCAAAAAGGCACACACATATGGATGACGTATATGTGTGTATTGGTTGTGTGCATTTATTTACAGAGATTGAGAAAGAGAATGAACAAAATGTTAACATTTACTGAGTCTAGATAGGATGTACACAGTTGTCAATTATATTGTTCTTTCAAATTTTCTGTAGGTTTAAAATTGTTTTTAAATAGTTGAAAATATTTCAATGTTAGGAAACACATCTATGAGTAATTTGCTTTATCATCCCACCATGAAAAGAACATAACATAGCACTGTTGCTATCTTTAAGCGTCCTCAGTCTAAGTCATCTTACATGCTGGAAATGCTCTTCTTTTCAGAAACAGAAAAGGAATTGTAAGCAATCAATCATAGGTCTCTATGCATTTAGCAAACGTGGCTTTTAATTGAAGGACAATGAACTACATAAGAAATCCATAAAATTTTAATGTTGCAAGCCAAATAAAATAAATATCTTTTAAAATATTTTGGTATTATTCCTCAGCCAAACATTTTGCGACATTATTCATACTTTCAGTGAATAAAGCATGATTTCCCTGTGTGGTTTGTGCAATACATTGAAGTTTTAATATTTCATAGTTTATTTTTGATTTTATGAAGTATATTACTATGAGTCTATTAACTCATATATCCATTAAAATTATGAACTTAATATTAGATACTAGATATCCATCCTTTGAGAAAACTCTCTGCCATTTATAACCTTACTGAGTTTCCTCAAAATCTCATTTTTTTCATCTGTAAGACGAGGAAAATAATGTTATCTATGTCATATGTGATTAATATTTTAAAATGTCCATCTAAAACACATAGACCAGGATTTAGCACGTTATACACACTCAGTAATCATTAATTACACTTATCAACAGTTATATAGATATTATTTACCATACCTGGAGTTTGAATTTAACCCATTTACATATATCCTTATTTACTGTTTTTTCAAATGTCAAGATAACTCTCACCTATCATCTGTAGCAAATGCCCACCTCTAAATAAATAACATGAACAATGTGCAAGATAATTCCATTTGAAGATTAATTATAAGTTATGAAGCTGTTTCTTACTGGCTTTTCCAGTTATTGACCACTGGGGTCTTAGATTACACCAAAATCTCTGATTAAATATTGGGCACTAGAAAGAAGGTTACTGAAATTTCTGGATTGTAATTAGGGCAAAATGTACCCTTAGAGTTAAAAGTGCTTCTGTTACTTGGCAAGAAACTGAGTACTTCATACCCTTAGGAATGCTCTTTCACTTCCTTCCTTGTCGTCATCTGACGATTTGGGTGCAACTATTGCGGAGAACAATTACAGTCCTGGTTGGGCAACATGAGAAAACCACTTCAGTGAAAGGGCTGCTCATTATCAGCCTACATTCTGCTGGGGCTGCCCTGGATTTATTACCTGGATCCATATTTCTAATTTTCTATACCTTTTATCACTCCAGCCTTTTATCCTGGGTAATTCATATATGCCTATTGTCTCAGTTTGGGGTTTTCTTGCTTGCTCTCCAAACAAATCTACCAAGGCTAACCTAGAGTAAATATATACATATATACACATATGACATGCTGGCATATGTGTCTCTGTATGTGTATATGTGTGCATATGTTAAAGTTAGCTTCCTAACACTGAATAAATTTGTCCAAGCTTATAGAATCGTTGGTGGAGGGAAATCTAAAGATCTAAGTCTAGAATCTAGGGCTATTTTTCTGTGGCCTAACACTGCGTTGTTATGTGCAACACACCATGTTGCATGCATTACTCACATAATTTTTGGTCCATGGAACTTATAATAATAAATTTTGAATTAATGATAGCTTAATCTGCATATATGTTATAATAATAGAATTTGATATAGGGGTGGGATTTAAAAGTTATTTGGTCCAATCATAGAATTTGATGCAGGTGTGGAATTTAAAAGTTATTTGGTCCAATCTTTTCTGTCAAGGCAGGAACTCTGTCTGGCATATCCCTGACAGAAGATAATTTAAACTTTTATTTATAGTATGCAAGAAAGAGGTCCCTCAAAACCTCATAAATGAGCACATAAGAAGAAAATTCTATTCACATAGAAAAATACTTCCTTAATTTGAATTGCGCTTATTTTTCTCAATATATCTGCTATGGCCCTAACTTTTATTTATAATTGGCTAATTTGCTAATGTATATGAGAGTGAAGGAATCTCAGATTACTTATCATCTATCTATCTATCCACCTATCTATCTATCCATCCATCCAATTACCTACCTATCCCTATCCATAATCTAACTATGTATTCAAAGTAGGTAAGAAAGACAGAAAATTCTCCAAATCCATATATAATCTAAACATACACTTTAAACAGACAAGATTCCAAGAACACTAGAAGAAAATGAAGGAATACAAAGCTTTTAACCACATTTAAATGAAAAAGCCTCATAATCTACTTTTGCCTCACAGAGGAAGGCTTAAATACATAAGTAGCTATTTTCCACCTGACAAATGTGACCATGAACAGAGCACGTTTTATAATTTTAATTCTTTACATGAGCTTTCAAGTACCCTGAGCTATAATAAAAGACATTTTGATGTCTGTCTTAAACCATTCGGAGAAGGGCTTTCTACATGATCGTGCTATTTTTCTTATTTGCTGAAAAATAATAAGCTATGGTGTGTATATATATTTCCCCAAGATTTATAAGACATATGCCTGCCTCTATTATTCCCAAACACAATCTGTTACAATACTTATGTTTATCATTATTATGCCTGTCAATTCTTTTTGTTATTATTACATATTTACCTCAAAATTTTGATGCATCACAGAGAGAACATTCCTATTGAGTCAGATTCAGTTTAAAAGTATAAAAAGAGAATAAAAAATATATATGTTTTGTTAAAGATTTTAAATCAAACAAGAGAATGTGATATGGGCATCTATTCTTAAAAAGTTCCAAATATTTCTTATAAAATGTGCTTACTATTACACATTTTATTACTAATACAATTACTATTGGAATTGTGAAACTTCAGGATTCATTAAATCAATGCCATAGAGGTTAGGATAACTCCTACATTTAAAGATCACGTAAGTTTTCCCATTAGGATATAGTATATTCATTATAATATACCCTTTCTTCAGCATATCTAAGGCTTTGAACTTCAAATAGCTGCAATAAAGAGGTGAGAAGAAAGGGTTTAGGGAAAAAGTTGCCATCTTGCCCATACCATGGTAGGAAAGGCACATAAGAACACAATGGACTCCCTTGTTAACAACTATATCTCCTCTAAATAATAGAAACCAGGATCTGATATATTTCAGTTATAAGCATTTTATTTATCTCCTTATTCAAAAATCTCAGCAGGATCACATTCTTCCAGAATAAAACATTCTCATCAATACTTACAACACTGAATAGAGTGAAGATATAATGTAATACAATGAATAATAAGTTAAAGAAAAGATCCTTGATGTAACTATTTTTTCCTACAAACCAACTATTTTTTTTTACAATTGTGCCATTTGCTGAACATATTTTATGCGTTTAAATAGAAGCTGTTGACCTCTCTTACCCCAATAATGTTCACTCCCTACGTAATCAAAACTCTGTATGCAATTTCTTACATTTGTTTCTTACTAGAATTTATAATTTATTTCTTCTATATGGTGGCTCAAAGAAGAGATTCTTTTAAAAATGTGTGTACTGTTAAAATTTTATTTGCAAAAGAGTCAAGCAATGTTAATTTTTGAAAATAATTAATAACTTTTATTTATGTAGTTCAGTTGATCATGGAGATGGAATACCATAAAAGAAACACTTGAATTTCAAGTTATCTATATCTAATCATTTTAAACTATAACAATATATTATTGTAGTATGAATAAAACATGCCATTCAACTAATGATAAAGGTCTAGTTATCCTTCCATGCCTTCTCTATTGCTCATACAAAGATACTCAACCTATATACACTTAAGTGGGAGTTTTGCTGTTGATTTATTTCCTAAGTGGAATTATACTATATATAGTTTCCTACCTTTTAATCTTACCCATTTTTAATGGATATCTGTATAAGTTAGTAGATAGAGACATAACTCAATATTTTCTAGTCCCTTGTGTACATAAATAGGTATACATAGTATCACACATGTTAATGCATTTAGTTTTCTTTTCTCTTTTTTTTTTTTTACTTTTTTAAAACAGTTCCTCTCTTCTCTCCTCTCCTTGAGCCTTTTTAAGCCAGTTAGCCTTAGTTAACATTCAGTGTATATTCTGTAGTACTTTCCAACACGCTCAATCTATACTTACAGAAACATGCACAGAGAGTTTTTTTCTTCACTGTGTAATATCTTATTTAAAACAGTCTGATTTTCTATATGGGTCACATGGGTGTGACACATAATTTGTGTTGGTTAGTTCCACCATCATTCTAAGTCCTTTCAAGCATAACTTCTTGTAACGAAGCAGCAAAAACAGCTGACACTGTGTTTTCCTGACTTCTGTGTAGCTAGTGTTCTGATGTGGGAAAGAAGCTGAACACAAAGCAGTCATTGTGCTGGCATGTTTCAAGGTGGAGACAGGAAGCTTTTGGAGCAGAAGCTTTGGCAGAACCTTTATGATTCCTAAGGTTCTTGATCATGGCTCTCTGACCTTGCCAGTTGAGCAGCGTGGTTTTGGAAATCACTCAGTGGTGTGCTGAAAGCCAGCTCACATCAGCTGATGAGGGCTTATTTTGCATATCTCATCTCTACCTTGTCATATTGGTGGATTAAAATGGGCCACGGTGGGGGTGTTCGCACTGCTATCTACAATGGACAAATTATATGAGGAAATTACTAGCTTCATGATTTTTTTTTTTTTTGAGACAGAGTCTCACTCTGTTGCTCAGGCTGGAGTGCAGTGGTGTGATCTCAGCTCACTGCAACCTCCACCTCCTGGGTTCAAGTGATTCTCCTGCCTTAGCCTCCCAACTAGCCAGGATTACAGGTGCACGCCACCACACCCGGCTAATTTTTATTTATTTATTTTTGTGTTTTTAGTAGAGATGGGGTCTCTCCATGTTAGCCAAGCTAGTCTTGAATTCCTGACAGGTGATTAGCCAGCCTCGGCCTCCCAAAGTGCTGGGATTACAGGTGTGAGCCATAGGACCCGGTCTGGCCCTAGGATTTTAACCTTTTAGCTTAACGTGGTTGTAGAACAATGGAGAGTTTTTTTTTCTTCTTTTAATTTCCTGGAATGTAACTCATCACTTCTTTTAGAGATACTGAAACTATAATTAGGAGAATTTGTGTCTGTCTGCATGGAGTTTAATTTTCAGCATCTTCTATTTCATTATGTGACAAGTGGAAAATGAATAAGAAACATTGGAACCCACAGAACTAAAACCACGATGCTTGGAAGAATTGGAAAACCTCAAGGTATTCCATATTCCCAGACTCCCTTGAGCTTCCATTAGTGACAAAGGTGGCCTTTTCTCTCCTGTCTGAGGATACCAGTCTTGTCTTCCTGGAAGACCATATAACAACCATCTAAGTCAATAATCTTGTAAGACGATATCAACTTCCTTAATGCCCCACCACTACCACCTATCGCTAATTACAGACCTATAACTTGGAGTCAGATCAGTGCATGGTCCAGGGACAAACTATGAAGTATAATTAATTCTGAAGGGGAGAAACAGATTTTACTAACTTCAGTCACTCTCAAGCTGAAGAGTATATACAGAAAATGAATTTAGAGTTTACTAGACAAAAGAGGATGACATAAAGTCATAGTTCAGACTGAATTTATTACTACTGATGTACTTCCCAGAGACTATTAATTAATCTATGTGGTAAGAGTGGTCTCCTTATATGTTTGGCTGATTGGCCAAACCTACACTCATGGTGGCCTATAATGAATAAATTTGAGAGGAAAAACTTATTTGGTTGTTATTTAGTGTAGAACACATTTTCTTCTATTAGAATCCACGGTGTGGTGATATTGATCCACTCAGACCACAATGTAAAAGTGTGAAGGTGAGATTTAGGGTGGCGGGAAGTCCAGCATGACAGCCAATATTACCATTTTTTATGTGTGCCACCACAATGTTGGAAGGCTTAGGAAGCCTCAACTGAAAAATGCATGTGCAAACTTTTGAACATGAGAATGTTACACTGAATTTACTATGAATACTCTGTTATCTGCGATTTAACTGTTTTCTCTGGAAAGCCGAGATAAAATTTTCTTTAATAAACCCTAGAAAATACACTGGAAAAGAGAGTACAAGCGTCCATGACAGAATCTTCCATAACAGGAAAGCAGGTTCATCCTCTATAGTCTGGAAATAAGGGTGGGAGATGTTACCACTGTAACAGGTTTACTGATTTCAATTTGGACAAAAGAATGCCATGAGCTCTTAGGGTATCAAGATCCCTTTGAAGGAAGGGGAGGCAAGTTACAATTGAGAAATGGCCTTACTAACATCATACCTGCTATGCCGTAAATGTTTCTTCTTTTTATCTGCAAAGGGAGCTGTGCTCTTTATCAGAGTAACTATGCAATAGAAAAGAAATAAGCAAAATTTAGGGGATGCTTAGAGAGACTGCCATGGTGATGTACTCATGAGAGGGGGGCTTATGAAATTTAGATAGTATAGTTGTGATACAACCTTGTCTCATGTTGGTTTCAGCGGGATAGAAGAGGCAATGAACCCATCCTGTAGTTATTAGTAACCATTATAGTTGGTGAATATTTAAAATAAATGAGGTACTCACCCTGTTTCCATGACTCATTTCCAAGAGTGCTATCAGGTTAAAAAGATTCAAGTGGAAACCTCTAGATCATTCTCTACTTATAAGGATTACTCTGAAGATAAGGCATGTTTTGTTAGAGAATCAGGGAGACTGGGATCACGACTAAAGCCTTGAAGCTCACAACTGTAGTGACTGTTATTACATCCATACTTAGCTACCATATTTATACTCAAAAGAAACATGATGGTGGAGAATGGTACTGACAATTGAAAACTGAATCTTATGTGATGAATCCAATTTCATCTGTGTTTCAGATATGTTATGCTAATTGGAACAAATCAACAGTCTCCATCATCTGGTATATAACTACTGAGTTGGAAATGATTTTAAATTTACTTTAAAAAAATGTCTCCCCAAATTGATTTCTCTGGCACCATTGTGCCTTTTGTTTGCATCAATTTTCCTCATCTGTGCCATAATTTAGTTTTTCCAGGTACAACTATTTTCATGAAATAGGTAATAATCATCTCAGTGCATGTTTTACCCTTTTACTTCATATGGGCGTATCCACAAACATTAGGTATTATTTTAAAATTTATTATATAAACAGTGGTCTTCTGTAACAGGCTATGATTTGTTTTCCCTTAAACAATGTTTTTCAGATTTATGTATGCTAATGCATGTAGCTTTACTTAATTTACACTCCATATTTAACTTTTATATTTGTTAATTATATCTATATCTACATATGTATAATTTTAACCATTTTTATTAGGGACATTTATATTTTTTCAAAGGTTTTATAATATGGATTACTACAATGAATATTCGTTTCCTTGGGCACATGGGCAAAATTCCTTCTAGATTACAAAATGAAAATAGGATTATTGAGTCATGGGATATGTAAATGTTCATTTTACTATTACATTCTAAATTACACTCATAAGTGGTTATGCAAATTTATACTTACTAGAGTATTGTATTAAAATTCCCATTGTTCTACAACTTGTGAAAATTTTGTATTGTAAGACTTAAATAATTGCCAGTCTAATGTGTATGAAGTTTCGTAGCAATTGTATTTGGTACCTATTCATATCCTTTATATATAGGAAATTTGGGCATTCTCTGTGTATTTTATGTTCATGTCCTTTACTGGGTCAAATGGTAGTTCTGTTTCTAGATCCTTGAGGAACTGCCACACTGTCTTCCACAATGGTTGAACTAATTTACATTTCCTCCAACAGTGTAAAAATGTTCCTATTTCCCCACAGCCTCATGGGCATCTGTTGTTTCTTGACTTTTTAATAATCACCATTCTGAACTGGCATGAGATGATATCTTATTGTGGTTTTGATTTGCATTTCTTTAATGATCAGTGACGTTGAGGTTTTTTTTTTTTTAATATGCGTGTTGGCTGCATAAATGTCTTCTTTTGAGAAGTGTCTGTTCACGTCCTTTGCCCACTTTTTGATGGGTTTGTTTTTTTCTTGTAAATTTATTTAAGTTCCTTGCAGATTCTGGATATTAGACCTTCGTCAGATGGGTAAATAGCAAACATATTCTCTCATTTTGTAGATTGCCTGTTCACTCTGATAGTAGTTTCTTTTGCTTTTTAGTTTAATTAGATTCCATTTGTCAATTTTAGCTTTGTTCTAATTGCTTTTGGCGATTTCATAATAAAATCTTTGCCCGTGCCTATGTCCTGAATGGTATTGCCTAGGTTTTCTTCTATTGTTTTTATAGTTTTGGGTTTTACGTTTAAGTCTTTAATCCATCATGAGTTTATTTTTGTATAAGGTTTAAGGAAGGGGTCCAGTTTTAACATATGGCCTATGGCTAGCCAGTTTTCCCAGCACTATTTATTAAATAGGGAATCCTTTCCCCATTGCTTGTTTTTGTCAGTTTTATTGAAGATCAGATTATTGTAGATGTGTGGTGATATTTCTGAGGTCTCCATTCTGTTTCATTTGTCTATATATCTGTTTAGGTACCAGTACCATGCTGTTTTTGTTACTGTAGCCTTGTAGTATAGTTTGAAGTCAGGTAGCATGATGCCTCCAGCTTTGTTCTTTTTGCTTAGGATTGTCTTGGCTATATGGGCTCTTTTTTTTGGTTCCACATGAATTTTAAAGTAGTTTTTTTCTAATTTTGTGAAGAATGTCAATGGTAGCTTGATGGGAATAGTATTGACTCTATAAATTACTTTGGCCAGTATGGCCATTTTCACAATAGTGATTCTTCCTATCCATGTGGATGGAATGTTTATCCATTTGTTTGTGTCTTCTCTTATTTTCTTGAGCAGTGGTTTGTCGTACTCCTTGAAGGTCCTTCACATCCCTTGTTAGCTGTATTCCTAAGTAGTTTATTGTCTTTGTAGCAATTGCAAATGGGAGTTCATTCACGATTTGACTCTCTGCTTGTCTATTGTTGGTGTACAGGAATGCTTGTGATTTTTGCTCATTGATTTTGTATCCTGAGATTTTGCTGAGTTGCTTATCAGCTTAAAGAGTTTTGGGGCTGAGGCAATAGGGTTTTCTAAATGTAGGATCATGTCATCTGGAAACAGAAACAATTTGACTTCCTCTCTTCCTACTTGAATACACTTTATTTTTTTTCTTTTGCCTGCACCCCCTGGCCAGAACTTCCAATACAATGTTGAATAGGAGTGGACAGAGAGGACATCCTTGTCTTGTGCCAGTTTCCAAAGGGAATGCTCCCAGCTTTCGACCATTCAGTATTATATTGATTGCAGGCTTGTCACAAATAGCTCTTATTATTTGGAGATATGTTTCATCAATACCTAGTTTATTGAGAGTTTTTAACATGAAGTGATGTTGAATTTTATTGAATGTCTTTTCTGCATCTACTGAGATAGTCATGTGGTTTTTGTCATTGGTTCTTTTTATGTGGTGGATTACATTTATTGATTTGTATATGTTGAACCAGCTTGCAACCCTGGTATAAAGCTGACTTTTTTTGTGGTGGATAAGCTTTTGGATGTGTTGCTGGATTTAGTTTGCCAGTATTTTGTTGAGGATTTTCTCGTCGATGTACATCAGGGATATTGGCCTGAAGTTTTCTTTTTTGGTTGTGTCTCTGCCAGGTTTTGGTATCAGGATGATGCGGGCCTCATAAAATGAGTTAGGGAGAAGTCCCTTCTATTCACTTGTTTGGAATATTTTTATAAGGAGTGCTACCAGCTCCTCTTTGTTTCTCTGGTAGAATTCAGCTGTGAATCTGTCTGGTCCTGGGCTTTTTTTGTCGGTAGCCTCAATTTCAGAACCTAGTATTGGTCTAGTCAGGGATTCAACTTCTTCCTGGTTTAGTCTTGGGAGGCTGTATGTGTCCAGGAATTTATCCATTTCTTCTATATTTCCTAGTTTATTTGCATAGAGGTGTTTATAATATTCTCTGATGGTAGATTTTATTTCTGTGGGGTCAGTGATAATAACCCCTTTATCATTTTTATTGTGTCCATTTGATTCTTCTCTCTTTTCTACTTTATTAGTCTAGCTAGTGGTCTATCTATTTTGTTAATTTTTTCAATAAACCTCCTAGGTTCATTAGTTTTTCAGAGGGTTTGTGTGTCTCTATTTCCTTCAGTTCTGCTCTGATCTTAGTTATTTCTTGTCTTCTGCTAGCTTTTGGATTTGTTTGCTCTTGCTCCTCTAGTTCTTTTAATTGTGATGTTAAGATGTTGATTTGAGATCTTTTTAGCTTTCTGATGTGGGCATTTAGTGGTATAAATTTCCCTCTTAACACTGCCCTTAGCTGCATCCCAGAGATTTTGGTATGTTGTCTCTTTGTTCTTCTTGGTTTCAAAGAACGTCTTGATTTCTGCCTTAATTTTGTTATTTACCCAGGAGTCACTCAGGAGCAGGTTGTTCAATTTCCATGTAGTTCTGTGGTTTTGAGAGAATTTCTTAATCTTGAGTTGTAATTTGATGCACTGTGATCTGAGAGACTGTTATGATTTCAGTTCTTTTGCATTTGCTGAGGAGTGCTTTACTTCCAATTATGTGGGTAATTTTAGAGTAAGTGTTATTTGGCACTTAGAAGAATGTGTATTTTGTTGATTTGGGGTGTTGAGTTCTGTAGGTATCTATTAGATTCACTTGATTCAGAGCTGAGTTCAAGTTCTGAATATTTGTGTTAATTTTCTGTCTCATTGATCTGTCTAATATTGACAGTGGGATGTTAAAGTCTCCCACTATTATTGTGTGGGAGTCTAAGTCTCTGTAGGTCTCTAAGAACTTGTTTTATGAATCTGGGTGCTCCTGTATTGGGTGCACATATATTTAGGAAAGTTGGCTCTTCTTGTTGAATTGAACCCTTTACAACTATGTAATGCCCCTCTTTGTCTTTTTGGATCTTTTTGGTTTAAAGTCTGTTTTGTCAGAGACTAGGATTGCAACCCCTGCTTTTTTCTGTCGTCCATTTGTTTGGTAAATTTACCTCTATCCCTTTATTTTGCACCTATATGTGACTTCGCATATAAGACGGGTCTCTTGAATATAGCACACTGATGGGTCTTGACACTCCAATTTTCCTGTCTGTGTCTTTTTATTGTGGCATTTAGCCCATTTACATTTAAGTTTAATATTGTTATGTGTATATTTGATCCTGTCATCATGATGCTAGCTGGTTATTTTGCATACTAGTTGATGTAGTTTCTTCATCATGTCATTGGTCTTGATATTTTGGTGTATTTTTGCAGTGGCTGGTACCGGTTTTTCCTTTCCACATTTAGTGCTTCCTTCAGGAGCTCTTGCAAGGCAGACCCGGTGATGATGAATTCCCTCAGCATTTGCTTGTCTGAAAAAAAAATTATTTATCCTTCACTTATGAAGCTTAGTTTGGCCAAATATGAAATTCTTGGTTGAAAATTCTTTTCTGTAAGAATGTTGAATATTGACCCTCACTCTATTATGGCTCATAGGGTTCCTGCTGAGAGATCTGCTGTTAGTCTTATGGTCTTCTCTTTATAGGTGACCTGGCCCTTCTCTCTGGCTACCCTTAGCATTTCTTCGTTCATTTTGACCTTGGAGAATCTGATGATTATGTGTCTTGGGGTTGATCTTCTTTTGGAGTATCTTAGTGGTATTCTCTGTATTTCCTGAATTTGAATGTTGGACTGTCTTTCTAGGTTTGGGAAGTTTCTTGGATAACATCATGAATTGTGTTTTCCAACTTGGTTCCATTCTCCCCATCTCTTTCGGGTACTCCAGTCAGTCATAAGTTCTGTCTTTTTACATAGTCCCACAGTTCTCGGATGTTTTGTTCATTTATTTTAATTCTTTTTTCCTCTAATTTGCCTGCCTGCCTTATTTCAGCAAGATAGTCTTCACTCTGATATTCTTTTTTCCACTTGATCGATTTGGCTGTTGATACTTGTGTATGCTTCACGAAGTTCTTGTACTGTTTCTCAGCTCCATCAGATCATTTATGTTCCTGTCTAAATGAGTTATTCTAGTTATCAGCTCCTGTAACCTTTTATCACGATCTTAGCTTCTTTTCATTGGGTTAAAACATGCTCCTTTACCTCAGTGAAATTTGTTATTACCCGTCTTCTGAAGCCTACTTCTGTCAATTTGTCCATCTCATCCTCCATCCAATTCTGTGCCATTGCTGGAGAGGTGTTGTGATCTTTTGGAGGAGAAGAGGCACTCTGGCCTTTTGGGTTTTCAGTTTTGTTGTTGTTGTTGTTGATTCTTTCTCATCTTCATGAGTTCATCTAGTTTTGATCTTTGAGGCTGTTGACCCTTGAATGAGGTTTCTGTGGGAACTTTTTTTGTTGATGCTGTCGTTGTTGCTTTCTGTTTGTTTGTTTTTCTTTCAATAGTCAGGTCCCTCTTCTGCAAGGCTGCTGTGGTTTGCTGGGGGTTCACTTCATGTCCTATTCATCTGATTCTTTCCCATGCCTGGATGTCACTCCAGGAGGCTGGAGAACAGCAAAGATGGGTGCCTGTTCCTTCCTCTAGGATCTCTGACCCCAAGGGGCACCGACCTGATGCCAGCAGGAATGCTCCTCTTTGGGTGTCTGACGACCCCTGTTGGGGAGTCTCACCCAGTTGGGTGGCACGGGAAGCAGAATCTGTTTAATGAAGCACTTTGCCTGTTCCTTTGTGGAGGGGGGAGTGCTGAACTGGGGGAAAACGCACTTTTCTGTGCTGCGCAGATTCCTCAGAGCTAGCAGGAGGGAAGAGTTTGCTAGTCTTCGCAGACTATGGGCCCCCCACCCACTAGGGGCTCAGGCCCAGGGAGATCAGAGTTCTGTCCCTGAGCCCTGGCTGGAGTTGTTGGAGTTCCTGCAGGGAGGCCCCACCCAATGAGGAGGGATGGTTCAGGATCTGTCCTGAAGAGGCAGTCTGGCTGCCATCTGCCACAGCCAGTGTGCTAGGCTGTGGGGAATACCTCTTAGGACCAAGCGTCTCACCTCCCTGACTCCAGCAGGGGAAAAGCACGCCCCTGGAGCTGTAAGTGATGGCTGCCGCCCCTCCCACAAGGAGCTGAGACAGCTTAAACAGCAAGCAGAAGTAGTGCTTGCTGCCCCTCCCCTCGGGAACTTGGCAGGCTTAGGCAGATTCCAGCTAAGTAGCTGTTGAGAATCTGTGCAGCTCCATGGCTGGGATCCAAGGCGCCGGTGGGGTAGGATCATGAGTGGGATATTCCGAACCATGGGTTGCACATTTCCGTGGAAAAAGCACAGTTTCCCAGACTGGGTAGTATGTTCAGTCACTACCTCCCTTTGCTGGGGGTGTGGCTCTCAGGTGGGCTGCCGCACCACACTGCTCTTCCTTCCTCTCTGTGGGTCATGCCAGCTGCCTAGTCAGTCCTGATGACAGAACTTGGATACCTCAGTTGCCTGTGCAGGATTCCCACGCTGTTTTGGTTCTTTTCTATGGGAGCCTTGATCACCTCTGCTTCCAGTTGGCCCCGCCCCCACCTGGCTTTCAGCTTTTCTCCATACAATGTGATGTTATCTGTGGATTTGTCACATAGGGCCTTTATTATGCTGAAGTATGCTCCTTCTATGCTTAGCTTGTTGAGAGTTTTTAAAATGAAGGATGCTAAATTTTATCAAATGTTTTCTCTGCATCGATTATGATGATCAGATTGTTTTAGTTCTTCATTCTGTTGATGTAACATATTACATTATTGATTTGTGTATATTGAACCATTCTTGCATTCCCAAGATAATTCTCACTTGATCATGATGTATTTTTTTTTTAATGTGCTGTTAGATTAGGTTTGTTATTTTGTTGAGGATTTTCCCCTCTATGTTTGTCAGGGATATTGGTCTATAGTTTTGTGTGTGTGTGTGTGTGTGTGTGTGTGTGTGTGTGTGTGTTTGTCTGGTTCTGATATCAGGGTAATGCTGATTGTGCAGAATTTGTTAGGGAGAATTCCCTCCTCTTCAATTTTTTTTGGAATTATTTGAGGATAATTGGTCATAGTTCTTCATTGAAAATTTGGTGGAATTCAGCAGTGAAGCTATTCAGTCCTAATTTTCTTCACTGGGAGACTTTTGATTCAATCTCTTCAATCTTATTACTCGTTTCAAATTTTCTATTTCTTCCTGATTCAAATTTGATTGATTGTATGTGTCTAGGAATTTATTCATTTTTCTCTAGGAGTTTCTGATGATCTTTGTATTTCTGTACTATTCATTGTAATGTCTCATTTTTTTAGTTTGTTTGTATCTGGTTTTGTTTATTTTTTTCTTCTCTCTTTTTTTGTTAGACTAGTTTGTGGTTTATTGATTTTCTTTATATTTTCAACAAACCAACTTTCTGTTTTATTGGTTTTTATTCTAAATGTTTTTTTTTTTTAGTTCTGCTCTGATTTTTATTATTTGTTTTCTTCTACCAATTTTGGGTTTGGTTTGTTCTGCTTTTCTAGTTCCTTGAAATGAACAATTAGTTTATTTGGAATCTTTCTACTTTTGTGATGTAGATGTTTATTGCTATAAGTCTCCCTTTTATTACTACCTTTACTGAATTCCATGGGTTTTGGCATGTTGTGTTTTGATATTCATTCATTTCAAAAAATTTTTTTATTTCTTTCTTGACCCAATGGTTATTTAGGAGCATGTTGTGTAATTTCCATGTATTTGTACAGTTTCCAAAGTTCCATTTATTGTTGATTTCTAGTTTTATTCTATTGTGGTCTGAAAAGATAATTGATATGAAATCAGTATTTAAAATTTTGATGAGACTTGTTTTGTGCCTTATTATGTGGGCTATTTTGGGTAATTTTTACTGTGCCGATGAAAGCGATGTGTATTCTGCACCTGTTGGATACATTTTGTGAATGTCTGTTTGGTCTGTTTAGTCTAAAGTCCAGCTTAAATCCAATGTTTCTTTGTTGATCTTTTTATCTAGATAATCAGTATAATGCTGAGGGTGGGGTATGAAAGTCCCCAACAATTACTCTAATGAAGAGTGTATCTCCTTTTAGATCTAATAATATTTGCTTTATATATTTTGTGGCTCTGGTTTTGGGTGCATAGATATTTAGAATTGTTATATCCTTTTGCTAAATCAATCTTTTTATCATTATATAATGACCATCTTTGTGCCTATTTATTGTTTTCTACTTACAGACTGTTTATCTAACATAAGTATAGCTATTTCTGCTTGCTTTCAGTTTCCTTTTGAATGAAATATATTTTTACTTCTCTTTACTTTATGGCTATATGTGTTTTTAGAAGTGATAGGAGCCTCTAGTAGGTAGCACAGAGTTAGTTCATATTTTTTTAATCCATCCAGCCAGTCTAATCTTTAAGTGGAAAATTTAATTCATTTACACTCAAGGTTATTATTGATATGTGATGACTTATTTTCATCTTTTTGTTAATTGTTTTCTGATTGTTTCGTGTATCTCATGTTCATATCTTTCTCTCTTATTGTTTGCATTGGAGTTTCCTGTAGGGGTAACATTTTAGTCTTTTCCTCATTTGTGTATTTGTTCTACTACTAAGTTTTATGCTTTTATGTGTTTTCATAATGGTAGATAGTGATAGCCTTCTTTTGCTTCCAGGTGTAGGACTCCCTTAAGTATTTCTGGTAGGGCTGATCGATTGGGTGAAATCCTTCCGTTTTTTCCTGGTCTGGGAAAAACTTTTTCTCCTTCATTTGTGAAGGATAACTTTGTTGGGTATAGTATTTTTGACTGGCAGTTTTTTTTTTCTTTCAGCACTTTGGATATATCATTCCATTCTCCCCTAGCCTATAATTTTGCCGCTAAGAAATCTACTTTTAGATTGATTAAATTATCTTACATGTGACTAGACATTTTTCTCTTGCTGATTTTAGAATTCTTTTTCTATGACTTGACAGTTTTACTCTAATGTGCTGTGATGGTTAATACTGAGTGTCAACTTGATTGGATTGAAGGATACAAAATATTGATCCTAGGTGCATCTGTAAGGGTGTTACCAAGGGAGAGTAACATTTGAGTCAGTGGGCTGGGAAAGACACACCCACCCTTAACATGGTTGGGCACAATCTAATCATAGTTACCAGTGCTGCTAGAATATAAGCAGACAGGAATATGTGAAAAGTGAGACTGACCTCACCTCCCAGCCTATATCTTTCTCCTGTGCTGGATGCTTCCTGCCTTCACATATTGGACTCCAAGTTCTTCAGTTTTGAACCTCAGACTGGCTCTTTTTGTTCCTCAGCCTGCAGATGGCCTATTATAGGACCTTGTGATCATGTGAATTAATACTTAATAAACTCTCCTATATATATTCCATTAATTCTGTTTCTCTAGAAAACCCTGACTAATATATGTGCCTTGGAGAAGTTTTTGGATTATATCTACTT
This sequence comes from Homo sapiens, assembly GCF_000001405.40. NCBI lineage: Eukaryota > Metazoa > Chordata > Mammalia > Primates > Hominidae > Homo > Homo sapiens. Next base: position 48,039,343 of record NC_000014.9, read on the forward strand.
AGGATTCTTGGTCTTCCTGTATCTGAATGCGTAACTCTATTCTAGACTTGGAAAGTTTTTTGCTAATATTTCATTAAATAGGTTTTATATGCCTTTGACCTTCTCCTCACCTTCTAGAACATGAAAATCTTGAATATTTGGTCACTTTATATTGTCCCATATGTCACATAGGTTTTTTTTCTTTTTTACTCTTTTTTATTTATTTATTTATTTATTTATTTATTTATTTTGGTATGGCTGGGTTATTTCAAAAGACATGTTTAAATTCTGAGATTTTTCTTCTGCTTGATATAGTTTATTGTTGAAACTCTCAATTGTATTTTTAAATCTCAGTCATGGAATTATTCAATTACAATTCAGTTTGTTTCTTTTTAATAATATCTATCTCTTTGGTGAATTTCTTATTTATATCCTGAACTGTTTTTCTGATTTATTTGCATTCTTTATCTAGGTTCACTTGTATCTTTCTGAGCTTAACATTATTATTTTTTTCTTCAGGCATTTTATACATTTTTATTGGAATCTGTTATTGAATAATTATTGTGTTCCTTTGGTGGTATTATATTTTTTTTTTGCTTTTTCATGTTTCTTGTGTCCTTACATTGACATCAGCACATTTGGTGTAACAGTCACTTTTTTTCCAATTTTTTGGATTGGGTTTTATAAGGGAAAACTTTTTCCTGTCGATATGTCTATGGTGTTGGCTGGGTAAGGTACTTTAGCTTTGATTTTTGGTGTGTGTAGAACTGTAGCCTCTGCATGATTTCTTTGTCTTTAAACAATATCAGTAGTGTTTGTAAATGTCTCAGTGACTTAAGCTGCAGTTCTTAGTGGAAGCTGCGGTGAGGCTTTGCTGGAGATGGGGATGCCAGGTAGGCTAGTCCTTGGGCCCCAGTTGTACCTGCAGTAGACTGTGTTCCTGTCTTTGAACCAGTGGACATCAGACGTGATCACTGGTGTTAGCAGGTCTATGTGCCCTAATTCTTGAGCCTCCAGGTGGCTTACTTGGTTACTGGCAGTGGCTTCAGTGGGCCAAGTAGGTTGATCATTCCTTGGAATCTATAGCAGCATGTGTGGCATAGACAATGGCAGTGGTGGCATTACCCTTGGGCTTCCAAGAGGCACACACTTATGTTAATTACAGCTAAAATGGGGAGGGTGAGTGAGTCCCAGTTGGTACACGCAGGTAGATGCTGGCCATAGTAGTAGTTGCAGCCTGGTTGCCCCATCCTCAGGCACCCAGGAGAAGTTCACAGATGCCAGCAGTGGTGGCTGGGTGTGAAGATCCCCAGGCTCCTTGACAGCATACTCAGCATACTTAGGCACTGGTAGCAGGTGTTCTGGGCCAGTTGTTAGGCCCCTGGTGTTGCACACTCATGCTTGGGGCTACCAAAATGCCAGGGTAATGCCCAGATCTCCTGGTGGACTGCTTAGCCACTGAATGGAGGCAGTGCCAGGCTGGGTGATTCTGTCCTTACACAGCCCCAGTGTTGTGCATGTGTGTAGGTTGTGGTGAGCAGAGAAACCACATGTAGACAATTCCTGCAGCCAGGATAAAGAATTTTAGTGATTTTCTCTGCATGCCACAATCTATAAAACTGTGAGAAGCACTGCTTTAGGGAATCTGAAAAATTCAATTACTTTATGAAAGATAGTATAAATGGATACACAATTACTTTATTTGCTTATATTTATCAAATAGTTATTATTTAAAATATATATTTATTAAAATTTATTATTTAATAGTCATGTATTAGATTTTTCCACAGCACATATTTAAAATTATATATATGTATGTGTTTGTGTGTATGATTATGACTCATTAATGTTTAATAAAGGCATACCTAAGCTATATCCCAGGGAAATGAAAATGTTGCCAAGAATATATTTTAAAATAACTTTAAAAAAGCAAACCAGAGGCATAGCTTAAGGGCAATAACAGTCATCTTACAGACAAATTGGTGTTGAATTTTTATCTATTATATATAAAAAGAAAAAGAAAAGCATATTGATGAATGGCTGTTAGTACATAGCTCGGAGAGAAGGAATCTAAAATAGTACTGGGAAAATATTAACCTACTTCACCTTAATTGTTGATGAAAGATTTAGGCACGCCTCAGGTCTTGCTTAACATGCAAATTATAAAAGTAAGGTGTTCTTATATCTGCGAAATACATCAATAAACTCTGTATTTTCCCAAGTGTTACAACTTGCTATAATACTATGGTATTTATTATACCTGTAAAAGATAAAAATGATGATTGAAATAGTTATCCACATGATTCTGGAAATAACATGTGTGTCTGTTTTGCCTTAAGTTTTGTGTTGGGTTTTGTTTTGTTTTGAGTGAGTGTATCATATCCTGGATAATAGATAATATCCATATTAGAAATATGTCTAATATGACTTGTTTATTTTACTTGTAGGTAAACTTATTTATGGAATAATAGAATCTTAGAACTGGAAGGCATCATCTATCTCTGTCCCTTGTATAGCTATGAAAATCAAGCTGAAAATAGGTGAAGTAATTTCTTCACACTTTAACCTCTCTAATTTTTATGTAGCCTCCCTTCATGTCATTGAGAATAATGAGAGTAGATCTCAATTTTCTTCAGCATATAAGGACAATGAAACAAGAGTTAATATCCACTGAATATGAACATATGCAAGGCACTGTTCAAGGTGCTTTACACATTTTATCATTCAGCCCTAGCAACAATACAAACGGTTTGAAAATAACATCAATATTTCACAAAAGAGGAACCTTAATCTATCAGTGAAATTTTGTGTATGATAACCAATTTGTAGCTACTAAGAAGCAGAGGTAAAATTTGAAGCAATGACATCTGGTTCTCTAGATCTGATTTTCTAACCACAGTAAAAAACCCTTTCCATGTGCTCAATATGGTATTAGTGACAATTCTTCAGCTATAACCCTTTCTATTCCACTTTTACAGAAACATATATGATAGTTCATCAGCAAAAGGAAAAGTTTAAGATTGTAAGAGTGGTAACTGGTGTGTTTGTGTGTGTGTGTGTGTGTGTGTGTGTGACAGGGAGAGAGAGAGAGAGGAATAGAGAGAGATTCATAATTGGAGCTACTTAATTTCAGTTTATTTATCAAAATGATACAAGACACCAGTTTAAAAGTGAGAAATGTGTTTAATTAGAGCTCATTGATTATGCCTGAGTACTTAAAGCACCAGATTTTAAGGACAGTCATCCCTCTCAAGAGGTGATCTGAAACCTGAAGTGTTTATGAAAGCTGGAGCCCAGGAGTTCAAGACTGCGGTGAGCTATGAGCTTGCCCTGCACTCCAGCCTGGGTGAGAAAATAAGACAAGACCCCATCCTTAAAACAAACAAATAAATAAATAAAATTTGTATTAAAAGCTGAGACTTTCATTTTTACTGATTAAAAACTTTTACCTTTGAGATTTAAAAGGCTGATTCTTCACATTACTGTTTACTTTTTTATAACCAGAATCCCAGATTTCCCAGATGATTCATTATCACAAAGATGCTTATTACCATACTCCTTTTATATTATTTAATCTGATCCTAGTAAACTTCACTTTCTGCTAGCCCAAACCTTTCTACTCTGACCTCTGAAGTGCAATATATTTTTCCAATTTTATTTTCTGCTATGGTGACAGCTCACATCGTAACACAGTAAGGTCAGAACAGTGACAATTAGTGGGGTAAGACCATTCAACTCAAACATACAAATTCAATCACTTGATGCATTCTGGAGAAATATGTCACTGTAGAGGAAGAGTATTCTAACAAAAAAGTAGTATTCTCAACTACAAATCCCCAAAAAAACCTGAAGTATACATTTTTTTCTTATTTTTAAATGGTAAAAGAGAGATTTCCAGTGTTGTTCTTTTTACATACAATGAACACTTTGGTAGTTGTGGAAGAGAATATTACCCTAACTGTAGAACAGAATTCCAAATGCCCCCAGATAGTTCGGTTGGTCCATCACCAATATTTTTTTAAGGAACTGGCATTTTTTTATGTTCTAAGTCTATCTCATATTGTATACACACATGCACACACACACATACACTTTAAGTTACACACATGTTGTGTATACAGATGTGCATGTGTGTATGTATAGGCCATTTGGCCAATTAACTTCATTTCCTTCCAGTCTACATATCTATGATAGAATAATAGACCCTATCATCCTATTATCATCTAGAATTATTTCATCCCTAAAATTCATTTCTAAAACTATTCTTCTCCCTCCGTGGCCATTTCACTATCTATTGGTCTGATCTTCATTCTAATTATACTTGTATTATTCCCATACCCTACAACTGGACTTTTTTTTTTTTCATAATCTGCACAAAGCCCCAATGTACCATCAATCCAATGGCTGTTTTGCTAATACTTGTTCTCCTTAACTCTGGTATTCCATTATTTTACCAGAAAGAATCTCATCCCCAATTGATTCAAGTTTCATCATATGTGTTTTTTCGCACAAAAATGATACATGCATCAAGAGAAAATTACAAAATATATGTGTTCAATGTTTTAAGAAATACAATTTTAATCCAAATGATAAAATAATGAGAAATATAAAAACAATCTTGCTAGCAAAAGCAGGAAAGTACATTAGTTTTCTCAGTTGCTCACTTATTTGCATGTGAAATAGGATCCCAATAATCTGTTGCAAAAGTAGAAAGAGTATGAGATGTGTGGTACACAGAAAATATTAATGGACATGGGAAAAACAGAAGTTATGTTTTATTTCTATATAAAATATAAATTACCGTTGACTGTTGTTACTTCTATTTTCAGTGAGGTATGTTCTCAGATTTTCTGAGAACACAGCAGAACAAGAGAGACAAATAGCATTTACCCTCAAGAAGCTTAGAATCTGTGAGGAAACAGAGGTACTTTTAAAGGATAGAAATTATAAAAATAATTATCCATTTATAGTTGTAATAAGTTCCTCAAAGCAAAAGCAGAGTGTACAGTGAGAGCATGAAATATAGACGACTGACTTAACCTGGGGTAATTTCCTGAAAATTGATGGAAAAAAGTTGCTAGTTAGAAGAAAAATATTATGGGGAAGGAGAAAAGAATATTGCAGCAATTAAGCTTAGCATGTAAGAAGACAATAAAACAGGAAGGAGTTTGCTTCCAAGCAAACAAACTAGGCTCCTGGAAACAGTGATCAAGGGGAAAGGGTGTTTCTGAGGACTCTGGGTGATTGACAGGAGGCATGTTGTAAAGTTATCTTTACACTTTTTAAAAATTTGGAACACATAACAGGAAGATATTTACACTACAAGCATTTGAATAAGATTGAAATATCTACATGTGCCGGGCGCGGTGGCTCACGCCTGTAATCCCAGCACTTTGGAAGGCCGAGGCGGGCAGATCACGAGGTCAGGAGATCGAGACCATCCTGGCTAACACGGTGAAACCCTGTCTCTACTAAAAATACAAAAAATGAGCCGGGCGTGGTAGCGGGCGCCTGTAGTCCAGGCTACTCGGGAGGCTGAGGCAGGAGATTGGCGTGAACCCGGGAGGAGGATCTTGCAGTGAGCCGAGATCGCGCCACTGCCCTCCAGCCTGGGCGACAGAGGGAGACTCCGTCTCAAAAAAAAAAAAAAAAAAAAAAGAAAAAGAAAAAGAAAAAAAGAAAAAAAGAGATATATCTACATGTTAACAATGTAATTCTAGCTATTCCAGTGACAGTTATTGATTTGGAAGAGAAGACAGGATTATACAGTTAGAAACTTGTTAGTAGATTATTGCAATACTTCCGTGTAAAAAAAAAAAGATAAATTGTTTCTTAGAGAGAGTGCAGATAGTGATGGTCTTTCTTTTTCCTATGCGTATCTGGATGTAATGCTTGAAACAGCTGCAGCCATCCTGCAATCCGCTGAGGATGAAGCCACACAAAGAATGAGCAAGCAAAAAGAAAGAAAGAACCTAAGTCTTACATAATGTCATTGAGTCCTAGAATCAATTAAGCCTGACGCTGCACTAGGATTTCTAGCAACCAGAATTGAGGCCTAGTAAAAAGACCTCTGTGGTAGCATACAGACTTTAGCGAAAGCTGAACAACTGAAATTTCTTCAGAAGTTAAGATTTCTTCCTGTGTTAGAAACTTCCGTAGAGAGTTATAAGCAATGCCTTGAAAGTTTAGAATTTGAACTAATCCTATTCAAATCTAGAGTATCAGACGCTGTCTTGATCAGAGGCTCAGGCTTGATCTTATAAATGAAAGGCCATTATAAATAGGCAATTATAAAGAACACTGGTTTACAGTTAGAAATTAATAAAATATATTCTTTCTATCTGAAGCTCCTATAAAATGAAAGACTGAAAAAATATATTGGATATGTCAAAATCCAAGAGAAATAGTTGATGATGATAATGACGTGATTTAGTGTCCTGGATTTTCTCTTTACAAGTCCAGAATTAGCATGAAACAAATACCTTGCACTTGGGAGCTATTCTATATTTGTTGTTCAGGGCGATCTTACAGATTGTGAAGTTGATGAACTCCTCCAGACAATCAGGGTCCAACAGAAGCACTGACTTAAACTTATCAGAGAAGAATTAGCACAGCTAAAAAATCAGATATTGAGTGAATCTTAGTAAGAATTGATGAATCAAGAGCACTCAATGAAGAAGGAAAGATTTGCAGAGAGCTATGACAGTAAGTCACCAAGAAATTGACATGGAAGATGAAGAAGCAGGTCTCCATGAGGGTATTTAGCTCAGTATGCAAGATAGTTTCAGAATATATTTCAAGATAGTTTCAGAATATGTTTCAAGATACTCCACAGACATCAGGTATAAATATTATTTCAGAAGAGCTACAGAAGAGAAGAGAAGCCTACTTAGAAAAGTAATTACTTTAAAAAATTAAAATTATATAGATACATAGATAGCTAAATAGCTAGATAGGTAGATGCTTAGATACATAGATGTAGGCTTGGGATATAATGGCAGCAATTGATCTCTGGTCAGAGCAAATTGATTGGAAAGGAGCATGAAGAAGCTTTTTGGCGTGATGAAATATTGTATGCCTTGATCGGATTGGTAATTATATTGGAGTATAAATTTATCAAATTCAAACCTTACAATTAAACTATGTACATCTTAGTATGTAAGTTATGCTTCAGTAAACGAAAATTTTGAAAAAGTTAATTTATTTCATGTAAAAAGTTGACAAAGAAAGAGAGGAAAAATAAGTATGATTCAACTTCTGTTGCCTCAATAACTGTTCTGAAGAGTAATTTCAGTGAGGAAAGATAAAGCTTGGTGATGTGTGGTAGATTAGGGGAGAGGATTTTTTCACTTATTGAACTTTTTGTTCCTGAGATTATACAGAGAGACATAAGGAATTGGATCTCAGAGAAAATTGTAGTTCAGTTATAATCCTGGAAAGACTGACGTATGTGGTAATTGACAACCTAGGGATAATGTTGTGTGTGATGAATGTGTCTAGAGTTAGAATACAACAATGAACAGAGAAAAAAACCTAAATTCAGATCTGGGGGACTTTCAATATTTTAACATTAGGCCAGAAAGAGAGACTAATTAGGCAGCAGCCATAATGATGAGAGAAAAACAATTTAAATCTCAGCTTTCAATAAGGAGAAAATGACCAAATCAATTAGGTCTAATAAAAATACAGAATTAATGAAGACCAAAAAGTGTCCAATACTTTTAGGAAATTGGAAGTTATTAATGATTTCAAGTTTAGTAGCTGCAAGGGTATGTCATATACAGGGAAGCCTATAATTCTTAAGTCTAGAGATATCAGAGAATGTTTAAATGCTGATGGAAGTTATCCAGTACAAAGTAAGAGGATTAAAGATACAGGATAGCAAGAGATAGATAAAGGTTTAACCTTATTGAAAGAAAACAAGGGGCTAAGATTCAGAAGAAAAGTAACATACGAGACTAGAGACGGGCATTTTTTTTTCATTTTTATTGGAGGAAATAATAATGATAAGTAGAGATTAAGGTAAATGTGTTGATTTGAAGCCAAAATTGCAGAAGTTTTAACTGGATTACTTTTATTTTCTAAATGAAGCGCATTACAAGGTCACCTTCACAGTGTATGGTTAGAAAGTGAACACAGTACGGTTGGTCTGATAGCTCCAGGGAGATGGGGGAGTGAGCTAATGACAGATTACCTTGTAGAACTGAGGATATGTTTGAACTCTTCAGTGAATTTCTTTACATTTTTACAACATATAAATACACGGGGATAAATGCAACTAAAGTTCAAGTGTGGCTTTTTCTTAGACAATAACATTTTAGTTACCTAGAATTTCCATATGGAAATAGAAGGATTTGCTTGTCACACTAATATTTTGTGCATATTGACTAAATATTTATAATGATGTGTTAAAAGTATATCTGGGGGATTTTAATTGGTGGAGGCAACCTAGTGCCAAAATAAAAAGGTCAATGCCATTGAAAGAAGATTTTATTACTCACATTTCCCAAGAGAAGGAGACATGCCAGGCCATATAGGACCACAAAGGAAATTCCAGGTTTGGTCAGCCAGAAGCAGGAGCAAGGGAGAAGCCTACACCAAATCCTTTATTGGGGTTTCTGCGGGAAAGGTAAAGCATGGCAAAGTAAACTGTTAAGAATTGGCTGGCTTGAATAATTTCCATGGGCAGTAGGGGTGATCTCCACTGGAAACTAATCCGCCAGTGATTTAGGGCAGGGAAAGTCTTGGGGTGTGAGAGTTAAGGAGGTGGTTTGGACTACAAGATTGGGATTGGTTGGTTTGCATATAAAAGACATGCTCCTACCTAGCCAACCCTTTTGCCATCTGGAATTGGCTAGACCTGGGAGTGGCAGTCTATCAACTGATAGCAAGTTCTTTTAGATGTCAAAAACATAAAATATAGAAAATTTAAAAACATAATTAATTTAAATGGTGTTAATTTACATTTTTGTGTTAGTTTTCTCTAAGAAATTCCAATCATTTGTTTTAAGTCAAAAAGAAAATGAATTTTGAATTTTCCAGGAATTCTGAGGACAAAGAGCAAAGGATTTAAAATAATTTTGAAAGAAGTGATTACACTGACAAAAAGTGAAATTTAAGGTAGGTAGGAAGAGACTGTTACAGCAGGAGATAAAGGAGAAAATGACAGGTGGGTTTCCGAGTAAGAAAATTTGAAGTGTTAGAGATTTTGTTCAGAAAATGGGATGTTTGACTTACTGATTCTGTGGGTGATAAGTTTTGAATATTGACAGGTGGAAAGATTTAAGAAAGGATAACTTCATTGAAAATAAAGTGTCCAAGGATATGAGAGGTTAAATTGGGTGCATCATCAGTGTGGAATTTGAAGACATCTAGGATGATGACAGAAAAACTGTGTTAGAGAGAAAAGATTACAACTGAGTGACTGAAGTTTTTAAATAATGAGAGATGGCAAGAAACTATGTATCAGAAATAAGAAGACAAATATAATTTTATAACCTAGAGTCTCAGTGGAGTGGGGGATGGATAAATAATATAATTAGAATGACTTTGGGATCAAGACGTTGATGTACATATGATGTGAAAGGATGCACTTAAAGCAGTACAGGTAAGTGGTGTAAGATGGTCATCATTTGCATTTCAGAGATGGAAATAAAATTCAGAGATGGAGAAGAAAGAGAACTTCAAAAAATATTTCCAGTAGGAATTCTGAAAGACATAAAGAAAGATTTAGCCAGGAGATGAGGAAGTGGGAATTGGATACAGAGCAAGAAAGACCAAATCATTTAAAGGATTACACTAGACTAGAATATAAATAACAGGAAGGGATGTTACTACAGTGGTCATTGATCCATAAGAGATGCATTAGAGTCAGCATAGATTTTTTATTGATGATGCTTTGGCAGGTTTGTATTTATGACAAATTTTCTGCATTCTGAGAAGGAAGTCCTGCTGTTTGTTATGAAGTAAAGTATGATTTTCTTCTGTAGGAGTTGGCATCTGCATGGGTAAAATAACTATGAGAGGATGACATAAATGCTTTTTGGTCACTGGAAGAAACAAAAGTTCTCTAAGAATATAAGCCTCAACTTCAAAAGAAATTCAAATAAGATTCTTGTCAGTGCATTATTGTTAAAAGTCCATATGCTAAATATTATTGAAATTATAAATCATTCTATTTCAACATAGAATTTATTAATCCTGTCTTGATGTCAGCTTCTTGGAGGATTCAAGCTAACAAGGATACCAATTTTCAAAACACTATTAGAGATAAGAGCACTATAGATTCTAAAGAATATGATGTCATTGAGTTTTAACATTGGGCATATTTTGTATGCCAGAGTAGGCATATACTTTTGATAATATTCAGTCTCTAAATTTGTCACTAAATAAACCACGTTTACATTACTATGTTTAAATATAGCTTTCAAGAAGTAGTAGAGTAATGAAATTATAGTTTTATCCTAAAAAATGTAACTAAATTTGCCAAAATGATCTTCAGTAGGTGTATACGTGAAATCTGTCATGACAGTCAAAAGATGCCTACAATATCATTTATTGCCAAATAATGTATTAGAATATTAATTTAGGAAACTTGTAATTTTACAAATGTATTTTATGTAAGAATGTCATGGAAACTAAAGCAAATATGTCAAACAGTTGATATATAATACATCCTCACAAAAGTATGTTTTAATGTGTCCTTTTATGTAAAAATTGCTTTTTTGAAGCTAAAAAGAAACCATGGAGGTCAAAAATAAGATAGGCATGGAAAAATAAACTTTGTGAAACAAAATGTAATTTCCACAGAAAATATTTGCAAAAGATATCTGATAAAAAACTGTTATCAAAAATAGACAAAGAACTCTTAAAACTCAATACTAAGAAAACTAACAACTCATTTAAAAATGGGCAAAAAGATCTGAACAGACACCTCATCAAAGAAGATATACAGATGACAAATAAGCATATGATATGATGCTCCACATTGTATGTTACTAGGGAAATGCAAATTAAAACAACATGAGATATCATCACACACCTATTACAATGGCCAATATTCAGAACACTGACAACACAAAATGTTGGCAGGGATGTGGAGAACCACGCATTCTCATTCATTGCTACTGGAAATTTAAATAGGCACAGCCACTTTGGAAGAAAGTTTGGCAGTTTCCTATAGAGCTAGGTATCTTCTTATCATATCATCCAGCAATTGCATTTCTTCCTATTTACCTAAATAAGTTGAAAACTTACGTCCACACGCAAAAAAACACACAAAGATTTATAAAGGCTTTATTCATAATTGCCAAAACATGTTAGCAACTAAATGCCCTTCAGTAGGTGAATAGATAAATAAATTATGGTACATCCAAACAACGGAATATTATTCAGCATTAAAAACAAATGAGCTATCAAGCCATGAAAAGATGGATTAAACTTAAATGTATATTACCAAGTGAAAGAAAGTGTATTAGTCCATTCTGCATGGCTAAAAGGATTACCTGATACTGGGTAATTTATGAAGAAAAGTTTATTTGACTAGCAGTTCTGCAGACTGTACAAGAAGCATGGCACCAGCATCTGCCTCTGCTCAGGACTTTGGAAGCTTTTACTTGTGGTGAGAGGTGAAAAGGGAGTAAGTGTGTTGGATGGCAAGAGATGGAGCAAGAAATGAGGACAAGAGAGATGCCAGGCTCTTAAATAACGAGATCTCACATGAACTCATTACTTCGGGGAGGGCAGCAAGCCATTCTTCAGGGATCTGACCCCATGACCCAAACACCTCCCACCAGGCCCCACCTTTGACATTAGGGATCACATTTTAACATGAGATTTGGAGGGGACAGGTATCTAAACTATATTGGAAGGCAATTTGAAAATGCTACATACTGTATGATTAGAACTATAAGATATTCTGGAAAAGGCAAAACTAGGAAGACGGTAAAAGGATCACTGGGCCAGGCGTGGTGGCTCACGCCTGTAATCCCAGCACTTTGGGAGGCCAAGGCGGGCGGATCATGAGGTCAGGAGATCGAGACCATTCTGGCTAACACGTGAAACCCCTTCTCTACTAAAAATACAAAAAATTAGCTGGGTGTGGTGGCAGGCGCCTGTAGTCCCAGCTACTCAGGAGGCTGAGGCAGGAGAATGGCGGGAACCCGGGAGAGGGAGCTTGCAGTGAGCCTGGGCGACAAAGCGAGATTCCATCTAAAAAAAAAAAAGGATCATTGGTTGCTAGGGGCTGGAAGGAGGAGAGGGATAAAGAGGTGGAACATGGAGGATTTTTAGGGAGTCAGACTATTCAATTTGGTTCAATGACGTATTCAAATTGGGGTAATGATGATACTATAATGGTGGAAATATGGTAGAAACATGTTATGCACACTAAGAGTGAACTCTAACATAAAAGTTTGGGTGATAATAATATGTCAATGTAGGTTCACCAGTTGTAACAAATGTGTTACTCTGTTGTGGGATATTAATAATGGAGAAGGCAGTGCATATGTGGGAGGAGATACATGGGAACTCTCTGTACTTTCTGTGCAATTTGCTGTGAACCTAAAAGAACTGTTAAAAAAAAATAAGGTCTATTAAGAAATCATTCAATAAAGATAATCCTCTGATAAAGTAGGATTCAAACATACAAATCATAACGTAATCTATGCCGTTATATGTAAAAACACCCCTCAAACAAATGGGCTATCCATGAAAAAGCTTAGAGTGAATTAGCTGGAATGGTAATGTATCACCATTAAACAACAACAAAAAAAGAGGCTGGGCTCGGTGGCTCACACCTGAATCCCAGCACTTTGGGAGGCTGAGGCAGGCAGATCACCTGAGGTCAGGAGTTCGAGACCAGACTGGCCAACAAGGTGAAACCCCATCTTTACTAAAAATACAAAAATTAGCAGAGCATGGTGGTGGGCGCCTGTAATCACAGCTACTTGGGAGGCTGAGGCGGGAGAATTCCTTGAACCTGGGAGGCAGAGGTTGCAGTGACCTGAGATTGCACCACTGCACTCCAACCTGGGCAACAGAGCAAGACTCTGTCTCAAAATAATAATAATAATAATAATTGCCTAAAAATTCATTCTTCTACCTATCTAAATATCAAATTCAGATAAACAGAATTTAGAACTGTCTCATTCTCTCCACCATGCAAAGAAGGAAGCATTAGCTGTACCTTTGAAAACTCTTTTCTTACCTCCAACTATCTGTTTTGCAATTATGTCAATTCACATATGCTGCATCCATTATTGAATTAAAAATGTAAAATGCAGGCTTTGTCACAAACATCCCCATTCAGATTTCAATGAAATAATCCAGGATTTGAGCTGCTTTAGATGTGTATTGTTAACTTAAAAAATAAATTGGGAAAGAAGAGGGGGCTTTATTTTCCATAAAGGGTTACAGTCTGCAAGGCAGCCAGCCATCCTGCAGGTTGGGAAGCATAGCCTCCAGCAAAGACCAGAGACAGGCACTTCAAAGGAGGAGTGGTTGGGGTAAGAGTTTTATACTGAAAAAGTTTGTTCAACATACATATTCAACAGGTTATAGGAGAGGCTATGAATATTCATGAAGGTGGTCCTGACACATGCATATTGAACAAACATGCATGTAAAGTATGACCCACGTTAACCTTGGGGTGGAGATTTAACATTCAAATACATTACAAATAGGCCCAAGAAGGTATTTTCAGGACATGAAGGCACATAGGTGTGCAGCCTCTGTAAACTGGCCAGAAGCAGTCCGTGGTTGGAGGTCTTCTTATCAGGAGAAAGCTACTGAAATCAGTCTCTTGTGCAGTCAAAGCTGTAGTTATGGCTGGTGGAACAGGGGTTCAGTTAACACCTGTGAGTTGCATAAGTTGTAATTGTTTTAATATTGCTTATCTAGAGGTCAGTGCTTATTTAGCTACTACAGAAAAGGAAAAGCCTCCTAGCAGCTGAAACAGTTTATTTATGTCTAGGAGTGTGTGAATTAACCCTTGCCTGGACATGGTCTCAGGTCCTCTTTATAATTTGGCATCTTACTGCCACAAAGAGTGTCTTCTGTCATTGTTACGGCCTCTGTTTGAACATGAATGCTTGACAGTTTTTGTGTCTAAACTGGAAAAGGAAGGACCCCCTGTCCTGTCATAGGCAGGAACTCAATTTTAAGGATGTTTATGACCAAGAGGGGGTCCAGTCAGTCAGTGGGGAGGGGGTTAAGATTTTATTTTTAGTTTTAGTTTACAATATGCTCATCTAATTCCTTTACCTTCTTCTTTCTGTTCTATGATGAATGCGCTTTTATAATATTACACTTGGTCATGTGCTTCGTAACACGTTTTGGTCAATGGCAGATTCCACATATGAACTTGGTCCCATAAGATTATAATGGAGCTGAAAAATTCCTATCACCTAGTGATGTAGCCATCTTAACGTTACAGTGCAACATGTTACTTGTGTTTGTGGTGATGCTGGTGTAAACAAACCTACTTCACTGCCAGTCATATAAAAGTATAGCACATATTATTATGTACAGTACATAATACTTGATGATAATAATACAAGACTAAGTTACTGGTTTATGTATTTACTATTTATACTTTTATCATTAGCGTGTACTCCTTATAGATATATAAAAAAGAGTTAACTGTAAAACAGCATCAGGAAGGTCTTTCCGGAGGCATTCCAGAAGAAGGCATTATTATCATGAGATGACAGCTTCATGCATGTTATTGCCTCTGAAGACTTTCCAGTAGGTTAAGATGAGGAGGTAAAAGACAGTGATGTTGATAATTTTGACCATGTGTAGGCCTAGGCTAATGTGTTATTGTCTCTGTTTTTAACAAAAAAGTTTAAAAATTAAGAAAAGTAAAAAAGGAAAAATAGAAAAATGTTATTAAATAGAATATAAAGAAAGAAAATATTTTGGTACAGCTGGACACTATGTTTATGTTTTAAGCCAGATATTATTATTAAAGAGTCAAAAAGTTTAAAAAATTAAAAGTTTATAAAGTAAAATGTCACAGTAAGTTAAAGTTAATTTTTATTTCAAATAAATTGAGTGTAGCCTAAGTGTACAATGTTTATAAAGTCTCCAGTAGTATAGAGTAATGTCCTAGGCCATCACATTCACTCACCACTCAGACTCCAGAGCAACTTGTAGTCCTGTAAGCTCCATTCATGGTAAGTGTCCTACACAGGTGTACCATTTTCATCTTTCACACTATATTTTAACTGTATCTTATCTATGTTTTGATACATTTAGATACTTTAACACTTACCATTATGTTACAATTGCCTAACATATTCAGCACAGTAACATGCTGTACAGGTCTGTAGCCTAGGATCACTAGGCTATGCCAGATGGCATAGCTGTGTAGTAGGCTATAACATCTATGTGTAAGTACACTTTGCGATGTTCACACAACGATGAAATCATCAAATGATACATTTCTCAGACTGTATCCCCATGTTTAAGCAAGGCATGAGTGTATTTTCATATAGTGTTAAGGAAGCCATAAAAGCTAATTGCAGAGGTGAATTTCTATCGCCCATAATATCAGGAATTAATACTTCTGATGTGACTATTTACTGAATTAAGTCATGGAGATCTTTTAGCTAAACACGTATCTCTTTTCATTAAGTTCTAGATGCCATTTGAAGTTTCAGGTTGCTGACTAAATGGAATATCTTCCTCATTAGTGTCTCTCAGGATATCACTTTCCTTATTAATGCCTTAGACAAATAGAGCATTAAGCCATTGATTACATTTGCTCCAGTTTAAATAAAAGCACATGTAATAGAAAGTACATTTTGATGGTGTGTAAGATAGAATTATCCTAGAGCTTAATAGGGAAGGTTCTGTACTTATCATCAAGAATGCCATGGTATTGAATTTTGTCTAGGATAAGGATAGAATGAGCTATCAAATAATTTATAAAATGCTATTTATAACCTCAAGTTTAAAACCCTAAGACAGTCCCCAGGGCCAGCTTGTTTAGAGTTATAACTTGTAAATTGATGACAGAGACCTGATTTAACCGGTTACAAAGTCCCACTTGGCTGCATAATCAATGGGGCAGAAAAGACCTCACTAAAAAATCCTGCTCAAGCTCTTGAGAAACCAAAATTTCTCACACTCATCTTAGTGGTTTATACTCCAGAGACAAAGTGTGTCCTGTGTAACTGAGAAAGAATCCTGTGGAGCTGTGGACGTCTCTCAGCTCCTGATGACTGCTTGTGCTTTCTTTCTCCCGCTATACTATATTTATTACCTTGATTCAAGCCTATCATTAGTACCCCCTGAGAAGTCTTGCGACTGCTTCCAAATACCTGACCCTGGTGAAATTGTTACAGATGGCTTTAGAAAAAATAGTAATAATTTCTTTAGTATTGAGCTCCAAGTACATTTCTCCCAACACTAAATTTCCATTAGAAATAAAATGTTTTGGGGCTGGGCACAGTGGCTTTCGCCTGTAATCCCAAAACTTTGGGAGGCCGAGGCAAGCGGGTCACTTGAGGTCAGGAATTGGAGAGCACTCTGGCCAACACAGTGAAACCCCGACTCTACTAAAAATACAAAAATTAGCTGTGTGTGGTAGCTAGTGCCTATAATCCCAGCTACTCAGGAGGCTGAGGCAATAGAATCGCTTGAACCTGGGAGGTGGAGGTTGCAGTGGCCCTAGATTGTGCCACTGCACTCCAGCCTGGGTGACAGCGGGAGACTCTGCCTTAAAGAAAAAAAAATTCAAAACATTTGACAAAGGTCAACACTTTCTTTTGCTAACAACCACAGCTAACTTTGTAATCAATGGGAAGAAATGGAAAACTTTTCCTCTAAGATCTAGTACAAGGCAAAAATGTTCACTTTCATTACTTCTATTCAACATAGTACTGACATCTAAATGAGAAAGTAAGAAGTAAAATTCTTTCTTTATGCAGTTGATGTACTGCATATGGAGAAAGCTCTAAAAATTTCCAAAAACAATTTAGAACTAACAAATGCATTAAGTAAGTTTGCAGGATACAAAATCAACATACAAAAATCAGTTGCTTTTCTTTATACCAATATATCCAAAAAGGAAATAAAAACAACTTCATTTACAATAGGATTGAAGATAAAATATTTAGGAATACATTTAACCAAAGAAATATAATCTTCATGCTGAAAACTACAAAACATTGGCCTGGCACAGTGGCTCACGCCTGTAATCCCAGCACTTTGCGAGGCCAAGGCAGGCAGATCACCTGAGGTGTGGAGTTCGAGACCAGCCTGGCTAACATGTTGAAACCCCGTTTCTACTAAAAATACAAAAAATTATTCGGTCATGGTGGTGTGTGCCTGTAAACCCAGCTACTCGGGAGGCTGAGACAGGAGAATTGCTTGAACCTGTGAGACGGAGGTTGCAGTGAGCCGAGATCACGCCATTGCACTTCTGCTTGGGCAAGAAGAGCAAAACTCCATCTCAAAAAAAAAAAAAAAAAAAAGAAAAGAAAAAACCACCTATAAAACATTAATGAAAGGCTTCAAAATTTATTTCTCATTTCTAACTGAAACTTTATACCCTTTGACTAGCAACATCCCATTCCCTTTCTGCCTCCCAACACCCAGTCTCTGGTAACCAACATTCTACCCTCTACTTCTATCAGTTTAATATTTTTAGATTCCACATATAAGTGAGATCATAATCTTTGCATAGCTTATTTCTCCTAACATAAAATATTCCCTGGGTGTATCCAAGCTGCCACAGATGGCAGAATATCCTTCCTTTTTAAGGTTGAATAGTAAGTGTTCCATTGTGTGTGTGTGTGTTTGTGTGTGTATATGTAGATACACACACACACATATATATACCATATTTTCTTTCAAATAAATAAAAAGATATCTGTGTCCATTGATTTGAAGGATAAATATTGTTAAACTATTCATACTATTCCAAGCAATATACAGATTACATTATATATATAATATGTAGATTACAGAATTGGAATTTTGCTTGCAAAATTCCAATGACAATGACATTTTTTAAAGAAGTATGAAAAAAAAAATTCTAAAATTTGTATGTAACCAGAGAAGACCCTGAATATATAAAGCAATATTAAACAAAAATAACAAAGTTAGAATCATCACACTTCTGATTTCAAGTTATATTACAAAGCAATAGTAATCAAAACAGTATGATACTGGCAAGAAAACAGAAATATAGGTCAATGGAATAGAATTGGAAGCCCAGAAATAAACCCAGACATATACAGATAACAAGTTTTTAACAAGGCAACCAAGAAGTCACATTGAGAAAAAGATATTCTTTTCAATAGATGGTATTAGGATAACTGGAAACCCCCAAGCAAAAATTTAAGTTAGAACCTTACTTCACACCACAAACAAAAATCAACCCAAAATGAATTAAAGACCTAAATTTCAGACCTGAAACTGTAAAACTCCTAGAAAAAAAAATAGAGGAAGAGTTATTTATCATTGGCCTTGGCAATAAGTATTTTGGATATGACACCAAAAGCAAAGACAAAGAAGCAAAATAAACAAATGGGACTACATCACATTAACAAGCTTTTGCACAACAAAGGAAATAATCTACAAAATAAAAAGGCAGCCTACGTCTTGGAAGAAAATATTTGTGAATGACATGTCTGATAAGGGGTTTGTATTTAAAATATATGAAGAACTCACACAAATCAATAGTAAAAGATAAAAAACCGAATTAAAACACGGGCAAATAATCTGATAGACATATTTCCAAAGAAAACATTAAAATGGCCAACAAGTATATGAAAGTGTGCTCAACATCACTAATTATCAGGCAAATACAAATCAAATCTCAATGAGGTGTCTCCTCACATCTGTTAGGACTGCTATTCTCTAAAAGACAAGAGATAGCAGGTGTTGGCAAGGGTGTGGATATAAGAGATCCCTTGTGCACTACTAGTGGGAATGAAGATTGCTGAAGTCATATGGAAAATAGTATCAAAGTTCCTCAAAAAAGTGAAAATAGAACGACCTTGCCACCCAGCAATCCCTCTTCTGGAAATATGTCCAAAGAAAATAAAATCACCATTTCATAGAGGTAACTGTGATTGCATATTCATTGCAGTAGTATTTACAGTAGCCAACACATAAACAGAACCTAAGTATCTGCTGATGGAAAAATGGATTTTAAAAATTGTGAAACACATACACACACACAAGGGATATAATTCAGACTTTATAAGAAAGAAAAACCTGCCTTTTGCAACAACCTAGGTGAAATTAGAGGACAGTATGCTTGTAACATAAGCCAGACACAGAAAGAGAAATCCTGAATAATCTCACTTATGTATGGAAATTTTCTTTTACAAGTTAAAAACATAGAACCAGAGAGTGAAACAGTGGTTACAGGCAGGGTGGGAGGAATGCGGAAATGAGGTCAAATGAGACAGAGCTATAGTTATGTAGGATGAATTAACCTAGGCAGAAAATGTACAGGATAAAACTATAGTTAGTAATATTGTATCATATAGTGGAAACTTGCTGATAATTGATTTTAGTGCTCTTATCACGTTCTCCCTCACCCCTCCCCCAAACACACACACACAGAGTAACTATGTGAGATGATGGCTATGCTAATTTTCTTGACTGTAGTAACAATTTCACTGGATATACCAAAACATCATGTTGTATACTTTAAATACATAATAAAAGTTTAAAATATAAATAAACACAATAATATTTTTAATTAAAAAGGAAAAACATTTTAAAAACACATGAATACACACACAGAAATCTTATTTTTCATTTAAAATATAATGGAGTGAAGAATTAAGGTTCCGGACCGTTTTCTAAAGAAGACATACATGCGGTCAAGAAGCATATGAGAAAAAGCCCAACATCATTGATCATTAGAGAATTGCAAATCAAAACCTCAATGAGATGCTATCTCACAGCAGTCAGAATAGCTGTTATTAAAAAGTCAAAAAATAACAGATGCTGGCAAGGTTGCAGGGAAAAGGTAACAGTTATACACTGTTTGGGGAAGTGTAAATTAGTTCAACCATTGTAGAAAGCAGTATGGTGATTCCTTGAAGAGCTAAAAGCAAAACTACAATTTGACCCCGCAATCCCAATACTGGGTATATAGCCAGAAGGATAGAATTCATTCTACCATAGACATAAACATAAATGTTCATTGCAGCACTATTCACAATAGCAAAGACATGGAATCAACCTAAATGTCCATCAATGACAGATTGTATAAAGAAAGTGTAGTACATATACACCGTGAAATACTATGCAGCCATAGAAACAAAGTCATGTATTTTTGCAGGAACATGAATGGAGCTGGAGGCCATTGCCCATAGCAAATTAACAAGGAAACAGAAAGCTGAATACCACATGTTCTCACTTGTAAGTGGGAGCTAAACGATTAGAACTTATGAACATAAAGAAGAGAAATAGAGACACTGGGGTCTCCTTAAGGGTGGAGGGGGAAGCAGAGAGGGTAGCAGAAAAAATATCTGTTGGGTACTAGGCTTAGTACCTGGGTGATGAAATAATCTGTATAACAAATGCCCATGACACAAGTTGACCTGTGTAACAAACCTGCACGTGTACACCCAAACCTAAAATAAAAGTTAAAAAACAATTAAGGCTCCATATTCTCCGTTCAGCCTATGATTAAGAGCCTGAAATTCACATTCTAAGCTAGATTTTTATCTGACAAGGCCTCTTATTAACTCTCTGACCATGGGCAAATAATATAATATCTCTATGCTCAATTCTCTTTTATGTAAGATGTGGATAACACTAGTATCTAACTCATAAGTGTCTTGGAGGAATATACTAAATAACAAATTAGAACTCTATAGATAAGCGTATCATAGCATTCAGATATGTCATTATCATTTTTAATAAAGAAAATCTGGTCCTCTTTATAATCCTATAATGTATGTAGACAAAGCCATAAACACCAGCAGCTAATTATGAGCATTTTTTTAAATTATTTTCTAGCTACTTCATTTTCTTCCTGAGGCAGAAAAATATAGTTCCTCAGAGCAGGTGTTAAAACATTCAAGCTTGCCATACTGCCATGAACCAAAAAAAGGACAATCCAATTTCTGTATGAATTAACAGCTTGTGGGATTCACTGGATAGAGAAATTCAGTTTCTTTTATCCACATCCAGTTATTTACTTGGAATATCCAAAATAGTTACAATATGCATGTACTTTGTTCTTGACACTACTCAAAGGCTACTAAGGACATAAAGTCTTAAATAAGGAATATATGTTTCACATTATTTAAGCACAAATTTGGGCTTTGACAAATATTGACAGATTCTATTGATTATGCAAATAACGAAACATATATAGCGTACTATATCGTTCAAAAAACCCAAACTTTTCATCACATGATGCATATCATTTGACATACAGTTTTTATTATATAACAGCACATACCATTTTAGCCCTCTGCATTTTCACTATAGATTTACCATGCACTCTGATAGTAACTCAAAACATCATATGCAAAAGACATTTATTATGGTGCCATTGAAATTATCAAATAAATTGTGAATAAATCATAAGTTCAAAACTAAAAAAAAATTAGGACACAGTAGTATATCTACTTATTTTAATAATTTATAAAACCAAAAATGATAGTTTTCAAGAATATGTTAAAATTTCTTCCATGATAACCCCATGTATAAAATAAAAAGGAAAAGTTGCAAATATTGGATCCATACTACGATTAGAACCAGGTTAAAAATAATTGAAAATGTAAAAATGATTAATATGGCAAATTTTATGTTGTGTGTATTTTACCTTAATTAAAAAAAATAATTGAAAAGACTTTTCACTTCTGCCTAGGATGTAGAATGCCGGAAAAAGTTTCACTGTACTTCAATCACAAGTAAAGTGCTAGATAATCTTTAAAATATATCACATTTCTGAAGATAGGTAGGAACAATAAGAATCAATGGGGGGAAAATGGTAACAGAGATGAAGAAAGACTTCAATGAATTCATCAGAAGATTCAATAAGAAAAAAAATCATCCATTTTGATGACAGGTCAATAGAAATTACCAAAACTAAAACACAAACATTTTAAAAAGTGAAAAAAGATTTTTAAAAATGCAACATTCACACTTTGTGGAAAACCATCAAATGGTCTTACATACATATAATTGGAATTTCAGAAGAAGAAAGAAACAAAGGAGAAGAAAAATTCTTGAAGAGAAAATGCATTAAGGTTTCCCCAATATAATGACATTTTCTTAAATCCCAGATAGATAAAGCTCAGAGAACACAAAGGAAAGAAAAATACCAAACAGAAAAACTTCCCCAAAATGAAGCTATATATAACATTTACAAACTTGTAAGGAGAAAAACAGAAAATTCTTGAAGGCAGCTAGAGAAAAAGACAAATTATATATATATATAGGAACAAAGATAAGAATTATAGTAGACTTCTCATCAGAAGATATGCAATATAACTATCAATGAGGCAACATCTTTAAAATACTAAAATAGAGAAATCGCCAACCCAGATTTCTACATCCAGTAAAAACATCTTTCAAAAATGAAATTACCAGGAAATATGTGGTAAGCACAACGTTTGAAAGTTAGTATCTAGTATCTAGATAGTAACTTGAATATATCAAAAAGAAACTAAGATCACTGAAAATGATTAAAATGAAAGTAAATGTTAAGAAAAAAGTTCTCAAATGTAATCATTTTAAAAGATAGTTGAGCATTTAAAGCAAAATATCATCAATGTCCTCTGGGTTTAGAGCTTTTGCAACAGTAAGATCTGTGATTATAACAGTGCAATAGAGGGCTGGGTGCAGTGGTTCACACCTGTAATCCCAGCACTTTGGGAGGCTGAAGCAGGTGGATCACGAGGTCAAGAGATCGAGACCCTCCTGGCCAACATGGTGAAACCCCATTTCTACTAAAAATACAAAAAATTAGCTGGGTGTGATGGCACGTGCCTATAGTCCCAGCTACTCAGGAGGCTGAGGCAGGAGAATCTCTTTAACCTGGGAGGCGGAGGTTGCAGTGAGCTGAGATCGCACCACTGCAGTCCAGACTGTTGATGGAGTGAGACTCCATCTCAAAAAAACAAAAAGTGCAGTAGACAGGAGGGAAAAATTAGGTGGATCATATGTAAGTTTCTTACATTACATCTGAAACAGTATAATATTATTTACGGAACTGTTCTGATTAATTAATTAAAGATAGATTTTAGACCCCAGGTAGGTCTTCTATGAAGATCTTCTAAAAATTAAGAAAACACATAAGCCATCAGTTATGAAAATATTAAACATAATCAGTTAATTCAAAAGAGAACAGAAGAAAAGAGAAACAGAAAAGGTAAAAATGAAACAAATGAAAGATGGCAGATTTAAATTCAATCATTTCAATAATCACATTAAAATAAATATTTAAACAAAATTTTAAAAGACAGAGAATATCAGAGTAAGTAAAGGAAGCAAGACAACTATCACTTATCCAAAGTAAACCAATTCTGAATATAAAAAGAAAGGGATAAAAAGGTGACCATGCAATAGTAAACAAAAGATCAATGGAATACCTCTATGAATATGCAGCCAGATGAAGTGAACTTAAAAGCAAGGAATATCTCTAGGAATTAAAAGAAACTGTATGTAATGATTAGGGGTCAATTCTCTAAGAAGAAACTCTTAAATTTATATGTATCTAATAGCAGAGTTTTATAATACAAACAACAAAAACTGATACCACTAAAAGGAGAAGTAGACAAATACAAAGTTATAGTTGGGAGCTTCAACACTTCCTCCTCAATAA
The DNA here is from genome assembly GCF_000001405.40 of Homo sapiens. Lineage (NCBI taxonomy): Eukaryota > Metazoa > Chordata > Mammalia > Primates > Hominidae > Homo > Homo sapiens. Next base: position 48,063,134 of record NC_000014.9, read on the forward strand.
TGGATGAAAGAGAAAGTTAGTAAGGTTGTATATGACCTGAAATATACATCAACAACCTTGATCTAATTTACTTTATGGGGCAATCTATACAACACAGCAGGATACACAGTATTTTCAAGTACATATGAAATGTTCAAGAAGATATATAATATTCTGGCTATAAAACAAATCTCAACAATTTTTAAAATTTAAAATAATATATAATATTCCATGGTGTATACATACTATGCAGCCATTAAAAAGAATGAGATCGTGTCTTTTGCAGGGACACAGATGAAGCTGGAGACCATTATCCTTAGCAAACTAACACCGGAACAGAAAACCAAATACCACATGTTCTTACTTGTAAGTGGTCGCTAAATGGTGAGAACACATAGACACATAGTTGGGAACAACACATACTGGGGTTTTTCCAAGGCTGAAGAGTGAAAGGAGGGAGAGAACCAGGGAAAATAACTAATGGGTACTAGGCTTAATACCTGGGTGATGAAATAATCTGTACAACAATGCCCATGTTACAAGTTTACCTATGTAACAAACCAGCACTTGTACCCCTGAACTTAAAATAAAAGTTAAAAAATACAAATTATGTTCTATAACTAGAATGGAATTAAACCAGATATTGAAAATAGAAACATAGCCGAAAAAATTTTGAATATTTTAAGTTCTATCAAAATGCTTCTAATCCCTTGGGGAATAAGCAGATTTCAGAGAATATTATAAAATATTTTGATTTTAATGAAATTAAAAATACAACATTTCCAAAGTTGTTAGACACAGCTTAATCAGAAATTCAAGGGAAAATTGTAGCATTAAATGCTTATGAAACAAGAAATATCTCTGGTCAATGATCTTAGCTTTCATGTCAAGAATCTAAAAAATATAAATGAGCAAATTAAGACCAAACAAGGTATGAGTAAGGATATTTTAAGCAAAAGAGAAAAAAATCAATAAATTTTTAAAAAGAAAAAGAATAGTGAATTTCAGTGAAACCAAACTCTGATTCTTTGCAAAGATTGTTAAAATTGATAAACCTCTAGTAAGAATAAACAGGAAAAAAGATAAAAATTTCCCATATGAGGAACGAACACAGAAATACAACTATAAATGTTCTAGGCAGTAATGTAAGCAAAAATTTCTGACAACATCATGTTCATATGTTCCACAAATTCCTTGAAAAAAAATACAAACTACTAAAGGTCACTCAAGAACCAATAGATTATCTGAATGTTTCTCTCTTTTGATGAAATTAAATTTGCAGCCAAAATGTTTACAACCAAGGAAACTGCTAATCTAAATTACTTCACTGGCAAATTTGCAGACATTTAAGAGAAAACTATATAAATTTAAAGAAATTCCTCTGGAAAATACTACTCAAATATCAAAATCAGACAAATAAGGCAAAAGAAACTGCATTGACTTAAACAATCCTCAACCAAATATTAGCAGGTCAAATGTTGTAATATATAAAAAGGATAATACATTATAGCTGATTTCATTCAATGCTAAGTAGACAGGTTTTGTTCAACTAGATAAAAGGAATCTATCAAAAAGGACAAGAAGAGAATGTTAAAGTGAAGGAGGAAAAGGAAGAAGAAAATGGAGAACAAGGAGAAGAATAATTAAAGCCCTGACTACAACATACTTATTGGTAAAGGGCAGAATGCTTTATCTAAAATCAGAAACTAGGTAGTGACATCCATTTTCATTACTCCTATACATCATCATACTAGAGATCCTATCCTATTCAATAAAGCAAGAAAAAGAATGGCAATACATACCATGTTTACAGTTTGAAAGACTCAATATTGTTTACAGGTCAATCGTCCACAAATTTATCTATAGATTTAAGGCAATACCAATAAAAAATCCTAGTAGTACCTTTTTTAGAAAAGAAATATCCAAGTTTATATGGAAAGGTAAACGAAATAAAAGAATCAAAGTAGTTTTGATGTAGAAGAACTAAGTTGGAGGTTTCACAGCATAGCATATGCACTAGTAGAAATCGTAAGAGAACATGGTGCAGTTGGAGAACAGAAGTTTTGTTATATGGCAGAATAATTTGGTGAGGCTGACAGTTTTCAGTGCAATACCACTTGCATGCAGATGACTTTAAAACCTGTATCTCCAAACTAGATTTTGCTTCTTAGCACCAGAATTACAGATTTATTACTTCTAAGTCAGCATTTTCCTCTCTGACAGACAAACCTCAGAGATACTGCAAATTTGTTTCCAGCCAGCAATAAAGTAAATATCTCAATAAGGTGAGTGAAGTATTTTTTTGTTTTCCAGTGTATATAAAAGTTTTTATAATATACTACAGTCTCTTCAGTGTGTAATACCATTATGTCTAAAAAAATACAATGTACACACCTTAATGAAAGTTGGGGTGGCTATGGCAATTTACTAAAATAAGAAACAGTGAAGTTTGGCACATCAATTGACTCTTCTTTCCACAAAAGATTTCTCTATAGCATGAGATGCTTTCTGACAGCATTTTATCCACAATAAACATTTCTTCAAAATTTGAGTCAGTCCTCTCAAAACCTGCTGCTGCTTTCTTAGCTAAGTTTACATGATATTCTAAATCCTTGGTTGTCATTTCAACATGTTCATATTATCTTCACCAGGAGAGTATCAAGAAATATCTTTCTTTGCTAATCCATAAAAGTCAGTCCCCATTCATTAAAGTTTTATCATGAGATTTCAGCAATCCTAGTTATTTTGTGATTTCTACAACATCTGCAGTTACATTCTCCACTGAAATATTGAACCTCTCAAAGTCATCCAGGAGAGTTGGGATCTACTTCTTCCAAACTTCCATTAATGTTGATATTTTGACCTCCTCTAATGAATCAAGAATGTTCCTAATGGAATCTAGAATAGTGAATCATTTTCAGAAGGTTTTCAATCAACTTTGCTCAGATTCATCAAAGGAATCACTATTTATAGCAGCCATAGCCTTATGAAATGTATTTCTTAATAATAAGATTTGACAGTCAAATTATTCCTTGATCCATGGGCTGCTGAATTGAAATTATGTTATCAAGCCTGAAAACAACATTATTCTCCTTGTACATCTTCATCAGAGCTCGTGGGTGACCAGGAGCATTGCCAATGAGCAGCAATATTTTGAAGTGAATCTTTTATTCTGAGCAGTAGGTCTCAACAATGGGCTTAAACTGTCCTGTAAACCATGCTGTTAACAGATGTGCTATCATGTAGAATTTGCTGTTCCATTTTTAGAGTGCAGGCAGAGAAGGTTTCACATAATTCTCAAGGGCTCTAGGATTTTCAGAATGGTAAATAAGCATTGGCTTTAACTTCAAGTCACCAGCTGCAATAGCCCCTAACAAGAGAATCAGCCTATCCTTTGAAGCTTTGAAGTAAGCCATTGACTTCTCTTTTAGCTATGAAAGTCCTAGATGGCATCTTCTTCCAATAGAAGGCTGTTTGTTTACATTGAGAATTTGTTGTTTAGTGTAGCTACCTTCATCTATGATTTTAGCTAGATCTTCCAGATGACTTGCTGCAGCTTCTACATCAGCACTTGCTGCTACAACTTGAGCTTTTATGTCATGGAGTTGGCTTCCTTTCTTAAACCTCATGAACCAACCATAACTTTTGACTTTTCTTCTGTACCTTTTTCACCTCTCAGCTTTCAAAGTGTTAAAGAGAGTTAATGACTTTGCTCCAGTAACTTTTCCTTTGCATTCATAACTTAGCTAACTGTTGGGTACAAGAGGCCTAGCTTTGTCCTACCTTGGCTTTCAACATGCCTTTATCACTAAGCTTAATCATTGATAGCAAGCACTTAAGGGGCATTGCAGGGTTATTAATTGGTTTAATTTCAAAATTGCTGTGTCTCAGAGAATAGAGAGGCTTGTGGAGACGGAGAAAGACAGGAGAATGACTGGTTGGTGGAACAGTCAGAACACACAAAACATTTATCAATTAGGTTCACAGTCTTATGAGGGTGCAGTTCATGGCACCCCAAAACAATGACAATATTCACATAGAAGAACACTACTCATAGATCACAATAACAAATATAATGATGGTGAAAGAGTTCAAATATTGCAAAAATTTCCTAAATGTGATACAGAGACACAATATGAGCACCTGCTGTTGGAAAACTCATGACAATTAGACTTGTTTGATGCAAGGTTACCACAAACCTTTAATTTATATTTAAAAAAGTAATCTGCAAAGTACAATAAAACTGAAATGCAATAAAACATGATATCCCTGTATCTCAACTCAGTATCTGTAAATCTTTGTCCAATCACCCTGCTCTCAACTTCTTCTTTTTCTATGTTCTCACTGTTGAAATTAGAGTATATCAAAACAAAAGCAGAGGAATAATTTTTTACTTCTCCCAATCTCCACATATTATTCTCCCTAATTTTATTACTTTTATGTAAGCTCTAAGTTTATCTTCTCTCCATGTGTCTCTCTTCCTTGTTTAGACCTTCACTGTTTTACTTATTTATTATAAATATTGATAGAATTTTAACCTGCCTCCAGTCTTGTTTCCTCTAGTAATCTTTCTTAGTCATGTAATTCAATCTTCTATTTAGACACCAGAACGTGCTTGTGTTTGTGCATGTTTTTATATTATTATAAAATACTACCCTACAACTCTGAATTTTAAAATCTCTCAATAGAGTACATTCTTTTTCCAAACACAATTTGTGTCATGGCATAAAATATCCTTTATGATAAAATTCCTGTCCACATTTTGATGGTTCACTTCTTGTGCTTGCTTATATTATATCAATACTGAACTATACCCCATTTTTTTGTTGTACCATAAGCTGGGCTTTTACACCATATGTTGAATTAATCCTCTTCCTAGAACTGTTTTCTTTTTTCTTCATTATTTCATTGTCTAACATGTCCTCATATTTCAAGCTACAGCTCAGTTTGTACTATTTTGAAAGTCTCCTATACTTCCCTAATATGAACTTTGATCTAAATGGTCTGTAACAATTTAGATGGTTTTCTAAGGATATTGATTAATGACTCTGAACTTAAATTTCTTCATCTGCAAATGAAAAGATTCTTCCATGAAGAAATAACTCTGAGAAGTTAAATGAATATGGATTATAAAGTTGTAAAGTTTCTAATGTGGTGCATGATGTTTTCCAGTGGCAAGGATAAAACTGGAAATAAAGCTTTTAACAGAAAAGTTCTAGGAAATTGTGTGTTCAAACAGCCAGAAAATGTAGCTGTGGTTTGCTATGGGGCCATATATTGGAGATAACACTGTCAAAATCTATGTTTAAAAAGTTTAATTGAAATCATAACATTGGATAAAACTATTGAAAGAAATTGTGTGCGTGAAAATGGCAAACCCAAAACAGAATTAATTATAGAACTGGAAGGGCAAGACAGGAAGTGAATAGAAGTATCATGGATAATAATAGCTATGAAAAAATAGACAAAAAAATAGGAATCAGGAGAGTCCAATCTCTTAGAAGATTGGGGAGAACAGAATTTCAATAAAAATAGAAGAGAAAATAGTATCAGAAAATGATGAATGGTCAAGGAAGAAAAAAGCAAAGAAGAACATTAGTTTTCGCAAATAGAATACTGGTGACTTTGGTCATGCTTTGTTAGGTAGGGATGCCCAATATGTGAATGAATCTGCTTAAGAAATGAATAGGGCTTGAAGGGTTGGAGACAGGCTTACAAAATTTTTACTACGAAAGAGATGGTGGAAATGCAATGCTAGCCAGGGAGACAACAAATGAAAAATGTTTTGTTTGTTTGTTTTAGAAAGATCTATTCAATTTCACAAATTGGAAAGAGATTATGTTGTACATAAAGTAAATTAAATGAATGTATGGCATTAATACCATTTAACTTAAATCCTAAGATTCTTCACTGACAATTTTAGATTTTGTTGTTTAGGACTCACTGCATTTTTTTCTTCTTTTTGTTGTTGTTTTTTAAACCTCTTTCATACACCTGAAATACTACTTCAAGAGTATGCACACAGTTTCATATTTGGAAATTGGTCTTGAACTTTCTGAAGACTTTCAAATTTATAAGATGACTAAACATCAAAAACATATATTGTTTGTAAAAAAAATTTCTTGCATGATTTTCATAGCTGAAGAAGGAAGTGATTGCTAATATATTCCAGAACAATCTTGTATCACATGGGCCAAATTCTCAAATAGAAGGTTTGAGGAGTTTTCTAAAGTCTAGAATAGCAAATTAAACATTATATAAAATATAATTCCACATGTCATCACAAAAGAGATTAGCCTCTGGAACATGTTCTTGCCCAGGCCTTGGTAAATGTGTAGAAGTGATGAGACCAGACTGTTCATTGTGAAAATCAAACATGTTATCAAAGCTTAGGATCTTTATATTTGTTTGGCAGCTTATGTCTCTGTTGTAGGAAGTGCCACTTAAATTCAAAACACTAAATATGATTACATTTAACAAAGAGGTTGAGGTTGTCATTTTCATTTTACCTGAAAATATAATATAGGAAGGCTGAAATTTCTGTAGAGCAGTTTGTCAAATTTTAATGTGAGTATAAATCATCTTTGGAATCTTTTAAAATACAGATTCTGTTTCAGTAGGTATGAAGTAGGGCCTTAAATTAGTTACTTCTAATAATCTCCCAGGTGATGTCAATCATTTTGACCTTTGGGCCGTACTTTGTAAAGCAACAGGCTAATACATCTTGAGTATCTAAATGTCAGCAATCTGTACAAATGTAATAGAATACATTCAAAGAGGACAAAACTATGAAGGAACAGTATTTTTAAGTCTCTTCCTACTGTTTTCTACGTCCCAGCCCTGCTAAAGCACATCTATAATATGCCTAATATGCCACCAGGTGGAGTAGAGCTATGAATTCCAAAAGCCTGTTTAAGAATAAATAAAAGATTGCCATTCTAACTGGTGTGAGATGGTATCTCATTGTGGTTTTGATTTGCATTTCTCTGATGGCCAGTGATGGTGAGCATTTTTTCATGTGTTTTCTGGCTACATAAATGTCTTCTTTTGAGAAGTGTCTGTTCATGTCCTTCACCCACTTTTTGATGGGGTTGTTTGTTTTTTTCTTGTAAATTTGTTTGAGTTAATTGTAGATTCTGGATATTAGCCCTTTGTCAGATGAGTAGGTTGCAAAAATTTTCTCCCATTTTGTAGGTTGCCTGTTCACTCTGATGATAGACTGGATTAAGAAAATGTGGCACATATACACCATGGAATACTATGCAGCCATAAAAAATGATGAGTTCATGTCCTTTGTAGGGACATGGATGGAATTGGAAATCATCATTCTCAGTAAACTATCGCAAGAACAAAAAACCAAACACCGCATGTTCTCACTCATAGGTGGGAATTGAACAATGAGAACACATGGACACAGGAAGGGGAACATCACACTCTGGGGACTGTTGTGGGTTGGGGGGAGGGGGGAGGGATAGCACTGGGAGATATACCTAATGCTAGATGACGAGTTAATGGGTGCAGCACACCAGCATGGCACATGTATACATATGTAACTAACCTGCACATTGTGCACATGTACCCTAAAACTTAAAGTATAATAATAATAAATAAAAAATAAAAAATAAAAAAAGAAAAGAAAAACAAAGAAAAGAAAAATAAAGCCTAAAGATCAATAACTCAAAAAAAAAAGAATAAATAAAAGAAAGAAAGAAATCATAAATATATCTCAATTCACAATCTTGAGAATAATTTTATTCACAATCTTGGTAAAAACTGGCACAGAGGTTCTCAAGGTGCTATTTTTCTCATCCACTACATGTTTTAACTAATGTATAAATTATAATTTATTGGACAAACTTCATTCCAATTCCATTAATGACAACAACAATGTTACCGATTCTGTACTAAGCTATTTCAGTAATAATACTGCAAGGAAGACAATATAATTATTTTTACTTTACAGATGAGGAAATTGGGAAATGGAGATGGCCAATGGCTTTCCTAAGATCTTACACCTAGTAAAGAGGAATGATTGATCTAAAGGCTCAGTATGTCATGGCAATGAAATTGTATTTTATTCTGTAGGGTATGGGAAATGAAAGATGAATTCCTGTTTTTAAAAGGTCATTCTGGGTGCTGTTTGGAGGATGATTTGAGACAGAGAAAGAAAAGAGGCAGGAAAATCAGTGAGGCAGTTATTAAATAATCCAAGTAGAAACAGTAAGGCTGGAACAAATGACTTGACTGAATATGGGAGAAACACTCATATTCTGGGGATACTAGGAATTTAGGTAAGACTGGATGGCTGATTGGTCCCAAGATGTGAAGATAAAACAGACATCAAAGATGACTGATGTCTTCTGTGGGCAACTAACTATATGTTGGCAGCCTGCATGCTGAATTGTTATAAGAAGACCAGTTACGGGTTGGAAAAGATGGGGAAATAGCAATGATCAGTAAAGCTTTAGACATGCTAGAATTAAATTTGCCTCTGAGACTCAAATATAAATATCCAGTGAAGAGTGTGATATAAGTGTCTGGGACTCAGAGGAAAAATCCAGTTGACTGGCAGATTTAAGAATCAACAACAGGAATATGGTAGATGTAGATACTGGATGTAAATGAAATCACCCAGAGATAATTTAGAGACTATAAAAAAAATTGTTCGAAGACTGAACTACCAACATGTCTGATGTGAGGGTCCAATACCCTGTAAAAATTACATAAACGCAAAAAAATTAAGAGCGGAGAACATTTCAAAAGGAGGTTGTCAGCAGTGTTAAATTTTGAGTCAGATGATCATTTTAGGTAAGATTAAGCTATGGTAACTAGAAAATTTTTGTCTGTTATTAATTGCAGGCAGCTGACAGATGCTATATTGAAGTGGAATAAGGAATAACTGGAATGACAGACTGTTGGGACCATGAATATTAACTACTAATTGCAGCTATAACAATGGAATAGCAAGTAAAAGACTATTTAAGATAGTAAAAACCTGTGTGTGTATGTGTGTGTGTATGTATGTGTGTTGTCAAAGAAAAATTGCATCTAAAGAGTTATATAGGCAAAGAAGACTTTATTCAAGTCTCTTACAATAAGGGGTCAAGATTATTGCAGTAAGGGAGAGAGACTGAACAGAAAGACACTGAAAGAAAACACAGGAGCGTTTTTAAATACTTGGGTAAGCTAATGGAAAAACACTGGAGGGCATTAGGAGGAGGTTGGTCAATAAGATGAAGCCATCTGCATTTGTTAATTGGCCCTTAAATTAAGCTCCTACTTTCCTCCAGACACTGGGAAATAGAGGCCCTGTTATTATCTTTTTTGATTATAACACTTCAAAGAAATGGTCCCCAGATCCTTGAAAAAGACATTTCTGTATGGCATAAGATTTACATCTCAAAGGAGAAAGGAAAGAATTTGTAATGGTAAGTTTTCTAAGTCAAATGCTCTACAAAAATAGAGGTAGGGATCCAATAGTCAGAAAGAGTTATGTCTCAAGTTTAGTTGGGCTGAGGGAAATCTTAAGGTGGTCTTGGACAGCGTATGCGTGTGTGTACAAACTAAGACGAGACATCTTAAGCTAAGGGACTAGTACCTGGGTGGAAAGTTCTTTGGAGTGAGTTTTCAGAGGAAACAAGACGGTGTGGGGGTCAAGATTTGGCAGGATAAGAACAATCTATTTCTTTATGTTTGTAAGAAAGCACGAGAGTGGGTGCCAATATAGTGACTTTTATCTAAAAAGGCAGAGGAAGTTCCCAGTGATGAGCCTAAAAATGATTTTACTTCAATCGTAATCTATACTTAAGTGTGAACCTATTTAAACTATTTCCTAAATTCTGAGATCATGTAGAAAGAGACGAAGGTTTTAGACGAGAAAAAAAGAGATAATTTTGCAATTAGAGAGATGTCTGATAGATGGAATAACTTTATAAAGCCCTAGGACAAGATGGAAGAGCAGGTAAGTAAGAAAAAGGAAAACCTTACAGGAAAAAATAAGGAATTTACAGGAAAAATGAATTAGTTAATTCAAAATATATGAGGCTGAAATAAATCAGAATATTTTACTGCAAAATATGTTTCTTTGACATGTTTTGAAATGGCTGCTGCAGAGTCAGCAAACAGAAGTGGCCTTGCAAATCTGTCTTTGTGGGGAAAATTTGTATCTTTAGAGAATCTCCATTAATATAACCATGCCTCTCCTTTCTATTTATTTCTGGGATCCAGGAGAGATTGAGAGTCTGACATGTTTAAAAGTCTGAAAAGAAACATTTACCATCTGTTCTCTCTGAGGGAAGCTTCATCTACATAACAGTGCCACCTTTGATAGTCAAGCTTCTCCCTTACTTTCCGTGATAACCCATTTTGCCAATAAACCTGATTTATCAACATAACCTGCTTGGAGCCATGCTCTGTGTCTGCATTCTTTACTGTGGCCTCAGGTATTGTAAACCAAAAAGTATCTGAGATAAATCTCAATCAATTTGGAAGTTTATTTTGCTAAGGTTAAGAACATGTCCATGGCATAGCCCCAGGAGGTGCTGACAACGTGGACCAAGGAGGTCAGGCTACAGCTTGGTTATACATTTTAGGGAGACATAAGACATCAATCAATACATGTAAGATGTACATTGGTTTGGTCTGGAAAGGTGGGACAACTCAAAGTGGAGGCTTCCAGGGTATAGATGAATTCATAGATTTTTTGATTGGGAACTTGTTGAAAGAGTTTGTCTAAAGACCTGGAATCAATAGAAGGGAGTATCTGGTTTTATTCAGAAGCTCCTGTGTATATACATTAAATAAATATGATTGCCTTCTCTCTTTTTAATCTACCTGATGCCAGTAATTTTTCAGTGAGCCTTTAGGGGTTCAATAGCCATGGCCCCCACATGACCAACTAAGTGTAACCAGACTATGTGCAGGGAACATAGATGGCTAGGAGAGAGACAGACAAGCAATGAACAACAGATTGTGCAAAACAAAAAAAAAAATCATTTGGTTATATTGGGATGAGGGTTACATAACAGAAGAGGATAAGAGAGCAAGTTTTTTTCCTATAACTGAGTATTATACCTTTGCTTCCCATCAGAAGAGAAAATAAACCTGTTAAGCTGGAAAAAAGCCATAGCTGTTTAAAAAAAAAATTGACCAAGCCCCTGACTTCTCCTTAAGCCTTCTTATACTGATTATCCTATGCCCATCACTCTGCAAGAACAGCACAGATCTGTGAAAGAAAAAGAACTAGCTTCATTTAATTAAACAATTTCTTTTTCTGCTGTTTCCCTCCTTCTTGTCGCTGAGTAATGTAAGAGCAGGACAGAAGTAATTCAGGAAACTAGCATTTTGATTATGTCACTAAATAATGTGTAACTTTCTACAAATTACCTAGGTTATTTGTACTATAGTTTTGTTATCTGTAAAATCAGGTGTGGGCTAGGATGTTCTCTAACGGAACCTTTCATGTCCGAAACTTTGTGGTTCTTGCTATCTACATATCTATGTATTAGTGCTGCCCCATGATACCTTCAAAGAAGAATCTGCTTTTCTAAATATAGTACTTGTACCTAAGAACACTATGAAGACTATAACGTAATAAATTAAAATTAGGTTGTAAATATTTCAGTCCTTTTGTTAACCAGTATTTCAACCAATAATCACTAAAATTTTTTCCTTCCTTCTTTTTAGTCTCCTTATCTTTGAATAAAATTTGAAATGCGTCTGTTTCAGCCTATGCCACCTAAAGATTTTAATTTTCACAGAACAGATGAGACTATATTTTCTGGTGTTACTCTTTTAACCAAACACTGGATGAATATAAAAATCTCTACCAAAACTGTGTACAAAGTAAATATAAATGTTTTAATGTTGGTAACGGTTTAACATAAAATCTTCTGTGAATTCACTACACAGGTTTAAAAAACAAGAAATAAAAACAAACAAACAAACAAACAACCAGAAAACCCAAATCAAAGCAAACCAAAAAAAACCCTTGAAGAATTAGCATAAATCATCAAACATGGTTTGAGTGTCCTTTGTAACAGTAGATTACAAGGGGGTTAGTTAAAAATAGATAAAATAATAAATCCAGAAGAAAATTCTGTTCCTTTAGGAATCAAGAAAATAAGTTTTAACATGGTGGGCACATTCAATCCACTCTATTGCTCTAGGTTGTAGACCCATGAGAGGAGTATGAAGGCATGACAAGCAAGCTTCAGAGGCTGCGATCACTTATGATCGTGCAGCTAGAAAGATTAAAAACAAGGCGTCCCTGAAGGGCTCAGAGTGGAAGACAGTGAAGGAAATAATTTGTTGAAATTGTTTAAGAACCTTTCCTAAGAAAACAAGCAAGCAAGAAAGAAAGAAAGAAAAGGAGAGAAAGCAAGAAAGAAAAGAAAGCAACAAAGAAAGAAAGAAAGGAAGGAAGGAGAGAGAAAGAGAAAGAGAAAGAAAGAGAAAGAAAGACAAGAGAAGAAAGAAAGAGAAAAGAAAGAAAGAAAGAAGGAAGGAGACAGAGAGAAAGGAAAGAAAGAAAGAAAAAAGAAAGAAAGAAGAAAGAAAAGAAAGAAAGAAAAAGAAAGAAACAAAGAAAGAAAGAAGGAAGGAAGGAGAGAGAGAAAGAGAAAGAAAGAAAGAAAAGGAGAGAGAGAGAAAGAATGAAAGAATGAATGAAAGAAAGAACGAAAGAAAGAAAAAAGAAAGAAAGAAAGAAATTAGCTGGGTATGGTGGTGTGAGACTGTGGTCCCAGCTACTCAGGAGGCTGAGGTAGGGGGAAGTTCTGGAGCCCAGGAGGTCAAGGCTACAGTGAGCCATGTTCGTGCCACTGCCCTCCATCCTGGGCAACAGAGTAAGACCCTGTATCAAAAACAAAACAAAATCCTTTTCTTACTAAATTTCATTTAGAAACACAGCATAAACTTTCATCCTTGTACAATTGTTTTTAATTAAAATATCTGAAACTTTCTGAAATAGTTTTAATAATGATGAGCACAAAACATGATTTCAGCTATTATTTTTTATTACATACATCTTCTCCTTTTTTTTATATTTATAACAAAGTCATTTATAGTGGACTTGCCATTCAACTTGTCTTGGATTGTTTTTTATAAAGATATCTACTGACCTTTCAGTATTTTCAAGCTTTGTTCATGAACGTTTGTTAGTATAGATACCTATTAAGTATCCTGTGTTGTCTTGAATTATAGAAAAGAATATGTGTTTAGACAACAATTAATAAGGGCAAAATACAATGTTTATTTTATAGTCTTATTATGGTACTTCTGAAGGATAAAGGCCTATGAATGAATGGTCCTGGCATTTCCCCAAAGGGTACAGTGTTTAGAAACCTCTGGTAAAGCCATGTACTATCAGTCCTACCTACTCAGTGCCCTTCCTTTTAGTAGGATCTCACTTTAGAACTATTCTGGAATCAGAGCTTCTCAAATATTTGGAATATAAATATTTCTGAAATGAATTATTTAGCCAGCTGCCTGCTTTACACACAGGATGAACCATGCTTTTGACTTCTTTGATGTAAGCCAGGCTTTTAATTTTGAGCTTCACTATAGTGCAGTAACATCCTACCAAGCCAAGGAGGCCCTTCATTGAACATCCCCAGGTTCCGTGTTTACATCATTCTGATGCTTGTGCTTGCTTGCTTTTATTCTGTAGTGGGATTCTCTCACTAGCACCCTTTGGTTTCTGTAACACTATCATTTTTTATGCCTTTCACTTACTCTTTGTAATGAGAAAGGCTGTTATTAATGTGACTAGCCCAAGATCAACTAATACGTATACGATAGGCTCTTGTATAATGGAAAGCCTTGAATTATTCTACATTTCGTTTGTTGCATGAATAGAAGCTTAAAATAGCTTAAGAACTTGGGATCTGGAACCACATGACCTGGTTCAAATTGTTATCCTGTCAGTAGCTATATGAAATTGGCCAAATTACTTAACCTCTATGTCCCTGGGTATACACATCTGTAAAATTGGGCATGAATAATATGACACACTTAATAGGTTTTTATAAAAGTTACCTGAGTCAATATTTATCAAGTACTTAAAATGACATTTGTCACATAATAAGTACAAGTAGGTATTTTTATCTACTTAAGTTGTACTGAGATTTTTGCTTTTCTTCTGTTTTCCCAATGGTATTTAAAAATTAGAGCTATCAAAAAATGCTTCTGCTAAATCCCCTTATTATGCTAAATAAATGTCCCTGAAAGTTATTTAAACTGCATGCATTAGAATTCAAGGAAAAGAAGTTCTTCTGAACTGTAAGTGATGAGCAGCTATAAGGCAACTTTAGGTAGTTGTCTTCTCTTACAGAATATGCTTGTGTCTTTTCCCTCACTAGATTGTGAGCTTATTGATTATGTGGACTTTTCATTTCCTTTTATGTGTTGTAAATTTTTATAGGATTTATCAATTTTAGTGCCTTACTTGCACATGGCTTTCCTTCATGAAAAATTCTCCTGCCAATAGCCCTGATTTTCTGAAGGAACAAGCTAAACAAATGTTTTCTGTAATGTGAGTCCCTGCAGATATGGGTATATTAGTTATAAGATACAGCCAGTGACCAAGATCATTGAACAAGGTAGGCTTGAGATATAGGCATATTGGTTAAGGACAGGCCAATTAAAGATTGATGATGTGATCTGGATACAAGAGCTCTCTCCAAATGGGAATGCTGATGATTAGCTCAATTCATTATAATTTTTTTTAAGTATTTGAATTGGGATATGGTCTGCATGTTAGAGTCTCAGTAAGAGTTGAGGGAATAAATATAACCCCACCTTTTCTTCTTACTCTATTTTTAAGTATCTCCTTAATTTTACTTACTAGTAATAATTTGAATAGATGTTTGTTAAAAATGTCTTTTAATACTTGTACTTTGAAACAAACAATAAGACATGAACAGGCAACTCATGATGCATTAGTCTGTTGGTTTAATTCCTTAATATATAAAAAGCTTTTGAGTGAAAATATTTAACCAAATTCCTGACACAACTATGTTCCATGGCTGCCCTTCTACCTTTCCATGTGGGGATTGTAAGATCCTGAAATTTTTTAAGAACATATTTTATTAACTGATTCAATTTATTCAATAAAGTTTGTCCTAATCAGAGTTTTTATGTGTTTTGGTCAGGTTTGGTAAATTGTACCATTTCAAGAATTTGTTAATTTCATCAAAATTGGCAAATATATTGGCATATAATTATAAACAATTCCTCTTATTATGTTTTAAATATTTATAATACCTTTAGTTATGCTATCTGTTTTATTCATCTTTCGGTAACTTGGGTTTTCTCTGTTTTTCATGACAAATCTTATAATATGATTTTGAAAAAGTATTATCAACTAAAGTCTACATTTTACTCAGATTTCCTTGATATTCACCTATGTGGCATTTTCTGTTCAGAATCTCATTCAGGATAGTTTATTACATTTCGTTGTTAGGTTTCATTATTCTCCTACAATTTGTGACAGTTTGTTAGACTTTCTGTGATTTTGATCCCCTTGACTATTTTAAGAATAATGGGTGGCATTTTGTAGGAGATCCTTTATTTGGGATTTGTTAGATGTTTTTCTGATGATTACACTGGGATTATGGGTTATGGGGAGGAAAACCATAGAGATAATGTACCTTTCTCATTGCATCACTGTTGATGTTAAACTTGATCACCTGGTTGATGTAGTGTTTGTCAGGTTTCCTCTCTGTAAAGTACTCCTTTTTTCTCCGCTTTCTATACTATATGCTTTTACAGGAAGTCACTACCTGTCATCTACAATATGGAATAGGAAGTTAGGCTTCACCCCCTTAGAGGGTCTCTTAGTATTTCCAGTCCTTGTGTTTTAGTCAGTTTTGTGCTGCTATAACACAACATCACAGACTGGGTAATTTGTAAAGGACAGAAATTTATTTCTCACAGTTCTAGAGGCTGGGAAGTTCAGTATCAAGGTACTGGTGTCTATGAGGGCCTTCTTGCTCTGCTCTCACATGGCAGAAGGCATCACATGGTTGAAGGGCAAAGAGAGGATGACAGAGACCACACCTGAAAACTCTTTTATTAAAGCATTAAATCCAAACATGAAGGTGGAGCCCTCATGTCCTAGTCACCTCTTAAAGTTCTCACCTCCTAAAACTGTTACAATGATATTACATTTCAACATGAGTTTTGGAGGAGACATTCAAACCATAGCACCCTGTGATTAAATTTAATGAAATACTACAATGCAGTTCAGACAGGACTACTGGTGGTCCAAACCCTTTAAGAATTTGCCTAGTTTGGGTCACCCCACCAGTTAATAAACCGTGATGAATACTGAGGACAAAGGGAAATATGGAATGGGTGGAAGGAGATAGTTATAAATAAAGGCTAACAATCACATGACCAGTTACAGAAACTAGAGCTGTAACTTACATGAATTTTTAAAATTTAATTAAAAGCATGTTGTTGCATATGTGTGCAGCAATATCTTTGTTTTCTACCCACCTTTATCCTCTTATTATGTAACATAAAATGTATTGACTGTACATCATGTATTTGAATATTGTACATATATCTACATTGCATTTAAGTTATAGGCTTTATAACTTTACATTGCATTTAAATTATAGGCTATAAAGGAAAAGATTAAATGTTGTTAAGGACTTTGCATCATTTTCCGGGGAAAGACTTAGAGCACTTTTTGTTGTAGGCAGGATAGTTATATCATGTTAGGTGAAAGTATGAATTTGCTCTTTTTTTATTTGTAGATTAAGTATGATGTAAGGAGATGAGTATGGGTGGCACATTGACAAGGGGCAGACATGCGATGGTTAATTTTATATCAGCTAGCCTGGTCCATGTGGCTCAGATATTTGGTCAAACCTTTTTCTGGATGTTCTGTGAAAGCGTTTTTAGGATGAGATTAACATTTAAGTTAGTAGACTTTGAGTAAAGCAGGTTATCCTTCATAATGTCGATAGGCCTCATCCAATCAGCTAAAGGCCTTCACAGAACAAAGACTGACTTCCCCTGAACAAGAAGGAATCTTGACACCAGGTGGCCTTTGGAGTTTGTTCTTGACTCTTCTCTAGATCTCCAGCCTGCTGTCTATTACTGCATATTTTGGTCTTGCACCTCCACAGTTGCATGAGCTGATTTCTTAAAATTTCTCTGTCTCTCCACATACATACATACATACATACATACATACATACATACATACATACCCTATTTGTTCTGTTTCTCTGGAGATCCCTTATGAATACAGAGCCCTTAATATATTAATCATATTTGTTTTAAATTTTCTATCTGATAATTTCAAAATTAGTGTTCTATGAGAGTTGGCTTTGGTGATTGCCTTGTCTCTTCAGGCTGTGCTTTTTCTTGCCTGTGGCATACCTTGTAATTTTTAGTTGAAAGTTGAGTATGTTATATGAGGTAATAGGAAACTGAGATATATAGATCTTTAGTGTGAGGATTTATATTATTTTGATGAGGATTTAGGCTGTATTTAATATTTATTCCAGCCACAGATACCAGAGGTTTGAAATTCATCTAATGTCTTTCTTTCCGTCTGCCCTCCTTATCTTGGCCCTCCCTGAGTGCTCCTCTTCAGAGAGTGTCTGCATCTTGCAGTCCTATCATTCTCTGTTCAGCTATTGGTGTGGTTCTTGGTGGTTTGGTGATAAGGTGTGAGGGAAGAGGGGCTTTCTAGAATCTTCTGATGAAGTCTCAGTCTCTGATTGGCTTGTGTCTCAGGGCTGCAACTAAGAGACGAGAGAAAAAGGAACCAGTTAGGCAGAGAGCTACAGCAAGTCCTTGGTCGAATTCCTTTTTTAACAAAGGAACAGCTTGAAAGACTAAGCTGCAAGCAAAGATAAAGGGGCTAGGTCCACCATAAAAATGCCTTTTGTGTAACTAACAAGGGTCACAGACAAGGGGAGTTGCACAGAACCAGGCACATCCGTCCATCCACAGTGGAGAACTGCACCCCCTAAAACATGCACAGTAAGGGAAATTAAGCAACATGGAGTAACTTAGGCTAAGAATCTGCATGCACACGAAGTCCTTGCCCATGCCTATGGCCTGAATGGTATTGCCTAGGTTTTCTTCTAGGGTTTTTATGGTTTTAGGTCTAATATTTAAGTCTTTAATCCATCTTGAATTGATTTATGCAGCCATAAAAAAGGATGAGTTCATGTCCTTTATAGGGACATGGATGAAGCTGGAAACCATCATTCTGAGCAAACTATCGCAAGGACAGGAAACCAAACACCACATGTTCTCATTCACAGGTGGGAAATGAAGAATGAGAACACATGGACACAGGGTGGGGAACATCACATACTGGGGCCTGCCGGGGGGTGGGGGGAGGGGGAGGGATAGCATTAGGAGATATACCTAATGTAAATGACGAGTTAACAGGTGCAGCACACCAACATGGCACATGTATACATATGTAACAAACCTGCACGTTGTGCACATGTACCCTAGAACTTAAAGTAAAATAAAAAAAAGAACCCACAGAATGAGAGAAAATATCTGCAAATTATGTATCTAATAAGGGATATGTCTCCAGACCATATAAAGAGCTCTTATAAATTATCAATAAAGTCAACCTAAAAAAAAAAAAAGAATCTGCATGCACACTAAAAGGACAGGGAGGAGCTCTCAGGATTTCGCACCTTATGCAAATGAACCACTTAACCCTAACCAGTTTTTTATGCCTTATGTAAATGAAACATTCCTGTCTACTAACCTGTTTATAAAAGCCTTTGTATGCAACCGTAGAATGGCAACCCTTTTTTTTGTCTTCACTGCAGAGAGCTTTCTTCTTTCATCTATTAAATTTTCACTCCATCCTCACCCCTGTGTCCATGCTCTTTAATTTTCTCTGTGGTGAGACAAAGAACTGGGGTCCTACTTCAAACAATAAAATTTAAACATTGTGGTGCATTGTCAAGACTGCAATATAACTTTTCACAAATGTTTCTCCAGTGGTGTGGCTTGTGCATTCCCTGTCTCTTACTCCCTAATCTGGCTGTAGTATTCCAAATACAGTTCCTGGAATCCCTGATTCCTGCTGATTATATTTTTCCTCCTCTGCTTCCTTTTCCTCCCCACATTCATCCCCTCACCTCCATAGGTGAGATAGCAAGGCTGGAAAGAGCTGTGGTATAAAGTAATTTTCTCAGAACTGTTCTCTGGGCAAAGTCCTTTCTCCTGGAGATTAGACCTTCATTATGGGGAAGGTTGTGGAGATATTTTACAATGGTTACTCTTTCCCATCTCCTGCCAGAGATAGGAGGGGATCGCTCTTGGATCTTTATTGTGAGAACCAGATAGGGTTCATTGAGGAAAGGCATGGGATCCTGGTGGCTCCCCTAAGACTGAAACCCCCAAAACTTTGTGTCTCACTCTAGTCTTACACTCAGCCATCATCAGTAGGAATACATCATAACTGACATTTTAGTTTATGGCTACAAGGGCTTCTCTCCTGGGTAAGTGGATCTTGGCTGCGGTGTCTTTCTGTTTTTACCTGTTCCTCCAGGTTTTGCTGTACCAGTTGGCCTCACAACTGTAGTTCTTTGATAGGTTTGAAAAAATTAGTTTGTTTGAACTTTTCTCGTTTTAAACATAGGAATGATGACTACCAAGTTCTTTACATGATGGAAATAAAATAGGAAGGGCTAGGAAATATTTTCTTGTGGTCAAAGAAACAATTCTGATATAATTTAGTCCCTTCATTTTTGTTGATGTGTGGTTTACAAACCAGCTTATCTTCAATTTTGTGCATTTGAAAAGGATGTAAATTCTGTATTCTCCATTTGGGGTGTGGTATAAATTAGATCAAGTTTTTAATCATGTTGTTTAAATTTCCTAAATCTTTACATGAGTGTTATTCATTTATTCTATTATTTATTGTGTTGAATATGTTTATGAAGTTGACTATTTCTATTTTACTACATTTCCTGAGGATAAAGAGTTCATGCAACAGCAACACATATAGTAATTGCAAATCCGCATATACTGCATTATGCATATAATGGCTTAACTTCTATGTAGAATTGCAATTACTACATGTGTTGCTGTTGCATGAACTCTTTATTCTTAGGAAATGTCCCTATTTACCACTACTTATAATTTTTTACTTCAAATTTTATTTGTCTGATATTTATATAGCAACTGAACCATTCTGCTCAATGCTTGTTGGCATGAATTTTTTCATAATTCTACTTTTGGTCTTTCTTTGTCTTCATACATTTATGGAAAAGGCAATTGCATTTTATTTTTGTTTACTAGTTTGTTTTAATCAATTTCTGTCACCTTAGCCCTTATTTGGAATATTTAGTCTATTAACATTGCTAATTTTTCTGATTCAAGATTTAAGCCACTTTTGTGTTTATTTTTCCTTGAGTTCATAGAGACTTTTAAAATCCATAGGTTGGTATCTTTCTTCCATTGTGGAAAAGCCTTGTTCATTATCCCTTTAAATATTACTTCTATCTCATTCTCTCCTCTCTTTCTGGGAGCTCAATCACACATATGTATGAACATTTCAAAACCACATGACAAGTCTTTACACCCTTATCACATTTTTCATTTTTGTCCTTTCTGTGGATCTGTTTATATATGATGCATTGATCTATTTTTTAGCTCACTAATATTGTCTGTACTATTTCTGATTTATTTTTAAATCAAATTTTTAAGTTCCACATGAAATATTATACTCCAAGTTATGAAATATTTTATTCTTTTGTCTATAAATAATATTCTGATGAAATTAGTGTTTTTCTGCTTCATATTCTACTCTATTTTCTTCTAAATCTTGTCTGATGACTCTAATAGATGGTCAAATTTGTGTTGTTTCTACTGTCAGTTTTTCTCTTGTTTATCTACCATATGATACTGTCTCTTCACATGCCTGGTAATTCTTGATTGAATGCTGGGAAGCGTTGTTGTATATCATGCTATCTTTCTCCAGCAAGAGTCTGCTCTTTCCTTTGTAAGGAGGAAGCTGATTAGGTTAACTCAATCAGGTATGAAGCTGAGGCAAGGCTGGGGATTTGTTTTGGTAAGAACTAATCTACCACTACATTGTTCCTTTGCTTATAGAGAATGTCAAGGCATTCATTTTATGTGTTCACCAGGATGCCTCTCCCTGGAAGAACCTAACCTCTAATCTTTTCTCTTCAGCACTAGAAAACGATGGTCTAATTTCCTGAGATTGTAATGTTAGCCCTTTGACCTCCTGTGCTCTGTAGCATAGGAATTTGATAAATATCTTGAGGTGTAAAGTGATTGTATGTACCAATTCTGTTACTCCAGCTCTATAAAACCACTAAAAATTCTCCTGGTCCTGCTGGCCCCCAGCTGGAGCCCTCTGTCCAGACAAAGCCTAGACTCTCATCAATTTGCCCTCACCAGAAATAGAAAATATCTCCAGGGAGGAAATAGATGCTGACAATCAGTGTACCAATTTGTAATTCTCACATTTCAGAAATAGTCCCTTTTATTGAATATTGCTTCAAATATTTCTGATGCTTTTAAACAGGTATCTTAAAAAAGTTTTTTGAAAGTGTTTTCCTGCACATCTGCTGGACACTTTGCCATTATATTAGGCAATAGAAATCTGTTCATATAACCACCACCATTTGGTACGTCCAGCAGGGCCTGAAGCCTGCCCTGACCTAGATCTGTTGGTAACCTGTATCTTTTCTGGTTCTCCTTATTATTTCCCTTTGCATGATCCTCTCCAAAATTAAATATATTCATGCCATTCTTTCACGTATACTTATTTAATTTTTTAAAAATCTATGCTTCAAAAATCTATTCAAAAATAGAATAGCTTCAAAGTATTATTCAACCACAATAACTATTTTCTAGGCATTGACTAAAGGAAAAAAACCACAATCTCTGCATTCCAGTAGATAAATCTATGTATATGAAACAGTATATGGCTATTCAACATCTCACTTTAATCAACATTACTTTCACCATGACTGCTCCTCATAGTGCAACATACTATGTGTGTTAGGCCATTCTTGCATTGCTGTAAAGAAATAACTGAGACAGGGTAATTTTTAAAGAAAGGAGGTTTAATTGGCTTACGGTTCTGCAGGCTGTACAAGAAACATGGCACCAGCATCTGCTCAGTATCTGGAGGGGCCTCAGGGAGATTTTACTCATGGCAGAAGGCGGAGCATGCATCTCACACGGGGAGAATGGAAGCAAGAGGGAGTGGGAGGAGGTATTTCATACCTTAAACAGCCAGATCTCCTGAGAACTCACTACTGCGAGGACAGCACCAAGCCATGCAGCATCTACCTCCATGAACCAAACACCTCCCATCCAGTACCACCTTTGATATTGGGGATTGCATTTCTACATGAGATTTGGGCAGGGACAAATATCCAAACTGTATCACTGACGTCTCAAATTATACTTTTGTTTTCTAAAGGTATAGAGCTTATTTTGGTCTTACTGTCTTTAGTGTATAGATCATATTTCCCCGCTCTCTGTATAACTCTTATTCTTCCTTCAAAATTCTGCTCAGTAAATACAGCTTTAAATCTCATCTCTTTCTTCCTCTCATCCCTCCGTATGCTGATTAGGGAAAAAGAATCCTTTCAAAATAATACTTATTTCAAAAATTCACAATTGCTTAGGAAAAATAATTATTTCTACTACATATATAACAGTTTGTAATTTGCATCAAATTCCACATAATAGCTGGAATAGAATAGCTTCTATTAAGAGGTAAATGGAAATCATATTTTTAAAAAGTATTAGTTAATCTCATTATGTCCTTGGTAATAATTAATCTAAGTCACATTTGGAAAAGTATGAATAATTGCCAAATACTTTAAAAATTATATTTTCTTAACAAATTTATATAAAATATTTATTTACAGCAATATACTTAAATAGATTATTCTACTGAGTTGCAAGTCATACTGAATACTAACTTCTCGGGCAAAAAACAACTGTCTTCAATTTAACATATGGAGTAGCATTTTATTACTCTAAAACTTATTTACAAGATATTTTTACATATTAATTTGAAGACCAGATCATTGCTACCAAACTAGTAACTCCCCCTATTTTAGGTGTCATATTTGTCTATGAAATCAAATGCTTTTTGTAATACGAATATCTCTGCCCTCAATAAAGTGAGTTCTGTGGGTTAAGTTCTGTGGGTTGAACGAAGTTTCTATGCAAAAAAGGCTAAGTTTTTTTTTTTTGGCCTTAGCAAAAAATATTGTTGAAAATTTATATTTTTAGTATTTTGTTACATCCAATAATTTGGCAGGGAGGCGGGAGATGGTGCATCGAAATCAAGTGTACATTCCATAGTTCTGTTTCATATACAGGGGAGCTACTGAAACCAAGTCACGTAAAGGTAAATTATTGCTTATTGGAAGAAATTTAAAAGCAGCAAAACAAAACAAAAGCCACAGTGCACATATTTCCCCACTGTTCCATTGTAATACAGAGAGATATACTTCAACTGAGTATTGCTGAACCAGTTGAACCACAGAGAAAGCTTCAGAAGAGGAACTGAATCCACGTAAAACTGCATATTTGTAAAGAAAGCAGGGCAGAAGACATCTGGGAGACTGGGATCTCCTTGATCTAGAAAAGGGACTTGTTAAATAAGGGGAACTTCTGAAACTCAGTGCTTCTACCAAATTGTTTTACTTTGAGCTAACTCAGGTTTGCTGTGGCAGCTCCTTGATAATCAAAGAAAGGGAAAGCAGTGAGCCTTCAGGGCATCATTCTGATCTTTATATAACACTGAATTTCATTTAAAAACCTCTAAAATGCAGTTTTTAATAATTTCATAGTGCAAAGTTATGTTGAGTAAATAAACACATGTATAAACAAGTGTTCAACATCTATACCTCTTTGGCCAGACTCATTTAGATTAAGGTGTTTGGCTAATTTATTATTTCTAGTTCATTGAGGATTAATTCATTTATGAAGATAAATAATTTTCATTGTGATTGTATAAAAGAACAAAATGGAAGCAATGTAATTAAAATTTGCTTTGGAGATATTTTCAATAACGGGAAATTGGTTATTAAAACTTACAGTATAAATAACAAATTAGATCACTTTGAAAAGAGGTTTGGAAAGTTTTCTTGAAATTGTGTTATGCATGGCAAGTCAGTTTCAATGAGATTGTATATATATTTATATATATAAAATACTTTTTAAAACCCTAACAATGTTGGGTATAATTTTATTTAACAAAGAATTACATTGCTTAATTCACATATTAAATTCTAGGAACTTAGATCACTTCTGAGCTCTGCATTTTTTTCCAGGCATCTGGTACAATAAGATCACCAGAGTGCTGCCATTGTTCTTACTTCCTCTTTTTCTCCTACCAGGTTATTTAAATGCTCTCCCATTCTTGAAAAATAGAAATTGTATTTTCTTTTGTACAGGAAGACACATCCATTAGAAAGTTCCCTTAAATTGATATTTGCCTCCCTTCTCAATCCTCAATTCTAGCAAAGCTAATTATCCAATCTTGGCATCTGTGAAGAGAGCTCTAGCTTCTGAGCGCAGTCTGCAGAAAAGCGATCTGTGCTGTCACAGAGATAGTAACAACTTTTTATTCCAGGAGTTCAAGGTCTGAGAACTTTTAGGACAACCTTCATTAGTCATGAATTGCCAACTCGAGTTCTAGTTTCTTTTCCATGTTGGTGTCTAGGACTTGGAAATCTTTACAGCATTCTGAAGCCACTGAGAGGGCACTGGAGGACGTTCCTATAGATTGTTAAATTACACAAAGTGGTTGTTGTTTTAGGCTATTTTTAGAGTTTACAATGTCACCAAATAAATACCATCACAGCTCTAGCTCCAGTGATTTTCCTGATATGCAATGAATGCTTTGATTTTTTTTCCCAAAAGTGTATTTCAAAGAATGTGATAACTCCAACTATGGTAGTTCTTTGGTCTCTTTGTATTGCAATCAGTGGAGGGCTTTTTTTTCCCCCCAAACATTTATTTTAATGTCTATAAAAGTGGTCTTTTCAACGAAGTGGTGGACCATGTCGTTGAATGTAATGTGTCCTTTATTTTTTCAGTGTGAGAGCAGTTAATAGTTTTATCAGAAGAGAGTAATATATTGAACTTATTTTCTTTCTTTTTAAAAAATATTTTCAGATTTATTTTTGAAAATTTTCTACCGGATGAATTTAAACTATTTTTTCTTTGCATCCAAAATGCAAATTTTGGGATAAGTTTTCTTATTTCTTAAATTACCACAGGGATTTTAAGAAAATACCATAAGAGTTTTAAAGGCCAGTACTTTGGAAAGTGTTCTGCCACACCTCATGTGCAGATCATGGATATGCAGCTACCCATGGCAGAAAATTAATAGACCATCTTAATGACCCTCTGATTTTTCCTGTTGCTCAAGCAGCTGACTCAATCCCCAACAGCTATAATTAAATAGAGCAATCTGTCAAGGAAGATAGCTGTTCTTGTTAATTTGGTAAACCACCATATTCGCTTTTCCTATTACGCTCTGTGGCTGACACACAGTCTTTAGAGCTTTTTGCCAAAGCAAACTGCCAGGGATTAAAACTCTAAGCAAGCACCCTGTGGAGTACAGTTGAAGATGCTGGAGAATTGTGGCATCACCTCGCTATTTTCAGTTTTGAAACTAGATGTTCTTGGGGCAAATACAATAAAGAAATATGATTATGTTTTTAAGTTGAAAAAAATACCACAAGTTTCTAGCATTATGTTGTTGTCTTCTGTAACTGAATCTCACAATGGATCAGTTGGAAGCTACTCTTTCATAATACTGGAGAGAGGTGCGTCAAGCAGTTCGTTCACCTGAAAACTATTATCAGGTAAGTCAAATTCTTTTGTTAAATGGACACCTCTTATTCTTTGGTGCCCTCACAGCTTTCCTCCATTATAGCCCTCACCTATAGTCCACTTTGAGCAGGCAGGTCCTTCTTGTCTGAAAACCAACTTACACGAAACAGAAATAGTTTAATTCAGAAACAGGACCAATGCATATGCATAGGTGTGAACATAGAGCAAAATACTTTGCAGCACACTTACCACGTAATGTCTATGTTTCGGTTGTGGTAGGTAAACAGCAGTGACAATCAGAAGAAGGTTAACACTTTCTAGTTAAAATAACCTCTAAGATTTACACACTGAATATATACAATTGCTGAGTTGATGTTGCAACTAGAGGTTTTATGACATCCTTATCTTCTTGATTGAGATTTTCACAAATAAAATGAGAATTATGGCCTGGCGCCGCAGCTCACGCCTGTAATCCCAGCGGTTTGGAACGTGGAGGCGGATGGATCACGAGGTCAGGCGATCGAGACAATCCTGGCTAACACAGTGAAACCCCGTCTCTACTAAAAATACAAAAATTAGTCGGGCGTGGTGGTGCGCGCCTGTAGTCCCAGCTACTCTGGAGGCTGAGGCAAGAGAATTGCTTGAACCTGGAGGGCAGAGGTTGCAGTGAGCAGAGATCGTGCCACTGCACTCCAGCCTGGGCGACAGAGCGAGACTCCGACTCAAAAAAAAAAAATTACAAAGCCCACTTCTTTCTGACTACACATGTATACAATTATTATGCCAATTAGTTTACAAGCGTTAATAGTTAATCTCCTTTGTTTTTACTCCTCTTGTTCTTCCTTATCTGTAAAATTTAAGCTCCCAGGTAATGACAAGTGTATCATTTATTTTCCTTCTTGTCTTCTACTACCACAGTTTGCCGTCCAGCTATCAGTTAATTTCTAACTTTGCTCATCACAATTTTTAAAACCAGAAAATAAGGCAATTATTGGATGTAGAAATATGTTCCACATCTCTTGAAATATTAGAACTCAAAACCAGAAACTCAAAAAATTGCCGTTTGTCTGTGCAAAAGTTTGTCCTTAACTTTATGTTAAAAATCAGAGCTCCTATGCTTTGTCCCATTTTAAAAACATCCTCTTATTAAAAACCACTTTATTAAGGATGTTCCATTACAGGAGAAGAAAACTGGCCCTCTAAATGAAATATATGTGTTTCATACATTTTCACTGGCAATGGCTGGACAGGAAAATCAATTTTAATGAACATTTTCTGGGCATTTCTGGGTCATTATGACTGTACTTTGGTTGTAAGAGCTAGAAAAATATGTTGGCAGACACAAAGTGACACGTAAATTTATTTTTTATAAATAATTTTAGAAATGCTGCATAAACTTTCATCCCTAGTAAGATAAATCCCCAACAAAGCAATTTTATAATACCTGGTACCCTGATTGCCCAAGCAATAGACTTGTATGAGTAATGAGTGGCTTATTAGTTATGCCACTGTGCACTTTAATGTTTCTTAAGTATCCTGGATGAAAAGACAAATTTTAGAAAATTTCTCCAGAGAAAAACTTTATGTTTGAAAAAACTTGAAAATTGTGTATGTATGGTATCCATTGAAAGCCAGATTTGAACATTTTACATTACTCAGTGACCTTTTAACCGAAAGAACAAAAGTGAAGACATTCAAAGACAATAATAATCCAAAAACAATAACCAGCATTCAAAGACAATAGTCAGCCAAATGATTTAGTTGCTTTTCTCTATCTCCAAACATCTGTTGGTCTGTTTCAATCATTTTTGGACACTCTCTGTTTTATTGCTCCAATTTATTGTCATTGCTATGGAATTAAACATATAAAATGCTCTTTTTAAACCTAAGTTATTGGGGTGATATTTCAGAGTATTGCCAAGAAGGCTGTGGGATCAACTGGGGAAGATGTGATGATTAGAAACCCAGTGTCAGGCTTGAAACTTTTAGGCAGGTGGTAACTTTCCAACCAATCTTTCCAATTCATGCATTACTTGGATCAATAAAAAGAATCCTAGGAAAGAGAGCATCTGTTTCACCACTTTATGTCACGTGCTCACCCCTGGACTTCAGATGGGCAAGATGCTTCAAATATGGAGCCACCCTACTCCCACAAAATGAAATGGAAAAGAGAAAGGAGGTGTGATGTAAGGAAGTGGGGTGAAAAGAAAACTGTATAACCAATTAACAACAGCAGTATCCAACAACAAATATTCACTATCGCTCAGTTTCTGAGGTGCTGAGTTTAACAACATGTTATTTAATATTAAAAAATACTTAGCTGCTTTTTATTTTGCAAGGGTGAGATTTCTGAGTTTTAAATTATTTATCTATTTAGACAATCAAGTAGGAGGAATACAAATGTCCTTTTGCATCACCCTAAACAAGAATCAATAAAATAACCCCCCGCCAAATGCTTTGCTTGTATGTAGAGGCTTTCGCTGGTTACAAAGCATTTTAGCACCTATTATCTTATTTGTCTCTATTCAATCATAAGTTTAGTGGTAAATGCATGGCTTTTTGTATTATTTTACAGATGAAAATGACTCGATAATCAGAAAAATAGCTCTAAATGTAGAAAGGGCAATTCAAGAAATAGAAACAATACTGTGTTTTCACAGAGGTAGGGAAATAAACAGAGAGGGCTGAATCACTAGGTGCTCCATGAGACTCTAGCATGCTATGTGTTTTTGCAGTTACTGAAATGTTCACGCAAAGACAAATCACAGACAATCAGAAACGTTTAGGGTGGCTTGGCAAAAAGAGAAGACTTTAAATGAAGAAAATGTTATATTCAACCTTTAAATCACTTGGCTAGGCAGGGTGCGATGGCTCACACCTGTAGTCCCAGCATTTTAGGATCGCTTGAGGCCAGGAGTTTGAAACCAGGCCAGAAAAAACGGCCAAACCCTGTCTCTAGAAAAAAAAAATAACTGGATGTGGTAGCATTTGCCTTTGGGCCCACCTACTCTGGAGGATGAGGTGGGAGGATCATCTGAGCTGGAGGAGGTTGAAGCTGTAGTGAGAGGAGATTACGCCATTGCCCTCCAGCCTGGGCACAGAGTGAAACTCTGTCTCAATAAATAGATAAATAAATCACTTGCACCCTTGGATACATGAAACTTTGGTCTTTTTTTTTTTTTTTCCATCCATGAAGTCCATCTTAACCAGCATTGCTTTTATAACCTTCCTTGCATGCTGAATGTATTCTGTAGTCTTTCAGTATGTTTGTATTTTGTATACTATGTAGTCAAAATTTAATATGGAGAGTATTTCCCAGATGAGAAAATACAAATCTATATCCAGTGTATTGTTGAAGATATAATTTCAGATGGTAGCCAAAACCCAGAAACGATTACTTACCCTTGGCTGATTAGTCAGAAAACAAATTTCCAATCTTTCTGGGATGTAAGCTAAAATCCAAACATTTGCTAGTTTTAATAGAAAACTGAATTTCTCCTTGATGTTACATAACATAGAACCAAATACATATTTACTTTCAAGCAGATATATAACTGATTTTGCAGAGAAACTACCTTTCTGATCAAACGTTTCAATTTTTAAAGTTTCTAATTTCAATATTCAGTAGACACAAAGTGTTATTTATAAAATTTACATAATTTAGAAAAAATAATGTTACAATGATCAGCAGTGTACTTACCACTTAATTTAAATTAAGAAACTATTATCATTTTTGAAGATCCTTTATGCCCCATTCCAATCTACTTCCTTTCTTCTTCAGAGGTAACCATTATCCTAAATTTTACACTTTTTATTTTTTGCTTTTCTTGGTAGCATTATCACATATGTTAGTATTATTACATGTCACATATGCTAGTAGCCCTAAACACTTTTTTTCATTTTTTGCATTTCTAACTTTATAAAAAGAGAATCACAATGCATTCATTCTGCATTTTTTTTTTGACTGAGCATTCTTTTAGATTTTTGCTTTATGGTACTTGTAACTATAATTCTTTAATTTTTCTAGCTGGGTAGTGTTATGAAGACAATAATTTATTTATCCTTTGTCATTTTTCCATTTATTTGCTAACACAAAATGGAATATTGTGAAATTTTTGGAGGTGTCTCCCAGTGCACATAAGAAGTTGATCCTCTAAGGTAAATACCTAGGATTGGAATTGCTGTTTTATTGATATTTGCATCTTCAAATTTAGTTTGAAAATGCCTATAATAGTTTGGGTTCTTGAGAAGCAGGCCATGAAACAAGGAACCAAGTATGAGTAGTTTATCTGGAAGGTGATCCCAGAAAAAAGATATACAAAAGGAAACAAATTCAGTCATTATTCAGCTAGTAATGGGTGAATTTTCAAGGAAGTTACCATTGTGGATAACTGGTACTTAATGCTACTGAGAACCTGTCATAACCAGTGTAGCATGTGACTGGGCTTCAGAAATATCCAGCCCTAAGTGTGGGGGAGCTGGAGCATTTATATACCAACTTTCCTGTTACTGGTTGAACGCTGCTCCGAGGGCCATTAATTCTCTAGCACTGCTGGCCTGCCCTGCCTGTGTGCTGTGCTGTGCATTCCTGGAGTGGGTATATGTAGATAAAACTCTCATGCAAAAATATGCAGATGCTGGCAACTGGAAGCCAAGCTTACTTGCAACAAAATGGTGGGGCCAGAGAAGATAGCACAAAAACATCTGTTAAGTGTTGATTTTCTCTTTCTCCAAAGCATTGTAAAAAGTCACATGTTAAAAATATTCAGATTATGCTACATTGTCAACAACATTTGACATTATCAATTTTTTTCTATTTTAAATCTGTTGAAATGAAATGATATTAATCCCTGGATTTCCATCATCTCTTAAAGTTTTGTTATGCAGCGGCAGTATGGACAATATTTCCAAGAAGACGTTATGTGAATAGAAGGAAAGCAATGGGGCAGGAGAAAGAGATAGGAGAAATACGTGTAAAGAAATTTTTTTGTTCTTAAAAGTAGGGATAAACAACAGTATGTCTGCTTCCTTTTAAGAACTATCCAGTAGAATGGGAGAACTTATGATGCAAGTCAAAGAAAGAGTCGATGGAAAGATTTCCTCGGTACATTAAAAAGATGGAATCTAGTGCACCAACAAAAGTTTTGTTTTTAGCTAGGAGCATGGGTAATTTTCCCTTAGCAACTGGAGGAAATTCCCCAGTCAAGCCATCTGAACCATGATTTTTCTTTTTGGGAGGATTTTAAAGTACAAATTCAATCTGCCATAAATTTAGGGATATTCAAGTTATTGATTTCTCTGAAGTGAGTTTTCCTGATTTTTCTCTTTGAAGGAATTTGTCTACTTCATCTCAGGTTTTAAATGTATTAACATAAAGTTGTTTATACCATTATTGTTATTTTTAATCTCTGTAGAATCTGTTGTGGTGCCTAATATGTCTTCCCTAATACAAGTTGAGTTCCTCTTATCTGAAATGTTTGGGACCAGAGATTTTTGGGCTTTACATTTATTTTTTGATTTTGGAATATTTGTATAGACAATCGGAGTTATCTTAAGAATAAAACCCAACTCTAAAAATGAAATTCATTTATGTTTCATGTATGCCTTATTACACATTGCCTGAATATAACTTTATACAACATTTTAAATAATTTTATATATGAAACAAAGTTTGTTTGCATTAAACCATCAGAAACTAAACGTTTCATTATCTCAGCCACCCATAAGGACAATCTGTGGTTGTGTGACATCACCATCGTTCCTGACACTGAATTTATATGTTACTAATAAGCAATCATTTTCTTATAATAATTCATACGTAAGTACTGAATGGTAAAAAAATATGTCATACCACTAATACAGTGAAAAAATAATAGGTGCAGGGTAACTAAGCAGCACAGCTTCATCTCCAGAATCCTTGTGTCAGCTGTCAAACAACAGCAATAAAGCAATAACAAACAATGGCAGGCTTTCAGTCTCTAGTTACAATTCTGTGTTTTAATTAAAAGGTTATGGTAGAATGCCTTTTTTTTTTTTTGAGAAGAAACATCAGAAGCAGTTGAGGGACCAGGAGGTGGTTCGTTTAGGAGGCATTCTTCTGGGTGATTTTTAAAATATTTTCCCCAGAGTTATCTGACTAATTAACAATAGGTTTTGTCTTAGAAGTCCCTCTTTGATTTTATAACCTGGCATAATTTCTTGTACTTGTCTTCAATAAGCCCATCACACATTTTCATCATGTTATCTGCATTAGTCCTTTTTTGCATTGTTATCAAGGTATACCTGGGACTAGGTAATTTAAAATGAAAAGAGGCTTAATTGGCTCATGGTTCTGCAGGCTTTGCAGGAAGTATGGTGCTGCCATCTGCCTGATTTCTGATGAAGTCTCAGGGAACTTTCAATGGCAGAAGATGAAGAGGAAAGCCAGTGTCTCACACGGCTGAAGCAGGAGCAAAAGAGAGACAGTGGGAGGGGAGGTGCCACACACATTGAAATCACCAGATCTCGTGAGAACTCATTATCATGAAGACAGCACCAAGCCATGAGTGATCTGCCCCATGATCCAAACACTTCCTGCCTGAACCCACCTCCAGCATTGGGGATTACATTCAACATGAGATTTGGGTGGGGACAAATATACAAAATATATCGTTATCTCTAGGCGCTTTTTCTGCAGTGATAACACCATTGTCTTCATCATCTCTGTTATCATTATCACCTTGATTCAGAAGCATTTTGGCAATTTCACCATCAGTCAATGAATGAGCAAATGGACACTTGTTATTAATTTTAAAAACTTCTTCAGCATCCACTTCTTACAGCTTACTGACAAGCTGTGAAGGTATATTTTCACATATGTAAAGATGTCGGATGCCATTTTTTCTTCTCACTTGACATACAAAATTCTTTAAAGTCACTATCTTGTTCATCATCATCACTAAACATAGTCACAGGCCAGAGGTTGTGCTAGCCATGCACAGCTGTGTCTTTAGTCATTGCGTTTCAAGCATTGACAACAGCATATTTGGCATTCTTCACACTAAACTCCTTTTGAAAACCTTCCACACCCACACCTCTGTTCATTGCTGCTAGTATAATGTTTAAGAAAATGTTTTTATATGTACTTTACATTGATGTAATAATGCCTTGGTCACATGGCTGAATTAATTAAGTTTCATTCGGGGAAAAGTGTGTGGCATAAATATGATTTTTGATGAGAATTTCAGCTGGATAATGAGCAGAACGGTTGTTAAGGAATAACAAAATCTTGCATTCATCGTCCAGTTCAACTTTCCTGCAGGGAGCATGAGCTGTCTGTACAAAATGTGAAACCAAACAGAAAAGATGTCCCTGGTGATCCATGCCTTTTTGTTAGCATAATAATGCACTGGTAAGAAATTCCCTCCTTGAAAACAATGAGGATGCAAGTTTTACCTATCGTTGCAAGTTTACACTTATGTTTGCCTGTTGCATTAGCACATTTATTACTTACTAGCACAGTTATTCTGTCCTTGACATGCTTAATTCCTGTAAAGGCTGTCTCATCAGCTGCAGTCAGTGTCTGGCCAAGGCAATAATGCCCAAATAGTGATGTTTCATCGGCATTATAAGCTTGTTCTAATGTCAGATTTTCATCATCAATGAATTTATCTGCTGCTTTGTGATCACCACAAACAGCAGATGCTTTATCATCACAACTCTTTAGAAATCTAATGCCTTGTCTTTTCTTACATTTCTGCAACCAGCCTGCTGAATATTTATACTTCCCTTCAATTTTCAGTTCACTGTGATAGATCTTTGCTTGTTTCATGATCAGCACGCCATTAAATGTCAGGCGTTTGCTATGACACTGATGGATTTATTTTTTCAATACCTGATTGATACCTTTGTTTTTACCTTTATGTAGTGCTTCCATATTTTTCTATTAACTTCTGTTTACCTCTTTCATCATGGAACTTCAATAGTTTATCCGTTTCTTCAAGTTGTATATAATAGTCATTTCAACACCATACTCTTCTGTGAGGCATTTCACACTTAACACTGTGCAATTTCTTTAATGGCTTAATTTTTCTGTGCTATAGATAAGCATCCTTCCTCTTTTCTTACCATTATTACTCATAGGGGTATTTGCAGACCATGTTGACATTTCAACAGTGTCTCTACACCACAGAGGAGAGGATAAAAGAAAGAACACAGTGAGTAATGCACAAGGGTCTTGGCCCCACATGAGGAATGGTGAGAAACCTGTTGTCAGCGTGTTTGGCCTGCATATGTGCCATTGTGTACATTCTGTTCCCTTTGTGGAAGTGCTTGCATGGGGGAATCTGGGCATGTACAGAAAAGATACATCACAGCTACAGGGGATTGGGAGGGTCTTTTGTCCTTTGGGGATTATCAATGAAATGTGTGTTTTGACTACGACACATCCCATAAGATGTGAAATTTTCCACCTGTGGTTTTGAATCGATGCTCAAAAAGTTTTATATTTTGGAGCAATTCAGATTTAATATTTTTACATTAGACATGCTCAATCTTTATTTATAATTTATATCTTCTTATAGTCTGACTAGAGATTTATCAAGGTACTAAACTTTGCAAATAATTTTTTCATATTTTTTTAATTTATATTTCATCAATTTGCATTTGAATCTTTTAAATTTTCTATTTTGCTTACCTTTTTTAAAATATGCTTTTCTTTTTTTCAGTTACTTCATGTGGAATTTAAGGTCACTAAGTTTAGATATTGCTTCTTTTCTAATGTAGTCAATTAGTGCTATGAATTTCCCTTTTGAGACTGTTGCAACTGCATCTTGTGATCTTTTTTATTTTCATTTGTTTTCATTTTCATTCAGTAAAATTACTTTTTAATATTAATTTCAACTTCTTTTTTGGACCGTGACAACTTAGAAAAGTATTGTTTCCAAATATTTGAGTATTTCTAGAGAACTTCCAGTTACTGGTTTTTATATTTAGTCCATTTTGTTTAGATAATTACTTTGTATAATTTGAGTCCTCTGAAATTTATTGAGTCTTTCCTAATGATCTAAAATATGATCACTATTGATAAGTTCTATGTGAACTTTAAAGCTATGTGTACACTGCTGTTGTGGAGCGTGCATATAAAGCCTGGTTAGGTCAGGTTTATTAAAGATGGTGCTCAAGTATTCTATATTCTTTTTTATTTTATTTTATAGTTCTTTTTTGTTTGTTTTTGATTTTTTAAAAATTATACTTTAAGTTCTGGGGTACATGTGGAGAATGTGCAGATTTGTTACATAGGTACACACGTGCCATGGTGGTTTGCTGCACCCATCAGCCTGTCATCTACATTAGGTATTTCTTCCTCCCCTAGCCCCCCATGCCCTGACAGGCCCCAGTGTGTATTGTTCCCCTCCCTGTGTCCATATGATATCATTGTTCAGCTCTCACTTATGAGTGAGAACATGCGGTGTTTGGTTTTCTGTTCTTGCATTAGTTTGCTGAGAATGATGGTTTCCACCTTCATCCATGTCCCTGCAAAGAAAATGAACTCATCCTTTTTTATGGCTGCACAGTATTCCATGGTGTATATGTGCCACATTTTCTTTATCCAGCCTATCACTGATGGGCATTTGAGTTGGTTCCAAGTCTTTGC
Organism: Homo sapiens; assembly: GCF_000001405.40. Classification (NCBI taxonomy): domain Eukaryota; kingdom Metazoa; phylum Chordata; class Mammalia; order Primates; family Hominidae; genus Homo; species Homo sapiens. The sequence goes on from NC_000014.9 coordinate 48,098,583, forward strand.
TATTGTGAATAGTGATGCAATAAACATATGTGTGCATGTGTCTTTATAGTAGCATGATTTATAATCCTTTGGGTATATACCCAGTAATGGGATTGCTGGGTCAAATGGTATTTTTAGTTCTAGATCCTTGAGGAATCGCCGCACTGTCTTCCACAATGGTTGAACTAATTTACACTCCACCAACAGTGTAAAAGTGTTCCTATTTCTCCACATCCTCTCCAGCATCTGTTGTTTCCTGACTTTTTACTGATTGCCATTCTAACTGGCATGAGATGGTATCTCATTGTGGTTTTGATTTGCATTTCTCTGATGACCAGTGATGATGAACATATTTTCATGTGTCTGTTGGCTGTAAAAATGCTTCTTTTGAGAAGTATCTGTTCATATCCTTCGCCCACTTTTTGATGGGTTCTTTGTTTTTTTTTTCTCGTAAATTTGTTGAAGTTTTTTGTATATTCTGGATATTAGCCCTTTGTAAGATGGAAAGATTGCAAAAATTTTCTCCCATTCTGTAGGTTGCCTGTTAACTCTGATGATAGTTTCTTTTGCTGTGCAGGAGCTCTTTAGTTTAATTAGATCCCACTTATCAATTTTGGCTTTTGTTCCCATTGCTTTTGGTGTTTTAGTCATGAAGTCTTTGCCCATGCCTATGTCCTGAATGGTATTGCCTGTTTTCTTCTAGGGTTTTTAGGGTTTAGGTCTTACTTTTAAGTTTTTAATCCATCTTGAGTTAATTTTTGTATAAGGTGTAAGGAAGGGGTCCAGTTTCAGTTTTCTGCATATGGCTAGCCAGTTTTCCCAACGCCATTTATAAAATAGGGAATCCTTTCCCCGTTGCTTGTGTTTGTCAGGTTTATCAAAGATCAGATGGTTTGCAGATGTGTGGCATTATTTCTGAGGCCTCTGTTCTGTTCTATTGGTCTATATATCTGTTTTGGTACCAGTAACATCCTGTTTTCATTACTGTAGCCTTACAGGGTAGCTTGAAGTTAGGTAGCGTGATGCCTCCAGCTTTGTTCTTTTTGCTTAAGATTGTCTTGGCTATACAGGCCATTTTGGTTCCATATGAAATTTAAAGTAGTTTTTTCTAATTCTGTGAAAAAGTCAATTGTAGCTTGATGGGGATAGCGCTGAATCTGTAAATTACTTTGAGCAGTATGGCCATTTTCACAACATTGATTCTTCCTACCCATGAGCATGGAATGTTTTTCCATTTGTTTGTGTCCTCTCTTATTTCCTTGAGCAGTGGTTTGTAATTTTCCTTGAAGAGGTCCTTCACATCCCTTGTAAGTTGTATTCCTACATATTTTATTCTTTTGTAGCAATTGTGAATGGGAATTCACTCATGATTTGGCTCTCTGTCTATTATTGGTGTATAGGAATGCTTACGATTTTTAGCTGGTCTTTGGAAATATCAACAAAATAGAAAGACAGCTGGCCAGAATAATAAAGAATAAAAGAGAGAAGAATCAATTAGACACAATAAAAAATGATAAAGGGGGTATCTCCACTGATCCCACAAAAATACAAACTACCATCAAAGAATACTCTAAACACCTCTATGCAAATAAACTAGAAAATCTAGCAGAAATGTATAAATTCCTGGACACATACACTCTCCAAGACTAAACCAGAAAGAAGTCAAATCCCTGAATAGACCAATAAAAAGATCTGAAATCGAGGCAGGAATTAGTAGCCTACCAACCAAAAAAAGCCCAGGACTAGCCGGATTCACAGCCGAATTCTACCAGAGGTACAAAAAGGAGCTGGTACCATTCCTTCTGAAACTATTTCAATCGATAGAAAAAGAGGGACTCCTCCCTAACTCATTTTATGAGGCCAGCATCATCCTGATACTAAAACCTGGAAGTGACACAACAACGACAAAAAAGAAAATTTCAGGCCAATATCCCTGATGAACATCAATGCAAAAATCATCAATAAAATACTGGCAAACCGAATCCAGCAGCACATGAAAAAACTTATCCACCACGATCAAGTCGGCTTCATCCCTGGGATGCAAGGCTGGTTCAACATATGCAAATCAATAAACATAATCCATCACATAAACAGAACCAATGACAAAAACCACATGATTATCTCAATAGATGCAGAAAAGGCCTTCAATAAAATTCAACACCCCTTCCTGATAAAAACTCTTAATAAACTAGGTACGGACGGAACATATCTCAAAATAATAAGAGCTATTTATGACAAACTCACAGCCAATATCATACTGAATGAACCAAAGCTGGAAGCATTCCCTTTGAAAACTGGCACAAAACATGGATGCCCTCTCTAACCACTCCTATTAAACGTAGTATTGGAAGTTCTGGCCAGGGCAATCAGGCAAGAGAAAGAAATAAAGGGTATTCAAATAGGAAGAGAGGAAGTCAAATTGTCTCTGTTTGTGGATTAGATGATTGTATATTTAGAAAACCCCATCATCTCAGCCCAAAATCTCTGTAAGCTGATAAGCAACTTCAGCAAAGTCTCAGGATACAAGCATTCTATATTCGTACTAATTTTCTGAGTTATTTCCTTATGAATTATTGACAGAGGGCATTACAAATCTCTGACTGTAATTGTAGCTCTATTTATTTCTCCCTGCACTTCTTTCAGTTTTTGCTTTTTGTATTTGGTAGAATTTTTCTTATATGTTTAAATATTTAAGGTTATTGTAGCCACTAAAATAAATAATCTATTTATCATTATGAAAAGATTCTCTACATTCTTGATAATATTTTTTGTTCTAAAATTATTATTTATTTTTTTTCTTGAGACAGTGTTGCTGTGTCGCCCAGGCTGGAGTGCAATGGCACAATCTTGGCTCGCTCCAACCTCCGCCTTCCGGATTCAAGAGATTCTCTTGCCTCAGCCTCCTGAGTAGCTGGGATTACAAGGTGTGTGGCATCACACCTGGCTAATTTTTGTATTTTTAGTAGAGATGGGGTTTCACCATGTTGGTCAGCCTGGTCTCGAACTCCTGACCTTGTGAGGAATCTCACTCTGTTGACCAGGCTGGAGTGCAGTGGTGTTATCTCGGCTCATTGCAACCTCCGCTTCCAAGGTTCAAGCGATTCTCCTGCCTCAGCTTCCTGTGTAGCTGAGACTATAGGTGTGCACCATTATGCCTGGCTTATTTTTCTATTTTAGGTAGAGACAGAGTTTTACCATGTTGGCCAGGCTAGTCTCGAACTCCTGATCTCAGGTGATCCACCCGCCTCGGCCTCCCAAAGTACTGGGATTTCAGGCATGAGCCACTATGCCTGGACAAGTTACTTTTTCTAACATTGAAATGATGTTAGCATTGTTTATCTTTTTCCATTTTTTTTGATGTGGAAAGTCAAATATTCCCTGCATTTCTGCATTCGTGGAAAGTTCTGGCCAACTGAGCCATGGAAATTGATATGCTCTAAAGACATTGCATGTATTTTTTCCATTTTCCTAGAAACATTTCCTCTTTAAAGGCATGAGTTTTGAACCTGCAGCCCCTTGCTTTCTTTATTATGGAAGTATTTGTGTCTAAACACTCAAAAAACAAATAAACAAAGATCTCTGTGTTAGCCCATTCTCACACTGCTATAAAGAACTACCTGAGGCCTGGTGCATGCCTATAATCCCAGCACTTTGGGAGTTCAAGGTGGGTGCATCACCTGAGGTCAGGAGCTTGAGACCAGCCTGGACAACATGGTGAAATTCCATCTCTACTAAAAACACAAAAATTAGCTGGGTGTGGTGGCGCATGTGTAATCCCAGCTACTTGGGAGGCTGAGACACAAGAATCGCTTGAACCTGGCAGGTGGAGTTTGCAGTGAGCCAAGATCGTGCCGTTGCACTCCAGCCTGGGCGACAGAGTGAGACTCTGAAAAAAAAATTACCTGAGACTGGGTAATTTATGAAGAAGGGATGTTTAATTGACTCACAGTTCCATAGACTGTATAGGAACCATGGCTGGAAGGCTTCAGGAAACTTACAATCACGGTGGAAGGCTAAGGGGAAGCAAGCACATCTTACCATGGTGGAACAGAAGACAGAGAAAGTAAGACGGTATGTGGCACATACTTTTAAACCATCAGATTTCCTGAGAATTCACTCACAATTATGAGAACAGCATGAGGGAAATCTACCCCCATGATCTCATCACCTCCCATCAGGTCTCTCCCGCAACATTGGGAATTATAATTCAACGTCAGATTTGGGTGGGGACACAGAGCCAAACCATATCCATCTTCCACCCCAAAACAGACACACACACACACACACACGCACGCGTGCACACACACACACTCACAGAGAGACAACTTCCCTTGTCTCTCTTGGATGTAGGGACTATCTCCTTATACATTTATATTTCAAAGGAGGTTAAACTTGGAAGATAATAGTCTTGCCTTCCTCTTGGAGATACTTATTTGATTTGCAAAGGGTGATAACCTAGGATACTCTCTATTCTAGAGGAGGACTTGTATTTGGAAGCAAAGGTTTCTTTTCTTTTATCAGGAGTGGAGAGAGAACAATTGCCTCTCTTCTACACTAACTCTCAGATTCACACTTATGTTTCCTGTAATTTGCTCCTACCATAGAGATAGGATTATCCATTTGCCTCTCTTCATGCCACTTGCAGGGTGCTAGGTATGGGGGACCATTGTGATAATGTTACTTTCCATTCTGTTTTGCTTTGAGTAAATAAACTATGTGCTCTGGTCTCTGACTCAGTACACTATTTCTGCTAGAATATATATATCTACGTACCTGTCTATCAATACACCTATCTATTTAGAGTATAACTGTACATGTAGGGTGACATCTCAGTACCTCATTCTCTTCCCAGCTTCTGATTTAACACGAATCTCTTTGTTTCTCTCTGCTTAATATAACATTCATAAACACAGGATATAGTTGGGTTTTGGTTCTTCATGGAATCTGATCATCACTGCCTTTGATTGAAGTGTTTATGTCATTTACATGATATTATTTTTCTCCTGCCTAAAGCTCTTACATTTAAAAAAAAATAATTGAATTTTGCTGGTGTTGAATTTCTTCAGCATTTTCATGTGTGAAAAATATTTATTTTACCTTAAATTTTGAAAAGTATATTCTGATGGTACAAAAGTCTACTTTGACAGTGGAGTCACTTGATGGGTTCCTCCTGCCCACTTCACAAACAAAACAAGTTCACTTACACCATGGTAAAGAAAGAATTTAATTAGTTCTAGACTGGCCACAAGGAAGAACTGGAGTCATCACTCAAATCAATCTGAAAGGTTAGGGTTTTTCAAGGACAGTTTGGTTGGCAGGAGACTAGAAAGTAGGTGCTGCTGATTGGCTGGAGATACAATCATAGGGGTGTGGAAAATGAACCTCGTGAGCTGAGTCCACCCCTAGGTGGGGGGCCACAGGACTGGTTGAGTCACGAGCCACAAGTCTGGGTGGGATCAGTCTGAAAACCATCTCTGAAGAGCAATCCTAGGTTCTACAGTAGTGATGTTATCTATAAGAGCAATTGGGGAAGTCACAAATCTTGTGACCTCTAGCCACATGAATCCTGGGGCAGTAAGGCATTATGGAAACTACTTAGCAGAATTCAGGCCCGTGCTATAAAACTAATCTTGTGGCCTTTCCTTAGTCTTACAAAGGCAGTTTCAGCCCTTGAACAAAGCGGGGACAGTTTTAGGGAGGGGCTATTAGCATCCTTGCTTCAAAGTTAAATTATAAACTAAATTCCTCCCATGGTTAACTTGGCCTATGCCCAGGAATGAGCAAAGACAGTCAGCCTGGGACCCTAGAAGCAAGATGGAGGCAGCCACATCAGATTTCTCTCACCGTGATAATCTTTGGAAAGGCAGTTTCAACATACTTATTTCAGTTCTTTAATGATGTTGCTCCAATACCATCTATCTGGCATTTTTATCCTGACAACTGCTGTCATCCTTATATGGGTTATCTATAGTGATGTATCATTTTCCTTGAACTTCTATTAAGATACCATCTTCATCTTTGGTTTTAAGCATTTTGGTTATTATACAACATAGTTGTAGTTTCCTTCATGTTTCTTGTACTGAGAGTTTTTTGAATTACTTTGACCTGTGGCCTTATTGTTTGTTAAAATTCAAACTTGGAAATAAAATCTGCCATAATTTCTTCACATAGTTTTTTCATCATCTCGCCTTTTTTGTTTCCATCCTCCCTTTGAAGGGACTCCAATTCCATGTACATTAGACAACCTGGCATTGTTGCACAGCTCACTGATACTCTATTCACGTTTTCTCTCATTCTGTTTCCTCTCTGCTTTCTATTTTGGATAGTGTCTATTTATTTGGGTTCAGGTTCACCAATCTTATTTTTCCTGCAATATCTTTTCTTCTGTCAATACATCTAAAAATATATTTTCTCTCACAAATATTGTAGTTTTTATAATTGGAAGTTTGATTTGGGTTCTGTTTTAATATCTTCTTTTTCTCTATTAATTCAGTTAATATTTTCTCTAGCTTCTTAAGCATATACTATACATCTGTAATAACTCTTTGTATGTCCTTGCTTACTAATTCCATCATTGTGTCATTTCTAGGTCTGTTTCAATTGACTGATTTTTCTCCTTATTTTGTGTTGGATTGTCCTACACCTTTGTATTTTTGGTAATTTTTTATTGAATAACAGACAATATGAAACTTGTTAAGTGCTAGACTATTTTTATTTTAATAAATATTCCTAAGCTTTATTCCAGCATACAGCTAAGTTACTTAGATACAGTTTGATTTTTTCAGGCTTTATTTTTAAGAATTGTTAAGTGATGTGAACAGCATGTACTCTGGAACTAATTTTTTGATTACTAAGGCATTACCTTTCTGAGTACTCTATCCAAATGAAGCGTCATTATTGTCTGGGTAAATACCCAAAGTTCATCATCTCGTGCCAAGAAAATTAAAAACATGGACACACACAAGGAGTGATTTTAGGAGCGGAGGTTTAATAGGCAAAAGAAAGAGAAAGGAGAATAGCTCTCTCTCTTGCGAGAGAGGTATGCCCGAATGGAAATTCCAGCCCAAGGTGGAGTGCACCGGATTCTATAAACAGGCTGGAGGAGGTGGTGTCTGATTTACATAGGACCCACAGGTTGATTGGACCAATTGTGATGTTACATAGCCACAGGGAAGGCTGGCCATCGCACCCTAATCTTCTTATGCAAATGGACTTTCCACTTGGCCTGTGCCATGTTGTCTGCTCCTTACTGTACACGTGGCTGGCAAAGAGAAGGGAACAAGGAGCTACCGCCTTGAACATGCCTAGTCCCCGGTAGCCTTCTATTGGCACAACTGCTGGCATTCACCAGTGCAATCTTCTAGCTTGCTTGTCTATGTCTGCAGCTCAATTTTACTGGCTGCTCTCTATTAGAAAATAAAATGATTTGGGGACTGCTTTTCATGAAAAGGAAAGCCTTACCAAGGACTGCTATACTTTCACTATCTGCCTAAATAATTTCCTTTTAACTCCTATATTACAATGCCTGGTGAATTTTGAGTCTTTCTAATCTGAGTGGCAGTAATTGGTACTATAGCTGGCTATATGTTGAGTTCTGCAGTTTTTTCCCTCTGATTATTTTGAGTGGTTCTTTTCCTTGGTGGTAGTTTCCTCCAATCCTTATATATACTAGAAGATTGGAGAGAAATGCTCTGCAGATTCCTGGAGTCTCTATATGTGCAGCTCATTCTTCTGTACTCTTTAGTATGAACTCCAGCCTTTTTGGCTACTCAGGACTTTCAGCTCCAGCTCCTCAGCTTATAGCTCTGCCTGGGTTCCTCTATCTTTGCTGCAGGTGGAATCTTTCTTTAGGTAGTAAGCTAGTGAAATCAAAGGGCTCATCTTGTTTGTGTTCTGTCACTCAGGGATCACTATTTCTAATTTCCTAATGTTCATACAGTAAAAACTGTACTGTTGTTTTAAATAGTTTGTCTGTTTTATAAGCCATTTCAGGTAGAAAGATAAAGTCAGTCCCTGTCACTCCAGGTTGGCTGGGAATAAAAATCAATATCCAATTTTTAATAAATATTTTTATGTAAGTTAAGAAAGTTCATGTAATGTATATAATGTGGAAGTATAATAGAGAGGTCTGTGTTAAAATAAATTTCCCTTAAAATTAGCAGAACCTGATTTTAGATGATCTGTTCCAATTCCAAGATGTAACTTCCTGATTGGTCATTTTGAGCCGTTACCATGTATGAATATGAGACTGGACTATTTAGGCAGAATAAACTGACAATAACTAAAAAGTCAATTTTTCTGGAAACTCCTCTTCACTTTTACTTAAAAAGCAATTGCAATTTTGAAATATTGTGAGATATTTATGTGCACAAAAATGAGAATCTGTTTTTGTATTATGTCCAAAAATTCCGGGGTAGTTTTAGCTTCCTTTGGTTGGCATTAAGGTTGGCATTAAATAGAAATGTGGTATTGCTTATGTTGCTTCATAATACATTAAAATGATTTTTTAAAATGTTGTCTTAATTATGATAAAGTAAAACTGACCCTAATAGAACAGTATAATCTAGTAGAATGGTATAATAAATTAATGTGAAAGATATTCTATCTGGTAAAAAAATTACACGTCATTCATTAATGTTATACACACAAAAAGGAAAAATTAGTCCAGATATTCAAGAACACATTTCCTGAAATAAGAAATCAGGAAAAAACAAACTCATATAAAAGCCATATCCCTAGGAATCATTGCCTATCTCCGAGTCCAAGGTTTCTTATCTCCAGGAACACAGAGCAATGAATTTGTCATCTCTGGAGGCAAATATATTTGATAAATGCTTCTATTAATTGATTCCACAAATCAACTACTAATCCAGAGCTTTTGATTATGGTACTGCTAATCAATTTATTTGATAGCAAACTTTCAGCAGTTTGTAAGTTAAAAACTGCCTACATTTTTCTGGGTTGGCTTAATTAACAGATTTATCCTAGTTGTGAAAAAGTAAGATCTCTACTTTTAATTTCCTCTTGACCTGCTTTCTCTCTCCACAGGGTCTTCTTCAGAGGTTCTTCAGAAGGCCAAAATTAAAATTCTGTCAACAGATTAAAACACTATTTAGCCCACAGGAATTATTTTTTCAAAGCCTGCACATTATGTGGAGTCATATTAAGACTGCTTTCATGGGAAAAATCTTCCTCCAGATAGCCAGGTTATGCTTCACACTAATGCATGTGAATGAAAATTGTCTCCTCTGCTGGGTCAAAATGCTGACATCATTACTGTTAACTGCATTCTCTGTTAGAGAACCAAAGATTGTCTGACACGCTGACTCCCTGGTTGCATGCTCTTGTGGTTATATACCTTTATCTGTATGGAGGGCAGACCAGGAAGAAAATGTTATCAGCCTAAATGTTTATTGCATTGTTCAGAACCACTTGACTTCAGGAAGAATGAGATTTTAGAGACAGTAATTGTGGATCTGTGTCTATCATTTATATCTATCACAAAACTATTTTTGCCTCATTCATCTGCCATTTGAATAAGCAAAGCCTAGGTATTTCTTACGTGTTGAATGCAAGTGACATTTAGAATTTACAACTTGTCAACATATATTCATAATTTTAAGTGCAATATAGTAAACACATTTACTTTCATCATAAATATTAAATTTGTACATATTTTTAAAAGGATGATACTTGGGACTCTTGGACCAAACATTAAGTGTTATTGCTAAAATCCGAAACATAAATATAAGGGCAATTCCCATGAGAAGAACAAAGAAATTTTAAAAGATATATATTTTTCTAGAAATTTGATATAGGCAGAATTATAAGACGGCACCAAGATTCCTGCCTCATGATATGTATAGCCTCTGCAGTTATTCAACTAAACAGTACTCGAGGTGTTGCTGTGAAAGGCTTTACAGATGTAAGTAAGTTCCCAAATTAGCTGACTTTAAAGTAGGAAGATTATCTTTGTGGGCCTGAACTAGTCAGTTGAGACATTAATGGGCTCTTCCTAGTGGAGGAGATTAAGACAGTGAAAGAGGCTCAATGTAGAGAAACCTCTCCACTGCTAGATTTCAAAATGGTGGGGGCCGTGCGGCAAGGAAGGTGGGTGAACTCCAAGAATAGAGATATCCAGCAAAAAGATGATAATTTTAGCCCTTCAGCTGCAAGGAACTGGATTCTCCCAATAAAATGAATGAGCTTGGAAGCAGATTCTTCCTTATACAAACCTCTAAAAGATAACACAGCTCAGGCAACACCTTGTTTTCAGCCTTGTAAATCCTGAGCAAGAACCCAACCACACGTTTTCCCAAATAATGAGCTAAAGATATATAACTTAAGAAATGGGTGCAACTTTGTCATAAATTTGTGATCATCTGTTATGCAGCAATAAAAATTCAATACAATGTCCAATATCTATTATCCTGGGAAATCACGCATCTTCTTAATGTTGTGCTGCTGAAATAGACACAAAAATTTTGCACGATGAAGTATTAGCAGTGTCTTGTCTGCTTTTGTCATGGCAATAGTTTCCTATTGCTGCTGTAACAAATTGCCAGAAATTTGGAATCTTAAAACAACAAAAATGTATTAGTTCACACTCATGTGGGTCAGAAGTTTGATGGGGGTCTTACCAGGGTGAAAACAAGGTGTCAACAAGGCAGTATTTGTTTTTTCTCCCAGAGGCTGTTTGGGATTTCTGTTTTAGATTGTTAGCAGAATTAAGTTCTTCGTAGATGTGTGACTAAATTTTATAATTTTTTAGATCAGAAGTCTGACAGGGGTTTCATGGGGCTAAATTCAAGGTTTTGGAAGGGCTGTGTTCTTTTTTGGAAGGTCTAAAGGAGCAACAGGTCCTAGCCTTTTCCAGCTTCTGGAGGCCACCTGTTTTTTGTTTTGTTTGTTTGTTTGTTTGTTTGGCAGGTGTTTCTTCTTCCTTCATCTTACAGTCAGTATTGAATATAGTTTAGGATGCAGTAACTTCCACTGTGGGTGGACAATCAAGACATCCAGAAAGAGATTGTTAGTTAATGATAAAAAACAAGACTTGGAGGAGAAAATGAACTCACAGAAAAATCTCAGGAAGAGGCAACAATAATGGCACTTTGTAGCAGGATTCTATAGGACTTAGTGACGGATTTAACACAGCATGAAGGAGAGGAATGAGAATGCAATTTAGGAAATTTATGTTGCCATTAACAATATACAAGATCATAAAGGATAACAGATTTGGAATGAGATGAGTGCATTTTTTCATTTTGAGGTGACAGCAAACCACCCAGCAGGCATTTGAATAAATAGTACATTTTGACATTTGAGAAGGATAGACCACAAAATAAAAGTCTCCACATTTGTGAATACCATGATGGCACAAAAGTCATCTATTTGATGATGTTAACTATCACCAGAATGTTAGAAATGTTTTTGAATTATAAACTGCATGGCTGCTTTGTAGGAGAAAGTCACATTTCTTCAGAATGGGTTGGATTATATGTGTTAAATCTTAAAATGCCAAAGAGTTAGTGTGGTGGATGAAAGCATCAGTAAGTTCACAAATTTACATGTAATGCTGCTTGAAATTAAATATAATAACCATACTTAAATATCATATTTAAATGAAATAAATATCATAAATACATATTCAGAAAAAGTTTTAAAGTATGCCTCAAAGAATCTATTCTTGAAATAAAGTGTTAAAAATTTAGTATTTAGAAATATGAAAAACTAACATATTTTTCTAAATGTTTAATATAAAATTTTACATTAACTCTATTGTTAATTATACCCAAATTTTTAATATTAAGATTATTGTGTGAATAAATACATATACCCCAAATCTAGCCTGTTGAATGTCACAGAAATAGTTAGATTCATGTTTTATAAAATAATAATGAAACACATTGCTTTAAACGCACAGGTCTAATACCATTGTACTATAATATATTAAATTATGTGCCTTTCCCTTTAGCATAAAATTGGGAGGATGGAAAAAATCTTATGGACAAATTTATTTATGCACTGAATCTCCTGGAGGGAATCATGAGAAATACAGCAAGCATAATCAAAATAAAAAGTTTGTTTGTTTTGTAAGAATCCTCACAGCATTTATTAAGAGCAGGCCATTTTTTCAATATCTTTCTTAAATTCCTTTTATCTGCTCTCATCAAATTTGTAATAGACAATTTTTCGTTTACCCAGGAATGTTAATCTGAGACTACCAAATAGGAGATACAGTATAGAAAAACTTTGTATTCTAATTCTTTCATGGTGACAGTGCGGTGGAGGATGAGGGATATGCAAGAGAAACAGTGGAGCAAATAGAATGATTAGTTCTGAATTAAAATTTGGTAGACCACTTCATCTCAGTTCTTTTTTTCAAATCATATTTTGTATGTGACTATATAATTGGATTTCCTACTTAAAAACATTTCTTTTCTGAAATTCATTACCTGCAATGGGTTTGAATATAAACTGGAAATTAGTATCAAATTATGTATTTTTAGTTTAATGAAAGTATTTTTTAAAATGCTAACACTCCATTTTGAGCTGAAAATGATTTTCTGGAAAAAGTCTTTACTTTTATCTTTAGTTCTTATTAATTAGAATAACATTAATGAAAATTAATTTTAAGAATGTTGACTAGCTTCTCTTAATTTTTGCTTACATGGAATAGGTGGGATAAATCTGTTTTTCATGTACCACTTAGTCACTAATCAGCCAAGAACTTGAAGGATGTGTATTTGCCTCGAGCTAAGACGTGTAACACTGTGAAAAGTTTGTAGCATGTTCCCACATGTATGTGGAATTAGTAGAACAATGATTGATACACAGATGACTCTTGGTGGAGGTGGAACTCCTTAAGAATGCCAGCAGTTATTTTGGATGAACATTAAGGGGAAAGATGGTGACTGTAAGAATGACAAAAAAGTGAGCGTTAAAACTTTGGAATGAATCTTGCTAAAAGTTTTTCCCTAAATATGTTATTCTAGATTCAGAAATCAAAGAATTGTGAAAGTCGAGGTACAGAGGAAATGAGCTAGGAGGATAAGAGTGTGTAATCAGAGAAAAGTTTGCTTGAAGTTGAGATTATGGAGCCAATAACATGACCAAGGGAGTCAGTGGATGAGAAAAATTGAAGTTTAAGATCATTGGAATAGATATTGGAATATATAGAATCAAACAGAGGTATCACTGGAATAGGTAGAAATGTGACATTTTTCTATATAGTGGCCCTACAGTTTACAATTCAAAATGTCCTCAATATTTTTTCTTGTTAATTTCTACCTATCTTTCGACAAATGCTTTATCAGGTCCCCCTAATTTATTTCGCAGATTAAGCAATAGTACCCATATTTCTTTTTCCTAGGTCAGCCACAAAACTTACTCATCATCCGTGTGACTTCCATAGAGATACATATTTCAAGGAATTGTTCCATTTCATCAAAGTTTTGGAATTTATGGGGATAGAGCTGTTCATAGTATTCCTTTAATATCCTTTCAATGCTCATGGGATCAGTAATGATGACCTCTCTTTCGTTTTTGATATTGGTAATTTGTTGGGGAGGGGAAGCATTCTAAAATCTGATTAAACCCTAGTCTTTCAGAAGGTATGCGCTGCAGGCTGCGACTTATCAGGTGCTTTATAGCTCCCTACCTGCTATGTGAGACAGGAACACCAGATGAGGCTGAGGACTGGATATTTCCCTCTCCTCCTATGAAAGATTCCGCTCTGGGTAAGTTACTTCTCTTTGAGAGCAGGTCTTTATCATTGATACAGCTCTAGCCTATTTCAAAATTCTTTTTTTCCCCTCCTTGCTCCCATTCCAGAGCCAAAAAAACAGTTTTTCTTGGCGTGTGTATGTGAAATCCTGGTGGAATTCCTTGAAGTAAAATCCATGTAAGTTTTGGAGCCACCTAAGATTGTGACATCCAGGAGTTTCTTACAGTTAACACTAGCACAAGCTCAGTCTCTAGGTCTCAAAATGACCATGTAAGTGTTCAGTTTGTGGATCCAGACGCTTCTGCTCCAGGTAAGCACATTTCGATTGCAATTTGTTATCTTCTGTCTTTCCAGTTTTTAGGGTGACGATTTATCCTGCAAACATTTCTGATACGTATAAGAACATCACTGATATTCAGCTTGTTCAGCATTTTGTTGTCGTCCTTGTAAGAATGAAGATAATGACATCCCAGCTTTTTACATTTTAGAGCTGAAATGAGGATTGGTTGTGTAAATATGTTTAAACACTAATTTCATGATTTTAATACATCCATTTACAATTCTTCAATGACTCCAATTATACATAGGATGCATATGAAACTCTGTAATATAGTATAACTCCATAGTATAGTATAGTATAGTATAGTATAGTATAGTATAGTATATTGTAGTATAGTGTAGTGTAGTGTAGTATAGCATAGTATAGTATAGTGTAGTATACAAGCTCCTTAAGATTTGAGCATTGTTTATCTCTCCAGTTAAGATTTCATCATTCCTTGGAGCTCCCTAACCCTAATTTAATATGAAGTTTACAATTCCTTGAATGGTCTAGTCTGTATTATCTCACTGATTAGATTATGCACAGTTCTTTTTTTCTTCAAACAAGTCAACAGTCTTTCTGTTTGCCTATTTTTTATGCCTCTTTCAGCTCCAGCATTTTATTTCAGAAATTCTACACATCCTCAACCTTCTTTTCTCTATTATTTGAGCCAATAGCAATTTATGACTGTTTTAAATAGAGAATCTATTTTGCTACTGTATGTGTTGTTTTTCTGTTCCCCATTTCAGAGAGTAAGAATTTTGAGAAGAGAAACTCTTATCTTTTAATTTTTATCCCAGAGCAGTGGCCAAATGACAGAAAATATAACATGAATATATTTTTGAATGAATCAAATGAAGAAGAGCTAGATTTAATTGGGTTATGGAGTTTAAGGAGATGGGTAAGTAAATAGCACATATTTTGGCTTTTATTTCACAGCCTAAAAGGGTATAAAGATATAGTTAGTCCTTTATTCATGTATTAACATATATAAATATATACTGTGTTGATTCTGGTTGAAACGGCTGGTTTTAACCTGAAAAATGAATGAAAATTGATTTTAATCTTGGCTCACCAAACTTAGTGAAGATATTTAGGTAGGTTTTTAAGATCGTGTTTCAGCATGACTTGCAAAAAAGTCTTTTAAATAAAAGTCCTACTCAAATAAACTTTTTTCTTGGTATTTTCCCCTAATTATTCCAGTTTTTCCAGAAGCTTCTCGTTGCTCTAAAATCTTTATAATTTTCAGTGTACACGTTTGTTCATGGCAACGTTACTCTTCATATTTATTTATTTATTTATTTATTTATTTATTTATTTATTTATTTCGGAGATAGAGTCTACCTCTGTTGTCCAGGCTGGAGTGCAGTAGCATGATCATAGCTTACTGCAACTCTTGACCTCCTGGGCTCAAGTGATACTCTAACCTCATTCTCTTGAGTAGTTAGAACACAGGTGTGCAGCCATCATGCATAGCTATTTATTTTTTTTAATTTTGTAGAGACGAGCCTATGTTTTCCAGGCTGTTCCATAACTCTTGGCCTCAAGCAATCCTCCTGCCTTAGCCTCCCATCACATTTTGTCTCTCAAAGCAGAACACATGACTGCACATAGATTCCTGTGATCCATGTTTTCATTAAATGGTCTTTGGACTTAAAGTCCTTCAAAGTATGTAATGAATGTGCAACCCTTTTCTGAGTTGGAGATTTTGCATTTGAATTACGGAGCCAGCTGGAAGACGTATTAAATCAAATTGAACATGATTACTTTCCATTGACTATGTATCAAAATATTCTCTTATGGGTTATTTATTTTAGCAACGACAGCAGTGAATTATATGTAGAAGAAAAGTTCCTTATACTTTTGTTTCAGATCTTTTAGGTCGTAATCACGGAAGAGGTTAGCTGTTGTTTTTAAATGACGCCAGCCATGTAATGATGTTATTGCTGCAGAGGAATACTCCTTTTAAGGATGCTGCCTATATTTTTGTTTCACAAATCGTTTAAATTCATCTACAAATAATAAGCGAGTTAATAAAGTGTATACGGAGAGATGACATATGGAGAGATTTGATATCAAATAATTAGTAGTTATTATTCTTTAAATTTTATAAAATCTCTACCAATTAGGAAGTGTGTCTCACAAGATTAGGGGTCCACTATTGCACCCATAGTTAACCCCAAACCCAATTTGTATTTGACACTGCATACATCCATCTCCTATTTTCACCTTGACTCCTTTGCTAATCTCTATTTTATCATTCTTCTTTCTTTTGCATCTCTTTCCTGTCTGTTCAGAAAATGACAACTGTTTTATTATGCTTCTGTGTTTCTTCCTCAATACTGAGGCACTTAAATAAAGTATTTGCCAACTGGGAACACACATAAAAAGACTTGTGCATTTGATTTTTAGTCAGTATACATTATGTACACTTCTCCTCCCCCGCCCTTAGACAGTTTAAGGCCATATTTCAAAGATTATTTGTGAATTTGCTAAATGGATCAGTGTGTTTCATCTGTAAGAGTAATTCTCAACACTGAATAAATATTACAATTATCTGGAGAGTATTGAAAATTAATTATGTTTAGATCTGACCCCATAAATGTATTCTTAGTTAGTCTAGGGTGTTATCTAGGCATCCAGTTTTAAAAATCTAGTCAGATGATTCTAACCTGCAGTTAAAGTTAGGAGTAATTTATCTAATATAAGAAGTCAGATGAAGGTACCAAAGTTGGTCCTTTTTTATTAATAAGGTATTACTTTTTAAGACTTCCCTCACAGAATAATACGTTGAAGGGTTCAAGGTATACTTAAGTAAATAAAGAGTTTAAAATGATTTTATTTAAATATTTATAAATTCTGGTAGTACTGCCGATATTAAACTTCAGCTTCCTGCATTTAAATAATTACAAGATGAACAAAATATATAAAACAACTGTTTTTAGGCATAAACTCCATATTGACCCTGGATTTCTCAGTTAGGGCATTTTTCAAATATACTAGTGCTAGAAAATAAAGCCCACGCAGAGAATAGCAACCTTGCTGGGCAGTGGAAGCAGAGATTAGAGTTCAGGACTCTCAGACCAATTGAAATTTAAGGGACCAGGTGGTAGAGAAGCAATTGAAATTTAAGGGACCATTGCAGAGAAGGAGCACAAAAATAATGTGAAAATATTTCATGGCTTCCTTAAAAATCCCTAATCTGTGTATATGTACTACAAGAACAGCTGCTAGATGGCCAAGGGTAAAACAGAAGTTATAGAGGCCATACAGTGCAGGGGGAGCATTAGAGTTCTTACCAGACAAATATTCTACATTTTAGTGAATATTCCAGGTGAGCCAAACCCTTTAAGAAAGGACCACACGCTACTTAGGTAGAACCAAATTAGATCCACCCAAATTAAGCCTGAAAATATGTCTTGATATGTTCCAAGAGATTTAGGGGTAATTTACTACATGCCAGAGCAACAGTAGGTAAAGAAGGCGATGTAATCCAGAAACTCAAAAACATTTCATACTCAATATCTAACATTAAAATAAAAATACTTAACATATAAAGAAGCAGAACAATTTGACACATTTAATAGTTTATAGTAATTCACACAAAGATAATCTGTATGTTGTAGATCATAGACAAAAGTTAAAATTAATAAAAAATTAACATACTAATGACAGTGAGAGAAAAATGGGGTAAATGTAAAAAATGTTGAAAATGTCAAGAGTTACAATCTATTAAATATATGAATTGTCTATTTTAAAACTTCAAAATACGTCAACTGAAAACAAATTGGATGGGTTTAATAGCAGAGTAGAACTAACAAAGACTGGGATTAGTAAACCCAAAGAAAAGACATTAGAAATTTCCAAACTATGGCAAAAAAGGAAAATAAAAACAAACAGTGTTAGAGAGCTGTGTGGTATAATTAAAAAAAAATCTAACCTATGAGTGATGGAAATATAATAGGGAAAGGAGAAAGATAATGAACGGAAGCAATATTTGAGGAAAACAAAAGGGCTGAGAATTGTCCATAAAAAAATGTCAGAAAACTCTAATTAGATCAACTTTATGCATAAGAAAATTTAAACATGCCAAGGACAATGTTCTATAAACCAAAGATAAAGAGGAAATTTGCAAACTAGATTTAGGGAAATGCAACAAAAATAAATAACTAAACAAGAATTAGAAAGAGATTAGAAAGTAAGAATATGTAGTTTCTGTCATCATTCACATTTAGTGACTAGTTTCTTAGTAATATTCTTAATGTTGAAAGTTATAAACATAAATATTAACGTATGTGTATATGCACAGATATATATACCTACATATGATAAAATATTTGTTTAAGTTGTAAGTATATGTATCTTTAAGTATTAAAAATTATGAGTTTTTGGTGGCTTTCCTGTTGTGTGTGTGTGTATGTATTTTCCAATCTCCTGAAATAAACATATATTGTCTTTATAATCAGACTTGACAATAAAAGTTTATTTTTCTTATTTTTTGAGATGAGGTCTCGCTCTGTCACCCAGGCTGGAGACAGTGGTGTGATTTCGGCTCACTGCAACCTCTACCTCCCAGGCTCGAGCAATTCTCCCACCTCAAGCCTCCTTAGTAGCTAGGACCACAGGCACAGGCCAACACGCCCAATAACAAGTTATTTTTGATGACGATATGGAACCATTTTTCTTAATGTTTCCATAAGTCTAAAGGCAAGAATAATAGGTCAAGTAGAAACAGATTCCTTGGTGAGCTACAGCAGAAATACCTTCAGGAAGGAAGAACTTAACTACAAATGAACATCAAGTCACCTAAGTTAGCGGAAGCCTGCCATAAAACATTAGTTCTAACCAGTCTACATTTACTTAAATTTTTCTCAGCTGTTGGTGTACTCTTAGTATAAATGTCTCTCCAGTCCCTGTACTGCATTCTTCCCAATGTACCTAGAAAGTTGCACACAAATTAGAAGGAAAAAAGTTGAATTCCTTTTTTTTTTTTGGGGGGACTGAGTCTCACTCTATTACCCAGACTGGAGTGTGGTGGCCTGATCTCAGTTCACTGCAACCTCCACCTCCCAGGTTCAAGTGATTCTTGTGCCTCAGCCTCCCAAGTAGCTGGGATTACAGGCGCCTGCCACAACGCTGGCTAATTTTTGTATTTTTAGTAGAGATGGGGTTTCTCCATGTTGGCCAGGCTGGTCTCGAACTCCTGACCTCAAGTTACCTGCCTGCCTCGGCCTCCCAAAGTGCTGGGAGGTGTGAGCCACCACACCCAGCCAAAAAGTTGAATTCTTTAAATAGTACATTGACATAATCACATCTTGCAATATATTAACTTATGAAATTTTGACATACGAAATTATAAGAAAGGAAACATATAATGAGGAAAAATGTCAATGTTTGAATATGGCACAGGTTGTAAGTGCTCATGTCTTTTTTATTCCTATAGTGGTTCATCTGAAACAAATATTTGCATGTTCTAATGAATCCTATCTTTACATTTTTGCGTGCTCACTTTTGCTATGAGAAGCAGCAGCTATCTCTCTAAGCTATAAAGCTTACTTCCATATCTGTGCTGTCATTTGGGTAATTTTGGAATATACCACAACAAATCTCTACCATGGAGATTTTAAAATAATGGCATGGTTGTTTTAAAATAATGGCATGCCTAATATAATGTGCATTTAGAAAAATGAGGATGATGATTAACTTCATTTTCTGCTCAGCCCGGTTTCCTTTCTTAAGTAGGTATGATTAACCCTCTCCTCATCTGTGTCCCACCCCAGCAGAACTTAAGCATCTTGCATACATCATTGATATCTATATTACATTTATATTCCCAGTCTCTCATGTAGTACATAGCATTGAGTAGGGAGTTCAATAAATACTTTTTGAATGGAAAAATATGAGTTTTATTTTCAACTCAAGTACATTTGATTTTCATCAACATTTACAAAAATAACCTGAAATCAGACCTAGAATTCCAGAGATGCAGGTGTATGTCTTGGGTAGAACTAGGCCATGGAGATCAGAAATAAAACCAGACTATATCAATCTGCTGGTGAATGATTGGAAGTTGTAGAAAAAACTCACACTCTTTCTGTAAGCTTGAGCTCATTAATTAAAATAAGTTTTCTTGCTTAATTAAAAGTGAATAATTAAGCCAGGCGCGGTGGCTTAGGCCTGTAATCCTAGCAATTTGGGAGGCCGAGGCAGGTGGATCACCTGAGGTCATGAGTTCGAGACCAGCCTGGCCAAAATGGTGAAACCCCATCTCTACTAAAAATACAAAATTAGCTGGACGTGGTGGTGTGCACCTGTGATCCCAGCTACTCAGGAGGCTGAGACAGGAAAATCGCTTGAACCCGGGAGGCTGAGGTTGCAGTGAGCCGAGATCATGCCATTGCACTCCAGCCTGGGCAACAGTAGCGAAATTCTGTCTCAAAAAAAAAAAAAAAAAAGGGAATAATTAAAGGCCAGAAATGAAGATAGCGGTTATAACCTCATGGCTGCTTTTAAACTTGAGAGTGACATTAAAAATAGAAAGACAGCATTTTTATTTGTTTCAACTTTTTTTTCTCTAGGCTTTTCAGTAGATAGTAATGAGTTCAGCTATGAGCATATGTGAAAAACTTGTAGCCAGAGAGGTTTAGCATATAAATTCATTTATACATCAAGTTTATGTCTTATAATATATTCAATTTTAATTTTGAAAATATCACATATTCTTCACTTACTTTTCTCCTCAGAATTTGCAGATTGACATATAAAATTACTATGTTTCTACTCAAAATACATATATTAAGCAGTGTATTTATAAAATATTTCCAAAATTTCATGAGATGAATGCAGATTATTTTAGCATATTTCCATTTTAAATATAAATATCAAGACCAAATACCAAGCTTTATTTCTCAAAATAAATGTTATTGGCTTCATTTAAATCAGCCGATAATTTTTACATATTTGATATTTAATTCTAAACACTCTTCAATTAATACTCCTTGTAAAAGTTTTGTTTGTTAAACATTTATAATTTATACAAGCCGCATCATATTTTACGTAATCATATTTTACATGTTTCTTGGGGATTTATCTGAAAGCTTGCAATTTTGATGATTAGATATGATTCCTGATAAATGTAAAATTTGCGTATAAGGTTCTAATATGGTAGATATTTTTTCATTCTTCCCTTCAATAACCTTCAAATACAAAACGGACCTATGTGGAGGCAGATTATCACCCTGTAATTTGATATTTGAGTATTCTTTCTTATTCAAATTTGTTTCAATTATTTCTTATTTCTTAAGAAATTATTCTTAGGAAAATAAAATTACTGAATTTTATTTTCAGGAATCATTCTTGGATAAAGTGATGTATCGTCTATGAGGTCTTTTGTCACACATCGGAATTGTAATTTAAATCTATAGATCAGCTTTTCAATGTGAATTTTGTCCGGCCAGCTTTTAACTATCATCTGAAGCAGGTGGAAAATTCTTATCAGGATATAGGTAGATAGATATAAATGACATACATGTATACATATTTATGTATAGATGAGTATGTGTGTATATGCATACACACACCCATACATACCTGTATGTATATATACATGCATACACACACACACATAGATAGAAATATGTTATATATGTATCATAGATAAATAAATAAATTTCTTAACATTTCTAGATATATACCCTTAGGTACATTTCGTTACTTGTCTTCTTAAAATATTTTAGCTACTTTATCTGTAAATGTGGATGGAAATCTGTTAATTTGAGAATTGAGTTATAATACATTATCAATGAGATAATAATATAGTATCTAGCACAGAAGTCACTCAATATAGGCTCTTTCTAAAAAGTATTAAACATACACAATTGATAATTCATAAATACAATGATCAAAAATAAAAATGTTTTAATACGAATTATAACACAAGCTCCACCCTACATTTTTCAACTAACCTATATACTTACATATATAAATATATAAATGGTACAGATAACATCTGAAAATACATGAGCTTTACATTCATTTAGCTATTTATGTCACTGTTTTTAAAAATAAATTATAGAAAAGTATGTGAATTGTTAACATTTATTTATTACTGACTTTTCCCCAACTCCCCATTTTAATCAAAAACTGCTTTTGTTTTGAGATAGTTGGGCCTAATATACACCTGAAATTTAATCCCTTAATACATTTTTGAAAATATTTCTTCTGGCCCAATGGGATGGCTCACGCCTGTAATTCCAGCACTTTGGGAGACTGAGGCTGATGCACCACTTGAGGTCAGAAGTTCGAGACCAGCCTGGCCAACATGATGAAACCCCGTCTCTGCTAAAAATGCAAAAATTAGCTGGGTGTTGTGATGGGTGCCTGTAATCCCAGCTACCGGGGAGGCTGAGGCAGAAAAAATAGCTTGTATCCGGGAGGCAGAGGCGGTTGCAGTGAGCCAAGATTGCACCACTGCACTCTAGCTTGGGCAACAGAGAGAGATTCCATCTTGATATACATATACATACACATACATATATATATATAATTTATTCTACAATATCCTGCCTCCTCTTCCTTAGTTTTATTCATCTTAACTTAGTTTATTGCATGAGATGACCAATGAGGCATCTTAACATAATCTTCAGAAATCTACTTTCACCCTTCATTGGCTAGTTAACTTTGGGAAGGTCACTTTGTTGAAACTGTCTCCTTGTTTGTCAAATGGTGGTATTGTATACGCGCGTTGAAAGTTCTTTTAGTTCTAGAATTCAGGATTTTTGTTCCTATTTTCTGACTTATGGCTGGGCCACACTCTTTTTTTATCTTTCTTCAAGAGCACATATCTGTCTCTTTAATCATTTAAATTGCCCTTCTCTGGACTTGATTCAATATCTCTGTATCATTTTGCCTGCTGAGGTGTCTGAGGTTGGCTGCAGGACTCTACATATGCCTGCTGATTTCTAGGATAGTAAGCTCATAAGTCAGAGGCAATGCAAACATAAATCTTTTGATGGAAATGGTCACTATAAACTTCATATTGATATTCTCTTGTTCCTCCAGCTGTAACTTTCTTTAGTATTTTCTCTTTCTCATATTTTCCTCTACCACTTAGACTTATGTCCTATAAAGCCTAAATAAAGATAACATCTTTCCACAATTTCTATCTATGTAACACATTTCAATTCCTCTAGATACTGAATCAATTTTTAAAATTCATCACAATAATCTTTTTGCTAAAAATGTGCTTCCAAGAAATAATTTTGCCCTTCTATGGTTTTTATAATTCATGGTCCAGTTACGTTTTTAATACATGCAAAATAGATCATATTCTACTTGATTTAAATTAATTTAAAATTTAATACATGCAGTTTATTGGCTACAGGAAATTAACTCATTCAGGAAACATTTCAATTTTTTTTCCTTTATCATAATTAAATGTTAAATCTATGAGGGAAACAGGATGATTAAAAGGGATCAACTGCAGCTGAGTGCCAATTAGTGATGGGGATATGTTCTGAGAAATGCAACGATAGGCAGTTTTGTCATTGTGAAAACACCACAGGGTGTACTTACACAAACCTAGATGATATAGCCTACTCCACCCTTAGGCTATGTGGTATAGCCTACTGTCCCTAGCCTACAGATCTGTATAGCACGTTACTGTCCTGAATACTGTGGACAATTGTAACATCATGGTAAGTATTTGGTTATCTAAACCTATCTAAACATAGAAAAGGTGCAGCAAAAACATGGTATAAAAGATAAAAAATGGTAAATACCTATATAGGGCACTTACTGTGAATGGAGCCTGCAGGACTGGATATGGCTCTGGGTGAGTCAGTGAGTGAATGGTGAGGGAATACACAGGGCTAGGACATTACTATAAATTACTGTAGACTTTATAAACACTAGATGCTTTGGCTACATTAAATCTTTTAAATGGTTTTTATCACTTTTTTACCTCATAAACTTTTAACATTTTTTAAAACTTTTTGACTCTTACAAAAACGTTTAGCCTAAAACACACACTGTACAGTTGTACAAAAATATTTTCTTTCTTTATATCCTTATTCTATAAGCTTTTCCTATTTTTAAAGTATTTCCTTTTTTTTAACTTTTTAAACTTTTTTGTTAAATTGATACAATCTTAGCCTAGACCTTCTCAGGGTGAGGATCATATGTATCCCTGTTTTTCACCTCCACATCTTGTCCCACTGGAAGGTCTTTAGCAGCAATAACACACAACACACATGAAGCTGTCATCTTGTATAACAATGCCTTCTTCTCTAATACCTCCTGAAAACATGCCTGACGCTGCTTTACAGTTAACATTTTTTCAAATTCTTTTTTCTTTTTTCTTACTCCTTTATTATTTAAAACGTTTATAAGTATAGAAGTGTACTTTAAAATAATGTTAGAAAGTATAATATAGTAAATACATAAAACAGAAACATTTATTATGAATATTATGTATTGTGTACTATATATAATTGTACATGCTACACTTTTATACTACTGGCATCACAGTGGGTTTGCTTATACCAGCATCACTACAAACATGCGAGTAATGTGTTGCCTTGCAACATTAAGGAAAACTTTGATGTTACTAGGCGACAGGAATTTTTCAGCTCCATTGTAATCTTGTGGGGTCACCATCATATAATGTTGTCCATCCTTGACTGAAACATTGTTATGCAGCACATGATTGTACTTAGAAATTGGCAATTCGTTTTAATCTATAAGACATTAAAAATTAAGATTAAAGTAGGACCTAATGAAAGTGATTGAAGAGGGTGCTTTAAATGTAAGCCATAGTCTAAGAGTTATTGGTGTCTTCATGTTTTCCAAATCATCTCACCAGAGCCCTTCTCTGGACTTTGTACCCAAAGTTCTTATTACTGCTCTAAAGGGATTTTCGTCTCAGGTATCCTCTGTACAAAGCTATATCAGAAATCTTGGAAAATGGTAGGATGTTGAGCAAGATTCAGATTTTCTTTTGCTCAGCGATGGAAATAATTTTATTATAATTAATAAGTTTTATGTTATTTATATATATTACAAAATATAACGTATCATATTTTATTTGGTACCACATAACAAATCATTTAATTTAGTATTATGTAACAACATCTTGAAAGGTAATATATTAATGCTAATTTGATATTATTTGTCTTTTTTTTTCTGAAAGGCTGTGTCATTACTGAGAAGCAGTTGTAGAAAAAAGGTTCCTATTCATCATACAATTCACATTCTGCAGATAAAAATAAGCCATGAGAAAAATTACCTAAAATAGAAAATGAAGAGTCTATTTCTACTCTTCCTCAATCAATTGGGAATCTTTGTAAAGCTAAATGCATCAAAAATTTCGATAAATTAATCTTTGGTTACCTAAGAAAGTGACAGATGTTACTGCAAAGTAATCAGTTATTATTCTGAAGAATCATATAAAACAAGTGAAATATACAAAGCTTGCAAAACAGAACATGGAAAACCATTAAATTTATACATTAGTTATCATAATAATAAATTTCATATAAATTAAATGAAATTTCCATATTAATTAAATGGAATTCCATTTATATGAGATTAAATTAAATTAAATTAAATTAATTAATTAAATCCCATATAAATTTGGGGTCAATACGTGAAGAACTGGAAGTACATTAAATTAACAACCAAAAAAAAGATTGTGTAAAGATTGCATAATGCAGTACATTTCCCACTATAACTAAACACCAAAATTATAGTCAAAGAAGAAACAAAGAAGCCAATTTTTCTGGATATCACTGAATTCTAGATTTGATCCCATACATAATTTTCCTTAGACTACCACTCTGGATCTTACACATAAACATAAAGCCACAGAAGGTTCAAATGCAGCAATGCTATCTTTCAGGGTTTACTGGAAATCTTTCTGTTCCTGGAAGTGTTATCATATGGCTAGGTAACTAGATGATTGGCCAAAATATATCTCAAATTTAACATATTAACACAAACTCCTAATATTGAGCCCAAATACCCCTATTCCCAGTACCCTCTTCCTCCTATTTCTACTGTCACAGTCTTCTTCGGAATAGAATAGAAATATTATTTTCCAAAAGAACAGCACAAAAACTTTGATGTCATTCTTATCCCCTTATTACATTCCTATGTTTGATGCCTCAGAAAATTTCCCTGGCTTTATCTTCAAAATACGTGCTGTGGTCACGTGCTTCTCACCACACCTATCATTAGTATTTATGCATGCAATAACCACTTATCTAGTCTAGATTCTATTATAGTAATCTACTCTAAGTAGTCTTATAATTTTGACCACATTTCTCATCTATATATGTATAATTCTATGTGTGTGTATATATATGTGTGTGTGTAAACACACATATATAATAATATGATATAATAATTTATATAATAATATGTAATATAAACACTATATATTATATATATCCAGACATAAAATGTTATTGTTTATTATTATAATATAAATTACATATATATGACTTCATTGTGATATTTAAAACTCTATGTGGTATATCTTATTACTGTCATGCCCAGTTTACATGTAACAAACTAAAACAGAGGGTTTAAATAGATTTCCTATGGTCCTGTGTCTAGTAAGTGGTCAAACCAAGTAGTTTACATGCAAAATAGGAATTCTTAATGCTTACTGTACATAGTTCTACAAAAAGATATGTAAATCTATTTGGTTAACTCAATAAACGCTAATGTAACAACTGCTACATGTATTTGGCACAGTGTGATTGGATACTCAAAGCCATGCGAACTCAGTGGGAAGAATCAGGGACCTAAGTTTAAGCCAGATTAATCATCTGAATATATTAAATTATAAAATGTTCAATGCAGTATGCTAGTTATTGAACACCACACAATCTCTGACCTCATTTTAAGTTGACTAGTTGGATCATAGAAAGCTATCACTATAGCAGCTTTTTTAGGAACAAAGATAAATGATTGGAAATTCTGTTCACAATTAGAAATTGTGAACTATTGAAAATGTGAAAATAGCTGGGGCAATTCAATAGAAAGAAAAGTGGACTAATGTCTGAAATTGTAACTTATCAAAAATTTTGGAAACCGGTTGAAAATTCGTGGTGTGAATTCTTGGCACAACCAGGAAGTTTGACTGGGGTAGGAAGGATATATCGTGTTATTTGACATGTAAGCAGCTGGCACAGAGGTTGACTGAAGGCAGGCCAGACACAAGCTGTGTGGACAGCTGGTTCAGGGTTTAGCAAAGGTCAGGCTGGCGTCTGGGAAGGTGGTTCTTATCAGGCCACAAAGACCAGAGATCAGATTTCAAGGCAGTCAAAGAAGGATTCAAGACTAGCAAAGAATTAAGCAGCTAATTACCTGAAAGAAAAGGTACTCTAAATTAGTCAGAAACATTTATTCTATGAGAAGTAGTTATTTTCTTTTTTTGAGAAACTGTTAAGTAGGACGGCTAAGTGGCTACTCAGTGGCCATGTGGTTTTCTAGGACTAAAAAATTATATAAGAAAAATATGAAAATTAAGAAGCTATAGCCTTTGCATTAAAGATTTTAGAGTCAGTCGATAGTCACAGAATTTGAAATACCTAATCAAATGAAAAATTTAGAATTATGAAAAAAGTACAAAATAAAAAAGAGAGCAGCTAATTGGTAAAATCAGGACAAGGAGCACCATGTTTTAGGATAAATGGACTTCCAATAATAATTATCCTGGAAAAGGTCTTTCTGGGAAAAAGAATGAATAAGAACAACAACAACAAAGTAGGGCATATTTGGCAAAACTTGAGAAGCTTGTGTCAGGTTTTAAGTATGCAAAATAAAATTTTTTTTAGAAGTTTATTTCTCTACAGATTTCATTTAGAATTCAATCTGTCTTCAAATTCACTTCCATCTCAGAATTTATAACTTAGAGCAGGAATATTTATAATGAAAACCTGATGGTCCTAAGAAAGCCACATTAGTAGCCAAGAAGGGTGAAACTGAGTGTCTCAGAGAAGATTCAGAGGAGCTGAGTCCTGTACCAATTCTAACTTCAAGAAGCATAAATAGAAGAGAATAAAGGCTTTGGCAGTGAAAGGATAAAGCTAGATATAACGTATCTATTGCCATAGAATGACTCAGTTTGACTCTAGAAGCTTTCACATTTGACATGCTCATTTGATTTCGTGAGGTATTAAATCAATAAAGTTTCTAAGAGGCAGCAGATGCTTTGAATTTCCTATATATGTTCCACCTTCAGTGCCTCCAACTTCAGTGTCTTCAGCCCTGCCATAGTTTTACTATATTCATTTATCAGACAACACCAATTCTTTTTGATGCTATGGGTGAGATCTTGGCTACCTTAGAATGACAGTATCTGCAATGAGAGAGTTCCTTAAGAATCCTTAAAACTATACTATTTCACAGCCCAAAGCGGTCACTTAGAATTGTTGATGGGCAGCGTTTTGAATAAATCTGTTACTAAAGTAATGAAAAGAAACTTGTGATTTGAAAACCACAGGAAGAGATGATTTGTGCTTCCTCTTTCTTTTCAAGTGTTCTTTCTCATTTATACCTGTGCATGACTTTAAAATACTTAGTAATTTAGATCTCAGTAAAAAGAAATACCACCTATTTAGTATAGGTAGATTATTGACTAATTTACATGTTTACTCATGCCATTTGAAATTATTTCTAAACCAGAATTTTTATCATCCAGAGTAATTCTAGAAGATTTCACAAAACTAATCTCAATATTTGCCGAGAGATAAATAAAAATGCAGTTTATTTGTTATCTCTCCTATGGATGTTAATTTTGAGCTTATACAAATGATTAATGGCATCGCTCAGATAAGAGAGGAAATACATTTCTATCTCTGCAGTAATCATCTTACTGCTAAAATGAACAACTGATTTTGTTTCAAAACAAAATTAATGGGAATTAAGGAAATATATATGAATATAGGTCCCTTAACTAATAAGGCTTCCCTCTCTTTCACGTGAGGGTTTTTTTTCTTGAAAGACTCAGATGGACTTATAAATAAGTTTCACCATTTTATTAATTGTGGGCTTTTGTATATCCAGTTGTAGGCAACGTGTAACATTCTTTTACACAGGTTATTTTTAAAGTGTTTGCTTCATGTACTTTCAGAATCTCATCTTTGTTTTCATGACCTCTTGTTCTTCTTTTTTTTTTTTTTTTTTTTTTTTTTTTTGCTAGGCCCTTTGCCAAGAGCCAGTCGCCCCAAGGTTGTAGGACAGACAGACCTTGGAGTAACCTCCCAGACTCAGCGTACTGCTAGGCCTTTCTGCAGGCATGCAAACTGCCATCAGCTGCCATTTCTTTTTCTTTCTTTCTTTTTTTTTTAAAATTTTACTTTAAATTCTGGGGTACATGTGCAGAACATGTAGTTTTGTTACATAGGAATACACGTGCCATGGTGGTTTGCTGCACACATCAACCCGTCAGCTACATTAAGTATTTCTCCTAATGCTATCCCTCTCCTAACTCCCAACCCCTCGACAGGCCCCGGTGTGTGATGTTCCCCTCCCTGTGTCCATGTGTTCTAATTGTGCAACTCCCACTTATGAGTGAGAACATGCAGTATTTGGTTTTCTGTTCTTGTGTTAGTTTGCTGAGAATGATGGTTTCCAGCTTCATCCATGACCCTGCAAAGGCTCTTGTTCATTTTTTAAGGCCTTTCTCTATTTCCCATGGCCCACAATGCCGAGTCACTTTGTAATGCAGTTTCTGGACTTTGACTCAAGCTACTTAATCTCAGTGCTATCAGTAACCCAGCCCATTCTTTCATCACTCACTTTCTCTAAGATAAATGAATCGAAGCTGTTTTAATCCAGATATTTCTAATCGTCTTTGCATTGCTGGTGGATTTTTTTTTTTTAACCCAAAGGACTTTACTGAAATATTTGCTAGGTAAATGGTATAATTTATAGTCAGTATAAAAATTGCCTTTTGTTTTCTTCTCTGTCTTCTATTCTTCTCTTAAAACACAACCTATTTCCTATTTCAACACTTTTGTACACATTCTGTTAAACAGCAGTAAGAAAGTGCACATGCCTCATATTCTTTTCAGATCTCACTCATAATTTTACAGAAAGAACCAAGTTAAAATTTCAAAAGAAAATGTCACTCAAGGATCACAAGAAAGCCATCCCTATCATTTTATTAAATATATGATGACATTCTGATGCTTAGAAATTGCAAAATATGTGCAATTTTACTTGAAAGTCTGCCTCTGTTCTATTTAATATATATTTTAACAAAAATGTGTGTGTATACGATTGCCCAAAGAAATATGAATTTATACTACCATGACATAGAAATTGACTTTTACTTGATGGAAAAACCCAATGTTGAGACCTAAAGAAATTAACAGTCTCATGCAGAGAATTGTACACATCCCTTAAAACACATGAATGGGGAAATGCAGATCAACATGAAGAATATGATATAATTTTGGGTGAATAAAAACCCTATATTTATGTACATCTTTTAAAACATATAGCACATTTTTGAAAAAGTGCATTTTGAATCATTTTAAGTTTTTACTTTTGTATAAACTTAGGATAAACAATGGGGATCCATCATATTTACCTTAGTGTAAATAAAATATAGGCCTATACGAGTCATTTAAGTTCATTGCATAAACATATGTTTCCACTGAAATTTTAAAGTAATAAGAACATAAATATTAGATATTTTTTCATGTTTATTTATGCATTTCACATTAACTGTATTAGTCATGATAGTCTTGGTTATGCTGTGGTAACAGAGTCCTAAAATCTCAGAGGCCTTCAAAACCAAAAGCATGCCTATCTCCCATGCTATTTTCCCGCTACAAATTGTCCAGAATAATAGAATAGCCTGAGGTGTGAGAATATACAGTTCTCTAAGCAGGGTGAAAGAGAATAATAGCAAACCACCTTTTGGTTCTTAAAACTTCTGATAAGATGTGACACACATTACTTCTGTTCATATTTCATTGGCTAAAACATGTTATTTTCCCATACCTGAGTGAAACAGAGCAGGGATGAGTAATAGTTCTCTAGGGTAGGGTACTACAGACATGAATATTGAATAAAGCCCTTTTCAGTTCTCTACAATCTCTTGACTCTCTCAAATTCAGTCACTGGCCTTTGAAGGCAGAAAACAAGTACACTACAGTTTAGCTGTCCCCCACCCTGAACTCAATACTTGGTTTCTAATAAGTAAAAAACAAGCCTCCATGACTGATTTATTAGTGGGTTCACAGTTTAATTTGGACTTATTGTGTGTATTTATGTCCACAATATGTACTATATTTGCAAACTATATGTTTACCATAGATACATATAAAATTTTCATTTGACTATAATTCATTTAGCAAATTAAAAAATGTGACTGCTTTAACTTTATTGATACTTTGGAATTGTTTAAAAGGTAGTTATTTACTCCTCCATTATGACCATTGTTATACAACAGAAAGCATTAAGATATGAGTTCAGCTGAAATCAGAACATGGTGGGACACATCTATCACTCTTAATCAGGTTTTGCATATAGTGCAGTGTGGATAAAGACAAGAATTATCTGCTTACCATGAGTAAAGCCTATCTCAGTTATGGATAATTTGTGATATGGTTTCCTCACTTAACCTTTCCCTTTCATGGATAGTTTTTATTCCTTTAACTGCATTACACAAGGTTGTAGTTTTTAAAATGTGACGATCCAAAGTTTCAAAAGACCATTTTATAAACTATTCTAATACTTATTAAGTACTGAAGCATAAAACGCCTGAATTTTTCTATAGCTACTGTAATATTGAGGAACACTACAGGCAAAGCACAAAAACTAAGAAACAGAAATCTAAATTTGTAATCTAGAAATGTTTATATACTATTAATAAGTTCAGCTAGTGTGTGCAAATGGAGATGTCTATGTATTTATGTCTTAAGAGTTTTATTCCCAGGTTTTGTACATGAAAAGCTCTTATTGAAATCAGGGTTAGAATGAGCGATTTCTTATATTTTTCTCCTGCAAAATTAAGTGATTGACATAGCCAAAGAAATTGTTAGACACCTAGAAATACACATACATTGACGAATACAATCATGTACTACCAACTGTCATTTGGTAGCATGTGATACAATGACACAGTAAAACAGGAAAAAGAAACCATTCATGCAAAAGTTTACAAAGCATTATTATTATAAATTATTATTCCTATTATAAATAAGAATGAAACACAGTTTATCAACACTTTCCTGGCAGGTGATAATAAGAGTGAAAATTAATAAGGGAAAAGCAACATACTGTTCTATAGGTATTGTCAAATGATGGCAAATGGAACACTGGTGGCCCCATAGCCAAGTTTATCTCTCACTGCATGAAAGTACGCATTTAACTGAGAAATGCACAGAAAAGGCATGCTACAGGTAAACTAACTGAAGTGAACAGGAAACATATGCTGCAGGTAAATACTGAAGAAATATTAGCCCATTTATGCCTGAGGTTGAAATTTTTTGAATTTTTGCAATCAGACTTTGGCGATGACCTTGAGCAGTAGGATATAAATAACTCCCAATGCTATCCCTCCCTCAGCCCCCCACCCCCGACAGGCCCCCAGTGTGGATGCCCCCTGCCCTGTGTCCATGTGTTCTCACTGTTCAACTCCCACTTATGAGTGAGAATATGCGGTGTTCGGTTTTCTGTTCTTGTGTTAGTTTGCTGAGGATGATGGGTTTCTAGCTTCATCCATGTCCCTGCAAAGCACTTGAGCTCATCCTTTTTTATGGATGCATAGTATTCCATGGTATATGTGTGCCACATTTTATTTATCAGGTCTATCATTGATGGGCATTTGGGTTGGTTCCAAGTCTTTGCTATTGTGAACAGTGCCACAATAAACATACGTGTGCATGTGTCTTTATAGTAGAATGATTTATAATCTTTTGGGTATATACCCAGTAATGGTATCGCTGGGTCAAATGGTATTTCTAGTTCTAGATCCTTGAGGAATCGCCACACTGTCTTCCACAATGGTTGGACTAATTTAGACTCCCAACAGGGTACAAGCATTTCTACTTCTCCACATCCTCTACAGCATCTGTTGTTTCCTGACTTTTTAATGATCGCCATTCTAACTGGTGTGAGATGGTATTTCATTATGGTTTTGATTTGCATTTCTCTAATGAGCAGTGATGATGAGCTTTTTTTCATATGTTTGTTGGCTGCATAAATGTCTTCTTTTGAGAAGTGTCTGTTCATATCCTTTGCCCACTTTTTGATTTGTTTTTTTCTTGTAAATGTGATAGCATTAGGAGAAATACGTAATGTAGATGACGGGTTGATGGGTGCAGCAAACCACAATAGTACGTGTATACCTATGTAACAAACATGCACATTCTGCACATGTACCCCAGAACTTAAATTATAATAAAAATAAACTACTGATAAAAATAGAAATAAAAATAGAAATAAAAAATAGAAATAGATAATAAAAATAGAAATAAACTACTGATACAACATGGATGAACTTAGTTCCTTCTATGAAGTACTCTACAGGCAACACTAAATTGTGAAGACCAAAAACTTTCCCTCTAAGTGATAAAGAAAAATGCCCACACTCCTCTATAGTCAGCCTTGCAATTGGTAGTAAAATAAATGATAGGCATAAAGTTCAGAAAGAGAGAAGTAAAAACAATCATGTTTGCCACGGATATAATTGTTTGTATGGAAAATCACAAGGAATCTGCAAAACAACCGAGGGTACTAAAAAGTGACTTTTGAAAGATGGATGGAAGCAAAAATCAATAGTAATTTTATATACTAGTAATTATAAATAGCTAATTGCTGGGCTTAATATCTAGGTGATGGGTTGATAGATGCAGCAAACCACCATGGCACATGTTTACCTATGTAACAAACCGGCACATCCTGCACATGTACCCTGGAACATAAATAAAAATTAAAAAAACAAAGCTGAAACTATTCAATGTATGATAGCATCAGAAAAGAAAATATTGAAAAATAAAGTTCTGTATATTAAAAACAACAAAATATTACTGAGAAAAATTTTATACTCAAGTAAGTAGTGAGATAGACAATTTTATAGATCAAATAACTCAATATTATTATGATGGCAATTTACCCCAAACTGGATCTGTACATTCATTACAATGCCAATTGTAATACCACAGGTTTTTTTTTTTTAATAAAATTGGCAAACTGATGCCAAAATCTGTACGAAAACTCAAAGGATTTAGAATATCCAGAATAACCCTAAGAAAAGAAGACTTACATTACCTAACTTCAAGACCTAATATAAACATATGGAGCAACCAGATCTCTTACACATTGGTAGCGAGGGTATAAAATGGAACAACCACTATGGAAAAATGTTTAATCTTTTCATATAACACTAAATATTTAGCAGCTCTAAAAGATAGAAATTCTACACCGGGATATGTGCCCCATCAAAATAAAATCCTGTTTACCAAAATACTTGTATAAGAATGTTTTTAAGAGTTTAAATAAAAAATAGGCAAACCCTGGAATTGGCCCACATAGACATGAAGAGGCAAATGGATAAACACGTTGTGGTATCTTCACACAATGGAAAAGTATACTGTAAAAAAAAATTTATTACATAAGCATATGCATAAGCCAAAACTCACCAGATGATGCACTTAATATACTAATTTCATTGTATGTCAGTTTTAAGGGAAAAAATAATAACTGTAAACAAATATCAAATTCTAGTTAATGGTATTTATGCTGAAGTTATTCAGGGTAAACTGTACTGTTGCCTGCAACATATTTAAAGTACATTCAACAAATAAGATAATTAATGGATATGTAAGTAATAAATCAAGGCTAAAATAAAAATCGTGGCATTTAAATGATAGATATATGTTATATATTGGAAATTTAATTGGATATTTAATTGGATATTAAATAACACAATTTTTCAACTTTCTTGATATTATAAATTTTTGTAAGAAGATGTTTGTTGCAAAAATTGTAAACCTGGTTTACATTATAAGTCATATGATTATTATATTTATAATGAAGTTAAGGTTATGGTAAAGTTTAAAACATATAAAAATAAGTTACATCTCTAGTAATGAGAGTTTTTTTAAACAATCCATAAAACTGGTAATTGTAGAAGAAAATAATGCAAAATTTAAATGGAATATATTGTAAACACTTCTCTGCTGAGAAAGTGTTGACAAAATAATATCTCAAGCCAAAAACATGAAAATATTTCAACTAATATATTAATATTCAAAATATATAAAGAAATCAAATATTAACATGAAGAAAATATTACAAGAGAGAAATAGATAAAACTGTGAATATTTCACAGAAGAAATAAAAATAGAGAAGAAATCTATGAAAATATGGTCAGTCTGATTATAATTCATATTAAGAGCATAAATAAGGAAAAACACTTATATGCACTAAATTCATGATGGAAGAAAGGAGGTCTAAAGATTACAAACTGTGGTGACAAGATTAATCAAATGGGATTCTTACACATCACTGGTGGGAATGTAAGTTGATTCAACCACTGTGCAAAACAATTTGGTTTTATCTTGTGAAACTGTGCATATATCTTCAGCCTGCAGATATATAGAAACACAGAGACATTCTTGCATATATGAACCAGGAGATATATTCCAAGCAGATTTTTTCATAATAGTAAAAACCCAAAGCAACACAAATATTCAACGATGGAAAAATAAACAGATAAACTGTGGTTTATTCAAGCAATGAAATATTTTTAAATGACAACAGTGAAATAAATAGAGCTATATGCAACAACTTGGATGAAACTGAAACAGTTAATTTAAAAAAGAAGTTGCGCCTGGAATCCCAGCTCTTTGGGAGGCCGAGGTGGGAGGGTGACTTGAGATCAGGAGTTTGAAACCAGCCTGGCCAACGGGAGAAACCCGGTCTCTTAAAAATACAAAGATTAGCCAGGCATGTTGGCACACGCTTGTGATCCCAGCTACTGAGGGTGAGGCAGGAGAATCGCTTGAACCTGGGAGGCAGAGGTTGCCATGAGCCGAGATTGCACCACTGCACTCCTGGGCCACACAGTAGACTCAAAACAAAAACAAACACAAAACAAACAAACAAAAAACAGGCGGGCGCCATGGCTCACACCTGTAATCCCAGCACTTTGGGAGGGTGAGGCAGGCGGATCATCTGAGGTCAGGAACTCGAGACCAGCCTGGCCAAAATGGTGAAAATCTGTCTCTACTTTTAGTACAAAAATTAGCGGGGTGTGGTGGTGCACGCCTGTAATCCCAGCTACCAGGGAGGCTGAGGCAGGAGAATCACATGAACCCGGGAGACAGAGGTTTCAGTGAGACGAGATTGCGCCACTGCACTCCAGCCTGGGCGACAGAACGAGACTCTGTCTCAAATAAATAAATAAATAAATAAAATAGAAATAAAAAATATACAAATAAATAAAAGATAAAATACAAAAATTAGCTGGGCATGGTGATGCCTACCTTCAATCCTGTAATCCCACGTTCTCGGGAGGCTGAAGCAGGAGAATTGTTTGAACCTGGGAGACAGAGGTTTCAGTGAGATGAGATCGCGCCACTGCACTCCAGCTTGGGCGACAGAGCGAGACTCTGTCTCAAAAAATAAATAAATAAATAAAATAGAAATAAAAAATTATAAATAAATAAAAGATAAAATACAGAAGTTAGCTGGGCATGGTGATGCCCACCTGTAATCCTGTAATCCCAGCTTCTCGGGAGGCTGAAGCAGCAGAATCGCTTGAACCTGGGAGGCGGATGTTGCAGATCATGCCACTGCACTCCAGGCTGGGCGATAGAGCAAGACTCCTAAACATATATATATATATACACATACACATACATACATACATACATATATATATGGGTGTATATATGTATATGTTTGTATCTATACATATACATAACAATTACAAAATTTAGCCAGGCGTGGTGGTGCACGGCAGTAGTCACAGCTTCTTGGGAGGCAGAGGCAGGAGAATTGCTTGAACCCGGGAGGCGAAGGTTACAGTGAGCCAAGATTGAGCCATTGTACTCCAGCCTGGGAGATAGAGTAAGACTCTGTCAAAAAAATAAATAATAAAAAAAAAGGTCCAGGTGCAATGGCTCACACCTATAATCCTAGAGGTTTGGGAGGCCGAGGTCGGTGGATCCCCTGAGGTCAAAAGTTCAGGACCAGCCTCGCCAAAATGGTGAAACCCTGTCTCTACTAAAAATATACAAATTAGCCGGGCATGGTGGCATGCAACTATAATCCCAGATACTCAGGAGGCTGAGGCAGGAGAATAGCTTGAACCTGGGAGTCAGAGGTTGCAGGGAGC
The DNA here is from genome assembly GCF_000001405.40 of Homo sapiens. Classification (NCBI taxonomy): domain Eukaryota; kingdom Metazoa; phylum Chordata; class Mammalia; order Primates; family Hominidae; genus Homo; species Homo sapiens. The sequence continues at coordinate 48,135,972 of NC_000014.9, forward strand.
AGAGATCATGCCACTGCACTCCAGCCTGGGCAACAAGAGCGAACCTTTGTATCCAGAAAAAAAAAAAAAAAAAAGGTGCAGCAGAGCACAGGGAGTACCGTAACATTTTAATACAGTTCAATCAATAACAAGAATAAGCAATGTGTATATGCATAAGTGGTGACCTTATTTTAAAGTCAAGAGAAAGATGCCAGGGCAGAGGCAGGAGGAAACACAGGTGTAGCTTTAGCTGTTGTTACTTGTCTAGTTTTTAACCGAGTTTATGTGACTGTAAGTGTTCACTTTATTATTATGATTCATAATATCCCTAGATATTACATTTATTTTTTATATGAATTATTTATGGCACATACATGGCACAAGCACTGCAGCATTCAGTTTCCCTTTTTGTAAAATGGGAATTTTGACATTTGTAGACATTAACTCAGTTAAATACTAATTTCAACAAGAAGTAGGTAATGGTTTGTGTCATCAGATGTATTATCTAGAAGTTCGGGTTTTGGTTTTAAACACACTTGAGTTTTAATACTTAAATTTGTATTTCCTAACTGTGGGATTCAGAGCAAATCATCTGAGAGTTATCTAATCCTCATTTTCCTGATTTCTGTATCTACCTCCCGAAGGTGTTGTGGAGGTTAAGTAAGTAACTCCATATCACTTAGCACTGTGCTTGATGGTGTCAATATCATAACTACTCAATACACAAATAAACATTCTATATAATCAGTAATCTTAAAATGTTTTGATTTATTACCCTGAATGACCACAGAATTGGCATTTTATACAATTAGTGCAAAATAGAAGAGTGAGTTGAAATAAATGACTTTGAAAGACTCTTACAGTTTGTAATACTTTCCAGAAGTGTAAAATATGAGAACAAAGAGTGTACCGTATTATTCTTTTCATAAATTAACTAAAGTGGCAACATATCCCCAGTTACTATAAAAGTCAATGTCGTATTAGGATGAATCTGGAGTTTGATTCGTCTTATAAATTCTTTCTTGTTTAGTATTATTAAACTAAATTTTTATGACTAAATAATATATCAGATTTAAGAATTTAGGTCTCTCTATGAAGTTCACTTCTATTTCTTTTTTGTTGAGATTTTATTATAAATGCTTCTATTAAAGAAGTCATGTGATTTTCTTTGCTTTCCTTTTAATAAACCAAATTATTTTGACTTTCAAATGTTCAAACAACCTTGTATTCGTCAGTAGACAAACCCTATTGAGTTACGAAGTATTATCCATTATATATTTTCTACAATTTAGTTTATCAATATATTTTTAAGATATTTTGCATCCATATTAGGAAGAAGAGTGATCTGTACTTTTTTTTTCATACTGTTTTGGTCAGGTTTTGGTACATGGATTATGCTGATCTCACAAAACAAGTTGAGCCATGTTTACTCATCTTCTATTCTCTCAAAATGTTTTTGCAAGATTGGTGTTATCTCTTCTTTAAATGTTTTATAGAATTCACCTTTGGTTTTTTTTTTTTTTTTTTGAAGGAAAGTTTTCTGAAAACATGTTCAATTTCTTGAGCAGATACATGATATGGTTTGGATTTGTGTCCCTGCCCAAATCCCATGTCAAATTGGAGGAGGGGCCTGGGAGAAAGTGATTGGATCATGGGGGCAGATTTCCCTCTTGGTGTTCTCATAATAGTTAGTGAGCTCTCATGAGATTTGATGGTTTAAAAGTGTGTGGACTTCCCTCTTCACTCTCTCTCGCTCCTGCTGCCCTGTGGAGATGTCCTTGCTTTCCCTTCACCTTCCACCATAATTGAAAGTTTCCTGAGGCCTTCTAGTCATGCTTCCTAGTAAGCCTGAGGAAGTGTGAGTCAATTAAACCTCTTTTCTTCATATATTTCTGAGTCTCAGGTAATTCTTTATAACAGTGTGAGAACAGACTAATACAATATAGTACCATTCAGAGTTTCTGTTTCATCTATGTCAAATTTGATGAGTGGCATTTTTTAGGACTTTTTCTATTTTATTTAAATTTTCAAATTTGTTGGTAAAAAATTGTTCACAGTATTTACTTATAATTATTTTAACATTTTTAGTTTCTGAACTGACAACTCCTCTTTTATTCCTGAAATTGTTGATTTGAGATTTGTTTTTTCCCCTTGTAAATCTAGTTAAGAGTTGATCAATTTTGCATATCTTTTCAATTGCCAACATTTGACTTTGTTAATTGTCTTTTATTGTATAATTTTTTATCATTAATTAATGATGTTTATTATTTTATTCTGTTTGCCTCATTAATTAAGATATTTAGGTACATATGAGGTGCACCTCTTTCTCCTTATTAATGCTGTTTGCATTGCATTATACTGTACTTGTATATTATCAATATAGCGATCTTAATTTTCATTCTGAGTATCTACTTGGAATGATATTTTCTGTTATTTTAACTCTCAGCCTACTTATATAAAGTAGTCTCTCATAAATGGCTTATTCATGGACATAATTTTTATACCATCAGACAATTTCTACCTTTTAACTCATATTTCAATTAACTTTCTTTTGATAATCAGTATAGTTGGACTTATTTCTTCCCTAACTACATTTTGCTTTGTATTTTTGTTGGATTTGTAGCACACGCATTTTCCTACCAATTTTGAAATTATATCATACTTCTAATTTTTTAATTGTCATCTTTGAAATTTTACCTTGCATACTAGAAATAAAATCTAAATTATGTGCGGGTATCAACTATCTTCTAAATAAAACAGGGACATTAGAACACTTAATTTGAATCACCCCTTCTGACATACATTCTATTATTGTCTGGATATTTTTTGTCATTAAACTTAAATCTAAATATTATGCATCATTATTACTATTTTGATTATTATTGTTTAAAAACTTTTGTCTATATACATATATGTGTATACACACATATATAATAAGTGTCTTTGCTCAGTGTTCACTCTTGTGTATTTTATCATTCTTGAATCAGTATCTTTCTTTCTTAAGTATACCTTAAAAATATGCTTTAGCAGAAGATCTATTGGTGATAAATTCAGCTTTTCTTTCCATGGTAATATCTTCTTTCCACATCCATTCTAGAAAGAATTATCATGGCTACACAATACAATCTCAGATTGACATGTTTTTCTTAGCATTTGGAAAAAATTATTCAACTTAATTCTCTTCCATTGTTGCTGTTGAAGCAACCATCATCAGTCTTTCTTTTATATTCCTTTTAGACACCTGTGTTTAAAACTTTTTCTATGCTTTTTTTAAAACTTTGTTACTAAAATTTATCTGGATATAGATATTTTTAGATATCCTATTTGATATATATCCTGGTACATATAATTGTAGATTTATATATTTTTCAACGGTTCTGGAAAAATTTCAGCCATTTATCTCTTTGAATGTTTTAATTTCATGAATTCTATAATTGACTTTTTCTCTTTCAGACTTACATTTTTCATTTTATCGTAAATATATATTATTTTCTTTTGAATATATTTTATCTACTTTTCTCTCTATTGCATTTAGGATGATGTATTTAAATATATCTTGAAGGCTGGGCATAGTGGCTCATGCCTGTAATCCCAGCAATTTGGGTGGCTGAGGCAGAAGGATTGCTGAAGCCCAGGAGTTCAAGAACAACCTGAGCAGCAAAGTGAGACCTCCCATCTACTTAAAAAAGAAAAAAAAAGAAAAAGAGAAATAATAGCCAATCATGGTGGTGCCTGTGATCCCAGTGATCCCAGCTACTAGAGAGGGTGAGGTGGGAAGATCGCTTGAATTCAGGAGTTTGAGGTTGCAGTGAGCTATGATTCCACAAACACACTCCAACCTGGGCTACAGAGCAAGACTCTTTCTCAAAAACAAACAAACCATAAAAGCACATATATCTTTAAGATCATTAATATTATGTTTTATTCTAAAAAGAATCTATCAATTAACCCCTTCATTGATGTTTTAAATCTCAGTGTATAGCACCTATTTATAAACCTCTGGTCATTTTTATGTATTTTCTGCTTATTTCCAGTATTCTATTATACTCTGATTATTTAAAAAATCCTTTCTTTTTAACCATTTGCTATGTAACTACTTATATTCCATATCTAGTATTTCCAATATTTGAAATCTTTGGGTCTTCATTGTATGATGTTGTTTGCTGATTTGATCCCTAAAATTTTTATTTCTTTTTGTTTTTTGTTTTAATTTTAAATGAATATTTTATTCAATTTAATCTGTGGGAATCCTGAGGGTCTAAATTAGTGATGTTGTCACTAATGGAGATTACTGGCATTTTTTTGTGTGTGTGGTGGGAACTGTAGCATAATTCACTTGGTACTACATTCATTACTTTGGGGCCCTGGTTATATACAGGAAATTCAGATTCAGTTCCTCAGCTTATTCTGGACTTGAGGCTGAGTTCCTAGAGCTGTTATTGGAACTTTGACCCCTTTCATTGCTTACTAGCTCATAATTTTCTCCTAAGTGAACTCGGAAATTTTCCAGTTTACTTTTATCCAAGTAATGCTTCAAACATACATGTTTGTTGTACTGCACACAAGATCTGGTTATATTGTAACATGAAATTCCATTAGAGAATTCAATCTAACTATTGCTGGCTACAGATGTCATATTCTACTTCTCTTTTTAGCTACCTTTCTGCTTTTCATAGGACAGAAAAAATGGCTTATAATTGACAGATACAGGGATATTCTCAGGAATTTAGTGGAGTTGTTCTGTAGATATTTTTAAGAATTCCAAACTGACATGTATATATTGTAGAAAATATTGTATATATATGTGTATATTGTAGATAATGTAGGTGAGAAAAAGTTCATAATGAAACACAAATAAACATCACTTTAGGTATCAGCCAGAAACCTTACAGGAAAGTGAAGTTGAACCATAAAGCATAACCCAGAATCAATAGATCAGCATCTTTCCCCTGCAAGTACTGTTGTGGCAATTGCTTTCAATACTATACTCCCCGAGGACATTAAGAAGTAGCTACACACACTCATGAGTTACCGTAAAGTGTATGAGTCTCTCTAGAAGAATTCAAGGGAGTTCCAGATTGACTCTGATTTTTCCAGGACTTTCACTAGGACTTGGAATGCCTGGCGGCTCCCTAACATTTATTTCCCCAAAGGATTGCAGGTTCAGAAATGAATGTGACCCCAGAGCAAGGGCTACTATTTGTAAGGTTTTGGCTTTGTTTTTCTCCTTTAAACCCAGTTAAAATTTTGCAAACTTCCACTTCCTTAGATTTTCTCAATATTCCTAAGTAGAATAAAGCATAGTCAGAGGCACCAAAGAAGCACATACCAAATAGAATATGAATCAGGGCTCTATTCATTCTGATAATTGTATGTTATATTGAGTCAGTCAGGCTTTCGTAGTGAACTGAGACCTGCAAAGTCTTTATTAGAATAAACTAAAGTGGTATAGCATATTAATGGTTCAGAAAAAAACAATATATGCGATATATGTCTTTAAAAATAAGAATAATGAATGTACATTTTCTAGTTTAAGAAAAGAGAAATTATATTATGTAATCCTGGCATTTAACATTAACTCAGCAAATATTCATTGCACATTGATTATTTTCTAGGCACTACCCTAAATACTGAAGATACAGTGCTAAAAAAGGCAGGTGAGGTGCTTATGATGATATAGAATAACACTCAATAAAGTCATCTTCCTGATAAGTAATATGAAGAAGATGATCTAAGAGTCTAACACTTATTTTATCACGAATATTATTATTTTTATTTATTTATATTATTATTATTATTATTATTATTATTATTATGTTTTTTTTTTTTTTGAGACAGAGTCTCGCTCTGTCACCCAGGCTGGCGCAATCTTGGCTCACTGCAAGCTCGGACTCCCAGGTTCACGCCATTCTCCTGCCTCAGCCTCCCAAGTAGCTGGGACTACAGCTGCCCGCCACCACACCCAGCTAATCTGTTGCATTTTTAGTAGAGACGGGGTTTAACCGTGTTAGCCAGGATGGTCTCGATCTCCTGAACTCGTGATCCGCCTGCCTTGGCCTCCCAAAGTGCTGGGATTACAGGCGTGAGCCACTGTACCCAGCCCACTTAATATTATTATTTTTATAACACATATTAGTTTATGATCCTCCAGATTACAGTTGAAAACTGCTGGTATATGTTCAATATATTATTATAATTATACATATATTATTATAATTATATAATATCATTATAGTATATGATTATATTATTATAATACGTTGAACATATTACCAGCAGTTTTCAACTGTAATCTGGAGGATCAGGAAACACTATTCTCATAAGTGACATTAAAGTTGAGAACTAAAGTTTGAATTAGCTGGGACGTGAGACCAGTGAAATAAGGGGGTATATCACTCATGCTTTAGGAGGCATAACTGAGAGATTTATTGTCATGACACTTCAGATGTGGGCCTTGCCACATAGGTTCCAGGAAAGCAGAAAGAGAGAAAAAAAAATGTAGCAGGGATTTAGGAAGAAGTCGAGAGAAGCAGAAAAGGCCTGAGAAGTAAGTAAATAAATCCTGGTAAGCACAGACTAGTATCTGGAAATAGAAACCCATCAGAGAATGGTACACTTAGGTCTCTGATGAGAGGGGAGAAATTAATGGATTAAGAGAAAAGAAAACTGGCTCTGAAAGGAAAACAGCTCCTGAGAGAGAAGTTCAAATTCCAAGAAAAAAACAACTAAGAGAGGTGGCAGGAATTTGGAGCTAGTCCCAGATCAGCTGCGTTTTATCACCTTCCAGCTTCTGCCATCCATTAGAGAGTTATGGGAAGGAGGGAACCCGAGGTCCACTGAGGCTCATTGAGTTCATGGATTGATATTAAGATTTCCCAGGTTAGAAGTTTGAAATGATGGTCTGTCTAACTGCTTTAACAGTACCACACACAGCTGAAAAGAAAAGATAGAATTCATTATTTTGAAGTTGAGAAAAGGCTGTACATATGGACTAGTATATCATCTACCGAAGTGTCATTGGTCAAACACTTTATTGCATGTATTTCCAGATTTCTTTTTTAAAATATAATTTTACTACTTATTTTTACCTAAGTAAGATTATTTGCAAATAACTGTGTGTAGACCAATAAACTATCATTCATCTCATCAAAATATAAATATTTATAAAGTATATCAGAAACTCTGTAGAGAAAAAGTAATGCATATAATTTTTAAATACAAAAATTAAAAATAATTATATCTTATTCTATATTATCTAAAAAATTACAGGTCCTTTTCATAAATATACAACAAAAGGATTTTTGCAACTAAGAGTGAACGAAAAGGAATAATTCAAGGTTAAAGAATTGTGGGACGAATCGAAGAAATTTAATAGGAAAAAGAAAAATAACTTTTTTTAATGCCAAATACTCTGGAACATAGACAATAAAAAGTAGTACTGCAGAGCTGTGATTTCCAGTCTTGTTTTTTAAAGCCAAAAAGAATTTGGAAAGTCAAAAAAGACTTCAGTATTTTCTATCTACTTAGCAACTGTTGAGTTAAGCCAAATAGTCTTTACTTGAGGACTTTATAGAGGCTTTAATAAGCAAGTTAGCAGAATATACAAGCAAGAATAGAGTGTAGAGTGTAAGAATTCCTCATACTTACTTGGCTGCATAATGTTAACCATTAGCTCATTTCATTAAACAAAAAGATAATTAATATATTATTTGATAGCAATATTTCCTGAAATATAATTTGAAAAGGACTGCTGTTAAAAGTATGAATTACCAGTTAAGAAACATTTTACTTGAAAGTTAACCCATGTAGCCACATATGATAGCCCATTTCTTTCTTGAACAAAATCAGAATTCAAATACAGTGGTGCATTTTATTTAAAATAATCAGTTTAGTGTTTGTTTTTTAAGTGATATCTAAGTATTATTTCCTAGGATTGAACAGTTTTATGTAAAGAAATATTTAAATTATATTGTCTTATATTCAAAGTGTTCAGGCAATGCATAACTTAAAATGTCAGTTCCCAATATGTAAAAAAAAAAAAAAGATTCACAACATAGCCATAACAATAAACCTAACAGTCAATCCCTGTACTTTTTAAGCAAAGGGAGTGCCACCCAAAAATAGGCTACAGTAAGCCCGAAAGAAGTGGGAATATAGAAGACTCCATGTGCAAGAGAGTGGGGAACACAGAGGTGAGGTGAGATATACGGTAGGCCACACTGCATCCATTCATACTCATGTCCTTGCTGACTCTTCCTGCCCTGATACTTTCTCATCCAGCTGGTAAAGCCTTACTCATCAAATATCAACTTCTCTAAGAGCGTTAACTTACCTGCTCAAGAAACATTTGCTCTTAGTCTCTGTATCTTTGAGATGCCTTTGAGGTGCTTTGTACATTTGTAAATATTCCTTATGTTAAATACAAACATGAGTAAATGTGAAGAAACATGGTGAATCATGTATTTCCTACCCTAGCACATAGCCATGCATGGAGTAAGGTATTCAACTTATGCTTCTTGAGGTTCTCAATAAGAATATTACAGGTGGAAATAAATTTTGTAAAGGGAAGATAACAATACGTCTAACTCAAAATCAACTTTCCTAAACCTCTTAGTTACAATTAATCAATATGCTTACGGCCTATGTCATATGGAACAGAAGAGAGAGTGGCAAACTTTTTCTGTAAAAGATCAATAATAGTAACTTTTTAGAATTTGCAGGCCCCTAAGGTTGTCGTTACAACTACTCAACTCTGCCTACTGTTATAATGCAAAAGTAACCAGACAGAATATGCAAACAAATGCACCTGGTTCTGTTTCAATCAAAGCATTTTTAAAAATAGGAGGAAAGCCAGATTTGGCCTTCAGGCTATAGTTTGCTGACACCTGTTATAGAAGATAGAATTTGAATTAAAATTTTGCAATATCTGCCTTAGTAAAACTTTTTTAAAGATTATGATTAATTAAAATGTCAACAGTTATGTGAAGATGTTACAAAAGTGCTATTTAACACAAAGGAAATACAAACAATTGGTAGCATAATTAAAACAATAGAGAAAAGTAACAAAGACAAGTTAGTTATTTGAAGAGATTATAAGATTGAGAACTGCCCCCTACCCACACACACAATGAATAAGATAAAAGAGAGAAAGGAAATTACAATATCAAGAATTAAATTGAATATATCACTTTAGGTTCTACAGTCATCAAATAGATAATAAGAAAGGAGCAAGTAATTTATGGTAACACATTTGACACTTTAGTTAAAACAGAAATATTCTTAGAAAAACAGGTTAACAAAAGCTAACACAAAAAGAAAAAAATGCTGAATAACTTTATATCTAACAAAAGCTTAAATCATTAAATAAAAAGAACCTTCTATGCAGGAAATTTCAGCCATATATGCTTTTACTGAAACATTTATGGAAGAAATAATGTCAACCTTATATATACTTTCCTAGAAAATACAGAACAAATAATTTTTATTAAAAGTTCATCAATAAATATATATTTTTTTCTTTAATAACTGTCCTTCAATAATGTCTCTGTTGAACTCCAATTTTTCATTACATTCTAGGTCCTTTTGCCACATCTTTTTTCCCAGACTCCATAAATTTTCAGTTACCATAGTGGTCTAATAGTAACTCTTGGCTACTATAGTGGCCTAATTTTGGTATTTAGAACTCATTCTTTTTCATTAAAAATCTCTAATCCTGAACTTGATTCAGAGGTTATCTCGTATTCTCTATTGCAGCACAGGTATCCCTGCTTGTAGTAAGCAGAGGGTGTGATCTGGCTTGGAGGTACTCCTATCCCCACCTAAGACCTGGGTGCTTCATTGTCGGGGACCAGAAGCAGGATAGGAGAGGCAGAAATCTCCATGGCTCCATGACTGGCCACATGCTGGTGGTGGAGAGGTATCCCTGGACCCCTGAGGTTTGGCAACTGGTCTGATAGCCTCTGCTGAGGTAATTATTTACACTTAGATACCAGGTGGCCTTTTCTTGAAGAGGTGTTCAGTTCAGTTTCAGCTCCACTGTTGAGAACTATTTATTGTTCAGTCTGTTTCCACAACCTCTTTCCTGGGCTGGTTGTCTCCTTGACTTGGAAGTGCCTCTGACTGTTGTTCATTTAATAACTTTTGTGTTCTTTCACTTAGAACCATGAAAACCACTGAACTCCTCTTCCAACTTCTAGAGGCCATAATGAAACATCTTAGGTACATTTCATGTTACAGATTATGGTTCCTAGAAAGCAGACTGTGAAGGATACTTGAATGCAGGAAATATTTGGGGATTGCTCTCAGGATTATTGCCCAAGATCAGAGAGCTAGTTGGTAGTGGATGTAACTATGACTATTAGTAGAATTATCTGATTATAAAATCTGTAGTCTTACATTTCTAATATATCACATTGTTTCCTCAAGTCTCACAGTGTTCTACAGTCAAGCTGTGTATCTCCATGTTATTCTTATTAAGTGTGAAATCTGTAGCCTTCAAGGTTGTGATGGCAGAGTAAGAGGCACTTCCCAATAATTTTCACAAGTCAAAATATATCTGATACTAAAGCCTGACTAAAACATTGTGAGACAAAAACTTAAACCAATTTCCCTCAGAAATACAGCATCAAAAAAAAAAAAAAAAGTCCTTGGCAAAGTACTGGCAAGTACAATCCAGCAAAACAAATAAATAAAAATATACAATGACCATTGGAGTTTAGCCCAAGAAATCAAGATTGCTTTAACATTAAAAACTCAGTCAATGTAATTTTTTTCACATTAAAAGATAAAGGAGGAAAAAACAATTGATCATCTCAAAGAAGAAACAAAAATCATCTGGTAAAATTAAACTCTATCCATCATAAACATTTTAGCAAGGCAAAGCAGGAGTTGAGAAAAATTTCAGCAATCTGACAAACTGCATCTTTAAAGACAAATGAACGAACAAACAAACAAAAAAGTAATAGAGTATTGAGTGTGTTTCCTTTATGATTAAGAAAAGGCAGAGATGCTTAACTTTGTGACTTCTATTGCATATCAACTTCTATTAAATATTGTTGTGAAAGGTATCAGTAGTGCAGTAAGGCAAGAATAAAAACAGAGAGATTAGAATAGAAGAATTAAGAATGTGTTTAATACAGAAGACAGTTTGCATCAAAAGCTTAAAAATTTTAAAAACTCAGGAATGGAAAACCAAATACTGTATGTTCCCACTTATAAAGGGGAACTAAGCTATGGGTACACAAAGGGATATAGAGTGGTATAATGGTCACTGGAGACTCAGAAGGGCAGAGGGTGGGAAGGGGGCAGGGATAAAAAATCGACTATTAGGTACACTGTATACACTATTTGGGTAACTGGTACACTAAAAGCCCAACTTTACCATTTTAGTAGTTATCCATGCAACCAAAAATTACTTGTATCCATAAAGTTATTGAAATAAAAATTACAAAAAAACCCTCAAAACACCAACCCACTGCTAGAATTATAGTAAAGGATGTTAGTAAGAATGTAGGCTGTAAAGTCAATACACAGAAATCAATTGCATTTTTATTTAGTAGTACAAATAACTGGAATATGTAATAAAATTATGTTTACATGATCAAAAATATTACATCAATAGGAATAACTAAATACATGTAAGACTTCTACAGTGAAAGTAGCAAAACACTACCAAGAGAAATTAAAGAGGATTTATATGAAAAGAGTTGACCATGTTTATGTATTGGAAATTTTAACGTTGTTAAGATGTTAGTTTCCCCGACGAATTAATAAATTTATAAAAATTCTTATTAAAATTCCAACAGCTTTAAACATACATAAATTAAGAAGTTGATTCTAAAATTTATATGGAAATTCAAAGAATCCAGAATAGTAAAAGTTATCTTCTTTAAAAAAGAACAAAGCACATTTACACTATTTTATTTCAAGACAGTGTAACTCTATTAGTCAAGATTGTATGAGATTGATGTGAACATAAATAGTACAGCAGAAGAGAGTGACCAAGAACATAGTAAGTTCTCAATTAATGTTTGTTGATCAAATCAGAAATAAATATTTTTCTTCTATTCCTCTTTCCTATCTCCTTCTGGTGATTTTTATTGGCAAAAGGTAATAGGGATACACCTAGTAAAAGAGGAATGTATTTTAAGGAGTCAAGTCATAACCCATCCAAAAGCAGATGTTGAGGTGTGCTTTTGGGGTTGAGAGGCAATAATTTGAAAACGGATACAGCATCTTTGTCTTGCATCCAAATATAGAGAGAAATAGTTCAAGAATTTATAATTTCAATTATGATGCTTATCATAGTTTTGGGGATTTAGTTATCAAGCTAAGCAACTCAACTTTTCTGCTTTTACATTGAATTTTTAAGTAAATAAATATTATTTTTAACTGCTTTTTTGTATTTAGAGACATAATTTACCTTCTTTATTCTGTACAAGTGTTGAATCACTTTTATTAATTTTCTAATGTTAGGACAAACAAATTTCTAGAAGGAAAAAACAAACGTGAATATGATACATTATTATTTTTATGTGTCACTGGATTTGGATTACTAACACTTTGTCTATGATTTTTCTATCTACATTTGTTACATCTCAAAGTTTGAAATTGGCCAGTATTTTCCTTTCTCACGTTGTCTTTGTTGGCTTTTGGTATTAAGTTTGTATTTGCCTGAGAGTTTTCCCTCCATTTTATACTCTAAAATACTTTCTGCATGTTTTTAATTATTTATAATTTGAATATTCTGTTAAATTCATCTCAAAAATCCAATTTGTTTAGGGCTTTCTCTTGGGTAAGTTTTCACTGCTTAATTCATTTAATAGTTATAAGATTATTATTTCTCTGTTTCTTATTAAGGCATTTTAAAAGTATATTTCTTCTACATTTAAATAGTTCTCCTAAATTTATAAATTATAGTAAATGTGTTTTCAAATTATATAGGAATATTAAAATATTTCAAGAGTATAAAAAGATAACATAAACCTTGTTTAAAAATGCATAGCACTTCTCCCTTCACTCTTTCTCTCTCTTGCTGTGCCATGTGAAGATTATGCCTGCTTCTCCTTCACCTTCTGCCATCATTGTAAGTTTCCTGAGGCCTGCTCAGCAGTGCCTCCTGTATAGTCTGTGGAACTGTGAGTCAATTAAATCTCTTTCCTCCAAATTTCCCCAGTCTCATGTATGTTTTTATAGCAGTGTGAGAATGAACTAATACAGAAAATTCGTGTCAGATAAATGAGGCATTGCTATAAAGATACCTAAAATGTGGAAGCAACTAAGGAACTTGATAATGGGCAGAGGTTGGAACAGGTTGGAAAGCTCAGACAAAGACAGAAAGAATACTGAACGTTTGGAACTTCCTAGAGACTTGTTGAATGGTTCTAACAAAAAATGCTGATAGTGATATGGACAGTAAGCTCTAGAATAAGGTGGTCCCAGAGGGAGATGAGGAACTTATTGGGAACTGAAATAAAGGTCATTCTTGGTATAGTTTAGCAAAGAGATTGGACGTATTGTGTCCCTGCTCTAGAGATCTATGGAACTTTGAACGTGAGAGAGATTATTTAGGGTATCTGGTGGAAGAAAATTCTAAGCAGCGAAGCATTCAAGATGTGGCCTGGCCACTTCTAAAAGCCTACACTAATTTGCATAAACAAAGAAATGACCTGAAACTAGAACTTACATTTAAAAGGGAAGCAGAGCATAAAAGTTTGGAAAGTTTGCAGCCTGACCATGTGGTAGAAAAGAAAAACCCATTTTCTGGGGAGGAATTCAAGGCTTCAGAAATTTGCATAAGTAAAGAAGAGCTGAATGTTAAAAGCCAAGACAATGGGGAGAATGTCTCCAGGGCACTTCATAGCAGCCCCTTCCAGCACATTCCTGAAGGCCTAGGAGGAAAAAAAATGGTATTGTGGGCCAGGGCCAGGCTATTGCTGCTCTGTGCAGCCTCGGGACATGGCACCCTGCATCCTGGCCACTCAAGCTCCAGCCACAGCTAAAAGGGGCCAAGGTACAGCTCAGGCCATGGCTTCAGAGGGTGCAAGCCCTGAAACTTGGGGGCTTCCATGTGGTGTTGGGTTTGCAGGTGCACAGAAGGCAAGACTTGAGGTTTTGGAACCTCTACCTAGATTTCAGAGGATGTATGGAAATGCCTGGATGTCTAGGCGGAAGTCTGCTACAGGGGTGGGGCCCTCATGGAGAACCTATTCTAGGGCAGTGCAGTGGGGAAAGTTAGGGTTGGAACCCCCATGCAGAATCCCCACTGCAGCACTGCCTAGTGCAGCTGTGAGAAGAGGGCCACCATCCTCCAGATCCCAGAATGGTAGATCCACCAACAGCTTGCACCCTTTGCCTGGAAAACCTACAGACACTCAATGCCAGCCTGTGAAACAGCTGCAGGAGCTGTACCCTGCAGAGCCACAGGGGTGGAGCTGCCCAAGGCCTTGGGAGCTCCCCTGCCCTTGCATCAGTGTGGGCTGGATGTGAGACATGGAGTCATAGAAGATTATTTTGGAGCTTTAAGATTTAATGGACTGGGCGTGGTGGCTCATGACTGTAATCCCAGCACTTTGGGAGGCCAAGTGGGCCGATCACCTGAAGTCAAGAGTTCGAGACCAGCCTGGACAACATGGCAAAACCCCATCTCTACTAAATATATAAAAATCAGCCCGGCATAGTGGTGCATGCCTGTAATCCCAGCTATTTGGGAGGCTGAGGCAGAAGAATCATTTGAATCTTGGAGGCAGAGGTTGCAGTGAGCCGAGATCGTGCCACTGCACTGCAGACTTGGTGACAGAGTGAGACTCTGTCTCAAAAACAAACAAAAACAAAGATTTAATGACTGCCCTGCTGGGTTTCAGACTTGCATGAGGCCTGTAGCCCCTTTGTTTTGGCCAATTTCTCCCATTTGGAATGGGAACATTTACCCAATACCTATACCTGCATTGTATCTTGAATGGAACTAGTTTGATTTTTTTTATTTTACAGGCTCATTGAACTTGGACTTTTGAGTTAATTCTGTAATGAGTTAAGACTTTGGGAGACCGTTGGGAAGGCATGATTATGTTTTGCAATGTGCGAAGGAGGTGAGATTTGGGAGTGGCCAGGGGTGGAATGATATGGTTTGGCTTTGCATCTGGATCCAAATCTCATGTTGAATTGTAATTCCCAATGTTGGAGAAGGGACCTGGTGTGAGGTGATTGGATCATGGAGGTGGATATCCCCCTTGCTGTTCTTGTGATAGTGAGTGAGTTCTCATAAGATCTGGTTGTTTAAAAATGTATGACACTTCTCCCTTTGCTGTCTCACTCCCCTGCTCCACTATAGGAAGATTTACCTGCTTCCATTTCACCTGCTGCCATGATTGTACATTTCCTGAGACCTCCCCAGCTATGCCTCCTGTACAGCCTGAAGAACTGTGAGTCAATTAAACCTCTTTTCTCTATAAATTACCCAGTCTTAGGAATGTCTTTATAGCAGTATGGGAACAGACTGATACAGTAGATGCGTATGTGTGTGTGTGTGTGTGTGTGTGTATGTGTGTGTAATAATTTTCATTACACAAATGGTGGTTTTCCCAGGGAGAGCATTCACTGAGCTCCTCACACCACCATTTAAGAAGTCCAGGAAAATTTTTATTGATCCTTGGAGATTTCAAAGCTCTCTAATTAGTCATGTTCACATAACATTAGACAATGGGTGTAGAAATGGCTGTAACTTGTGCTTACAAGTATAAGTAAGGGCAGTGTTTCATAACTCTTGTGGCACATTATTCTCAAAGGGGGAGCTTTTAGAATATATTGGTAAATAGGCCATCTCTCAAAATATTTTTATTCATTTTTTTCTGAATAGAAACTATGTATTTGTAATTTTAAATAATTCATGGGATTATCCTAATTGGATCCAGCTTTGAGAGCCACAGAACTAAATGTCTTAGAAGGGACTCATGCATAAGATTAGTAGCTGAAACTATGTGACTTTTAAATTGTTCTCCAGCATATAACATTCAGAACACAAACTTTCTGGGGGCACTTTTGTGGTGGTGCTTATTTCTGCTTTTCATAACTATAAATAAATAACAATAGTAACAGCATAACATTTTAATAGCTTTTGTTTTATGAAGACATGACTTGCACAAAGTACATATTTCCTTCTTCAGCCTTTTTGGGTAGAAATATTACACAGTCACCTGTACAGACATGCTATTATTTATAAACCTACTAAGAGATCACAGGTATTACAACAGGTGAAATATGTTGGTAGAATTTAGGAAATTTCATGTCTGCACAATATGGCAAACACATATCTTTTGATTGCTTCATGACAAGTATTGGCAAAAAGAAATCTGGACTCATATAAAAAGTTTAAGGAGAAGAATATGGGAAAGCCATACCACAATTCAGGTACTGTTATTCTCATAATCTCCTATAGGAACCTGTGTTGTAATCTAGGTGAATAGTAGCAAAGTGAATGTGACTAAGAAGCTTACAAATATGACGGCTTTAGAGTATCCAAAATAAAAGGAAAATTAAAAGGAATATTTTTAGAAACTTTTCTGATTATTAGACCTTACCTCCCTAGAGAATGGATATTTCATTTCAGAGTTGCAGTAACTATTATTTTCTCCTTTGTGGTTTTGACTAGTTATGTAAGTGGACTATATTTTGTACAAGATTA
Source organism: Homo sapiens (assembly GCF_000001405.40). NCBI lineage: Eukaryota > Metazoa > Chordata > Mammalia > Primates > Hominidae > Homo > Homo sapiens. The sequence goes on from NC_000014.9 coordinate 48,152,629, forward strand.
TTATCATTAGTGTGATAAATCTCTTTCCAAGTTTCACTTTGTGCAGAGCTTACTATTAAAATCTAATGTCTTTTTATTCTTCAATTATTTTAAACATACTAATCAACAGTGACAAGACTCTACATAGAGTATCAATTTTTTTGTTTGAAAAATTGCCAGAAATAGTTCAAAAAAACCCAACATATTGTGATCTTCATCACAAGAAATTATTAAATGTAATATCAAAAGCAAATATGCCCCATCATTCTTGCTCCTGTCAGTCTGAAAAGAAATTAGGGTATTTAACATGCTAATAACTTGAGGATACATCTTCTCAAAGTATTTTTTCATGTCTCCTAACCGTCCTAGGTCATAGTATGTTAGTAGAATAACCAACTTCATAGTAATTAAAAGTACATAAAATTTAAAATAAAGTAAAATTTAAAAATACATAATCAATTGTTTAATACAAAAATAAAAGTAAAAATATTAATAAACAAGCCTTTTAAGATTTTTACAACTCATAAATTTCACAGTAATATTAAAGTCATAGAGCCTTGAGTTAACTGTAACTTTAAGAGGTTGTCTGTCTCAATTGAATATTTTCAGACTGCTAAAGCCTTATTATGTCTTGATTTCTTGCTTTCTCTCTTCCTCACATCCCAAAATACCAGTAAGTTCTTTTGACTTATCCTCCAGAATCTCTACTAATCTATCTTCTCTCCATCGCTATAACAATCCATTCTCTATATGGTGCAGTAACATTTGAAAAACAAGAATTCAGTAATCAATTGACCTTTTTAATAGGTTCCCAACATTAAACTGATCTTTTACAAAGAAGCAAAGGCAATTAAATGGGGGAAAGGATTGTCTTTTCAAAAAATAGTTCTGGAACAACTGGACATCCAAATGCAAAAAAAATTTAGAAAATCTTGACACAGACTTTACACCTTTCACAAAATGTCAAATCAAAATGGACCATAAACTTATATGTAAAATGTAAAACTGTAGAATTCCTGGAAGAAAACATAGGAAAATATCTAAATGACCTTGAGTTTGGTGATAAATATTTAGGCATAACACCTAAAACATGATCCATGAAAGAAAATTTTGATATGTTGGACCCTATTAAAATAAAATACTTCCTCTGCAAAGACACTTTTAAAAGAAGGAAAAAGACAAACCACTAGCTTGGGTAAAATTCTTGCAAAGCATATGTCTGATGAAGACTGGTGTCCAAAATATAGAAATAACTCTTAAAACTGAGCAATAAGAAAACAAACAACTGAATTATAAAATAAACACGATATCTGAACAGACATCTTCCCCCCAAACATATACAGTTGGCCTATGATCATATGAAAAGATACTCGACATCATATGTCACCAGAGAACTGCAAACTAAAACCACAATGAGATACCACTACACATCTATTAGAAGAGCTGAAATGCAAAACACTGACAACACCCAATGAAGGAAAGCATACAGAACAACAGGAACTCCCATTTGTTGCTGATAGGAATGCAAAATGCTACAGCTACTTTGGAAAAGAATTTGGTAGTTTCTTACAAAACTAAATATAGTCTTAACAAACAATCCAGCGACTTTACTCCTTATTCTTCAGTCAAATTAGCTGAGAATTTATGTCCACACATAAACCTGCACACTAATGGATATAGCAGCTTTATTTATAATTGCCAAAGCCTGGAAGCAACCAAAATGCCCTTTAACAGGTAAATGGATAAAGAAACCATGACACATCCAGACAAGGAAATATTATGCAACAAGAAGAAATGAGCTACATGCCATGAAATATATGGAGGAATCTTCAAAGCGTATGCTAAGAGAAAAAAGGCGGTTTGAAAAGGCTACATTAATGTATGATTAATCAATGTATGATAAAAGGCTGAATAGGTAGGACACAGGGAATAAGTATTTTCATGGTGCTGCCGTGGTGGATATGTGGCATTATACATTTGTCAAAACCCATAGGATGTACAAAACAAAGAGTGAACCCTACTGTAAACTATGGAATTTAATTAGTAATTATGTAACAATATTTTCCCATTAGTTGTAACAAATATGCCACAGATGTTAATAATAGGGCAGACTGTGTGGGTGGCAGGTGAGAAGATGAAGAGTTTTATGGGAATGCTCTGTACTTTTTGTTAGATTTTTCTGTAAATTGAATACTGATCTAAAGTCTATTAATTAATAAAATTCTGATGGCTTTTAACTGTTATAGAATAAAATTGAAACTTTGTTCGCTTTTCTTCAACCACCTACATGCTCTGCTTTCTTTGTCCATCTTCTACCATCTTTCACTTCTAAGCATCCATCTTCATGTTATCCAATTATAACTAATTCTTTACAATTCAGCACTTGTAAAACTGCTGCCTCCTTGGTGATATTCTTACTATAACCCCTCTCTTATTTGGATGCCCTCAAGTAGTGCTTTAATTAACACTGCATCTGAAGTTTTTTTAGTTTTTTTTGTTTTTTTTCCCCTATGACTTATCAGTAGCTGATACTTTCTTAGTATTTTTATTGTCTTTTGACTACTGTAAAATGAACTTCTGTGTGATCAGGCACCTCATCTGTCCTGTTTACAACTTTCACTTTACAATAGTTTCATAGTCCAGAATAATAGCTGGCATGCAGTAATCACAAACTTAATATTTATTGAATAAACTAATAATGATCATTTTATACATGAAAATAAGAAGTTGAATCGGTAAATTGTTAAAGTTTATACAGCTGGAATGGCATAGGAAGAGAATCTTATTTCCTGCTGTCTCTTAGTAGTGGACATTCTATAATAGGCTATGGTGCAGTGTAGCATTATAAGAAATTTATATCATCATTGCCATGATGTTAGGGAAATCAAAGCAATTTCCATGAAGACAGTCAAAGTTTCTGTCAATTGGGATGTAATAAAAACTTAATTTGCAGTCAACATAATAATCATTCATACATGTCAGGTTAAAATATATGATTTTTTTTCTAAAATGGTAACTTTAAATAATACCTTCTAAATTGATTTTTCATTTTCACTTACAACCTTTATGAATCAAAATAAAGTTCCAATCATTATGACTTAAGAGTGCTAGGTTACCACATCTATTGTTATTTGCAATGATAGGCTTTTCCCTGTAGGCTCCTATGCTACTGTTAGTTTCTGAAATCATCAATTAAAATGTGTCTGAACAGGAGAAATTAATTGAAATGCCCAGAATTTTGTGACCTGAGGATTGAATAATGTAGTGCCATGTATCAATAAATAAATATTTGAAGCTTCTGTGGATAGAAGTATTACACTAAAGGCTATACACTTGAATGAGCAAGTTATATCTTTTTCAGGTGTAAGCACATTTTAGGTCAGGCATTTAATGTTAGAATGAGATCACAAAAGTCGGAAGAAATCACAAAATATTTAGTGGATTATTAGGTTTATGGGGTTTAAAATTTTTTGTGTCACTTTTCCTTTTTTTCAGATTAAATGCCCTTATATGCCCCCCTTTTAATAAGTCTCAAGCTAATAAAAATTTGGGAGGATATTTTAATTTCAAATCAATGTTTTTAATAAACATTCGCTTACCTTAATGGTTATTTTTCCTCAGGCTTTTTTGTTCTCTCCTTAATCTCCTCAATTCCAGACACTGGAGTGTCCAGACCTTAATGCTTGCACTTCTTTACTCTGTCTAACCTCATCTTTTTGCTGAAATTTAGTATGAAGTTACTGATTCCACCTCCCATCATTAATCTCTTCCAACCCCCATCTCAGTAAAATGAAATACTATCTAGCCATTTCAACAAAAATCCTTGACATGATATTTGATTTTTCTTTCCGTTATATATTATATCCAATCTATCAACAAATATGTATATCCAGATGCTGACCATCCCAATACTATTTCTGCAGGTACTATCTTGGTCAAGCCACCAATATCTTTTCCTTCCATTCATAGCTTATCTCCCTGCTTCTGCAATTATCCCCTTATAGGTTATTCTGCACAATACATATCAGTCATTACACCATTCACCTGCTTAAAGCCCTTCATCCATTCATTTATTTTTTCAACAAATATTTATTTCTTCCCCATTTTTTTATTGATTGGTTAATCAAATATTTTCAGGTGGGTGGGCACTCTTTTTAGAGGCTTAGGATATATCACAGGAAAAATCAAGAGTGATGCCTGCCTTCATAAGCTTGCATTCAAGCAAGAATGAAACATAGTAAACAATAAATATAATTTAAAGCATACAATTTATACTCTGTAAATTCTGTGAAGACAAGTATAAGTAGATCAGGGTAAGAGGGACGAAGGATGCTATGTGCTAATGGTGGATAAAGGAGAAGGCAGGCTGTGATACTAAATTGGGTGTTTAAAATAAGCCTCACTGAGAAGATGAGATTTGAGCATAGATTTGGAAAAGATTAAAACTTTGCCAAGTGTACATCTGGAAGAAGTGTGTTCTAGGCAGAGGGAACAGTAGGCACAGAAGACAAAAGGCAGGAGCCTGCCTGGCATGCCATTGTTATTTTTTTCCAGTGATTACTGCCCTCTTCTCTGTTACTTGAGTTCTCTACTCATGATCTTGTCTCAGGTCTTCAATCTTTATTCTGTTCATTCTTCCTTGAGTGCACTCCTCAGGATATTTCTATAATTCATATATAAAACCCTGTCATATCTTTGCTCAAATGTAACATCAGTGAGGCCTTTCCTGGCCACAGTATTTAAAATTGCAACTTGGTCTTTCTTCCCTGCTTTAATTTTGTCAATACTACTCAGCAAAATCCATTATACTGTATTATTTATTTTATCTGTTGATTGTCTATCATCTTAGGGTTGATCTCCATGAGTGCAGGGAATTCGTCTATTTTGTTTACTGCACTATCCCCAGCATCAATAACAGTGCCAGGCACTACCTCTTTGGGATACTCCCTAATTTAATCTAGTTAAGGGGAATACCAAATCATTGAATAAATTGACATAGAATGAAAGAGTAGATGATTATCCTAGCAGCCCTAAATTCTCCACTAACATGTGCTCATAAAAACAAAATTAGCAGATAAATGACCATGGTTATGTAAGATGCTAGAATTAGAGGAAGTAAGGTGAGGGGTTATACCTGTGCCATTATCTGTGTAAGTCTTCTAAAATTCTAAAATTATTTTAAAATAAAAAGTAAAGCAAATACCTCAGCTTTTCATTGGTCCCTCTCCTCAAAGGAGGCTTGATCTTAATGATGTATTAATAATATTTTCAAAGAAATAAGCAAAATCAAATATACAGCTACTATTAAGTAAATTTGTTTTATCAAAATGGACTTTTAAATTAATCAGACATTTCTTCTGCTAGGCCTCGTTGACCAATACAACTTAGCCTTTTGATTCATTGTTTGGAAAATGCACTCCCTCTCCATTATCTGAAAGTTGTGAAGGCTGTAAATCAACAGAAGAACCACCTGTAGAAGTACATTTCCACAGGTATGCTAAATACCTCAATAACTTTGTTCTTTTCACATTTCAGGTCCATAGAGTGAGATCATCTTTAAAACAACTTTTACAACTTCCATGACGTGCCTTCTAGTTATTGCCATGAAGGCCAAATCTTACCATGTTGGTCCTCATATATCTCAGTTAAACTAAAATTGCCTAGTAATCTCAAATTCTAGAATCCATTTTTGCTGGTCTATGAATTCCAAATCTCTATTAAGTGCAACAGCCTTATTAATAATTTAAGAATAGAATAAAATGTTAATAAGAAAATTATAATAAAGAAGTCATTGATTTTTTAAATATTTACACCCATGAATGAACCAAAAGATTATAATTAGTTTGTAGAATGCAAGGAAAACATAAATATTTTGTAAGTTTAACAATAAAGCTAAGCAAGCCATGTAATGGAAAGAATACTAATACGATAACACCTGATTAAGCAATTATTTTAGATGTCCCCCACTATGCTTTCTTGCAGTAGTCGAATTTTACTTTTGTAGATGCATGACCTTAATTCCACTTCTTTGGGATACTAATTTATTAACCTAGACATTGGAATTATCAAAACAACCCGATAAAGTAACTTCTTGGTTGAATTGTTTGTTAGTACATGTGGCGTTATTTCAAATTCATATAAAGGGTACTTCTTACAAAATAGCCTCTACCAAAGATACATTTTGAGCATGTATCTTTGGTAGAAGCTATTTTATAAGAAGATGGAGAGGCTAACAGCTGTAGACTAGGTACAAGAAAGGATTTATTTATTTTATGATTTATAAAATAATCATAAGTTTGGTTAAAGTCTTTGTACCTTTAAATATCTAAATATAAATAAAAATAAATATGTAAATAGTAATATTACTAGATTCCTCACATACTGAAGATCAGTTGGAAGGGTAAAATATGACTTCTCAGAAGGGGATTTTAATGTCATCAAAGTATATTAGAAGTTTTGTCAAACATTTTATTAAAAATATTTCATACTTTACAAAAGTAGCTAATTACGATCACACAACTAAGTTCTGCCTTAGATCCTCTCTTCCTAGGTTTGAAACTTTTTTTTTTCTCCTGACATCCTCGAATTCTGTGGAAGTTTTTAGCTTTATTGGAGTACTAGGCTGCCAGGGTAAACTGAAAATTCAAGCACTTTGGAGTCCTTTGGCTCTGTGGGTTCTGATCTGCCACTCTGGATCTTACAGTTCTGGGACAGCACCTCCCAGAGAGAGTTGATTAACAGCTGCTGTGTGATCATGATGTAATAAGGGGGTAAAACTATGGACAGTGATATATTTCGAGCTGATTTTTGTGTATGGGGTGACGAAGGGGCCCAACTTTCTTCTTTTGCATGTAGGCATCCAGTTGTCCCAACATCCTTTACTGAAAAACTAATCTTTCTCCCATTGGATTGTCTTGGCATGCTTGTCAAAAATCAGTTAACCATAAATGTAAGAGTTTATTGTAGGCATTCTGGAAGCCAAATACACCTTGTGGCCTAAAGAATAAGAACTAATTTATCAGGTGTCTTCTTTGTGGGTAAGAACTGTGCTTTCTCTCAGAAGTCAACAACCACTTATGCAGATATACCCTTTACTATCACTTCTTTGGAAAGCTGTACTCCATTTCTTTTAGAAAGAACTAGTGGTCACCCAATGCTTGAAGCGTGAGTGGCTACAGGCCTGTTTATGTCTTCTAGAAACCCACCCATCTCAGTTTCAATCGGCTTTACTGAATGTGAAATTCTAGGGTTGTTCTGAAGATAACTTCACATGTTTGGAGAATAATTAGTAGTTATTCTAAAACAGGTAGAGTGTGGTAGTTATAAATGTAATATGGTGTGGTAGCTAAGTAAGAACGTGAGCAGAAGTGCTGCCAATTGTATTTAGACGTTAAACATTTCTTCAGAGCAAAGGGTTAGAATTTGAAAGGTTGAAAAGTTGAAGTAGGGAAATGGCATGATTAAATTTATATTCTACAAAGATACTCAGAATAAAGATATTTAAGAGATTGTAGCAGTGAGAGATGCTGGCAAATAATTTTAGTTATAGTTTGCTATAAGAGAACAAAGAGTGATTTGAGAATTGTAAATCAGTTGAGGAGAAGGCATGTGAGGTAGTTAAAGAGCATAGATATGAGTAAAAAGGAGTATAAAGGGCAGCCAGTTTGCTGTAGGGTCCAAGATTAATGTAATTTAAGTCCCTAGACACACAGTGATAGTCTGGTATGAAATATTTTAATATTGGTAGTCTGGAACAACACACAACATTGAAATAATTAAGTCAATATAATTATCCCTTTCAAGAGATTTTAATTACTTTGTAGTTGATGCAGATTTGATACTTATCCCAATACTTTACATACTCCTAAGTCTACTGGAGGTTTTTTAAAGATTTGTGATTTTTGTTCTATTTTAAGAAATTACCACTTAAATGAATGAGCTGTCATTTCTCAAGGACTATGTTAAATTCCAATCAAAAGACCTGGACAGTGGAATTAACTGCCAATATGGTGTTTTAAATGATAGCCATAAATATTCTCCTCATAAGCAATGAGTACAGTTACTGGATTTTGTACTCTAAAAATGTAACGACAACTATAAATTTAAAATTTGTCAAATGATTTCCAAGAAAGTAAAGTGAATATTAAAATATTACTCTTACCAATAATTCTAGCTCCTTCTTTGATTATGAACAGAATCAGAAATAAACTAAAATCAATAGTTTCTTTTTAATATAACATTTTAGTAATTATTTAAAATTTTTCTTTAAACATAAGTTTGCATACCACTGGGTAAAATTGTGAGGTATAACAATTTGCTGTAAGAAATATTTTAGAGACGCCTTTAGTCATCTATGAATTGAACTTTTTGATTTCATGGAAATCATTGTTTAAAAGGGAATTCTAGTATTAGTTTTAACATTTCTGAGTAACTCCTTATCCTCAACAGACAACTATGTATAGACATAGTTACGGATAGACACTGAGAGATAGTTATTGACATAGACATAAATTGTTATCAGGATTAGGTCATACTCAAAGTGTTTCAGAAAATAATTCTAAATATTTCCAAATACTCTAGGTATTTTAACAGAAAAGAATTATAACACAGAAAATTAGGCGTGCTTAGGAAAATATCAGAAGGGCTTGGAGAATAAGGGTCAGAGAAATTTGTCACTGCTTTTCAGGAGGTGAGAAAGCTACAGAAATTGCACAAAGCTGGTTCTAATGATCTTCCCATTCTGCAGCATCAAGGTGAGTGAATCTCATATGAGCTTATAAGTTTATATGATTATCATATGTCTGCTCACCACTGCCAGAAGAAGTTAATATCTTCTTTTCTGACTTCCAAATCTGATGTGAATTTCTCTCATTAGCACAATCCAACCTGGAGTCCTGCTGACAAGAAATTCTAAAAAATGCATCTACAAAGCTTTCCCATGCAATGTAGGGGAGAATGCAGATGTGGGTGTGAACAATGCTGATCTGACAATTCACAATAAGGTACAAAGATATAGAAAGATATAGTATGGCTATAGATACAAATATAGAAAAAGGTAAATGACAAAGGTTTACATCTACAGGGAATTTGTTTGAGATATGGGTACAACTAAACATAGAATTTATTTATTCTATCCAACAATAAGGAACATTTGAACTCACAAATATCTATTAAACAAATATTTTTGTTAATCTTAAGAAAGTTGCCCAAAGAATGTGCAATTAAGCAACTTAAAATCATATAAAATAATAAATTTTGGGAGAGACTAAGATTTTTTTTTCTATTTACTAAAAGGAAATAATAAACACAACATTTTCAGTAAATAATGAAAATTACTGTAGCATGTTACATATTTTAACTTAGAAATGATGTTCAGCGTTTTTTATTATTAGCTTGCTATATCTTTTTAGGATTATTTTTGCAAGCCTCTTAATTCTAAAACAATTTTATCCTGATTTAGTAAAATTGAAGTCTCATTTACTTAATATTTTAACACATTTTCTGTTACTGCAGCTTTTAAGACTATCTTTAAGACAGCATTATATCTCATTGAGTTGAATCATAAAAATTAGTTTTTTCTGCTGTTATTCAACACTTAGGCTCTTTAGACACTCTTACAGTATAATAAATTTTAGCCAAATAACTTTTTATTGTTTGGATTGATGCTTTAGGATACATTTTCTGTTACTACAGTTTTTAAAACTATCCTTAAGACAGCATTATATCTCATTGAGTTGAATCACAAAAATTAGTTTTTTTCTGCTGTTATTCAACATTCAGATTCTTTAAACACTCTTACGATACAATACATTTTAGCCAAATAACCTTTTATTGTTTGGATTGATGTTTTAGGAGAAGTTCCTAGGAATGGAAAACATGAATATGTTAACGGCTCTTGATATACTTGACACTATTTTAATTTACATTCACTTTATAATTGGAAAGTTGAAGATGCATTTATATTAGTGAACTCATTTACATCATGTAACTTATTTTGTGTTTATAGTTTAATTAATATAACAGATGATATTAGCTTTTTATTATACATATTATATATTGATATCTCATCTATCTATCCATCTATCTTATATTTTCCCCATACCTCTGCTGACATATATTTTATGATTCCTACTGAATCTTAAGGTTATCGAGACTAGGATCTCTGTATTGTTCAGTGACTAAACCACAAATCATTAGTAAACATATATTGAATGCATTTCAATAATACAAACATAAAATATGGAAAGCTAAAAATAAAATTCCAATTATTAGGATGGAAAAATATATCAAATAACTCTTTCCTGATTCTCATGTATTTTCTCATTATTCTTTGCATGTGTTATTCTGGCTTCTTAATGGTTCATTTTCAAACATATTTCTTTCTGTTTTACTGTATTAGTATTCAGGAAAAAAACTGTAAACCTTACCTTATAGTACTCAAGTCTGGTCAGATAAATAAGCAACTTGGAAAGTTAAACAAGAATATTGCCTTCAATAGATTGGATTTGGATGCAATAAATTAAAGTCCAGAAAGCTTGTCTGTAGCTCCCCCACAATCAGATTGCAGTGTTTCTAGGAAGCTCTTCAAATGTGCTATGCTCAGGTCTATAATAGAAAAAAATTTTTTGAGATATCTATGAGTATTAATGGCTCTACCATTCAGATATGAAGGTTGAAATTCAAAATATGACTACTGTCACCTTGAAAGTTAATCTATATGCCTCTGCCTTCCTCTGCTATCAGAATGCACTACATTTCAAACCTATTTCTCTGATAACCTTATAAACATTAAACTTTTACCACTGGAAATACAGAAATGTTTTCTTAACTATAAAAGTAGCAGTCTTTTTCCTTCTTAGTTATTTTCTATTGCTTATTTCTGTTACTTTTCAAAGACAACTTAAAATTTGAACACTTATTAAACAGTCTGATAATCCTAATACATTTATTTTAATAGCCAAATTGCCTTTCAGTCCCATGTAAAACCAAACCTGTGTTCACTTCATTCATTCCACTTCTTCTTACCTGTATATAGGAGTTAAAATGTTAAGATCATCATCTTATGTGGTTACTTGGCCTATAATGATATCAATCAGAGACACAGAGTAGAACATGGAGGCTATTCTAAGTGTATTTTAAGAAAATATCAAAGACATAAATAAACATTTCTGGGGTAGTTATTGAAATCCAAGCAAGGATTTATTGAGTCATTTCTTGAATGATGAAAATCCAGAAATTGAAGCAGGCATAATTGAGAACCTAGATATGAAGCATGTAATTTCCAACCTGAAGAAACAGAAGGAAAGCAGAAGAATACAATAATGGTTAGAAACAAAAAGGTCATAGAAAAATTAAAATACATATTCACATATGCATGACAGCATATTTCAGGAACAGTCTGTGACCACATCTAGTTTTGTATAGCCTCATTCCTCTGTGCACCTTAACTGCTACTACTAAGCTGATTAATGTTCACAGAAAAGTAAGCAACATAGGCACGATTTTCTAAATTATAAAAAGAGAAACAATATTTTAAGTATTTTCCTTATGTATTGCACTTTCAAATAGAACAGAATGTCTATTCATCTTAACTCAACCGGAAGACGCTCACTAATAGAGTAGTATATGCCTCCCCTCACTTATTATTCAGAATATTCTATTGGAGTTTAATTTATTTACCACCAGGCTTCTTCTGATTACCCTTATCCAAAAAGCAATTGCTTCATTTTCAGACCTTATTTTTACCTTGCCCGCTGTGAACTACCTTTTAAGCCATAGTGTTATGTTCTATCATTTTTCCCTGAGAAAGTACGAAGCTTAAATTAAATTTCTTAAAAAAGCATATTTTGGCAACCAATCTATGTAAATCTGAGCAAATACAGGGAGAAAATGAGGAATAGAAGAAAAAAGGGAAAATATGTTTCTTAAAGAGCCAAACACTAGCAATTAATCTTCAAATATTATTATATTGATTTTCTGGGAAAGAAAATCAAAGGGAAAATGTAAGGCAAATCAATCCCTTCCCAATACTTTTTAATTCCATATTTATTAGGCAATTTCTCTGTTTTGTTTACATATTGTAAAATCTTCTAACTTCATATTTGTAATATGGGCAAAATTATGAACATTTAAAAATAGACATTGATGGTCTGGATATTCACATACTTCAATTACCCAGAGAGTAATAGAAATTGAAAAGGAGATTTTAAAAATATTTTATGTGTATAAGAATAGATTTTACCTTTTTTGCTGTTTTCCTTGTCAAGACAAACATTGGGAGAATTTTGAATAACAATTCACAGACAGATTACTGTTTATTATAACTTCAAAATATAATTGACACAAAAGATGTACAAGTCTCACTCAGGTTATATATTTATTTAAAGGTATCTAATCACTAAATTAACTTATTAGAATCATTATAATAACTGGATCCTCATTGGGTGGAGGCTGATACTATTCTGTTTAGTGGATCATTAATTCAACAGATTCTAGATAAATAATATTTTCTCCAGTCTAAAAAGCAAATCAAATCATGTCCTTTGTGTATAGATAATCAAGAGTTATTTGTCATAAACCTCAGACAAATCTAATATTGAGAAAATCTATATGCAATCATATTCCAATTATGAACTTCTTTCAAAAGATAAATAATCCTATTATTATTATTATTATTTTGAGATGGAGTTTTGCTCTTGTTGCCCAGGCTGGAGTGCAATGGTGCGACCTTGGCTCACTGCAACTTTCACATCCCGGGTTCAAGTGATTCTCCTGCCTCAGCCTGCCAAGTAGCTGGGATTACAGGTATGTGCCACCACGCCCGGCTAATTTTGTATTTTTAGTAGAGATGGGGTTTCTTCATGTTGATCAGGCTGGTCTCGAACTCCTGACCTCAGGTGACCCACCTGCCTCAGCCTCCCAAAGTGCTGGGATTACATGCCACTACGCCTGGCAAAATAATCCTATTGTTGCTAGAAGAATATTGGGAACTATGTGTTGGGAGATAATTTTCCATAGATTCTGTGCATCTATGAACAGAGGTATTTAGAGATTATGTTGAGAACTATCTCTTCAAAGATGACTATAGAGCAAACAGCCTTGGAAGATAGAGATAGTGGTTCCTTCTGAGGAAAAGTTCAGAATTGTTTGCTGTCCAAGATAATAAAGATCATGTCTTCCTCTGATGCAAAGTTTAAGCAGATTTGCTAGCACCTCCCTCTAAAATACTGGGATTTCCAAAGTTCCAGCTTCCTCAGCTGTAATGCAAACTCACTGTACATACAACATTCACTTGATCCTGCCTCCGTATCACCTCCATGGGATTTGGGGGGTAAGGAGAACCTAGACACACACAATGCTCAAATTGCTTGCTATGTTGTGAGTAATAAAGTCCTTTTATGTTGGGCAAATAGTATAAAAGTTAGATAGAAGGAATGAGTTCAAGAGATCTATTGTATGACATGGCAACTTTAGTTTATAACAATATATTGTATTCTTAAAAATTGCTTAAAAATTAAATTTTAAGCGTTAGTGTCAAAAATAAGTATATCAGGCAATATATATGGTAATTACCATGATTTAGCCATTCAACAATGTATACATATTTTAAAACAACATGTTCTACATAATAAATATATATAAGTTTTGCCTTTAAAGTTAGTTAAAAAATAATTTTAACAATGAAAAACACAAAGTATCTAAGTAACAACATGTGAATAGAACAGTATCTCACATTCATATGTCCATATTAATGTTGAATGTAACTGGCCTAACCGCTCTACTTAAAACATACAGAATGGCAAAATGGATTAGAAAACACAAACCAAATATCTGCTGTCTTCAAGAGATTCACCTCACACATAAGGATTCATATAAACTCAAGGTAAAGAAGTGGATAATGATATTACACACAAATGGAAACCAAAAACATGAAGGAATAGCTATTCTTTTATCAAAAGAAAATCTAGAGGAAATGAATAAATTCCTGGAAACATACAATCCTCCTAGATTAAACCATAAGGAAATAGAAGCCCTGAACAGGCCAATAACAAGCAGCAAGATTGAATTAGTAATTTAAAAATTACCAACAAGAAAAGGTGCAGGACCAGATGGATTCACAGCTGAATTCTACCAGACATTCAAAGAAAAATTGGAACAAATCCTACTGAAACCGTTACCAAAGATAGATAAAGAGTAAACATTCTATGACGCCATTATCACCCTAATACCGAAACCAGAAAAGGGCATAAAAACAAAGAAAACTGCTGATCAATTTCCCTGATAAAAAAGATACAAAAATTCTCAACAAAATGCTAGCTGATCAAATCCAACAGCACCTCAAAAAGATATTACATCATCATCAAATTAGTTTCATACCAGGGATGCAGGGATGGTTTAATATATGCAAGTAAGTAAATATCATACATACATGAACAGAATTAGAAACATTTGGTTATCTCAATAGATGCAGGAAAAGCATTTGATAAAATCCATCATCTCTTTATGATAAAAACCCTCAACAAACTGGGCATAGAAGGGACTTACCTAAAGTAACAGAAAACAAGTATGACCAACAAATAGCAAACATCATACTTTATGAGGAAAAGTTAAAAGCATTCCTCCTGAGAACTGGAACAAGTCAAGGATGCCCACTTTTACCACATCTATTCAACATAGTACCAATGTCCTAGAAGCCCGAGCAATCAGGCAAGAGTAAGAAATAAAGGGCATCCAAATTGGATAAAAGGAAGCCAAGCTGTCATTGTTCACTAATGATATAATCATATATTTAGAAAACCCTAAAGACTCATCCAAAAGGCTGTTAGATCTGATAAACAAATTCAGTAAAGTCTCAGGATACAAAATCAATGTACAGAAATTAGTAGCACTGCTATATACCAACAACGACTAAGCTGAGAATCAAATCAAGAACTTAACCCTTTTTACAACAACTGTACAAATAAAATAATAAAATAAAATACGTAGGAATATGCTTAACTTAGGAAGTAAAAGATCTCTACAAGGAAGACTACAAAACACTGCTGAAAGAAATAATAGATGACATACCCAAATAGAAACACATCTCATGCTCATGGATGGGAAGAATCAATATTGTGATTGATATTGATTCTGTAGATTGCTTTGGGCAATACTGGTCATCATGCTAGCCAAAGCAATCTACAGACTTAATGCAATTCCTATTAAAATACCATCATTATTTTTCACAGAACTAGAAAAAATAATCCTAAAGTTCATATGGAACAACAACAAAAAAAAGTAAAAAAAAAAAAAAAAAAAAGAGCCCAAATCGTCAAAGCAATCCTAAGCAAAAAGAGCAATTCTGGAGGGAAGCATCACATTACCAGACTTTAGATTATACTACGAGGCTATAAATACTAAACACCATGGTACTGGTATAAAAATAGGCACATAGACCAATGGAACAGAATAGGGAACCCAAAAATAAAGCCAAATACAGCCAAGTGATCTCCAACAAAGCATACAAAAACTAAATTGGGGAAAGGACACCCTATTCAATAAATGGTGCTGGGCAAACTGGCAAGCCATCAGTCGAAGAATGAAACTGGATTCCCATCTCTCGCCTTATATAAAAAGCAACTAAAGCAACTAAAGATGGATCAAAGACTTAAATCTAAAACTTGAGACCATAAAAATTCTAGAAGATGACATTGGAAAAACTCTTCTGGACATTGGCGTGAGTAAAGAATTCATGACTAAGACCCCAAAAGCAAATGCAACAAAAATAAAAATAAATAAATGGGACCTAATTAAACTAAAAAGTTTCTGCACGAAAAAAGAAATAATCAGTAGAGTAGTAATTTGACAACTCAGAGTGGGAGAAAATATTTGCAAATTATGCATCTGATAAACAACTAGTATCCAGAATCTAAGGGGAACTCAAACAATCAGCAAAAAAACAAAAAGAAAAAAGCAAATAATCCCAACAAAAAGTAGGCAGAGGGCATGGATAGACATTTGTCAAAAGAAGAAGATATACAAATAGTCAACAACCATGAAAAAAATGCTCAGCATCACCAATCACCAGCAAAATGCAAATTAAAACCACAATGAGATACCACCTTATTCCTGCAAGAATGGCCATAATTAAAAAGTCAAAAACAATAGATGCTGGCATGGATGTGGTGAAGAGGGAACACTTTTACACTGCTGGTGGGAAACCATTATAAACAGTATGGAGTTTCCTTGAATAACTAAAATAGATCTACCATTTAATCCAGCAATCCTACTACTGGGCATCTACCCAGAGGAATTATACAAAGAGGACATACGTACACACATGCTTATAGCAGCACAATTTACGACTGCAAAGATATGGAACCAACTTAAGTACCCATCGACCAAGGAGTGAATAAAGAATATGTGCTATATATACACCATGCAATACTATTCAGTCATAAAAAGGAATGAAATAATGTCTTTTGTAGCAACTTGGATAGAGCTGGTGTCCATTATTCTACAGGAAGTAACTCAGGAATGGCAAACCAAATACTGTATATTCTCACTTATAAGTAGGAGCTAAGCTATGAGAACACAACGATGTACAGAGTGATATAACAGACTTTGGGGACTCCCGGTGGGAGGAGGATGTGAGTGGGGTGGGGGATAAAAGACTACATATCGGGTACAGTGTACACTTCTCAAGTGATGGGTGCACTAAAATCTCAGAATTCACTGCTGTAGAACTCATCCATGTAACCAAAAACCATCTTTACCCCCAAGCCTAATGAAATAAAACATAATTTTGATTAATAAAATAAAAAACACACATATTTCTTACCTGGGAATCTCATGTCTTCCACCAGTATCCAGGAGGCCATGGAAGTCCAACTTGTTAGCACACAAACATGGTAGTCAGGCCCTTTATAATTATTGATAATGAAAAAATTCCAGTTACGTTAGTGTGGGAATGAACTTTTGACTTTAAGAGATTATATTTTTGAAGATTTGCACCATGATACTTATTTGCATAAGTTTCCTGCCTTCCAGTATGTATGCATATATATTCAGCCTGAGAATCTTTATAGAAGGTGCTCAATCTATAAAAGTTAAAAAAGAAAAAATTCACTTAATATATCTCCTCGTTTTCTCATAATGTTTTCTTAAACATTCTGGTTCTTATTGTCATCTATATGTATTTTGGTGAGTTTCTAAGGGATAATTTTAGCATATATTAAGCTTCCATTAAAATTGTAGAATCTGATTAGCACAGGTATTTCTTTTTCTTAGACCAATTTGAGTCTAGTTCTATATAAGAATGTGTGTGTGTGTGTGTGTGTAGAGAAGAAAATGACAATAATTTTTTGTTCTCTTTTCTGTAAGAATGAAAAATCACGTTTGAAAATCCTCAAAAAAGCTGATGTGAATTTATTAGTCTCAGCTTTACTATGCCAAAGCCTGTCAACCTGCCTCTGACTTCTGCAGCAGAAGAATGTTAAAAATAAATCCTTTTATGTTAGCATGTTTCACATCTATTTCAGAGATACTTTAGTCCTAGAGAGTGTTTTGGAATCCTATCAGGATATGATCACGTAATCTCTAAAGCTAGTGGTAGATGTTTTCAGGGATAAGAGTTTATTCATGCTAGGCCATAGTGAATTTTTCTTGTTAAGATGGGGTCTCGCTCTCTCACCTAGGCTGGAGGGCACTAGTGCGATCATAGCTCACTGCAGCCTCAAACTCCTGGGCTCAAGTGATCTTCTCTCCTCAGCCTCCCTAGTAGCTAAGACTACAGGCTCTCACCACCACACCCAGGTAATATATATAGTAGAGATGGGGTCTTGCTATGTTGTCCAGGCAGCTCTTGAACTCCTCCATTCAAGAGATCTTTCTACCTAGGCCTCCCGAAGTGCTGAGATTACAGGCAGGTGCCAACAAGCCTGGCCATGACCTCTATAGCAAATTTTAGGTATGGATTTACAGAACTACATATTTTCCTCACATTCACCTCCTTTTTAGTGATGAAATTGCTCTCACTACATAGCATTTTAGATAGTTAGCTAGAAGAAATTAATTTGTGTCTGTATAACAAAGGGTAATTTAGAAAAATGCAGTATTTTTAAATTAATTGACTTGTAATTCTTGATTGGTACTAGTTTGTTTTTTTCCAAGCTAAATAAATTCAGGCTTATATTAAAACGTTTGTCTAGAACAGACTAAAGCATACTAGCTAATGACGCAAATAAATATTGTTTTTGTCTGTTCCTTATTTTAAAAACTGAGTTATCTACTGATAAACAGGTTTTAAAAATCAAATAATAATTTGACTTTGTTATTGATGAAATTTAACATTACCATTTTGCTTTGCCAACTTCCCACTATTAACAGTTTCTTATGTATCCTACATTCCAAAAAGATATTAAGCATTTATATGTGCCTTTTTTGTAATAATTGATGTAGCCTGGAACTGAAACACTCACATTTAGATTATGTATGCTTAACTTACCAAATGACCCTCAAAACAGCTTGTGAAGGTCCTTGAAGCATTCTAAAATTGTGGGTGGGTATTACAAGTAGCAGTATATAATACAAACTATTCCAGATTTTGTTTCTCCCTACCTCTTACTATTAACATATAAAGATACATAACGCAAGCTTTGCTTTGCGTTATGTATCCTTATAGAAATACTTGGCAACCATGAACTAATCTATCCTACGTTAAATAATTGATTAGTATGCACTGCATTATTGTTTTGTGTACTGTGCATTAAAGTTCACCCTATTCCAAGTTTACTCCCTTAAATAATTAGCTGCTGTTAATAGTATTATTCACATTACTAATAAAACAGCTTAGTGTGCTTTTTATTTTAATGAGAAAAGCAAAATTTCAGCATAGTGATTCTCTAAAACTTTTCTTAATTAAAGTGCGATATGTTTTTCCAAAAGTAAACAAAATTTTCTATGTGGTATAGCAAGTAATATTGTACATTTTATAGCGTGTATCGTATACCATGGTTACTTTACATTTAAAAAATGTCAGTCATCACTTTCTTGTATGTTTCTAAACAAAATTATATGTACCAAACATATTTACTCTGTTTATGCAAATGATCATGTCCAATTTATTGAGCTAGTGTAAATATAATGAAATATATTCTAAAATGCATTACATAAACACATTACTGAGAGTTAAAATAGTTCAAATTAACTAAAGAAACTCAGTGTTTCAAGATGTCTAATTTTATTTGGTTTTGAAAGTAAAAATAGTTTTGCATTGTAATACTCGTTGAGCACTTACTGCATGCTTGCAAATCCACATTAATTGCTTTAATAAATTAAATTTATATTTTAAATTAAGTTTTAACATGCCTTCTACAGGTGAAGAAAAATAATAACTTGTTCAGTGTCACACAGCTAAAAGTGACAATGTTGACATAATAATGCATTTTTAAAAAATTTCAAAGTCTGTACTCGGAACAAAATATACTAACCAAAGAAGTTTCTTATTTTGTCATTTTTGAACCACTAACTTAATATTTTATTTTTTGTTTTCATCCAATAAGGAGCCTTAAATGCAACTCTGTTCCCAATATTTGATAATCTTTTATGAATCAATAACAGTCTTCATTAGAATTTTTAGCCTTAATTGAAATGTTAATATTTTTATATGATTCTTCAGATAGTATTAGAACTTGAGGTATGTGGTCTAGTAAGCAAGTATTCATTCTCTTCCATATTTTTTAAGTCAAAGAAAACTTAAGCTTTATTTGTGATACACTGGAACTCAGAAAAATATTAATTAAAATTTTCAGAGAAACAATAGGAAAAAAAAAAGATGCACAGAAAATATCGAGTATTCAGTCTCCCATTCTTGTTACTGGGTCATTGATGAATCTAGTGATCAATAATTAGCAGTAGTTTAGTTATGGATATATTTTCAAATACGTGGATATGTCACTAATACCTGGAGAAAATAGCTATTATGAATCAATATGACTGTACCATTATGACTAAAATGCATTTTTCTATTTTATTTTATAAGAAGGATTAAAAAATCATCTCATTAAATAGCAAATTAGAAAGTAAATAAATACCAGATAATTGATTGCCTCATAATTGTTAATATCTAATTTTACTATATTATTAGGTATAGGTTTGTCCTAAACATTGACTACTTTTGCAATATAATAGAGATGTCTTCAGTCTGCATTTCAAATTTTCTAAACAAGTCAACTTTAAAAATGATGCACTCTTATTTTCTTATTGGTTTAAGGATACATTCGTATAGATATCATCTATGAACAGCTATGATCGATTAGAAAAGGCTAAGATTATACACAAACACACACACACACACACACACACACACACACACACACATATATATATATATATATATATATATATATATATATATATATATATATAAATGTTGCTGCTGGAAAAACACCTCAGAACTTGTTTACTACTACTTATCCTATTCCATGTCATGTGAGAGTGTCTAGTCTTATACAGAGAGAGTACAGGTCAGAATGAAGATCTCAGAGCTGCCTACTCACATATTTAGGAAGTATCATAGTAAGGTGGGTGGAAAAGTTTCTTTTTTTCTTCCTTTTCTGTTTTTTGGAGTTCAAATTGTTTCTGGGCACAACTGGTAACAATGACCAATATTTTCTTGTAAGCATGAATTTGATACACTTTTTTCTGTTGATTATACCATTCTCCCCTTTGAAGTAAAGTTTTTTTTAACTTACGATCATAGATGATTGACTTAGCCTATGTGTTTACTTCTTTTTGAACTGATATCATTAATATAAAAGTGAGAAAAATGCAATGCCATTTCTATAAAAAAAAAAAATCTACATGCTGAAAACCTCAGCAAAATTCTGCAAGTTCTAGGACACAACAAGTCTTTTGACGAAAAGATTCTTCTATTTGAGACTAACCACGTGTGAAAAAAATAGCAATGCTGGAAAACAATTAGAAGACATGATAGCTGAAGACTATGAAAACTCCCTGACTCAGAATGGCAAAGTCTGGAAATACAAAAGGTGGCTCATTAGGAAGAAAAAGCTTAAAGAGGCAAATTTCCATAGAAATAATAGAGTAGGTTTTCACAGTGTCATCCTATAAAAATGTGTCAGGTTTAATTTATTTTACAAATAAATTCTAGCAAAACTTTATAAAACAGTATCAACTCTGTATAAATTATCCCAGAGCATTGAAAAAAGGAAAAATCCTAACACTTTTTCTGCAATATATTATGTTTGAGTTTCTAAATCTGATAAAAAGTATACACACAAAGGAAACTATGGAACAGTATCACTAATGAATATCATTTAAAAAGTATCATATAAAATGTTATCAAATGGGCCAGGCGGGATGGCTCATGCCTGTAGTCCCAGCAATTTGGGGACTGGGTGAGGCAGGTGGATCGCTTGAGGTGAGGAGTTTGAGACCAGCCTGGCCAACATGGTGAACCTTGTCTCTACTAAAAATACAAAAATTAGCTGAGCATGGTGGTGTGCGCCTGTAATCCCAGCTACTTTGGAGGGTGAGGCAGGAGAATCACTTGAACCTAGGAGGCGGAGAAGCATGCTGCTGCACTCCAGCCTGTGCAACAGACAGACCCTGTCTGAAAAAAAAAAAAAAGTTTTCAAATGTAATATAACACCATTTTAGGAAAATGCGTCATTAGCATGTGAAATTTATTCTAGGATTCAGGGTTTGCTCAAGAACCCCAAATTTATGATAAATATATAAAATATGTAAATAGATCTAAGAAAAGTATTATCTCTGTAGATGTTGAAAACATCTTCAACAAAATCTGAATCCACTCCTGAACAACAGTCAGGATATAAGAACTGATTACTGATTTCTTAACATGACTTGTATATATCTATACAGCATCTTATTCAATGTGGAAACAAATGAGGTATTCCCAATGGGATCACAAACAAGGCAAAGATGACCACTATTGCCACTTCAACTCAACACATTACCACAGATACTGAATTAGACTCATAAGAATTAGTAAAACAGTAAAACTACCTCTATTTGCATATGGTGTTATAGTCTACCCTCAAAATCCTTCACAATCAATGATACAATAACTCAAACTATAAAAATATTTAGTAAAGAGGCAGGATAAAAAATTAACCTATGTAACCAATATTTTTAACTTAAAGAATAATAACCAGGAGATGACCCAATGCTTGAAAATAACTCATTTCCAATAGCAACAAGAAAATGAAAACTTAGGAATACACTCAATAGGAAATTTGAGAATACTGTCTGAGGAAAAGTTTAATGCATGACTGAAAAACACAAAAATAGTTAGAATAAATGTAGTTATTCCCTTTTCTTGCATGACTCACCATTATGAAGTTGTCAGTTCTTTCTAAATTAGATTACAAATTTAACTGATAGACATTGTTACAGAGTTAGACAAGTGGTTACTAAAGTTCGTAAGGAAGCAAACATGCAGAAATTTCAAGATAAACATTTATGGAAAAAAACTGCAAGTACTATCAGACATTAATACATGCTATAAAACCTCTATAATTAATAGAGTGTTTCTATGGCAAACGATTAGACAAGCAGATCAGTCAAACAGAAAATCCGGAAACAAACCCATGCACATGTGGCGATGTAGCAGATGATAAATCACTGAGGCAAAGATGGACCTTGTAATAAATTGAACTTGGACAATTGGGTAGCCATAAAACTAGTTTAATCCTCAGATTTTATTTATCTATAACCAGTGATTTTTAGGGGCAGAGAAAGAACAAAATTAGCTTGGAACAATCCCTGTGCTAGAAAACAAAAAAGTACTAAAAGATGAAATGGGACAGAAGTCAATTTGAGTTTCCACTAGCCACATTTAGGACAAATTCAGCATAGAAATGTACAAGAATATATTAAAGTGCATTGCATTAGAAAATATTTCATTAGTCAATAGTAACAAGCAAAAAACAAAGTGGTGATGGGGGAAGAAGCCTTATCTTCACCAAATTTTATAAATGAATAAATATAGAAGAATAATATAATTAATGCATAGTCAATTTGTAGACAGCAATGTAAAAAACTGATTAGGCAAATACCCATAAACTGACACTAGGCCATTGTGTGAATAGTTACTATGAAGCAGATATTCCTGTCCTCTGAGAAAATAACACCACAGATTAACCAACTAACCTTCCCATTAACTGGAAACACTGACATTGTGTCTCCTGATACACATAATGTCAAGGAATGATTATATCACTTTTGTGATATTCTTTGTAAACATTTAAATTCAGTATGATCATGAATTAATGAAAAGACAATTTTAGATCATTGGACTTTTTTTTTTTTTTTTTGAGACAGAGTCTCGCTGTGTTGTCCAGGCTAGAGTGCAGTGGTGCGAGCTTGGCTCACTGCAACTTCCCCCTCCTGGGTTCAAGCGATTCTCCTGGCTCAGCCTCCTGAGTAGCTGGGAGTACAGGAGCCCACTGCCAAGCCAGGCTAATTTTGTTCTTAATTATTTATCATAGTAGAGACAGGGTTTCACCGTGTTGCCCAGGCTGGTCTCAAACTCCTGAGCTCAGGCAATCCGCCCACCTTGGTCTCCCAAAGTGCTAGGATTACAGGTGTGAGCCACCCTGCCCAGCTGATCGTGGGACATTTTACAAAACAAATGGCGTGAACTCTTAAAAAATATCAATGTCATGAAAGTCTGGATAGTCAAGAGAATTAAAGGCTAAAGAGATATACAACCAAATGCAGTGTGTAATTCTTGTTGTATTAAAACAAAATAAAAATAGCAACTAACTGTATGGTCTATTAGGGGATTTAAATATGGATTTCATGTCATATAATATTATTCTATCAAAGTTAAATTGCTTGGTGGGAAAAGGAAACTGTGGTTATGAAGGAGATTGTCCTTGATCTTAGAAGGTTCATGATTGAATATTTTGGAGTGAAAACCACCACGTTAGCAATTTGCTTTTGTATATTTACAAAAAAAAGAAAGAAAACAAATGTGATAAAGTTAACAACTGGTGACTTCTAGTAGCGGGTAGATGACTGTCATTAAAATCTGACTTTTACTACAACTTTTTAATAGATTTAATGCTTTTCAAAGTAAAAAATAGGGCATATGTCAAAAACAACAAAATACAGAATTTCATACATTCCTAAGAGTTATACCTTCATTAATCTATCAATTTTACTACCAAAGCATTATATTGTATGATGATTTTAATATAAGAAAATACACATATTGTGATTTAAAAGTTTCTGAAATCACTTTAAGTCATATTTTTAGAAGCATGTAATAGAAATCAATTCTCACAAACTCTCACAACTCTCGCTACTCTCCTCACAAGGGCTTTTACAGCTTGCCTTTCCCTATCTCATCGTATGAAGAAGTTATGGCTTCATGCATCATCTCTTTTAATTTTAAGCTACATTTAGTAATATACCCCCTATTTTTCTAGTGATATGAAACAAATTTACTCAATAATATATTAATATTTCAATAGCAGTCTTGATAATATAAGGCTGAAATATGAAGTGACATTTCCAATCTTCATTCAGAGTAACAGTATTTCTTGGAATAACAGAAAGTAGGAAATGGGCCACAGGAAATGTCTATAAACTTTGAACTATGGCAATTCTTATATTGTCATAAAAGAGTTAAAAGCACAAGGAAAATGTTAATGCTTAGATGTGTAGTGAGAAGTCATTACTTATGATTTTAACAACAGAGAGTAAAGGGATTTACTTTGTGTTTTTGGAACAGAAAAACTATTTGCCACCATCCTATTTAATTTCACTAATGCTTATTTTATTTATAATTTAGAGATTGCAATTCTGAAAAAGCTTTATGTGTTCATTTACTTGGGCCATTAATATGAAACTATTATCATCTTTTTCTACAAAAGATACATACATATGTTGATCTACCATTTTGTTATCTTCTAAAGAATCATACAATTATTTAAAATGTTATCTATTTCAAAAAGATAACTAATTCTGCACATAAACGTTTAGAAAGTACACATTTATGTTATAGAACTTTAATTGAAGTCAATTATGTACTCACTGAATCAAAGGTTGTGTACTAAACTGGTATTTCTCTAGGAATATTTTGATCATAGCTGCATTTTTCTATATTAGGCTTTCAAATTAAACAGTCATAAATAACACTATCCTTACTCTATCCCCAAAATTATATTTATCTATATTTTAACTAAATAAAACTCATACAGCATGTGATAAAGCAATATTATTCAAAATGTGGGTCACAGTCAGATGACATCAACTCAGTACCGTGAGATTAGCAATTATTTTAATAAATCTGAATAGGATAGGATAGAAGAAGATGGGATGGATGGGGATCGGATAGACCAGAATATGCTAACATGCATCATAGGTAATAGGCATAAATGTTTAGCAACTCTGTGTGTATAAATAAAATGTTCTACTGATTGTTGCATTTTAAAAATTGAAAGCAAGGCCTTTCAAGCTTTCCCAGGGTAAAATAGAGAGACTGCTACTTTCAGGAATTCTACAACATAATAGCAAACTTTAATGCAAAATTTTTCCAAGAACAGAAAGACTCAAGTTACAAATCTGATTAAAATAAAATTGTTTTCCAGTTTCATTAAATTTTCTCATATTGTGTGGGAAATACATAGTTATAAAATACAAAAAGTGGCCAGGCGTGTTGGCTTAGACTTGTAATCCCAGCACTTTGGGAGGCCAAGGCAGGTGGATCATTTGAAGTCAGGAGTTCAAGACCAGCCTGACCAACATGGTGAAACCCTGTCTCTACTAAAAATACAAAAAAGCCATGTGTGGTGGTGCATGCCTATAGTCCCAGCTACTCAGAAGGCTGAGACAGGAGAATCGCTTGAACCCAGGAGGCAGAGGTTCCAGTGAGCCAAGATCGCACCACTGCATTCCAGCCTGTGTGACAGAGTGAGACTCCATCTCAAAAAATAAAAAATAAAATACAGAAAAGAATTTGAAAGTCTGATCATGAGTCAAATTGAAGATATTATGTTATACTCAAAAGATATTTGCATTTCTTTTACTAAGGACTCTGCAGTTTTAAATATTTTTCTATTGGGTTGTTAATATTTGTCTTAGTGAACCATAAAAATTATATATCTGTCTATCATAATTTGCAAATATATATCCTATCTGTCTATTGTGTTTTGATTTGGTTTATTCAGACATTTTCAAAGTATATGTAATGAGGTTTATCATGTCAATTCTTTCTGGGTTTGTATTTTTCTTATAAAGGCATTTTCTGCAGCCATATTGTGTATTTCACTTTCCCATCATGTCTACTAATCCTCTTACATCTCCCATTAGGTACCTATGTTCTGTCTTTTTCTTAACATACCAGTATGATGCCACTAGAAATCCTATTTAATTATGCTAGATTCATATGATATTTTAATAATTCATAAGGCTAGTCTCCACATAATACTACTTTTAATATATTTCTAGTTGGTTTTACTTCTTATTTGATTGTTTTGATTTTTTCATAATTAAAATAAGTTTTAGAAGTCTAACATGAGAAGTGCATAATATTACAAATAACTGTAAAGTCTAATAAATGATTACTAAATAAAACCACTTGAGTAATCAAACCCAGATCGAAGGAGAAAACATTGCCAACTGATATGATTAGGCTTTGTGTCCCTACCCAAATTTCGTCTTGAATTGTAATCCCCAGGAGTCAAGGGAGGGACCTGGTGGGAGGTGATTGAATCACGGGATTGGTTTCCTCCATGCTTTTATCATGACAGTGAGTGGGCTTTCAGGACATCTGAACAGTTTAAAAGTGTGACACGTCTCCCACTCCCTGCCACCGTGTATAGAGGTATTTGTTTCTCCTTCACCTTCCGCCATGATTGTAAGTTTTTTGAGGCTTCCCCAGCTATGCAGAACTGTGAGTCAATTAAACTGCTTTTCTTTATAAATTACCCAGCCTCAAGAAGTTATTTATAGCAGTGTTTAAACAGACTAATACACCAGCATACCTTGTTATTATCAGCACACAGGTGAAACAAATATTCTATTAATCTATATTGTAATTTACTTTTATCTGCATGAGAACTTTATAAAACTAGAACTGTTTAGTACAAGTTGGGCCTCTCCTGCTGAATATGTCTGTGATGTGCACATAAGCTGTTGTTTTCTTGTATGATTTTGCTAATTTTCATTGCTTTCAAATATTGTATTATATGAATGTACCAAATGTGGATTAGCCTATGGATTGTTTCAGTATGAAGTTCATGAGTAATAGTACTGTGGACATTTTCGTATTTCCTTTTAAGTTTTTTACTCATATATTCTGCTTCTTCTTATGTCCATCTGAAAATCTGTGTTTTTCAAGAATTTGTCTTTTTTCAAACATTTTTGACATTTACACAACATCTGTATTTTCACATAAAATATTCATTGGTTGGAGCTCTTCTATTCACTATCTTCGTGCATTCTCTGGGCAAAGTAATTTAGTTTCTTCTCACCTGAGAATGACTCCCAAATGCCTTCTCTAGCCTGGAACTGTTCTATGTTTTCCAAACTCATATGCCTATCTACTTATCTTCTACTTGGATGTATAATAAGCATCTTACACTTAACAGCTGTGAATCCAAACTGATCTTTCTCTAATTTTTTTTCTCAATGAGACTTCATCTCAGAAAATGGTAACTATTTAGGCCAAAAATTTTGAGGTTATCTATTTCTCTTTTCTCATACCTCTCAGGAATTTCTGAGGGCTTTATTTTCAGAGACCAGCCAATACTTAATTTCTTCCATTTCAGCCATTCTGCCACAAGTCAAAATCACTTTTTGCTGTAATTACTGCAATAGACTTTGCTGGTCTCCCTTTCATCTCCCCATCCCCTGCTTTTTTCTGTCCTTTTTCTTCTTCTCTCCTTCACTCTCTCTTTTCCCTTCTTCCTTTTCCTTCCTCTCCCTTGCCTTCTTTTCTTTTTCGTCTCTATTTCTATTTCTAACTAAACTCAGATCATGTGTGTCAGCCTCTCTACCCATAAGCCTTCAATGACTTCCCATAGAATCATTTTAAAGCCAAAATCCTTAAATCTACATACAGCTACATGATTTTCATCCTTTCCTTTTATTACTTTGCCTTCATCTTTTCTGACCATTTTGACCTCTTTACTATCCCTAAAAAGACAGAACATGGTCCTGTTGTGTCCAGAGGTGGTTCCTTCTGGTGGGTTCTTGGTCTCGCTGACTTAAAGAATGAAGCCACAGACCTTCGCGGTGAGTGTTACAGCTCTTAAAGGTGGCACGGACCCAAACAGTGAGCAGCAGCAAGATTTATTGTGAAGAGTGAAAGAACAAAGCTTCCACAGCTTGGAAGGGGACCGGAGCGGGTTGCCACTGCTGGCTGGGGTAGCCAGCTTTTATTCCCTTATTTGTCTCTGCCCACGTCCTGCTGATTGGTCCATTTTACAGAGCGCTGATTGGTCCATTTTACAGAGTGCTGATTGGTGAGTTTACAATCCTTTAGCTAGACACAGAGTGCTGATTGGTGCGTTTTTACAGAGTGCTAATTGCTGCATTTACAATCCTTTAGCTAGACCCAGAAAAGTTCTCCAAGTCCCCTCTCGACCGAGGAAGTCCAGCTGGCTTAACCTCTCGCTGTGTTGGAACCTTTTCACTTGTTTTTCCCTGTGCTTGAAATGCTTTTTCTTTACTTACCCCTGGAGCTCCCTCTTTACTATTTTAAGTATTGATACAAATATTTCTTAATGAGATTTCCTCTCATATAAAATCATAATTCTAACTCATGCACACTATATTTTGGTCTCTGATTTATTTTACTAATTATGTTCTAACATATTATATAATTTATGTATAATGTGTGTATGTATGTATTCATTTATATTCATTTATTCATTTTTAACTTATTTACTTATTTTTCTTTAACTGTCTCACGAATGAGATTGTATGTGTCAAGAAGGAAGGATTTAGTTTATATTTTCAAAATCTGGAACAGCACCTAGCTCAAAATAGGCACTCAGATATATGTGGCAAATTAATGTTTGGGATTAATAAAGTACTAGAAGTATCTGTGGTGGAAGGCATTTATTCTCAATTCTCTATATTATAAAATTAGAAATATCTTTGTTTTATCTTAACTTGTATTAGTCAATTCTCACATTGCTATAAAGAACTACCTGAGATTCGGTAATTTTTGAAGAAAAGAGTTTTAATTGACTCACAGTTCTGCAGACTGTACATGCAGCCTGGTTGGGAAACTTACAGTCATGGTGGAAGGGCGAAGGAGAAGCAAATCCCTGCTTCACACAGCTGAGTGGGAGAGAAAGCTAAGGGGGAAGGACTACACACTTTTAAAATAACCAGACTGGTGTATAAGAAATATAAATACTACAAAAACTCAGGAGCCTTCTAGTTCAGTGAAATACCTAGAGGTCTAATGGCATGGGGCATATAAAGATACTCCTTCTAAGGTGATATGGCTTGGCTCTGTGCCCCCACCCAAATCTCATCTAGAGTTGTAATCCTTACATGTCAAGGGAGGGACCTGGTGGGAGGTGATTGGCTCATGGGGGTGGTTTCTCCCATGCTGTATTCATGACAGCGAGTGAGATCTCATGATATCTGATGGTTTAAAAGTGTTTGGCAGATCCCCCCACCTCCTGCTGTCATGTAGGACTTGCCTTGTTTCCCCTTCACCTTCCACCATGATTGTAAGTTTCTTGAGGCTTTCCTGGCCATGCAGAACTGTGAGTCAATTAAACCTCTTTTCTTATAAATTACCAAGTCTCAGGTATTATTTTAGCAGTGTGAAAATGGATTAATACAGAAAATTGGTGCCAGGAGTGGGGCACTGCTATAAAGATGCCTAAAAATATGGAAGTGACTTTGAAATTGGGTAACCAGCACAGGTTGAAACAGATTGGAGGGCTCAGAAGAAGATAAGAAGATGAAGGAAATTTTGAAACTTCCTAGAAACTTGTTGAATGGTTGTGACTGAAATACTGATAGTGATATGGACAATGAAATCCTGGGTGAGGTGGTCTCAGCTGGAGAGGAGGAAGTTATTCGGAACTGGAGCAAAGACCACTCTTGCTGTGCTTTAGTAAAGAGATTGGTGGCACTTTGCCCCTACCCTAGAGATCTGTGGAACTTCGAAGTTGAGAGAGATGATTTAGGGTATCTACCAGAAGAAATTTCTAGCAGCAAGGCATTCAAGATGTGACCTGGCTGATTTTGAAATTGCTCAGTCATATGCATTTACAAAGAGATTATCTGAAGTTGGAATTTATATTTAAAAAGGAAAGCAAAGAATAAAAGTTTGGAAAATTTGCAGCCTGACCATGTGGTAGGAAGGAAAAAAAAAATCCCATTTCTGGGAAGAAATTCAAGCCAGCTGCAGAAATTTGCTTAAGTAACAAGGAGCCAAAGGTTAATTACCAGGACAACAGGGAAAATGTCTCCAGGATATTTCAGAGATCTTCAAGGCAACCCCTCCCATAACAGGGCCAGAGGCCTAGAGGCCTAGGAGGGAAAAATGGTTTCATGGGCCAGGGCCAGGGCTCTGTTTCTCTGTGCAGCCTTGGGACATGACACCCTGCATTCCAGCCACCCCAGCTCCAGCTATGGCTAAAAGGGGACAAGGTATAGCTAGGCTGTGGCTTTAGAAGGTGTAAGCCCCAAGCCTCGGTGGCTTCCACATGGTGTTGGGCCTGCGGATGTGCAGAAGCCAAGAGTTGAGGTTTGGGAACCTCTGCTTAGATTTCAGAAGATGTATGAAAATGCCTGGATGTCTAGGCAGAAGTGTGTTGCAGGGGCAGAGCCCTCATAGAGAAACTCTACTAGGTCAGTGCAGAGGGGAAATTTGGGGTTGGAGCCCCCACACAGAGTCTCCACTGGGGCACTCCCTAGTGCATCTGTGAGAAGAGGGCCTGCATACTCCAGATCCCAGATGGTAGATCCACCAACAGCTTGCACCATGCACCTGGAAAAGCCACAGGAACTTAATGTTAGCCTGTAAAAGCAGCTGCAGGAGCTGTATCCAGCAGAGCCACAGGAGTGGAGCTGCCTAAGGCCTTGGGAGCCCACCCCTTGTATCAGTGTGGCCTGGATGTGAGACATGAAGTCATATCAGATTATTTTGGAGCTGTAATATTTAATGACTACCCTGCTGGGTTTCAGACTTGTATAAGGCCTGTAGCCCCTTTGTTTTGGCCAATTTCTCCCATTTAGAATGGAAACATTTACCCAATGCCTGTACCCCCATTGTATCTTGAAAGTAACTAATGTGTGTGTGTGTGTGTGTGTGTGTGTGTGTGTGTGTCTGTTTATTTTAAAGGCTCATAGGTTGAAGGGACTTGCCTTGTGTCAGATGAGACTTTGGACTTGCACTTCTGAGTTAATTCTGGAATGAGTTAAGACTTTGAGGGAGTGCTGGGAAGGCATTATCAGTTTTGAAAGGTGAAAAGGACATGAGATTTGGGAGGGGCTGTGGGTAGAATGATATAGTTTGGCTGTGTCCCCACTGAATTTCATCTAGAATTGTAATCCCCATGTGTCAAGGGAGGGACCTGGTGGGAGGTGATTTGATCATGGGGGTGGTTTCCCCATGCTATTCCCATGAAAGTGAGTGAGTTATCAGGAAATCTGAAGGTTTAAAAGTGTTTGGCAGACCTAACCTCCTGTCACCAGCTAAGACGTTCCTTGCTTCCCCTTTGCCTTCCACCATGATTGTAAGTTTACTAAGGCCTTCCCAGCTATGCGAAACTGTGAGTCAATTAAACCTCTTTTCTTATAAATTACACAGTCTCAGGTATTCTTTATAGCAGTGTGAAAAGGGACTAATACATAAGGTGAAGGATAGCTGTTGCATCTGGCTGTTCCTAGGACCAAATAGAGACATGATGCTTTTGGAGGCAACATATTTGTCATTTCATTGTGTGACACAGACCCATTTACCATGTGACTCAAAAAATGGCTATTTTTTGAGTGGATCTCAGAACAAGAGAAGGCTATGCAATAGGTCCAGTCTACTGTACAAGCTGCTATGCCACTTGGGCTACACGTTCCAGGAGATCCAATGATGGTTGAAGTTGTGCCATTCTCCACAGACAACTATTCTTTTGAGACTAAGCTCTTGGCAGCTCTAATTGCAATTATGGTACTGAGCCATAGTAGATACTGAATGTTTAATCGTGGATCATCAAGTTACCATGCAGCCTGAGCTGTCCATCATGAAATGGGTGTTATCTGACACATCAAGTTGTTTTTGTGAGCTAGAACATTTGATTTATAATTCTTATAATTGTTATAAATGACTATAAATAAAAAATTAGAGCATATGAAAATGTTTTATTAATAATATTATCTGTAAAAAATACAGACTGAATGCCAAGTATGACTCACAATGGTTTCTCACTGTTTTTAATGATCTTAAAACTGAAAATAAAGCAGTAGCAGTTAATCCATTTTTTAAGCAAAATTAAAACAAAACAACAACCAGCAGTCACTTAAATTAAGTAACTTGCCCAAGCCATGTAGCTAGTACATACTAAAATCTTGCTCAGCTAAACCTACAGGATTGCAATAACAAGTTTCCAGATTCCATTCCCAGTACATTTATTTTACTTTATTTATTTTTCTTTTTTGCTTTTGGTGAGAAAAGGAGGAAGGAAGAGATAGAATGAAAAAATAATAATGGAGAATAAAATTCCACAGCTTGCTTTACAGGAAGTTGACATAATATTTGGATTCCTAAACCTATCATTGTAAATGGCTAATCTCAGACTAATAAAGTGCACATGTTGATATAGTTGATAATAATTTTAATATCAGTTTATCTTGAATTTAGATAGTAGATACTTTTATATTTTTTACTTGTAATATTTACACAGCATATACGGATATATACAAATTTTATGCTAGGCAAATTTAATACTGAAATAAAAATGACAAAATTTTAGGATTTAATGAATTTAGAAGAATGAGAATGTAATCTTGTGTAACAAAGTGTTACAGTATTCACCTTTTTTACATTTGAATAAATTCAATTTTTTTCAACTTATAAGAGATAAGTTATCAAAAAATTGCAGACTTTGTTTCATTAAAGAATAAACTTATCTTCTGGGACAGAATTTCCCAAGCAAGTCTTCTGACTGTATATGTGAGTATTGCTTGGGATCATTTTCTCTTTATGCCTATTTACATGTCTCATTAATTTCACGAAGAAGCTTTCTAAATTTACTTAAGAAAAAAACCCAAATTTACTAAAATACATTCACATAAATTGAGTTCATTTAACATTGAACTGTTTTGGCTATTTACTTTACTGAAAAAAGATGCTGTTACAGTAGATATAAGTTTCTTTTAATTAGAGAAGCTGGGCAGACATTGAATGTCTTATTGAAAATAAATAAAACATGATAAATTGTCAAATTTTCTTTTAGATTTGTTACAATGTTTTACTTATGTGGATCCAAAAGTGCCCAATAAGAAATAGTTATTTTATCTTCCCTGAATTACAATTTTTGAAAAAAGCATATATTGATTCCTTATTACGTATATGGCAAGGAAGTAGAGATGAGAGGGAGGATATGGAGTATTTAAATTAAAATCGGTCTGATTATTGCAGGATATACCCCAGGTAATTCACATTTTAGCATGACATTTCTTGAAAATTTTATTATTTCAATAAAAATTAAATCACTTTACTATTCTAAAAATAAATATTTGGATAATTTATGTGAGAAATGTTGGTATAAAGGATGTCAGATTTAAATGAAGATAAAATAGGTGAAAATAAAATGCTAAGAAAATATATTCAGTGAATTTTATTTTATTACATGTGATCTTTACAATAGAGCATCCTTTCATTATGCAAGTTTATATAACATAAGACATATATATATACACATCTATATTTCCTAGTTGATTGAACATAAACAGTGAGAACAACTAAAGCATTTAGAAAATAATAGTTGTGAATATATTGTTAAATAAAATGAGAGCAAATTCATGATGAGATTAAATAAAGAAAACTAATATTACTTTTCCTAATAACAATGTGTCATATCATCAAAACCTTAGCAGAGCCCAGATGGTTTTCTGTTGCTTCATTGCTAATTGAAAACCAAAGTAAGTGTTACAAAATCAAACGGTTATTAACAGATTAACAAAATCTGTCAAAGCAGAATATTCTGTTTAAAACTTGTTATGATAAATTTATTTTTTTATCCTGGAAAATGTTTGGATATTATGAATAATATTGGTCTAACAATATTCATGATGCTATATTTTTATTTATTAAGCATTTCTATTATAAAATGATTGATATCTATTAAGGAAAATATAAATATATAGAACAAACATGATAGAGTGTACATGAAGAATAATGAGAAAAAGAAGAAAAAAGCAATTACATTTTTTTTCATGTTCTTATAGTCAGTGTAGAATTTAGAAAAAACATTGGAGGAGGAGCCAAGATGGCCGAATAGGAACAGCTCCGGTCTACAGCTCCCAGCGTGAGCGACGCAGAAGACGGGTGATTTCTGCATTTCCATCTGAGGTACCGGGTTCATCTCACTAGGGAGTGCCAGACAGTGGGCGCAGGCCAGTGTGTGTGCGCACCGTGCGTGAGCCGAAGCAGGGCGAGGCATTGCCTCACCTGGGAAGCGCAAGGGGTCAGGGAGTTCCCTTTCCGAGTCAAAGAAAGGGGTGACGGACGCACCTGGAAAATCGGGTCACTCCCACCCGAATATTGCGCTTTTCAGACCGGCTTAAGAAACGGCGCACCACGAGACTATATCCCACACCTGGCTCAGAGGGTCCTACGCCCACGGAATCTCGCTGATTGCTAGCACAGCAGTCTGAGATCAAACTGCAAGGTGGCAACGAGGCTGGGGGAGGGGCGCCCGCCATTGCCCAGGCTTGCTTAGGTAAACAAAGCAGCCGGGAAGCTCAAACTGGGTGGAGCCCACCACAGTTCAAGGAGGCCTGCCTGCCTCTGTAGGCTCCACCTCTGGGGGCAGGGCACAGACAAACAAAAAGACAGCAGTAACCTCTGCAGACTTAAGTGTCCCTGTCTGACAGCTTTGAAGAGAGCAGTGGTTCTCCCAGCACGTAGCTGGAGATCTGAGAACGGGCAGACTGCCTCCTCAAGTGGGTCCCTGACCCCTGACCCCTGAGCAGCCTAACTGGGAGGCACCCCCCAGCAGGGGCACACTGACACCTCACACGGCAGGGTATTCCAACAGACCTGCAGCTGAGGGTCCTGTCTGTTAGAAGGAAAACTAACAAACAGAAAGGACATCTACACCGAAAACCCATCTGTACATCACCATCATCAAAGACCAAAAGTAGATAAAACCACAAAGATGGGGAAAAAACAGAACAGAAAAACTGGAAACTCTAAAACGTAGAGCGCCTCTCCTCCTCCAAAGGAACGCAGTTCCTCACCAGCAACAGAACAAAGCTGGATGGAGAATGATTTTGACGAGCTGAGAGAAGAAGGCTTCAGACGATCAAATTACTCTGAGCTACGGGAGGACATTCAAACCAAAGGCAAAGAAGTTGAAAACTTTGAAAAAAATTTAGAAGAATGTATAACTAGAATAACCAATACAGAGAAGTGCTTAAAGGAGCTGATGGAGCTGAAAACCAAGGCTCGAGAACTACGTGAAGAATGCAGAAGCCTCAGGAGCCGATGCGATCAACTGGAAGAAAGGGTATCAGCAATGGAAGATGAAATGAATGAAATGAAGTGAGAAGGGAAGTTTAGAGAAAAAAGAATAAAAAGAAATGAGCAAAGCCTCCAAGAAATATGGGACTATGTGAAAAGACCAAATCTACGTCTGATTGGTGTACCTGAAAGTGATGTGGAGAATGGAACCAAGTTGGAAAACACTCTGCAGGATATTATCCAGGAGAACTTCCCCAATCTAGCAAGGCAGGCCAACGTTCAGATTCAGGAAATACAGAGAACGCCACAAAGATACTCCTCGAGAAGAGCAACTCCAAGACACATAATTGTCAGATTCACCAAAGTTGAAATGAAGGAAAAAATGTTAAGGGCAGCCAGAGAGAAAGGTCAAGTTACCCTCAAAGGAAAGCCCATCAGACTAACAGCGGATCTCTCGGCAGAAACCCTACAAGCCAGAAGAGAGTGGGGGCCAATATTCAACATTCTTAAAGAAAAGAATATTCAACCCAGAATTTCATATCCAGCCAAACTAAGCTTCATAAGTGAAGGAGAAATAAAATACTTTATAGACAAGCAAATGCTGAGAGATTTTGTCACCACCAGGCCTGCCCTAAAAGAGCTCCTGAAGGAAGCGCTAAACATGGAAAGGAACAACCGGTACCAGCCGCTGCAAAATCATGCCAAAATGTAAAGACCATCGAGACTAGGAAGAAACTGCATCAACTAATGAGCAAAATCACCAGCTAACATCATAATGACAGGATCAAATTCACACATAACAATATTAACTTTAAGTATAAATGGACTAAATTCTGCAATTAAAAGACACAGACTGGCAAGTTGGATAAAGAGTCAAGACCCATCAGTGTGCTGTATTCAGGAAACCCATCTCAAGTGCAGAGACACACATAGGTTCAAAATAAAAGGATGGAGGAAGATCTACCAAGCCAATGGAAAACAAAAAAAGGCAGGGGTTGCAATCCTAGTCTCGGATAAAACAGACTTTAAACCAACAAAGATCAAAAGAGACAAAGAAGGCCATTACATAATGGTAAAGGGATCAATTCAACAAGAGGAGCTAACTATCCTAAATATTTATGCACCCAATACAGGAGCACCCAGATTCATAAAGCAAGTCCTCAGTGACCTACAAAGAGACTTAGACTCCCACACATTAATAATGGGAGACTTTAACACCCCACTGTCAACATTAGACAGATCAACGAGACAGAAAGTCAACAAGGATACCCAGGAATTGAACTCAGCTCTGCACCAAGCAGGCCTAATAGACATCTGCAGAACTCTTCACCCCAAATCAACAGAATATACATTTTTTTCAGCACCACACCACACCTATTCCAAAATTGACCACATAGTTGGAAGTAAAGCTCTCCTCAGCAAATGTAAAAGAACAGAAATTATAACAAACTATCTCTCAGACCACAGTGCAATCAAACTAGAACTCAGGATTAAGAATCTCACTCAAAGCCACTCAACTACATGGAAACTGAACAACCTGCTCCTGAATGACTACTGGGTACATAACGAAATGAAGGCAGAAATAAAGATGTTCTTTGAAACCAACGAGAACAAAGACACCACATACCAGAATCTCTGGGACGCATTCAAAGCAGTGTGTAGAGGGAAATTTATAGCACTAAATGCCTACAAGAGAAAGCGGGAAAGATCCAAAATTGACACCCTAACATCACAATTAAAAGAACTAGAAAAGCAAGAGCAAACACATTCAAAAGCTAGCAGAAGGCAAGAAATAACTACAATCAGAGCAGAACCGAAGGAAATAGAGACACAAAAAACCCTTCAAAAAATCAACGAATCCAGTAGCTGGTTTTTTGAAAGGATCAACAAAATTGATAGACCGCTAGCAAGATTAATAAAGAAAAAAAGAGAGAAGAATCAAATAGACACAATAAAAAATGATAAAGGGGATATCACCACCAATCCCACAGAAATACAAACTACCATCAGAGAATACTACAAACACCTCTACGCAAATAAACTAGAAAATCTAGAAGAAATGGATACATTCCTCGACACATACACTCTCCCAAGACTAAACCAGGAAGAAGTTGAATCTCTGAATAGACCAATAACAGGCTCTGAAATTGTGGCAATAATCAATAGTTTACCAACCAAAAAGAGTCCAGGACCAGATGGATTCACAGCCGAATTCTACCAGAGGTACAAGGAGGAACTGGTACCATTCTTTCTGAAACTATTCCAATCAATAGAAAAAGAGGGAATCCTCCCTAACTCATTTTATGAGGCCAGCATCATTCTGATACCAAAGCCGGGCAGAGACACAACCAAAAAAGAGAATTTTAGACCAATATCCTTGATGAACATTGATGCAAAAATCCTCAATAAAATACTGGCAAACCGAATCCAGCAGCACATCAAAAAGCTTATCCACCATGATCAGTGGGCTTCATCCCTGGGATGCAAGGCTGGTTCAATATACGCAAATCAATAAATGTAATCCAGCATATAAACAGAGCCAAAGACAAAAACCAAATGATTATCTCAATAGATGCAGAAAAAGCCTTTGACAAAATTCAACAACACTTCATGCTAAAAACTCTCAATAAATTAGGTATTGATGGGACGTATTTCAAAATAATAAGAGCTATCTATGACAAACCCACAGCCAATATCATACTGAATGGGCAAAAACTGGAAGCATTCCCTTTGAAAACTGGCACAAGACAGGGATGCCCTCTCTCACCGCTCCTATTCAACATAGTGTTGGAAGTTCTGGCCAGGGCAATCAGGCAGGAGAAAGAAATAAAGGGTATTCAATTAGGAAAAGAGGAAGTCAAATTGTCCCTGTTTGCAGACGACATGATTGTTTATCTAGAAAACCCCATCGTCTCAGCCCAAAATCTCCTTAAGCTGATAAGCAACTTCAGCAAAGTCTCAGGATACAAAATCAATGTACAAAAATCACAAGCATTCTTATACACCAACAACAGACAAACAGAGAGCCAAATCATGAGTGAACTCCCATTCACAATTGCTTCAAAGAGAATAAAATACCTAGGAATCCAACTTACAAGGGATGTGAAGGACCTCTTCAAGGAGAACTACAAACCACTGCTCAAGGAAATAAAAGAGGACACAAACAAATGGAAGAACATTCCATGCTCATGGGTAGGAAGAATCAATATCGTGAAAATGGCCATACTGCCCAAGGTAATTTACAGATTCAATGCCATCCCCATCAAGCTACCAATGACTTTCTTCACAGAATTGGAAAAAACTACTTTAAAGTTCATATGGAACCAAAAAAGAGCCCGCATTGCCAAGTCAATCCTAAGCCAAAAGAACAAAGCTGGAGGCATCACACTACCTGACTTCAAACTATACTACAAGGCTACAGTAACCAAAACAGCATGGTACTGGTACCAAAACAGAGATATAGATCAATGGAACAGAACAGAGCCCTCAGAAATAACGCCGCATATCTACAACTATCCGATCTTTGACAAACCTGAGAAAAACAAGCAATGTGGAAAGGATTCCCTATTTAATAAATGGTGCTGGGAAAACTGGCTAGCCATATGTAGAAAGCTGAAACTGGATCCCTTCCTTACACCTTATACAAAAATCAATTCAAGATGGATTAAAGATTTAAACGTTAGACCTAAAACCATAAAAACCCTAGAAGAAAACCTAGGCCTTACCATTCAGGACATAGGCATGGGCAAGGACTTCATGTCCAAAACACCAAAAGCAATGGCAACAAAAGCCAAAATTGACAAATGGGATCTAATTAAACTAAAGAGCTTCTGCACAGCAAAAGAAACTACCATCAGAGTGAACAGGCAACCTACAACATGGGAGAAAATTTTCGCAACCTACTCATCTGACAAAGGGCTAATATCCAGAATCTACAATGAACTCAAACAAATTTACAAGAAAAAAACAAACAACCCCATCAAAAAGTGGGCGAAGGACATGAACAGACACTTCTCAAAAGAAGACATTTATGCAGCCAAAAAACACATGAAGAAATGCTCATCATCACTGGCCATCAGAGAAATGCAAATCAAAACCACTATGAGATATCATCTTACACCAGTTAGAATGGCAATCATTAAAAAGTCAGGAAACAACAGGTGCTGGAGAGGATGTGAAGAAATAGGAACACTTTTACACTGTTGGTGGGACTGTAAACTAGTTCAACCATTGTGGAAGTCAGTGTGGCGATTCCTCAGGGATCTAGAACTAGAAATACCATTTGACCCAGCCATCCCATTACTGGGTATATACCCAAAGGACTATAAATCATGCTGCTATAAAGACACATGCACACATATATTTATCGCGGCACTATTCACAATAGCAAAGACTTGGAACCAACCCAAATGTCCAACAATGATAGACTGGATTAAGAAAATGTGGCACATATACACCATGGAATACTATGCAGCCATAAAAAATGATGAGTTCATATCCTTTGTAGGGACATGGATGAAATTGGAAACCATCATTCTCAGTAAACTATCGCAAGAACAAAAAACCAAACACCGCATATTCTCACTCATAGGTGGGAATTGAACAATGAGATCACATGGACACAGGAAGGGGAATATCACACTCTGGGGACTGTGGTGGGGTCGGGGGAGGGGGGAGGGATAGCATTGGGAGATATACCTAATGCTAGATGACACATTAGTGGGTGCAGCGCACCAGCATGGCACATGTATACATATGTAACTAACCTGCACAATGTGCACATGTACCCTAAAACTTAGAGTATAATAAAAAAAAAAAAAATTCAAAAAAAAAAAAAAAAAAGAAAAAACATTGACTCTAGTGAAGAAATATAAAATAATTTTCTTCACAGGGTAAAAGAGGCTCTGTGGAAAAATATGGCCATTCTTCTATGAGGAAGGAAATTTAGTGTTAACTTCACACTTTGGAGCTTTTTTTGTGTTCTGAAACAGCATGTTTATCAAGAAAAAAATATGTGATATGTTCAAAAGAATATTTGGATCGCTAACCTAATTTGAAAAATACTTTTTTTGTATCTTAGCTGTTGTCTTTAGAGAAAGTGTTTTTGTATTATTGTGTGGGTTTGTGTCTATACACAAATACATATTAGAGAAAATAACTGAAACTAAAAACAATGATAATTTCGCTAAAAAGCAATCCTTTAGGCTGGGAAAAAAAAATCTGCTCTTTGGGACTCATTTTTCATTAAGAGCTTTCAGCACACTTCCTTTTCATGCTGGTTTTTTAGAAAAAAAAATTTATTTCAGGAGATCTGCCAGTTAAAGAAAATGGTGTCAATTATTTATTATAAAGTTATTTAGCAACTAGGACTGAAATAGTGAAAGCGATGTATGTTAAGGTATTATATTAACATTTATTTATGAGAAGGCAACATTCGAATGTTACAGTAGGTAGCCAGTCAGACATAAACAGGGTAGGAGAGGTCATCTCATCCAAACCAGATATGTCAGG
This sequence comes from Homo sapiens, assembly GCF_000001405.40. NCBI lineage: Eukaryota > Metazoa > Chordata > Mammalia > Primates > Hominidae > Homo > Homo sapiens. Next base: position 48,193,805 of record NC_000014.9, read on the forward strand.
TGACCATCAGGTGATCGTCAGGCAGTTGTTAACTGTCTCTCTAGAATAATAATTGGTCACAGCTTGCTCCAGGGAAAGGTGCAAGTCCAAGTCCACGAAAAAAACCTAAAGCGGGTGACCAGCAGCTTCCCAATAAGATCTCAGGAGTCTGGCAAGTGGGCTTACAGATGCGCACTAAAAGGCAAAATGACCCCTTAACTGGTATGTGACATTTGGCTGGTAAGGGAAGAGCGCCTCAAGTGAGCATGCCTACAACGCCAGTAAGCACACTGCGCATGCCCATCTTCCAAGTACTAGCAGGTGCTGCGCATGCGGACAGCGGATCGCAAGGGGAAAAGACCCCGGAAGTACGCCAAAGTATAAAACCTCAGGTTAAAAGGTCAAAACTAGTACTTGTCCTTCAAGTCGCCCACTTGGCCCTCTTCCAGGTGTAGTTTCCTTTCTTTCATTCATGCTGTAAAGCTTTTTAAATGAACTTTCACTCCTGCTCTAAAACTTGCCCCTATCTCTCCTTCTGCCTTAACGCCCCTCAGTCGAATTCTTTCTTTTGAGGAGGCAAGAATTGAGGTTGCTACAGACCGGTACAGACTCACTGCCGGTAACACAAGCAGCCTAGAGGGAATGAGTCCCTTTTATTTACAGATTCTCCAGTAATGTTTTGGATGTAGTTTAGGAGCTCTTATCTTCAGGTACTTTTCAAATCTTATTTCAGTTGCTGGTATAAAAAATAAGGTACCTTACAAATATTTTCCTGGCTTCTTCTAAGGGACTACCAAATAGGAAATGTTTGAATATTGCTTATCCTGATGATTAAATCGCTTTCATAACATTGAAATAAACGCATTAAGGTAGTTATTTAAAAAGATAAATTTTATTTTAGAAATTTTTTTTTTCAAAAACCTGAAGCTCAAAAGGAAGACTCTTATTCTATCATTCTGTTTCTTGGTTTGCAACTATTTAAGTATAAGGAACTTGAGTCTAAATTCTTGTTTCAGTATGTATTAAAAAACTAACTAGGTAACAGTTTCTTCTCTGAAATCTGCAATGACAAGGCACAATTAGCATATTTGCAAAAACGACAAAATAATTCTGTCTTTAAACCATGGAGATAATCCCTAGTTGATATAAATACGTTGTTGCATTTTCAAAATTACCACCTTTGCATACACAGTTTTCTCATTCTGAAGCTAACAGGGGCTAAAACCAAATCAGTTGCATAGTGATGTAAATAACTGTGACAATTAATTGCATAGAACATAAAAAATGAAATACACCATGAAATGTCTTTCCTTTTACATTTTATAGATACAGTCCAAAAGTTCTGTTTATAATTCTTTACTGTTTTACCTATCGCCTCATCTTTTTAGAATAGTGGCAAGACTTACTTGGTAGTAAATAGATATTTTCCTAATAAGAAGAATTATTTGGACTCCTTATTGTCTCCTATTAGTCCCTGTGTAAACTTAAAATTCAGACATAATTAAATTATTTCCTGTGCACCTCAGAGAAAATTCCACATGTTCCAAAGGAGCCATTATATACTTAGAACTTAAATAGGAATTAATGAAAATATTTGTGCCAACAGCTAACACCAGTCTGGCTCACAAACTTTGGCATGAAAATGAAAATCCTGTAGTTTACTATCCACACCATTGTACATAATCTGATGAGCTTGCAATGTAAATATGCAATTTCTCAGTAAAAATGCAATGATAATGATGGACCACAAGAAAGTCAGGGAGAATTCCAGAGGCTCTCTGTCTCTTTCTTCTCTACGATTTCCTCTCAGTGGCTGTTGTTATCCAAACCATGTGTACTGGTTCTTCAAGCCAATCAGACTACAAATCTTCTATTTTGGATATTTAGGCACTTCATGCAGTGCAGACTGGGAACTGCTGTTTGAATATTTGTTGTCATATCCCCCACACTATTCTCATCCCCATGTAAATGCAAATGTTTAAAAATTGGTAGTATTTTTATTTATGTTTTTTTTTTGAGACATTCAGGTCAGCACTCAGAAAAATATGATGAAGGCAATATATGTTTTCTGACTCCTAATCACTACCCTTGATACTTTTCCTGCTCAATCTTCAGCTCCTCCTTCTAATTTCAGAGGCCTTTCATGCTTGCTGGGCTCAGCTGCCCTAATAATATAATAATAAACTTAGTGTTATAGACATTGTATGATTCCCTCTCAAGCGATCTTACATTTTAAAACAGCGCTATGAAAACAGGGCAATGCTTTATCAAAGGAAATAACTTGCTAGTGGTGAAATGATAAATGTATTTGGTTGGGTCAGTCGAAGGTATTTGGTTGGGTCAGTCACACCTTGATTAGTGACCCACATTCTGCTTGCTCTTAATGCTTTATGAAACTCTCATGGCTTCATTTATTTATTTATTTCTGAATATTCAAGTACAGCTTTAGAAATGATATAACACAGAGTATTTTAACATTTGCACATCAAAAGTAACTAAGTGACAAAACATAAATGAGGAACTATGTCTGCCTTTTTTGTACCCTTTTTGCAAAGATACTTTGACAGAATTTTTAAAGAATCACACAATGAAAAAGTACCCATTAGTGTAGCAGAAGTATGCAGGTTAGCTTTGTTAGATTGCCATGCTGTAATCTTTTGTGAGATATCAGAAATCTTAGTCGAACAGGAAAGGATGAAGCATAGAATTGCTATACATTTGAAATAGTCGTATTTTGATGGCCTGTTTTAGATATACTATTTTCCCACTCTTTTATCTGTCCCAGATTACCTTATGAATTTTCTTCTGGAGATATTCCTTTATGCTAGTGAGAAAGCTGTCACCAAATTTTCAGTTAATGAGGGTTGATATAGCCAAATTCCTTGCTGCTAGGATTTTACATGCCCGCCCTCTGCATTAGCATGAGCTTTTATTTTATTTTAAAGCACACTTTTTTTAGCGTGAGCGTAGTAATAGTCAAAGTCTTTAAATTTAGGTATAGGTCATATCAAATCCTTAAAAATCATTTTATAGAAACACAAATTCATTCTTAATAACGTGTTCCCTTTTTTCCTTTTCTTTTTCCTTTTATTCTTGTCTGTTTCCATGATGCCAGGATGTTAGTTAACTGATGCCTACTGAATTAAATTGAGGATCAGCCATTACATGATTATCATCTAATTCCTTGTTTTTAAATTGTATCCATTAATGAAACCCTGTTTGCAGATAAAAACATATAAATGTACTCAATGTATCAACTGGATAAAAGTGAGTCTAATTTTATTGAATAAAGTTCAAATTTGATATTTATTTACTAAGAGGACAGTAAAGCACTATGAAGCAGTTAGACTAGCATGAAATTTGCTATGGTGATTTCAGATGAAAGAGCAATATTGTCTGTCTCATTATCTAATTCATTGCTACATTTCTTTTTGTTGCTGTCACAAAATAGGGAGGTAATCTTTATACAAATAAGTGCTTATAAATAATTAGAGATTTTTAGGTATGGTATTTGGTCAATACTCTTCTAATAAACTGATCTGAAGTTTCTAAAATGAACACTAGGATATTTTTATTTTTTAGATGAATTACAAAACATTATCTTAATGTGTGTTAAATTTACAGGGAACCAGTGATTGTATTTAATTCACAATTTCTTAAACATTGAATACAAAATACCTATATGTTTCATAATATCTTAGATGTTCAAATATGTTTTTAAAATAATTTTAGCTATTTTTTGACAGAAACTCAAAATCTCTAAAGATTACAGTAAAGTTTTTCCAGTCACAGCTGAATTAAAATTTTAATGCACTACTATCTTATATCTACATTTTTAAAGAGGAAACAGTAACCTTGCATTTTCAAATTGATTTCAGAATGCTTTAAAAAATCTCTAATATATCAGGATTATACAATGATCATAAATTAGAGATATAATTTATGAAATATTTGCAAAAGCAATGTCAATCCAGCGAATAAACATAAGCACAAAAATGAAAATCCTAGAATTCACTAACCACATTGTTGTGCATTATCTGTTGTCTACAATTTAAATATTTTGTCCCAGTAAAAATGACTATATGGCATTATTCAATATTTAAAAAATAATACTGGCATATTTTCATTGGCAGTACTTGTCAGAGAGGCATATTTTGATACTAGAAAGTCTTATAACAGCTTTAATATGAGCCACAAACTACATCATTGCTTTTCATGCCATTGTTTCCTGTGCCATCACTGTATACTTACACTGCCTAATATAGTAGCCACAGGATACATGTGGCTATTGAACATTTGAATGTGGCTAGTCTGAAGTAAGAGATGCTACAAGTGTAAAATATACCGTTTTTATAACAGAATGAGAAAAGAATGTAAACCATTCATTTTTGTATTGATTACATTTTAAATATTCTCAATATTTTGGGGTAAACTATATTATTATATTTTATTATGTCTGTTTGTTTCTATGTTGTTATTGGGAGTACTTACATTTTTGAAGTCCTATGCAACTATTATTCTCATAAAAGGGAAATTGCAGTGGAAAATAATTTGAATTCCAATTCCTTCAAGTGTGAAGCATGTTATCTTAACTTGCATATTGTTCTAAATATTGTTCAAAACAGTTAAACTTTCATTAAAAATACTGTGATTTGGGCCGGGCGTGGAGTCTCATGCCTGTAATCCTAGCACTTTGGGAGGCCGAGGCAGGCTGATTACCTGAGGTCAAGAGTTCAAGACCAGCCTGGCCAACATGGTGAAACGCCGTCTCTACTAAAAATACAAAAAACTTAGCCGGGTGCAGTGGTGCACACCTGTAATCCCAGCTACTCAGGAGGCTGAGGCAGGAGAATTGCTTGAACCCAGGAGGCAGAGGTTGCAGTGAGCCAAGATCATGCCACTGCACTCCAGCCTGGGCTACAGAGAAAGACTGCGTCTCAAAAAAACAAAAACAAAAACAAAAACAAAAACAAAACAAACAAAAAAACCCGTGATTTGTTGCATCCTTTTCAGCCTAATCAAAGTTCCATTTCTTTTTGTTACTATCAATATATTACTTCAGTTTTTAGAATTTTCATTAAGATGTATCTTGGCATTGATTTCTCCTGGTTTACCTTGCTTGGGATTTGCTCACCTTTTTGAATCTATAGGTTTGTCTTTTATCCAACTTAAGAAAATTTCAGCAACTCTTTCTTTTAGCACTTTTTTCAGCCCTGACCTCTTTCTCCTCTCCTTTTGAATGTCAGTAACTTGAATGTTAGATCTTTATCAGAGTCCTTGAGTCATTCTTGTTCAGTCTGTTTTCTCTCTTATTCAGATTTGGTGATACCTATTGTTCTGTCTTCAAAGTCATGATTCTTTCTTTCTTTTTAATGTTATGTAACTTTTTTTTTTTTTTTTTTTTGAGATGAAGGCTGGAGTGCAATGGCGCAATCTCCACTCACTGCAACCTCCATCTCCCAGGTTCAAGCGATTCTCCTGCCTCAGCCTCCCGAGTATCTGGGACTATAGGTGCATAGTTTATGGCTATCAGACAACCACCTACTTAGATACCAGGCACTTCTATTTCAGGGACTGGTGCTTCAAATACACACGTGTGCGACCCTCAACCCTGCCGCTTTTCTCCCAGAGGATGGGGAACCAATCGAGCCTGACTGCCAACAAATTATAGTCCAGACTTACGCCACCTTAGAGGATCTCTTAGAAGTGCCCTTAGTTAATCCTGACCTTAACCTATACACTGATGAAAGTTCATTTGTGGAGAATGGGATGCAAAGGGCAAGTTATGCCACAGTAACAGTACTTGAAAGTAAGCCTCTTCCCCCAGGGACCAGCGCCCAGTTAGCAGAACTAGTGGCACTTACCCGAGCCTTAGAACTGGGAAAGGGAAAAAGAATAAATGTGTATACAGATAGCAAGTATGCTTATTTAATCCTACATGCCCATGCTGCAATATGGAAAGAAAGGGAGTTCCTAACCTCTGGGGAACCCCATTAAATACCACAAGGAAATTATGGAGTTATTGCATGCAGTGCAAAAACCCAAGGAGGTGGCAGTCTTATACTGCCAAAGCCATCAGAAAGGTGAAGGAGAAAAGGCAGAAGGAAACTGTCGGGCAGATGCTGAGGCCAAAATTGCTGCCAGGAGGAACTTCCCATTAGAAATACCTACGGAAGGACCCTTGGTATGGAACAACCCCTTCCAAGAGATTAAGCCCCAGTATTCCCCGACTGAAACAGAATGGGGAATTTCACAGGGGCATAGTTTTCTCCCCTCGGGGTGGTTAATGACAGAAGAAGGAAAGGTACTTATACCTGAGGCCAGCCAGTGGAAAATACTTAAAACCCTCCATTATACTTTTCATATGGGTATTGAAAACACTCATCAAATGGCCAAATCCTTACTTACAGGGCCACATTTCCTCTGGATCATCCGACAGGTAATCAAAGCCTGTGAGGTGTGCCAAAGGAATAATCTCTTGGTCCTTCATAAGCCCCTTTGGGGGAACAAAGAATAGGTCACTATCCTGGAGAGGACAGGCAGTTAGACTTCACCCATATGCCTAAGTCAAAGGGATTTCAATACTTGTTGGTCTGTGTTGATACCTTTACAAATTGGATCGAAGCTTTCCCCTGCAAGACTGAGAATGCTCAGAAGTGATTAAATGTGACCCTAATTCATGAAATAATTCCTAGATTTGGGCTTCCGCAAAGCTTACAGAGTGACAATGATCTGGCTTTTAAAGCCATGATAACTCACGGAATTTCCAGGGTGCTAGGGATACAACATCACCTCACTGAGCCTGGAGGCCACATTTCTCAGGGAAGATCTGGAAGGCAAATGAAACACTCAAGAGGCACTTAAGGAAACAAACACAAGAAACTCATCTCCCATGGCCTACTCTTTTGCCCATGGCCTTATTGAGAATCCGAAATTCTCCTCACAAAATGGGGCTCAGTCCATATGAAATGCTGTATGGATGACCTTTTCTCACAAATGACCTCCCACTTGATCAGGAAACGGCCAACTTGGTCAAAGGTATAACTTTTTTGGCAAAATATCAACAAAACCTTAAAAACCTACCTGAAGGATGTGACAGAGAAAAGGGAACAGAGTTGTTTCAACCAGGAGATCTAGTGTTGGTCAAATCTCTCCCCTCTATCTCCCCATCTATCGACTCTGTGGGAAGGACCATACTCAGTAATCCTCTCTACCCCCACTGCAGTTAAGGTGGCAGGAGTGGAATCTTGGATTCACCACACCAGAGTTAAATTTTGGACACCCCCTGAGGAACCTGTGGGACCATCAGCTCAGGAGTCCCAAGATCAGCCAGACCAGCCTCGATACACCTGCGAACAGTTGGAAGACTTGCATCTCCTATGTGGGAAGGAAACATCCCAGATTAAAAAGGCTCCTACCACTGATCCTGAAGAAAAACCCCTTCCTCCTTAAAAAAGATAAGTGAAAACCACATAATCTTTAACACCTCTCCTTACCCCTTTAATGGAATCATTTTACTATTTCATCATATTATTAAGCAGCATACTAACCATACTCTTTGTGATAGGGCTATAAACTGTAGCTCCTGCTGGGTCGAACATCCTAATCACATCAGCCTTCTTTCTGTCTTCCTTCCTTCTGACAGCAATTTACTCCTACCTTTAACTCAGCCTGGATAAAATGATCTCGTGTTCCAGAGCACCTCTTTACCTTCCTATTTACTCTTTGCCTATCTATCCCTCCTGCTTCCTTGGATACGTCATACAATCACCTATCCCCTTCCACTAGCTCCTAATTACCTCTACAAGACTCTCAACTTAACCCACTCTCTGTTAAACCAGTCCAATCCTTCCCTGGCAAATAACTGTTGGCTTTGTATCTCTCTATCAACCTCGGCTTACGTTGCCACTCCCATTCCCGCAAAAAATTGGGTCTTTACCGACTTAACCTACCACCCTCATTATGAAGGAAAAGCCCCTTTCTGACTTCTAAATATGCAATCATTAGCCGACTTCCCCATCTCTGATAGGACCAAGAATACCCTAACAGGACGAGGACGTGCAATCCAACTTTCACGTTCTTACATTTCCAACCTCACCTATTACACAAGCAATGAAAAGCCCATACACGGTCCTGTAACTACGAATATCATCTTAACTTTCCCAGCCCCTTTATGCATTCATCGCAGCCTGTTATCAGGCCTGCTTCTGGGGCACCTACTACCACATCAGTATAATTATACCCTACAACTTCAAGCCCCAACTGATCATAGTAACTTCCGAGTCACACAAGTAGCTCCATTCAGACGGCTTCTCAGGGCCCCTCAAAATCATCACCTCCTCCCTGCTTAACAAACAGTCCAAGTTTTGTAATGGCAAACATACTCCCTGCATGACCATTGACCCCTGTATTCCCTGCATGAACCCCCACCACTAGTGAATGCCTTCTCATCCCTATTTCAATCACTCTCTCGAATGGTTCCTAGTAGATACAAAATGATTTTTTCTCCAGTGGGAAAATAGAACACGGGGAGCCACTCAGTTTGCTTCCAACACTCCTTTCCAGCCACTCACTGGAGCTACCTTGGCAAGTACTCTAGGAGTATGGGAAAATGAAAAGAACAAACTCTTACACCAAACTCTGGAGTTGGGCAACATGGCTTCTCCCCTTTCTAGGTCCCGTGGCAGCCATCTTGCTATTACTCACCTTCAGGCACTGTATTTTTAACCTCCTTGTTAAATTTGTTCCCTCTAGAATCGAGGCCGTCAAGCTACAGATGGTCTTACAAGTAGAACACCAAATGCGCTCAACTAACAACTTCTACCATGGTCCCCTGGACTGACCCGCTGGCCCTTTCACTGGCCTAAAGAGTTCCCCTCTGGAGGACACTACAACTGCAGGGCCCCTTCTTCACCCCATCCAGTGGAAGTAGCTAGAGTGGTAATCACCCAGTTACTAACAGCACTTGGGGTGTCCTGTTTAGAGGGGGGATTGAGAGGTGAAGCCAGCTGGACTTCCTGGGTCAAGTGGGAACTTGGAGAACTTTTCTGTCTAGCTAAATGTTTGTAAATGCACCAATCAGCACTCTGTAAAATGGTTCAATCAGTGCTCTGTAAAATGGACCAATCAGCAGGACATGGGTGGGGCCAAATAAGGGAATAAAAGCTGGCCATCCCAGCCAACAGCGCAACCCACTCGGGTCCCTTTCCATGCTGTGGAAGCTTTGTTCTTTTGCTTTTCATGATAAATCTTGCAGCTGCTCACTCTTTGGGTCCGCACTACCTTTATGAGCTGTCACACTCACTGCAAAGGTCTGCAGCTTCACTCCTGAAGTCAGTGAGACCACGAACCCACCAGGAGGAACAAACAACTGTGGATGCGCCACCTTTAAGAGCTGTAACACTCACTGGGAAGGTCTGCGGCTTCACTCCTGAAGTCAACCAAGACCACAAACCAACCGGAAGGAATAAACTCCGGACACATAAGAACATCTGAAGGACAAACTCCAGACACTCCATCTTTAAGAACTGTAACACTCACTGCAAGGGTCTGCAGCTTCATTCTTGAAGTCAGCGAGACCAAGAACTCACTGGAAGGAACCAATTCCAGACACATAATCACATATAAAGTAACAGTTTTCAGTTTTGTATTACTATTGTATGCTGTTTTTAATTTTGTTTCAGTGTATGTGTCCTTATATTTAAGTCTCTGGAAGGCCATATAACATTTTTGTATCTTCCCAATAGCAAAGACTTGGAAACAAACCAAATGTCCATCACTGATAGACTGGATTAAGAAAATGTGGCACATATACACCATGGAATACTATGCAGCCATAAAAAAGGATGAGTTCATGTCCTTTGCAGGGACATGAATGAAGCTGGAAACCATCATTCTCAGCAAACTATCACAAGGACAGAAAACCAAACACCACATATTCTCACTCATAGGTGGAAATTGAACACCAAGAACACATGGACACAGGGCAAGGAACATCACACACCAGGGCCTGTCAGGGGGTCGGGGGCTGGGGGAGGGATAGCATTAGGAAAAATACCTAATGTAAATGACGAGTTGATGGGTGCAGCAAGCCAACATAGCACATGTATACCTATGTAAGAAACCTGAATGTTGTGCACATGTACCCTAGAACTTAAAGTATAATAAAAAAAATTTTGTGTCTTCCATGGCATCTAGTAACATGCTTTTGTGAGCATAGAATTTTAAGTAGTTGGTAATTTTAACTAACTAAGAATAATCTCAAACACCTTCTTCAGATGAATGATCACAAGTTGGGGGAAATGATCGACTCACCCACATGGAGGACACTTGCACTCCATTTTTCCTTGAACAGCCAGAGTAGTCCCAGAAAAAGTTAGTGAACTTTGTAGGAAGCAATGCTGCATATGAAAAGGGAACACATGCCGGGTGTGGTGGCTCATGCCTGTAATCCCAGCCCTTTGGGAGGCCGAGTTGGGCGGATCATCTGAAGTCAGGAGTTGGAGACCAGCCTGGCCAACATGGCAAAACCCTGTCTGTACTAAAAACACACACACACACACAAAATTAGCCAGGTGTGGTGGCACACGCCTGTAATCCCAGCTACTCAGGAGGCTAGGGAGGGAGAACCTAGGAGATGGAGGTTGCAGTGAGCCGAGATCACACCACTGCACTCCAGCCTGGGTGACAAGCGAGACTCTGTCTGGAAAAAAAAAAAAAGAAGAAGAAAAAGAAAAGGAAACACAAACTTTGGAGTTGGAAAATAATTGTCTTTGATTCCCAACTATGCAGCTTCCTAAAATTTGAATGTGGGTAATTTATTTGCTACTCTCAACCTATGTTTTACCAATTATTAAATAAAAGCCTGCTCATTGCTTTAGACTTATTCTACCCAAAATATCTTATTCCAAGGCCACACACTGAATCTGTTCATTGCAAAAAGCTACTCTGCATAGGATTGATCCCAGCCTCCAAGATAGATACTCCATGGGAATACACAACTTGTTCTTAACTTACCAGTGCAGTCTCAGTTCCTTTAGCACATTGTTGAATATGTGCCATAAGACGATTCAGTCAAAATGATCTCCAATATTTTACAGAATAAATCTTTTTTTTTAGATCATATGAAGTGTGCGTATGGTACCTATTGGAGCTATCTTGAGCCCATATAAAGAGTAAGCTTTAGAATGACGGCGACTCACAGAGAAAGCTAAGAATCATCAGAAAATGAAAATCGTAAGTCTCATCAAAACTTAATTGATGTTTGCCCTCAGTAACTCTAGATTTTTCAGCTAATTGTTGTGGAAGCCCCTCATCATCTCTCCTGATTCACTTTTGGGATTTATTGCTCCCATTCCCAGCTATATGTTTTTTGCATGTTATTAAGCATCTTAAATCCCCACAGTCTCCTGAGAAATAAGAGAAAAAATAAATCTAAAGAGCCAGTCATCAAAATTAATTTTATTTAGAAGAAACATGACCAAAAAAAGATTATCTGTAAATATATTTTTCTAAGATATCCTAATATGATTACTAAACATAAGAAACTAGTTCTCTCTTCTTTGGGGTAGACAGAAGCAATGCACTCAAATAAAACTGTCAGTTCAATGATCTTTTCAGGTAGACAGATACACTTAAGGGAACATTTGAACAGTATCATGTCAATTTACAAATGGCTTAATTTCTAAAAATGGATTATTTTATACACATAGCATTTATTTTCCTTATTGCAATGCAAAAAAATACGCATTATGTGTCATTGCTTACAAAGCATAGGTACACTTTGTACTTTGCTGTACTAATGACTGATAAAAAATAAAATGGCAGCATTGCACTGCTAACAGCAGTAATTGGAGTGCATCCCCTCCTAGATCCTTGATATAGTTGTCTGTTGAGAGATGGCAGATTAGTATCAATAGCTCATTTTTCTTTTTTATAAAGATATCAAGAACCATTTATTTTTTTTTAAATCACCTCATTTAGTTTAATTTATTGGCCCTTCATACTCACATTTCTTTCTGAGATCAGTTCTGAGCTTGCACAGCCTATTTTATGTTACCATCAGAACCTTTACGCTGAGCAAAAAAATGAATGTCAAAGATTTAGCCTAAGGCTATCTTGAATCATTTCCCAGAGATAGTTATTCTTTCTGGAACTCTATTCCTATTTTCTTAAATAACTTGCAGTACAAAAAGATGTCAGTTTAAGAACAGCGATTCCTGTATCTATGTGCCATGTAAGATTTTACTCCCTAAAATATGGAAGATTGCTTATTTATAGAGGTTTCTTATTCTGTTACTTTAATTGAGAATCCTGAACCTTTTATATGAGTCAATTATGAAAAATTATACAAATATTTGCATAAATAAAGTTAACATTTGAATAAACAAGGATAAATCTGTTTAGTGATCTAAAAGTCTTTAAAAGCATAAACGTTTGAATTATAAATGGAATCAAATAATTAGGAGACAGAATAATGCTGAAAGAAGAAGTTTCAGTAGGAAAAACTGTAAGAATGCTCAATTGCATTTCATTTAACACATTTTGAAAAAGGACCATAGATTTTGGCCACAGGTGAGAGCAATCAACAAACAATAATAATATATTTTAGTGTATACTTTTCATTATAATCAACACTATAATCAATAGCATTAGTATCAAAACACTGGAATGTTTAGTTGTGCACTAATTAAGATGATATAGCCTGGTAGGAAAGAACACTGGATCTGGAACTAGAGTGTTTACATATGGATTCCAATTCTTTCACTTATGACCTGTGTAATATTGGGCAGGTGATAAAATCTCCTAGGGTATTATTTTCTCCACCAGAAAATTGGAAGTAATCAATTGTGGCTACCTGTTAGATTTTTATGAGAAAAGAATTAACATAAGTAAATCATGTAGCACAATGCCTGGCTTATAGTTAGCACCCCATAAATGTTCATTGCTATTATTTTTATTTTGTTGTGATTTTATTTTGGTTATATTATTTTTTGGGTGAAGAGAACTGTGTAACTTCAAGTCTTAATATCCAGAAACTCTCAGGGTGGGTCTAAGATTTTAGTCTACTTACAAGATGATTTGATGGCCTGTTAATGTTTCATGAATCGTGGCAAAAGACGAGACTCCTGTGTCAGAGACAAACTTTTTAACAGCGAAAGCAGTGTCCACAGCTTGATGTTCGTGTGCTTTGATTCTCCATGACCCCCATGTCCCATTGGTAGGCAACACAAAGGGCCTCTATAGATGTCTGTACACTCAGTCGGTTTCATTACAGTAATGGAGACATGAACTTGGGGTTTCACTTGTTTTATGGTGCGTAGAGGCAAGCCTATTCTCTATCCAAGGTAATGTGTTACTTATCTCTCAAGTTCATTCACTACAAAAACAACCATGAAAAAAGGTCTGATTTAAAAGCTGTCAGGGTCTTAAATTATTAGCGTACTCATCAATGGCATACAGGAACAGTCAGGGTCTCGTAGATTTCTTCTCCTGATAGAAACTTCAAAAAAATGGCCCCGGCGCAGTGGCTCACACCTGTAATCCCAGCACTTTGGGAGGCCCAGGTGGGTTGATCACCTGAGGTCAGGAGTTCAAGACCAGCCTGGCCAACATGGTGAAACTCCATCTCTACTAAAAATACAAAAAATTAGTTGGTCATGGGGGCAGGTGCCTGTAATCCCAGCTACTCAGGAGACTGAGGCAGGAGAATCGCTTGAACCTGGAAGGCTGAGGTTACAGTGAGCCGAGATTGTGCCACTGCACTCCAGCCTGGGCAACAAGAGCGGAACTTCATCTCAAAAAAAAAAATAGTAAAAATAAAATAAATAAAATTGTGTTTTGTCTTCAGCATGTTTGGGACTGTGATGTCCATAGGGTCAATCTTCTCCACATGAAGACATGATTGTATTTTTTTAATATTGCCTTGGATCTATATGTCAGTGTCCCAGTTCTGTAATAGCAACCATTCTTCTTGGTATTGAATTCACTTTTTTCTATTTCATTTTTTCCTGTTAATTTTTAATCACATTTAATTTTCTTTATTTAAGTTGTACCTTCTTATCATGTAAGAGTGCATGGGAATTTTTGTATTCTTGGTTTCTCTTTTACTAATTTTTTCATGTTTGTTTCTTCTGGTTATAGCTAAATGTGTTAAATCATAGTGTAGAATATGAGACATTCTTAAGTTTGATTCTACTACGATTATGAATTTTCGTATATTTATTCATACTTTAGGGATGATTTTTTTCCATTTGTATACTGTTAGTTAGCTACTTAGGTCACCCTAGGTAACATAAATGTTGGAATTACTACTTTCTTGGACAACTTCTTTCTGCTCCCATAAGCCAATCTTAATTTATCTTTCAGGATGTCTCTGAAGTCTCTCTTCAGCCAGGAGGCTTTTCCTATTGAAGCACTCTGGGGCACATTGATTTCTCCTATGTTTTAACTTCAAACATGGCATCATCTGAAACCTATATTTTGGTTTGTAATTATGATGTGCTTTATAATGTACTTTATGGTTTCTGCAAATATAAGTTTTTATTCTTGACTAAGGTTTTACACAGCTTGAAGTCAAGGATGGTGTCATATGTCTTATGTGCCTAACACACTGTACCATGTTAGGCATTCATAGTACCTAACATGCTGAAAACACACACTTTTTTTGATTTAGATTATATCATGTTAATGAAGTGTGATGATAAATAACAAACTAAAAAGCTAGTAAATGTGACCTTCAAGCAAATTGGAAGTTAGTGGTACCTATCTCAACACAGTTGAAAATTTTTGTATAATTTTTGACTTTCCCTAAACTTAAGTATAGATAGTAGTTAGTAATTAAGTTTTAGGAGAGTCAAAAGTCAAAATATGTGTTAATCAAATGTTGTATGTTAGCGGTAAGTAAGGCTTCTAGTCAGAAGTAGAAGCCTTACTGCTAACGTAAAACAGTTAACACATATTTTGTATGTTGTATGTATTATATACTCTATGCTTACAATGAACTAAGCTAGAGGAAAAACTCTTATTAAGAAAATGATAAGAAAGAGAAAATACATTTACAGTCTGCACTGTTTTGTGTTTATCAGTACCATAAGTTTACATCATCCGTTTACACGATGAACCACCTGTCTGAAAAAGCATGCAATCGCAGCTACAGACCTCAATCTGCAGTACACATCAAGCAATTCAACTTTTTCTAGTAATGTCATGATTTTTCTCTGCTTGGGATCACTTTCAGCATCACTACTGGCACTTCGTAGGGGTCCAATGGTGTTATTCAAGGGTTGCAGTGTTACACTAAACACGATAAAAATACAAGAGAAGCACAGAGAGATCACTTTTACTGCAATATGCATTTTACTGAATAGGCAAACTGCTCAGTGTACAATTGGACATGATTAATATCTCATAGCATTTTAAGCAGATGCTCCCAACACTTGAGTTCACTGCAATAGCAATAGGAGTACAGAATGTATTACAGTTAATTGTATGCAGTTTTGATTTAATACTGCATCTTTATGCTTGGTTGTATTTCCCTTAACTGTGAATGGTGCCATGTAAAGTCTGGGAGTGTTTATATGCCTAAGATTTGATAGATTTTAATGTTTTATAATAGATTTGTGCATATTTTATGGTAGTAAATGATAAAATACACTAGTATTTACATATATTTATGCATTCATGGCATAATTGTTTTCTTGTTTTTTTTGATATTTCTAGATTATGGGTTTGTCTGCAAGGTTTTTTTCAAATTGGCACAAATTTCCAAAAAGGTTTCTGAAATATTTATTGAAAAAAAATCCACATATCATTGGAGCCACACCAATCAAACCTGTGTTGTTCAAGGGTCAACTGTATTCTCTAAAGTCTCAATTCATGAACTCAATGCTTTCATTTGCAGTAGTTTATCTACTTTGTAAAATATATCTTTTTGAGGAAATAAACATGTATACTTAAATTCATCTCACCAATATGGCGCACCTGCAAGTATAATCGTTGTTTTCTTTATTTTCTGCCCTGATGGTTATTTTGTTATCCAGAAGTTTCTTGGACCTGTGATCATTTTCACAGTAAAGTAATGTGATCATTTATGGGTTTTCAGGTATCCATTTTGTTAATCTAACTGAAATCTTTAAAAACATTTAGAAAGCTGCATTCTACATATTTACAGTCAGATCACCTTGAAAAAGTCAACTTTGATAATATTTTAGCCTTGAAGACAATCTATTATTGATTAGTTATAGAAAGCAAAAATCAGTTGTGATATGCACATGGTAATCAGTAATTCTGTACTGTGTTTCTCTGATATTTTCTTTTGAATTCTCTTTCATTTTTTATATTATTGGAATTGCTCTGGAAATGTTTATACATATTTTAAATAATGGCAATAGGACACTATGACACTAAAGAATATTATAATCAAACAGTAGAAAGATATTTCCTATTTATTGTATTAATATTCATCTGAAATAGTAAAAGTCTTCATACTAAGAAATTCACTCCTATCCTGAAGCTTATCATAGTCCAGTCAACAGGATACTTACTCTTTGACTACAAGTCTTGTAAAGGTTTCAGCCAAAAATCAATACTTGACTATCAGAAGTAAAATAACTATACTTTATTTGCCCCTTGTTATACTAAAGTTTTCTTTTACATTTCAGTAGATAATTTTAGTGTTTGCTATTACAGTAATTGCTTGACAAATTTTATACTGACATGAATAAATAGCAGGAGCTTAGTACTTTGTTGTTTTAGTTTTTATTAGAACATGAAGTTACCTTTTATGGTCACCTCCGACCAGAGTAGCTATATTTCCATGGAATATCAGGAAAATGTCAAAATCAACAAAATTTGTACTAACAGCCATGTCTCAGATTCAATGACAGGGCTCTAATGTTTAGTTGGGCATTTTAGAAATAAACATGGCCACGTGTTGTAATCCCTACCTGTAAACATGTATAGTGGTTGTAAAGCTGGGAATATTATCTTGTCCAGAAGCAATTTGTATCTGGATACAGAAGGTGGATCTTTACTAAACTTGGAAAAGCAGTTCAAGTGACCAAATAAAAAAAATAAATAAATAAACCTGCCAAGTAATTTCTTGAGGGCTTGCTTTTATTTTATTTTTTATATTTTGGGTACCCGAACAGAAATTTTGTACATGCTTTCTGTTAAAATTAAAATAATTTCATTTCTGGAGATGACTTAAACTTCTTTATAAAAGATGTCCATAATAATTACAACTTGAAAAATAGTGTATAAAACTAGTAGAATTCTTGTGTTTGTTTTTTTCTTTTGATTTTCCTTATATGGATATCTTGGAAACTAAATAAGGCAGTGATCTTTGTTCTCATATTGTAATGTGTAAATATTTCAGAATCTAGATATTTAAATAGCATCTAATAATAGATCAGAATAAATTATCTCACCTTAGCTATATTTATAATTGAAAGAAAAGTGGTAAATTTGTTAATTGCTTTATAAGTGAGGTTTAAAGTCTTTGCTCCTAGAATTAACCATCAACAACCACAATGGTAGATTGAAGATTTATTTTGACCTGAAAGATCTGAATATTTGGCTAATTTTTATTTAAATTACAAATGTAGATGAACCAGTATGATATGATCTGTTCTGCTTTTTGTCCTGAGAACATACCCACCTCTGTTAATTACCCAAACTTTGAAAGCACTCATCACTTGAGCCCAACAATTCATATTGTTAAAAGTTCTGGGAAACGGCCAACTGCTCCACAAAGCTTTCATTACTCATAAACTATTTACCTTTCTCTTCTCTAAAAGTTAGTACTCAATTATATAATGGCTTTTGTTATTTACCAATTATTACACCTAGTGGAACTGATTTCAGCCAAATAGTAGCATAGTAAATGCTTCCTAAATTTTCTGTATTCCCCACTTTAATAAACATGTTAGCAAACAAATATCTGCAGAATAATTGATACTTCCTTTATGAAAAAGATTCGACTAGCACTTTTAAACAATAATTTTGTTTTTAGGATTTTTGTTTACTATTGTTTTAAAAATATGAGATATGGAATTATTATAATAATTGAGATAGTATAGCTGGAGAGAAGGAAAAAATATATAAAGTGTACATTGTTGGTGAAAGCCTATGCAGGGAACAGAGAAATTTAATGATTAAGTAGAAGATCATTGTAATTATATAATGTTTAAAGAAAATAGTGATTTTGAAAAAAGTTGAATAAAAATATTATTGTAATAATTGAAAATTGAGCAGAGAGCGTTTAATTTTGTACAAAAGCCCCTGATAGTGCCACATTTTTCCCAAGGTGTTTACCTATATCCAAGTGCCCTGTTTTTGTTTTTCTTTGGCATGTTGGCAGGCTAAACTTTCTAGCTTCCCTTGAAGATAGAAGGATGTTGTAATTAATTTAAGCCAAGCATTGTGAATGGAAATGAAGTACATTATTTTCAGGATACGGCACTGTGTGCTAATGGGCTGCCCACTCCTTCCTGAAACTACAAACTTGGAGGTCATGTGTTGAGATGGCAAGAACAAGATGGAGGCAACTTGGATCCTAGAGGAACAAGATTGAGGAGAATGTGCCCCTTTCCTCCTACCAGCCCATGTTTAATTGGGCATAAGTGAGTAATAGATTTCTTTTGTGAAAAGTCAATGAGCATTGAAGATTTGTCTGTAATGCAACTGGTAATTATCTTTTGTCTTTAGGCTTGCAAAAATAAAACTTCCATGATGATTCCTGTTAAGTAAAATTTCCCAACACTTAAAACAGTAATACAAAGACATGTCAACATTCTTGTTCATATTTTTGCTAAATAATTATCTTTTCAAATAGTTATTTAAAAATACAATTAATTTGGTTAACCTGAAACTAAATTTCATTAACTTAAAAGAAACATAACTGTTTTCCATTTGACTACCTACATCACTATTTATAAAATTACATCTTTATTTGTAAAGGAGAAAGAAAAATGAAGTAGTTTCTAATATTTCATTTTAAATTCTCTTTTCCAAAATCCTTTAAATACTGGATTCTGTAATAGTACAAACACACAAAAAAATGCAATCCTTTTACCGGTTCTGCCGGGAAAGGGCTAACCTAAAAGAGCTAACAGAGATTTAGCCAAAAACTTTAATATAGATTATGTATCTAGAAATATGTATCTTTTATATATTGTGGATAATATTATATATTTTAGTCCAACACATACTACATATATTAATGAATACACTGAAGAAGAATTTATGCTTTCTTCCTGAAGTTGCTTTTGTCAAGTCATCAAACTTCCTCCTAATTGCCATAAGACACTGACAGTGTTTACTGTATTTCCCTTTCTTCCACACAGCTAGCTGGAAAGTCTTCCTTCCTTTCTCTCCGTTTTGGAGAAAACTCTACTCTTTCTTCAAAAACTATTTCAAATGTCAGCTCCTCTGTAAAGCCTCCTTGATATGTACGTCCTTGGTAGTGGCTCTTCCTTTATTCAGCATTAACTTAACAAACAGGTCATTAAGCACTAACCGTGTACTTGATTGGATATGAAGGACACAGCAATGAATAAAATTGCACAGAGCCCTTCCTCTCATTGACTAGCATGGAGGGATATAGGAGATACATAAACAACTAAATAACTATTTCAGGTGGTAATAAATATTATGAAGAAAGAGGAATCAGAGTAGAATATGGAGCATGCCAGGTAGAAAGGAACATTTTTTATAGAAGGAGAATAAGTAAAGGTTAACTCACAGATGAATTTGATCACAGATCTAAAGGAAGTAAGGTTAACAGTCATGTGTATATTTCAGAAAAAGAAATATGGATGGAGACCACATGAAAATTGAAGGCAAGAGGATGTATGGTGTCTTCAAGAATACCAAAGAAATCGTTAAGTTTTTAATATCTGTATTTATTATGCTATATAGAATTCACACAAGTTTCTATACTTTGAGCAAATAAGAGCTGAAAAGTTTCTCTGTGTCTTAATTTTTTTCCCTGGAGTGATATAATTAAAGCCAAATATCATCCTACACACTGTAAAGAAGAAACACCAAAAAGAAAAAAAGAAAGAAAAAAAGAATCTGGATGGTGTTAATAGGGGAGAAAAAAGCATCAGGACCTCTTTCTTTTACTTTTGTTATTTGGTACACAGGATGCCCTGATCCAGTACTTTGAGAGAAGGCTTTGTGTGGTATACATTTTCATTTCTTTTGGATAATTAACAAAAGATAGGATTTCTGGGTCATATGACAACATCAGGTTTATTTAACCTTTCCATTAACTGTCAGACACTTCCAGTGGGACTGCATCATATACCCATTTCTGTCAGCCATGTAAGAAGGTTCCTTTTCCTCATAGCCTCATCAAAGTTTACTGTCTCCTGACATGTACAGTATAGCCTTTCTAGTAGGTAGGTATAACATGGTATCTTAATGTGGTTTTAATTTGCATTTTTCTAGTGACTAATGATTTGAGAATCTTTAAATGTGCTTATCAGATATTCATTTATCTTCTGTGGGTAAACGTACTTTCTTGGCTTGTTATAGGTGTATTCATATTTAATCAGTCATAATTTAACCTCCAGTTTGGTCAATTAGCTAAAGTCCTACTTATTTAAGCAAACTGGCTCTGAAAGTCCTAACAGTTAAGAAACATACAAAGAATGAAAGGTAATTACTCTATAGTCACATAGAGATTAACATAGCTGCATAGAATTGGTAAGAAGAAAACTAAACTTTTAGGAGGTGATATCATAGAAATTTAATGATGAGCCTTGAAGCTGTTTTATGAGCTTTGATTTTTACTGTGAATAACACAAAAATGCATTGAAGAGTTTAAAACAGAGGAGTGATGTGATCAAACTTAAATTTTACAGTTTATATATGTTTTACACATATATATTTTTAAAAATATATATTCATTAGTTGTTGCTCAAGTACAAGACATAATTTACTTTTTATATTAAATTTTATAATAATGATTATAATAATAACTGGATTGTGATAATGGTGGAAGAGATATGCTGCTTTTTGTAATATCTTAGACAGCTGAAAGCTAGGAATGAAATGGTAACTAAAAGGGCTACAGAACTCAGTAACTGTTGCAATGTGCCATAGATTCCTTAAAGAAAAATAATGACAAACTTATATTTATTAACCACTAATGCAAGGTCAAACGTTAAAGCCAGAGGACTTCCTGGACAGCATTTATAGAAATCCGAATCTTGACTGGCTAAATCTGAAGTTGAGAGTTAGAACAAAACTCAAGACTTAATCATAAAGACAGAGAGTTTTATCACTTAGAGATCTAGCAGATAAATTACTTAAGGTCGTCTGAGTCTTCTATAACAAAATATTTAAGGTGTTGTTATGTATACTTACGTTGCCAACAATTTTATCCACTGAATTACTTACCATCAATATTGGATTTCTATCATATCCTTTTAGGGTCTTTTTCCTTCTGATAGAAGTACACCTTTTCTATGGTTTGAATGTATGTGTTCTCCAAAATTCATATGTCGAAACCAAGGTGATGGTATCAGAAGGTGAGGCCTCTGGGAGGTGATTAGGTCAAGAGGGCTCCACGCTCTTGTATTAGATTAACACTCCTGTAAAAGATACCTCAGAAAGCTGCCTCCCTCTCTTACTCTTTCCCATGTGAAGACAAAATGTTCATCCCTTCTGCCATGTGAGGATGCAGCAAGAAGGCCCTTACTGATACCAAATCTGCTGGCACCTTGATCTCAGCTTCCTAGTTTCCAGAACTGTGAGAATTGCCAAGTATAAAATATTTTGTTATAGCATCAGGAACAGGTGAATACAGCCTTAAGTAGTTTATCTGCTAGATCTCTAAGTGATAAAACTCTCTGTCTTTATGATTAAGTCTTGAGCTTGGTTCTCACGCTGTCTGACGTTCAGATACAGCTAGAAAAGAATAGGGTTTCCATAAATGCTGTCCAGGAAGTCCTCTAGTTTTAACATTTGACCTTGTGTTAGTGGTTAATAAATATAAGTTTGCAATTATCTTTCTTTAATGAATCTATAGCTGACTGCAACAGTTGCTGAGTTCTATAACCCTTTGAGTTACCATTTCATTCCTACCTTTCAACTGTCTAAGATATTACACAAAGCAACATATCCCCTCCACTATTATCACATTCCAGTTCACTACTAATGGAAGTTTTAACAATTGCACTGCTACATTATGCCAGGACCTATTCATACTCTAATTACCGAGAGCGATGGGTACTTCAATCGACAGCAAGCCAGTAAGTGACTGATCTCCAAAACCCCATCTATGAATCTGCTTTTAAGGTCCACTACTGATAACAAACCTCTTAAATTTGGCTTCATGATTATAGACTCTGAATAAATTATTATAGACTCTGAAGAAAAGAGTTTTGTGTAGAAGTTTTACTAGTAAATACTCTTGGGTGATAACCTGTAACAAAGAGAAAAAGGCAGGATTAATCAGAGAGAGAAGACAAACTACTGTGCCTAATGAAAACATCCAAAGAAATCAAGGCTGAATAGTCAGGAGAGTAGTCACCTTGATAAAAAAGTCATGATCTCTTGCTCAGTTTCTGGACCCCTGGAGCCTCTTAGGTTTTAAGCGTTCCATTCACCTCAGAGGTGCTGGTTATCTTAGTTTCAGAGGGATTACAACTTCATGCCTTACTGAGAATTGCTTGATCCATAAAAAATAGCCCATTCAAGTTTCCACCCCCTTTCAGGCAGTGGCTCACAGTTAATGACTAACTGATGAAGGAATATAACACATGTTCTCTTTGCCTTAATTTGGGGCCACATTGTTATTCCAGCTCCAAAACTTGACAGCAGACTGGCTGAAGCCTCAGTTGCAACTACATTGAAGATTGGTGTTTTCCTTTGCTCAATCCTATTTCTCCAATCATTATTATTTTTGGATGTGTATCTCAAAGAACATTCCACAATAAACTTTCTGTTTGCAATTCTCCAACTCAGAATCTATACAAAGAAAGTTCAATATAAAATAGGTGGTATATTAAAATAGAATGCAGGATGCATTATTCTGGACAATTTAAAGACAAAGGACGAAACAGCAACAGCTATCAGTTTCTAGTTCTGAAAAATCTGTAGCATTGAGCTTCTTTGGTACACAGGGTGCTTTGATCCACCACACAAGTCTGGTTTTCACTCATCTCTCTTCCTACTTTAATATCTATCATTTCCTTCTTGGTTCAGGAGCCATTCTGCATTTCCTTAACACCTCAAGTCTCATTTTAAAATTAGGGTATAGCATGAAAATTAAGGATAGAAACTTTAGACTTTTTATCATTTTCATTGTAACACTGTATATTTTAAGATGAATTCACTCTAATGTTTTTGATACTGAATATCAAGCAGGACAACTGTGGCTGTAATTGAGATCTGTGTCTAAGAAATTTATAGAATAGTAAATCTTCCAGAGAATTAGTTATCAAGCATTGTATATCATAATGTGCTCTCAGAAACTCTAGGGAAAATGGTCTGAGTAGGTGCAGGGATCCTGTAGGAAAATGCTGAATCTTCCCTCCTTATGCCTTTCTTGATAATTATTTAACTTATTATTTTAAATCTTTTGGTGGCAAGAAGAGGTTAATTAGGAAGGAATTAGAAAATATATTGTAATATTGTTCAGGTAGTAATACCTACACACTTCTGGGAATGTTCATACCTCTAAGCTTGGCTTGATGTTTTGCAGTATGCTCACATACTGCTGGCAGGCATTTTGAGGTCAATAAAGTTTTTAATTTTTATGCCAGATTGATTTTGGTCTTTTGTAAGTTATCTCAGGATTTGTAGGAAGTTACAGGTAGACCACAGTTATAAGGTATGTGAAGGAGGAACAGAAAAGGCAAAGAAAGGTCTTTCTTTCCTTTCTTCTTTCTTTCTTTCTTTCTTTCTTTCTTTCTTTCTTTCTTTCTTTCTTTTTCTTTCTTTCTTTCTTTCTTTCTTTTCTTTCTTTCCTTTCTCTCTCTCTCTCTCTCTCTTTCTTTTCTTTCTTTTGAGAGGGAGTCTTGCTCTATTGCCTAGGCTGAAATGCAGTGGCGTGATCTCAGCTCACTGCAACCTCCACCTCCTGGGTTCAAGTGCTTCTCCTGCCTCAGCCTCCTGAGTAGCTGAGATTACAGGTGCCCACCACCACATCTGGCTAATTTTTGTATTTTTAGTAGAGACGGGGTTTCACCATGTTGGTTAGGCTGGTTTCGAACTCCTGACTTCAGGTGATCCACCTGCCTTGGCTTTCCAAAGTTCTGAGATTACAGGCAGGAGCCACCATGCCCGGCCTAGGTCTTACATTTCTAATACCCTCATCTTTGTGTGTATTTAACAAGTATAAAATATCCACAAGATGCAATGTTTACATAAATTTAAAATAAGCAAAACAAACAAAAACTTTGAATATAATAAGCTATTACTTTAGAGTTTTGCAATAAATATGCAGTTTTCTAGGCCATGGATGGGATTTTGTTGTTCATGATGATGATATTGTATATTATGTGTGTATGTGCGTGTGTGTTTTATAAAGAAAAAAAATCACACAGTTTACTTGAAATAGTAAAACAAGGTAAATCAATACCATTTTCTACTTGCTTGGCAGAAATTCTCACTAATCTTAAAAAAGTTAACTATTTAGAAGGTTAATTTAAGGTCTTGTACTATTTTAGAAGTCAACATAGTAAAGTGAAGAAGGTTGATTAGAAATCAGGAACTCTCTATTTTAGCTTCTACTTTGATACTAACTAGTTGTGTAACCCTGGGCAAATCACTTAACCTCTAAGATCTGTCTTCTCATGTGTAAAATGAGAAGGCTGAACTACATGATCTCTGACAGTGCTCAACTAAACCGGCAACTAAATCAAAATATAGAGAAGTTGATTGAAATAGCAGCACATACAAACATATAAACTAGTGTTGAAGAACAGAAATAGGGAATTAGAGCAGTTGATTTATATTTACGGGTTTCTTCTAATCCTTAATGTTGACTGCAGGCCACACCTAGTAATTTTTTCATATGGGATGATTCTGCAAAAATAAATAAAATACCATTTCTTTTGTATATCATTTTGTGAAATTAGAGAGCATAACAATATTCTACGAATATTTATTTTATGTACATTTGCCTCACAAACTTAAAGTGCATTCCTCCCATGACTGTCTTCTGTTTATTTCTAATATTTCACTAATAAAGTATGTGTTTTAATGTGGAAAAGTGAAAAATACCAATATGTTGCTATCAGTGGCAGCAGGTAACCAAATAGCAATGTTTGTCTTTATTAGAACCAAGAGGTAAATTTTCTACATTTAATCCATCCCTGGAGCCATGTGTTAAAAACTTCCATTACCCCAACTGTTATTAATAAGCAGAAAAATTGGGATAAAATAAATGGGTACACTACAAGTTAGATTTTCTACTCAAGTAGGGAGTCACCAAAAGTGGGTAACAACATCCCACATGTTTGATTAAAAACTAGACAGGATTTCTCCCTAGGTGAGACTGAAGTGTCTCCTATGATGCTAAAGGAGTATTACAAAAACATTCCGAGATTTTAGGACTATCTCACTTTTGCTGCTTCATATGATAGCTTAAATCAGGCATGCAGATCCTCTTGGTTGTATAGTTGCTAACAAATTGTTTGCCAGTGGTAATTTCCTTCCACTTAACAGAGATTAATGTATCTCATCTCAATCAGCAACGTTACAATTTCCTTTATAGCCACATGTTTTTGTTTATCTCACTATATGGAATGCTGTCTATTACATACTTAGATACTTCCTCCATTAGAAAGTTGAATGTCTTAAATTATAATAATAATAAAAAGGGAAAGTTGAATTTCTTAAACTAATCTTTCTCTATTATAATGTAGAATGAATTTTACTCAGTTCTATCAGGATTAATTTTTTTTTCCCCTTACCAAGTAACTGGCAAAGCAACTCAATGACAAAATGCTACCCTTGAGCTAACCTGTCAACCCAGTTAGAATAAAGGCACAGAGAAATGTAAAGGAGAAATACATAAATACTAAAGCTTTAGTGCGAGAACCTTGTAGAAGAACAGAAAAAAATAAATAAAAATGTTCTTCTGATGGCACACTTTTTATTAACTGTATAAAACATATTTAAAGTAAACAAATGTTAATACAAAGTTTTACAAATTAAAAATAATAAAATCAGAAATTTTAAAAGGACATACGGGAGCAATGCATAAAGAAAGAAATTTAAATGGCTAACAATGTATGAAGACACTTTGAAGCTCACTAATAAACCAAGAAATAAAAATAAAAATGTTAGTGAGCCACCACTCTTTAACGATGAAATTATAAAGAATTTTATAAGTAGTATCACTCAATGTTGGCAAAAATAGAAGAAAATGGAATATCTTATACATGTTGATTGGAGAATAAAGTAGAATAAGCTTTCTGTAACACAGTTTCACAATAAATAGCAAAAGCTTTAAACTGTCTCCATACATCAATTTTTCTGGAAATTAACCTAATGGATTAACTACAGATTTGAGCAAAGATTTAGTTTCAAGTATATTTATTAAAAACTAAAAGCAATGCAGGAAATAAGCTTTATGCACCAAAATGATGGTGACTTTAAAAACTCTTATAAAAAGATACAGATAGATAAATTTGCATATATATATCCATATTCTATGAAACTATTAAAACCATACTTATGTACTTATGAGATGTATATATATGTATATATATACATATATATAAAATCTATTCAGTGAAACAAGATTAAAGACTAGTATTCATGTCTGATTCATTTTTTTGTGAACTCCTGTGTCTAGCAGAGTGCTTTTCCCAAAGTATAGAACATGCGTTTGTTGAATGAATGGGTGAATGCAACTATTGTAACTTTTAAATGAATTCTCCACCATCTATGTGGCATGCCTCTCTTATACCAGTGGATGTCATGATATGTAAATTCCTTTCGCCAGTCATATTTCTCTTAACCTTCTTCTGGATAGTGTCTGGAATCTGTCACTGTGGGGAGCGTTTAAAACCTGCATGAGATTTAACATCTTTAGTGTGTAGCTCCAATATTTCGTGTTCGCCAGTATGGATAAGCAATGTTATTTTCATATTTATACTTTCAAACGTAGCAGTTTTGAGCTTCCATCTGCCCTACATAACAAGAAATTAGGATTTTTAGCCCTATGTCAAACCTCTTAAAACCTTATTTTTTTCAAGGAACCCTACAGGGGTCTAGAGTGAGTTCTGGTCTTCCTTCCCATGAGCTAACAGAGCAAATTAAATCTATGCCATAGAAGGCAGAAAATCTGAGGCCACCGGCCAAATTGCAGATGTATGAGAAACCAAGCAATTCTTGCTGTTATTGTCCCTGCTTCTCAAAACCTGTGAAGTATGAATTTGGTACCCTTCAGTTGATAGAAAATGAAGGTCACTGCTGGACACCAGTAGAGAGGTAGAAATATGACATAGCTCCTCCTATATCATATTTACTTGACAGGAAGTGAGAAGTTTCCAGGGGCATGGTTGGGGAGTGCAAGGCGAATGAAAGTAGTAAACTGAGTCTCCACATTAATTTTCTTGGAGCAGCTCTCTGAAGTTTGCCATCCCTGTAGTGAAATTGTTCTTGCTCTCAACACTATTCCTAGCTGGGCCTCAAGCCCTGATACACAGTGGAGATAAAGTTTTCTAAATTCACGCATCCTGACAGTGTTGTTGCTTCAGCTGTTGAAATCAGAGGCTTTATCATCCATTTTAGCAGACACCATAATAATTCATGTAGGTATAACACGACCTCTGCCATTTTTTCAGTGGTCTCTGCTATTATAAGCTAGGGTTTCTTTGAAATGTGAGGAAGGATGCTCTTTCCTTCTCTATTTCATCACCCTAGATCTTCCAAGCCAAGAGTGACTTTCAGTTGCAAATGTAGGGTCATAACTTTTAGGCTTGCCTACAGAACCATCTCTCTCGGGCACCAGTCTGCATGCAGGATGGCTGGGGCAAGCAGGTATGAAACAGGTATCAATACTCCTTTGAGACCTAATTTCAGAGTCCAGTCCTGGCTCTATTTCTTAACTTCATTGTAAAATATTTCGTGGGGGCCCAAATTGCCTTCCAGTAATCTGCTCTTGACCAGTCCACTTCTGTGATTATGATTGTTTTTCAAAACAATCTAGCTCTGTGACCTAGCTTTGCTGTTGGAACACACAGTTGCCATTAGAGCTTGCCACAGTGACACTTACCTCCTCTTTTTAAATAACTGTTTGATTTCCCCTAAGCATCCACTGCATCCTCTAAACCCAAATATAACTTTAGTTAGTCCTCATAAATAGAAAAAAGTGTAAAAAAGTAAATTTTCCCAGCTTTTGCTTGTAGCTTCTTGGTAAAGAAAATTGGCCAGAAGCTTGTAATATGAACTTTGTATTTATCCCCCTCTACAAGTTTCTATCATTAATACATGTCAACATTTAAAATTCTAACCAAATGGCAGGAGGTAATAACTGACTTCTAAAGCTACTAATATAATTCTCTGCTTCTTTATAAATTCACATAAAAGACATAGAATTTTCATTACAAAAGGAATCTTAAGAAATTAATTGGTGGAGTGAACTTAGTTTAAAAATAGAAAAGGAGGTGCATGTCCAGTAATGGGTTACTAAAGGTCCTGTTAACTTATGAAGTCGGAGTTACAATACAGGTCTCTGTATTCTTTGTCAAAATATTTCCTCCTTTTCATTAACCTAAAAAAGAGTTATGTATATTTTAATAATTGTACTTAATATATGTCATATTTTCATGTGGACTAGGATACTAGTATTCTAAAAGTTCCGTTAAAAGCATCCCCTCATTTGTCATAAAAAAAAAAAAAACATAAAAACAGCATGACTGTACAAGGAGTTTGGAAAAAAATTCTATTGTTTCAAAATCAGTGACTTCACTGATGATCAGAGGAAAGTGTGTCATATAATTAATACTGGGATCAAAAAAGTTTATGTAATTACAAAAGTGATATAAAAATCATGGTTAGTTATTGTTTAGCAATAGTACTGAACTTTATATATATATAAAGTTCATCGCCCACCACCACACCTGGCTAATTTTTTGTACTTTTAGTAGACACAGGGTTTCACTATGTTGGCCAGGCTGGTCTTGAACTCCTGACCTCATGATCCGCCTGCCTCGGCCTCCCAAAGTGCTGAGGTTACAGGCATGAGCCACTGTGCCCTGCCTGAACTTCTTATTTTTTAACATGCAAATATATTCTTGTGGGACTTAATTTGTTAAACATTATGCAATAGAACTATTTTTTTTTCTTATTGATGAAGAAAATTTCTGGTACTCTGTTTTAAGATGCCAGTTTTTTTGTAACACGGCAATAAAAGCATTGAAAATGATAGAAGTAAGAAGAGAAGTATGGGATATGGGGGAAAGTGGACCTAGGGCCTTCTTGAGATAAATATTTTGCTTGTCTTATATTTAGCTCAGCTGGGCTCATCTTGGGCTTGTGGTTGTGGAGGAGGATAAGCCCTTGGACACAGCAAGAACACCCTAGAAGCAGGCATACAACCTTGAAGGTCTAGTAACTGTTCTCTCTTACTTCTAGCTATTTACCAATCAAAAGGTAAAAATCCCTTTATGCCACACTAATAAACAGTCCCGAAATTAACAACTTACTATTTATTATTTACTTTTCTCTCCCACTTCCCCAAATAAAAGTTTATAAAGACCTTAAATGAGAGTTGCTTCATTTATTATTCTCCCTTAGGATGACCCTTCCTCATTTGTCAGCACACTCTAAGAAAAGCATTCCAAAATAGCTTTGCTACTTTCTGCAGTAATTTATTTTTATAAACTTTAAATCATTAATTTATTACAATATAGATTTATCTTTCTAAAATTTAAGACATTTTAATTAAAATTATCTTTTTTTTTTTCACTGAAGACATCAGCTATTTATTGAGATATTCCAATCTCTCACACTCTCATACTTTCTGCAAAGGATTAACAGAATTGTGCAGAGTGATGCATAGTGGCATTATCAAACCAAATTGATCTGAACCTAGGAAAGAAGAAAGAATTTTATGTAGGATGCAATTTGCAATTTGAAGCATACAGTCAGATAGCAGTCTCCTCAGGATGGTCTTCCTGGAGCCATTGTGCTGATCAGCCACAATGAAAAATCCTATCCTAGCAGTATTCAAAGTATTAGCATATTCCAACACTAGCACACACTGGCTGACTTTCCTCAGTTCATTACACAGTTGAAGGGCATGGACACTTTTTCTATTTCCATGTGTTTTTTTCTCAACTTTCTCTTCTAATAGGTTTGTACTGAAGTTTCAAGTTTCCATTGATAATTGTAGCCAGAAATATGGCTATGCAAACTTATTTTAAAAATGCCAATGTATGAAACATCAAAAGAGAATTGCAGTGCATTAGTCAATTATGTGAATATACTATAAAATTCATAGTTTTATTTTGTGTTTTTCTTTTACTTTAAAGTCTTCTTATAAATGTGTTTTCTTGACAACCATAAATGAACTGAAAAATGGAGCTCAAATTATAAAATTACTATAATCATCGGGTTTATATTACTTATTACTTAATATTATCATAAATGCTTAAGAACAGAATTTACTTCACTTGAATTCAAGCTTTAATTTGAGATATACAAGTATACTTATATTGATTTGAATGAGGTTATCGTGGTAAATAACTAAGTTAATTCATCCCACTGTTCAGCAACCACTAAGTTGAAGAGCAGAAGGAAGGAAGTGGGGGAAGAGGAGGAAGAAAGAAAAGGAGAGAGGGAAGGGCAAAGGAAGGGAGTGAGGGAGGAAGGAAGAAAGGAAGGAATGAAAGATGATGATAAAAGGGAGGGAAGACTAACCAGGTATTAATACTCTAATTGTGGGAGGACATCTAGACCTGAAAAGGAATTGACTGAACAAGATATTTGACTGAACAAGATATTAAACTGAACAAGAAACTGAAAAGTAAAATTTGTAGGGGCAGATAGTATTTAAATATTAATTAGTTCTAATGATTTTAAATTTCTAGAGATCAAATCTTCTGTTCACTTCATTTTTAAATCATTAGGATCTGATCCCAGATGCTCAATAAACATTTGTTAGAACAAAAAGATTACAAAGTAATGAGAAATCCACTTTTGGAGACTTCTAATACTTAGTGCATTTATATGAGGAAGGTCTAAAACCAATGGCTATGAATTTAGATAAACTGATTTTAGCTGAATTCAAAGAACTTTCATTCCTACCCAAAGGTAAAAAAAAAAATCTGCCTTGGGAGTAAGAAGTTTCTAATCCTACATTGAGCAATAGACATGAATAATAAAAAGGTGAAGGTAATAAATGTCAAGATTTATTCAAATCTTGAGATTAGAATTCTGGGATTAAAAGCTTCACAAAAAAATAATAAAATAAATTTTACAAATAATGAAGCAACAAAATTATATCTGAAGTGTTAACATGCAATGTTACAAAACCTGGGTTTAAATATTTCCCTAGAATCAATTGTAGTTAGAGTTTAAAAATTCAAATAATTGTTTAGAATAATTAATGCATTTTCTGGTGTTTTATATCCATTAAACACATTTTGTTTAAAGAATCACAGAAATACATTTTAAGCAAAAATAACATATATCAATGAACAAGTTAGAAATACAAAAGGCATATGATTGAAGCACACGTTGAAAATAATCAGTTTCTGTATGTTAAGTAACACTAAATTCTTCAAAATAGAAGTTCTTCAGCATATGAATCATGTACACAATATTAAATATATATTCTGCACATATTGGTTTCTTGCATCATATATAATGAAAATAAGTTTTTATATTATATCTAGTAGAAGAGAAAGTTTCATTTGTCACCCAAGACATCATATTTTAGAAATATAGCTTTATACTACTGGACTTCATAAAGGTCATCCTCAGGGTACGCTGAAATTTCAGGACTGACAGTTTTTAAAAAAATTTCCATAAAATGAATTCTCAGAGCATCTTGCAAAACTCCTTAGACCAAATATGTAATTAGTATTTGAAGAAAAATAAATAACTTGTTAATTTAAACCCAATTAATTTTGTGACTGCAGAAATATGTGAGGTATAAAGATTCATTAGGAGATAATTGATTTTCATTCTTGAATCCAAGAGGTCAGGAAATCTACTCACTTAAAACAACTGCAGAAAACAAGTATAAAAAAAATGCAAGCACATTAAGCTCCACCTCAGAATGTTAGAGAAACACAACTGAGATGTTTTGAAGAAAACAAGGACACATACATAGAGAAACAAAATTGTTAAGGGAGCCCTTCTAATAGCCAGTAAACATGTCTTTCATTCACAATTTCTTTATTATTATCTTCTGATATTCAAAAGTACTTTGTACCCATGCTATGCTTTGTCTTCAGGGTTTTGATGTTCAACGTTTCATGCAAGTTCAAAAAACTTGATTCTGGTAGCAAAATTATAGCAGGAAGAGGAAGCAGGACACCAGAGGCTTTTCTTTTCATGGGTAGGTCAAAATAATTCCTTCAAGATGTCAAGGAAAAAACATTGAAATGTTATAAAAGAACGTTTCAATGTTCCTTTCCTAAATTCTCCGTGCATTCCTACAGCTTCCATTTGAAGTACTTATGATAGAAGCCTTAGCTTTTCAACAAATTTCTCCAAGCAGAATTGTGCCCCCAAAGCAAATTAGGAAATATACTTAAAAAGGAGGGGAAAGAAAAAGGCTTATGAATTATATTAGTCCATTCTCTCATTGCTATAAGGACACACCTGAGACTGAGTAGTTTATAGAGGAAAGAGGTTTAATTGACTCACAGTTCTGCAGGGCTGGGGAAGCCGCAGGAAACTTACAATCATGGTAGAAGGGGAAGCGAACACATCCATCTTTTCATGGTGGCAGCAAAGAGAAATGGAGAGCAAAAAGGGGAAAAGCCCCTAATAATACCATTAGATCTCATGAGAACTCACTCACTATCACAAGAACAGGATGGAGGAAACCGTCACCATGACTCCATGACCTCCACTTGTCCCTCTCATGACATATGGGGATTATGAGAACCACAATTCAAGATGAGATTTGGGTGGGGATACAGCCAAACCATACCATGAATACTTAGATCTGTACTTTCCAAAGAAATCATAAAAACAGCTTCATAATATGTTATTAAAATAAGACCATTATTACTTTATAAATCAAATCACTTTTAGCAGTAGCTTATGACCACAATTTCCAGATGAAGTCTTTATTTGTACTGTTCTTTATAAACATTTATCCAGTAGGCCTTCAGTGGAAAGAAAGTTAGAAATGCTTTGAAGGATGAATATATTTATATCTGAAGTTCTGCTTATATAGTCTCAAAATACCCATATACAAAATGAAATTTTTCAACATATTAATATTCAGAACTTTCCAAATATCCAGAAGGCCAACATACAATTTATTTTTTTATTTTCATTCAATAATTGATGTATAGCCTTTCCAAAAATATGCATCATTTAAATAAGATCCAATAAACCCAGGTTATATACATTTACATTTCATTCTTAAACTACCATATTTACACTTAATATTGTTATGTAAATATATTAATATATAATTAAACATATATTTTCATCTTTTGATTGCAAATTGCCTAAATTTCAAATATTTTACCATTATTTTTTTTTAATCCACTAAAGTTGTACTAATGGAGCACTATCCAATACTGCAATAATGGAATATTTTATATGTGCTATTTCCAATACAGTAACCACCAGTAAAATGTGGCTGTTGAGCATTTGAAATTTGGCTAGTTTGACTAAGGAAGTTAACTTTTATTTATTTAAGTTTAGTTGCTTTATATTTAAAAAATCACCATGGCTGCTGGCCACCATATTTGTCAGCACAGCTCTGAAGTATTTGAAGGTAATTCAAGAGCTATTACTTCTCTTTATTGTTAATATTCCATTTTTGAATTTCATTTACTGTTGTTACTTGTTTCTTTACAATATCTTTGTACTGAGAGTACTTACCAACATTTTGTCTTCCTTTACAGTGAGTGTCAAACTGAAGCATAGCCATCCGTACTTTTTAATGGAATGAACAAGCTGTGCTCTCTAAAAACCAGAATAACTATTAATATCATCATCAGCTATGGAAATACAGTGGCAGAATGTGTTATGTCCCTAGCAACAATCCTTTTTCTCCTCAGAACTCACCTTGCTTACATCATTTCTCACCTTAAGAAATCAATTAATTCGAAGACTTCCTCCACCTATCCCACTCTAAGACTTAAGAGTCTAAGAGATAAACAATACAATTTGTTCTCTCATTTTCTCTACAGAGACCTCCTATTCAGAATTGGGTTTGGGCTCTGCCTTGCCTCAGGAAGTTAATAAAATTCACTTTTCATGTAATCTGATGAGTTAGTTTGAAAATGAGTCTTTCCGCATTTAAAAGTTCTGGGAAATAATGACAACCTATTCTCTATGGCAGCTTCTTCTCATTTAAAATAATTTGATAAAAATAAATATTTAAAATCTTTCTAAATTTGTTTTAGAAATATTTTATGAATGCATCCAGAAAAATAATTATATTTTAAATTATTTGTATACTTATAAAATATAAATTATTTCCTACTTTGTGAAAGTTATATATACACTGTATTTGGGTCATTTGAACAGAATCTATGGATCCTCTTAGCTCTTAAACAATGTCAATATGAACTATTTGGCAAAATTCTTTATTTTATAAAGAAGTGATAACATTAAAAATTAAATAGATGTATAATCATATTTGACTAATTTTATAGCTTGCTAAATTTGTAATGACCTCTGACCTTTACTTCAAAAGAATGTACCACCCACCTAACTCAGTATTATGTCAACACCAATTTCAACCAAGTTTTGCTCCAGTTCACAAATTAAATACTAATGAAAATATTACATAATATCTCAGGTCATAGATTGACTCTGGCACCATTCTTTTTCACGGAAGACTGTCAAGTTGAAAAAACATATATTCCATTTGAAATTTGAGCACTGATCATAGGCAGTGGAGTCAGATAGTTCTGAGTTCAAATTTCAGCTTTTACTTGCTATCTATGTGAGTTTGGACAAGTTAATTTATGATCTCTAAAAATAGTGTAGAGATGTCATAAGAAGATTTTGAGAACAAATTAAGTAGTTATCCAGCATGGATATACAGTGTACAAAATATTTTCCTCTATATACAGTGTACAAAATATTTTCCCAGAGGGTTTTGCTATGGCTAGGATAGCAGGTACCAGGTTTAGTATATAAATTGCTGGGATCCAACACCATGGCTTCAGCATTGGAAGTAAAAGTAAATAGAAAAACTAATTGTCAGGTGAGAGCAAAGTTGAGATTCAATGGAAGAATCCAAGGTGTCAAGTCCATAGGGGCATATGTGTTGAGTGGCAAGAAACCAACCAACATCAAAGGCTTTGCAATGGCAGGCTGGCAGGAAAAAGCTAGTATGTTCAGTTGGCAGAACATCAAGAGGCTTCTATAAACAACAGTAGAAACAGAGACAGAGCTTATGGTTGCTTTGATTTTGGGAAGGTAACTGTTATAGGTGAGTTTTGATACTATGAGAACATACTCAATAAATATTTGTCCTCTTTCAGTTCTTTCCCTATGTCCTTTCTCCTCTATCTCTAACAATGCTCCTACCTTAAAAGCACTAATTTTCCCATTTCCTCTTAAAAGCTATTGCCTTTTAAAAAATTTATTCATTCCTTTTCTATTGAGCTTCTGTCCAAGCCACTCTGCCAAAACAAATCTGTCAATGACATCTTAGTTCCAATTTCAACGTACTTTTTATTCTCAGCTCTCTGATAGTTATGCTTTAGATTGTTTAAGGCTTTTCTTTCTTGTTTCTTCTCTTAGCCTGCATTATCTCCAGCCTGAATCATTTCTCCTTTTTATGATACTTGAGTAGAAATGTCTTTCAAACTTTTTTCTTAAAATTCTTGCATCTTATCTATTAAAACTTCCCACCTTCAACTTTCTTCGCCCAGCTGATTTTCCAATCTAAATGTTTTACCACAACTCCTTGATCTCTAGTGCCCTGCTATGGTCTGAGTGTTCTAGTCCTCCCACCCCCACCCCCTAACCCCCAAACTCATATGTTATTCAGAGTCTGGGCCTTTGGGAGGTGATTAGATCATGAGGACAGAGCTCTAGAGATCGGGGTCACTGCCCTTATAGAAGAAGCCTCAGAGATCTGCCTTGCCTCTTCTACCATGTAAGGAGACAGCAAGAAGACGCTATGTATAAGAAATGGGTCCTCACCAGGCACATAATAAATTTATGTTGTGAATAAGCTATCTATGTTTATGATATTTTGTTATAGCAACCTGACTACAGACTAAGACACCTCCTATTTATAAATGACCGCTAGTTTTTACCCTAAGATAAATGCTTCTCTACCGAGGAAATTTTGCTCTCAAGAGGGCATTTGACAACGTCTGGAGACATTTTTGGTTGTTACAATATTGAATACTACTGGCATCTAGGGGTAGAGGTCAGGAATGCTGCTAAACATCTTCTAATGCACAGAACAGACCGCCATAACAAATAATTATCCAGTACAAAAATGTCAATAGTGCCAAGGTTGAGAAATTCTATCTTCAATGCTTTCCATACAACTAAAGGGCAATATATCTGCATTTATTTTCTATTGAAGTTACCATGAATTTAGCAGCTTAAAATGTAAGTAATTTATTAATTCACAGTCAATGGGCCAGAAGTCTGGCTAAGCATGAGTGGGCTCTTTACTGGTTATCAAAAGACCAAAACCAAGGTACGAGCCAAGCTGAGTTCTCATCAGAAGGCTCTAGAGAAAAATCCACTCCAAGCTTGTTCTTAGTATTAGCAAAAGTCATCTCTTTGAGGCTGTAGAACTGAAGTCCCCGTTTCCTTGCTAAGTGTCCCCATTTCTTTGCTAGGTCTTCCTTGCTGCTTTCAGCTTTGAGAAGCCACTTGAATTCTTTGCCATGTGGACCCTAATCTTCAAGCCAGCACTGAACCATTCAGTCTTTCTCATGTTTTGAACCTCTGACTTCCTCTTTTGCTACTAGCCAGACAAAATGCCCTACATGTAAAAGGTTTCTATGATTAGGTGAGGCCCAAATGCACAATCTCCCTTTCTTAAAGTCAATTGTGCCATATCACAGCATATTCTAATCATAAGAATAAAATTAATCACATTCACAGTCTGAGAGATTATGCACAACTTGCACACCAGGGGTGGTGAGTCTTGACAATCATCTAAAAATATTGACTACTACAATATTTAGAACTGAACTCATGTTTTTCGTACCAAAATTAACCTTTCTTGCTGCTTTTATTAAAGGCAATATCTTGTTAGTCAGCCAGGACCAAAATCTCTGCCTCATCATCATAACCAATTGACTTCATAGTTTGTAATTTTTTTGTAATTGTATCCTTTCAGGGCCTTCCCCCTTATTCCTGAGGCTCCTACCATGCAGCTTACCTGTGCCATGGTACTCCGCTGTTGGCACATCCTGTTCAAATCCATTTAACGTATTCCTACAGCATTAATTCTTCTGAAGCATATTTCGGTCCTTCTCTGAAACTTTCACTTTCTCCTTTACATATAGGATGGAGTTATTTCATAAGATTATGTTCCCATGTCTGAATTCTGTTGCCTTTCATCTACCATTTACTTGAGCCAAACAAATCCTACTTTTCCTCCTGGAGGTCTCACTCTTCTCTTTATGTTTACCTCATGCTACTTGTTTTTTTTTTTTTTTTTTTTTTTTGGCCTGGAATTAAAATACACCTATTTCACAATTCAAAACTCGCTACCACTGCCATTTCCATCATCAATCCTTCCCAAATATCCGAATTAGTGGTAATAGCTTTTTTTTTTCAGAATTCTGATCCTATATATTTTTTAACTTTCATTGCTGTTACCATGTTTATATCTTGTGTCATTACCCCATATGTATACATTATATTTTCTCCCTTGATAAATAAGTCTTTCATGAACATTATCTTACAATATATATGTTTTGTACATTATGTGTCAGATTAAAATGAATTTATGTGACTGAATAAGGCAATTAAATTTCCTTTAGACTAGGATATACAGGGAATTATAATGGGATAAAGGCTAATATGATTTAGAACAGGTTTGCCCCCAGGGGGTTGCATAGATTCTTTGAATGTAGGGGGAAAAGACAGACACTGAGGTATTAACAGGATATTGGGAGATCCTGAGTACATCAGCTCTAGCCAGCCACAGAAGTTTGCAAAGTTTACGCAGCCTATTTTGGTTGCCTTTATAGTTTCCCTTTTCCCAAATATATTTCTGATGATACACTGTTTAATTTGCACTAGTATGCTTCGGATGTTGTAAAGCCCTATAACCCCAATCAAAGGTTAGCATTCTTCATTCACAATGTCCAAGAATAGAATATTTGCTGAAAAACAGCTAACCTAATTTGATTAATAACTTACAGTGTTTTCATAAAATAATTATGTGAGGTATCATTTAAAAATTCTAGTCTGGCCCTTATAAAAAATTCCACAGCAGTTATTAATCCTCATGGTTGGAACTGCAAAATAGGGTAGATCAATTTAGAAATATTTAGAAAGGTCTTACCTTTTGGAAGCCTTTGAAAAGGTATTTTATGCCTTCACTTAATTTTTACTATATGGCTATTTTTGACATCTATGCTTTCACCAATTTAAGGAGAACAGGATTTACCACAGGATCAGCTTCCTAAATTGTGGGTCATCTGACTTATAAGAGATGACTATGGTAGACAAGATTGAGCAACAGTTGAGGGTGGGTAGTTTTTACTGGCTGAATAGTGCCACAACAAACTTCCTACCCTCAGTACCTCAGAATGTGACTATATGTAGAGATAGGTCTCTAAAGGTGTAATTAAGGTTAAACAAGGTCATATGAATAGGCCTTAATTTAATGACTAGTGAACTTAGAAGAAGAGGAAATTAGGACAAAAACATACAGAGGATTGACCAGGTGGAAACAAAGAGAAAAGAAGGCTATATATAAGCCAGGAGAGAGACCATGGAAGAAACCAACCCTACTTAGACCTTGAGCTCAGATTTCTAGCATTCAGAATTGTGAGAAAATAAATGTCTGTTGTTAAGGCCACCCAGTCTTTGGTACTTTGTTATGGCAGCCCTAGCACACTAATATAATAGCCTTTTAGAGCTAAATTGTATAATACAATTAGAACTATTCATTTTAAAGGAGTACTTCACAATTCAAATAAACTGCTGCTTTTATGCACAGTAAATCCACACTTGGCAAGCCCAGGTTTGAAATAGAAAATAAAGTCAGGTGTCTTTATACATGAAGTTTCCTAAGTGGGTTTCAATGTTTTCCTTCAGCCTGACATTGTAACTGCTTTTCCATTTACTGAGCATCACGGATGCTATACCTCACTAATAAAAGTCTTGGAGAAATGTCACTGTCCTTGTTGACACTGAGGACACATGAAATCTAAACTCTAATACTATTAAAGAACATTGTATCTCTTGGTTCACAAATCGTAAATCTGCATTCAATAAACATTGAGCCTATGCTGCCTACACAGCAGACGATCAATGAAGTACTACACAGATCTAATCATGTACTAAGAAAGAATTAGGCAAGAGTAATAGAAGTTGATTTTTGTAGTTCCTTAGATACGTATTGCATATAACAAAAATTTACCAAGATCTCATTTATTCTTTAGAGTCAAACAACAACAATAACAATGACACGAACAAAACATAGCCTTCTCTCAAGACTTTGAGAGATTATGATTAAAATTTAAGCCAAGTTGACAGACATGCTTTGTTGCCAACACCTTTTGTATCTATTGTGTAAATTATGTGGTATTGAGGATATTCTTAATTTTTAATCATCAGACATACAGTTTTCAGTACTATATACATTCTTGTTTATTTGTTTCTTTTTTTTTTTACTGTGGTAAGAAAACAATATGAGATGTATCCTCTTTAACAAATTTTTACATCCACAATACATCATTGTTAACTATAGGCACAAGGTTGTACAATAGATCGCTAGAACTTACTCATCTTGCATAATTAAAACTTTATACACATTCAACAATAACTCCTCATCTTCCCCTCTGCTCACCCACTAGCAACTACCATTCTCTTGTCAATTTTATAAATTTGACAATACTAGTTATCTCCTACGATTGGAATCAGGCAGTGTCTGTTCCTTCTGTGACTGGCTTATTTCATTTAGCATAATGTCCTCCATGTTCATTCATGATGCTGCATATTGTAAGGTTTCCTTCTTTTTTAAGACTGAACAATATTCTGCTGTATGTATATACCACATTTTCTTTATTCATTCACCTGTCGACAGACATTTAGGTTGTTTCCATATGTTGGCTGCTGTGAGTACAAGAATTACAAAAGATTAATACTAGTATTTGGTGATGGTCTCAATCAACTTTCAAAGAGTCAGAATTTTTTAAAAATATTAGCATTACAATATATTTACACAGCAAGGTATATGCTACTTAAGTTAAAGCTTCTTTATAGCCGGGTTTCCTGTGTTCAGAGCCTGACTCTGCCACTTACTAACTGGGCGAGGTATTAAATCCTTCTATGCCTCAAATGCTTATCTCTAAAATGTGACTAATAATAGTTCCGATGATAGGAGTGTTAGGAGAATTAGGTGAGATACGTATAAAACATTTAGAAAAGTGATTTATATAAGCACTTGCTTCTATAATATCTGTGAGTGACATTATTGCTTGTTCACAGATTCATTTCCTGCTCTGCATGACTGAAAAATACACCACTTTAAAAGTAAAAATATAAAACCTGATACCATAGAAATGTATTTCCTATCCATAAACTTTCATTATTTTATTTTTTTATTGAGACAGTGTCTCACCCTGTCACCTAGGCTGGAGTGCAGTAGTGCTATCATAGCTCACTGTAACCTCATACTCCTGGCCTCAAATGATCCTCCTGCCTCAGCCTCCCCAGTAGCTAGGACTACAGGTGAACACCACCATGTCCAGCTAATTATTTTTTTGTACTTGTTGTAGAGACAAGGTCTTGTTATGTTGCCCAGGCTGGTCTCAAACTCCTGGCCTTAAGCAATCTTCCTGCCTTGGCCTTCCAAAGTGTTGGGATTACAGGCATGAACCACTTTGCCCAGCAACCATCTATGAACTTTTAGATTCACATATCTTTGAAAAATATAAATTCTGTTAAAGGACATTGCTATTGAAACTTTAATAGGTAAGGGATTAAAAGCAGAATTAGATACAGATTGACCTGAATTCAAAGCCCAATTCTACGTCCTCCAGCAAGTTGCCAAGACTTCCTGAACTTACATTTATTATATATCTTAAAGATAAAATTTATGATGTTTATGTCATATATTGCTGGGAAATTGAACAAGTAAATGTTTACAAAGTCCTTCTCATGTTTGCAATATACTAAATCATCAGCACATTTTTGTTTGTTTTATGATTATTATTTTCTGGCTATTAGTGGTAGACTGAAAATGGCTCAAATCAATGATTTATTTTCATCTTTCTTGGTTTTCTGTGCTGCCTGAGCTCAGTGGGGCTTTCCTTACTTGGGGTTTCTTGTATGGTTGTAGTCATGAGACAGCCGAGCTGAAATTATTTGAGGACAGGGCTAGACATCCGAGGTGATTTCTTTTAGATTCACATCTTGTATCTCAACTGCAGTATCAGTTACAGCTTAGTAGTGGTCAGGCATCTGTTTCTTCATTTGACCTGTCCATCTAGCAGCTTGAACTTCCTGCAACCACAACACAACAGTCTCAGGATAGATGAACTTCTCAAATAGAGGCTGGCTTCCTACAGGTTAAGTAACCTAAGGCCCAGGAATAAGATATAAGGATACTTTAACCTCGTTATTAAAGCCACACAGCATCATGTTGACTGAGCTTTTTGTTATAAATGATTCATAAAATCATTAGAAATGAGTTTTCAATGGATAAAATTAACATCTGCTTATATTATCACATTATATATGTCTATATACACACACAGACATATATTATAGTAATGTGTTTATGGCCAATCCAGAAACATATATATTGAATCATGCTAGATGAAAAATAATCAATATATAAATATTGATAAATTATATAGTGAAATTAT
This sequence comes from Homo sapiens, assembly GCF_000001405.40. Classification (NCBI taxonomy): domain Eukaryota; kingdom Metazoa; phylum Chordata; class Mammalia; order Primates; family Hominidae; genus Homo; species Homo sapiens. The sequence continues at coordinate 48,235,984 of NC_000014.9, forward strand.
GAGTGCCTTATTTTTAATCCCTCTTTCCATTTATAGTTCTGCTATCATATTTTGGGTCAAATTATCTGTCCATTCATATCTCACTGGACTGCCATTCAAAACTCTCTTTCTACACTGTTTCCATTGCATACCTAGTGCTTCAGCTGTACTAGATTACTTGTAAATTCCTGAATACCCCTTATTGTCTTCGTCTCGGTAATAGACATCTCTGGTGTCTTGCTTCATATCCCTTTGCTCTCTTCTCATTTCACCTCGAAATAGCTACCATGGGCAGTTTTTGAAGGTTCATCTCACAAAACTGCCCATGGTATTGGCAAGGTATTGGCATGGTCAATAGATCAAGAATAAATGACTTATTCTTGATCATGAATGACTCATACTTGTGCATGGTGTTGGCAAGGTCAATAGATTAAGCATGAATGATTCATTCTTGATCATTTCAGCTTCATTCCAGGATCTTTCTAGTGCCATGAATACCATCTCAGACCATAAGCAAGCACAGCCAGGAAGGTTGGGTGGGGGCCGAGGGGGAAAGCTAGCCATCCCTGGAGCAATTCTCAGTCACTGGGGATAGAGGGTCAGGAGATAAACTCTTCTACTTTTCATCTTTCAGGTAAACAGCTCAGGGAGGCATTCTGTGCTTTTTAGAAGAAGGTCCTGCAAAGTCAAAGCCTTATTTCTCACATAAATTTTTTCACTACTGTGTCCTTTTATAATCTTATTTTTTCCAGTACCTAGCTTTTTCAGCCTGAATCAGGTCCAAATTATATACCTCCTCAAAATCTCTTATCTCAGTCTCTGTTTCTTGGAGATCCCAGTCTATGACTTGCTCTCTTACTTTCGGTGTCCTGTTCTCTCTGACTGAAACATGCATCCCTCTAATGCAATCTTTCCTCTAATCTGTTGATTTATCCTTAAGAATCTAGCTCCAAGTAAATTCCACTGAGGCCTTTCCTGATACCAAGGGTGTTTCATATTATCCTCTTTTGTGCTAACACAAAAACACATCCATTGTATGACTATGTTGTATAATATTATGTTTTTAAGTAGCAGTGTATTTTAGTAAACTATGAACTTTTGAGTGCAGTGACTATTATTATGCTTATGTTTGTAACTTAACATTTGATAGTTGACATATAATTAACCACTTAACAATGCCATTTGAACAAATGGTTGAATTGATTAAAAAAAAATAGCATTCTAAATTGTTTATTTTCATTCCAAATTGATGGGACTGTTAATAACCAAATTGCTTATAAGCTCGACATCCTCTGTCTTTTTTCTTGATATAGTCAATTATTGTCTCTTTATGACCTTTTAATTTTTAACTATATGATAGTATGAGCATAAAAATACATTAAAAATTACCTATGTTGGGTCGGGCATGGTGTGGTGGCTCATGCCTATAATCCCAGCACTTTGGGAGGTCGAGGTGAGTGGATCACCTGAGGTCAGGAGTTTGAGACCAGCCTGGCCAACATGGAGAAACCCCGACTCTACTAAAACTACAAAAAATTAGCTGGGCATGGTGACACATGTCTGTAATCCCAGCTACTTGGGAGGCTGAGGTAGGAGAATCACTTGAATCCAACAGGCAGAGATTGCAGTGAGCCGAGATCATGCCACTGCACTCCAGACTGGGCAACAAGAGTGAGACTCCATCTCAGAAAAAAAAAAATTACCTATGCTGTATTATTTTAAAGGAACGATGTGTCTATGTGGTGGATACAGCTTAAGATGACTCCTACTCTTTAAATGTGGGAAGAATCCATAAATAATTTCTAACCTCCTACCCACCCCCCAAAATGCAAAAGAGATTGTATGCCACTGCCTGAATTAGGTTATATTATTATATAAAGCAAAGCGATGGGATATAATGACCATGATTATACTACGTTAGGTAAGACTCCTCCTTCGAAGACTGGAATAGAGAGATTCTCCTGCTAGACTTTAAGAAGCTGCCATTTGTGAGCTGTGTATAGAGAAGACCACACGGCCAGGAACTGGGGCTAACTCTAGACTGTCAGAGTGACTGTAACTGATGCAAGACAGGCAGGCCCCTCAAATTGGGGCTTAGCCCGGGAGGGTTCCTCACTTTGCCCAGGAAAAGAATTCAAGGGCAAACTGTTGGTGTTAAATAGCAACTTTTGTTGAAGTGGCAGTGTACAGCAGCAATAGAGGTACTGCTCCTTGTGGAGCAGGGTTACCTCACAGGTAATGTGCCCAGAGGAGCAGCTTGGAGGAACATATATATATATATATTCCCTCTTTAATTATATGCAAGTTAGGGTGCGGTTTTATGCAGAAATTCGTAGGATGAGGGTGGTAACTTCTGGATTGTCAGGTTGCTGCCATGGAAAGGAGTAGTAACTTCTGGGTGTTTCCATGGCAATGGTAAACTGACATGGCCCACTGGTGGGCATGTCTTATGGGGAAGTGCTTTCCTAGACCTGTTTTAGCTAGTTTTCAATTTGATCAGGTGTCGGAGTCACACCTCTGAGTTGAGTCCCACCTCCTACCTCATAGCAAACAGCCAATAAGAATCAGAGTCTCTCCGTCATACTCTCACAAGGAAATATATTTTCCAATTATATGAATGAGCATGGAAATGAATTATTTCCCAGTGAAGCCATCAGGCAGAACACAGTTGAACTGATATCCTGATTGCAGCCTTGTCAGACTCTGAGCAGAAGACCATACTAACTTGTTCATGGACGCATGAATATGTTTAGATAATAAATGTATGTTGTTTTAGTTTGTTAAATAATTTATTATACAGCAAATGGAAACTAACAAAATATAATCTTACAAGTTGTAATTAAAGCATTACACTAGAAATTTATTACCTTAGCTGTATTTGTAACCCAAATATTGGTTTATTAATTCTCATTCTCATCCACTCTTTACTCCTTCCTCTGTAATGTCTTCTGGATATTTTAATTATTCTCTCTTTCTTCCACTAGATATGACAACATTTTCATTCCAGTGAGTTTAGTGAGATAAACATAAAAGTGAGAACAAGAAAGGTTGACGTGTAACTCAGAAAACAATTACATATCACCATATGTTGTTGAGAAACAACTGATAAAGGACTGGTGTGGTAGGCAGACAAAATGACTCCTGAAAGATGTCTAATATTCCAATCCCCAAAATCAATGGCTATTTTATCTTACATGGCAAAATGGACTTATGCAGGTGTGAGTAATTTAAGGATCATGAGATGGGAAGATTACTCTGGGTTATCTAGGTATATTTAATGTAATCACAAGGGTTCCTAAAAGCAGGAATAGAAAGCAAAGTGAGATTTGAAAATGTTCCCTGTCAGCTTTGAAAAGGAAGCATGGAGCCAAGAACCAAGGAATGCAGGTAGCTTCTAGAAGCTAGAAAAGGCAAGAAAACAGATTATCTCCAAGAGACTTCACAACAATGTAGCACTGTTGACTCATTTTAGACTTCTGATATCCAAAACTATAAGGCAATACATTTGTGTTGTTTTAGCCCACTAAGGTTGTGAAATATGTTTATAGCAGCAACAGGAAACAGGAAACCAGTTGCTGTAGGTTTAACAAACAGACTTTCCAAAAGAAATGTGATTATCATGGCAAACCTTTATATGAAGATGCTTTAATGCCTATTTGAAAAATACTCTTCTAATAAGTACAATCATGCATTGCATAACTACAAGGATACATTCTAAGAAACGTGTCACTAGGTGGTTCCATCATTGTGCAAGCATCATGGAGTGTACGTCCACAATCCTAGAAGGCATAGCCTACCACATGCCTAGGCCATATGGTATAGCCTATTGCTCCTATGCTATAAACCTACATAGCTTATTGCCATACTGAATCCTGTAGACAACTGTAACACAATGGTAAGTATTTGAGGGATCTAAAAATATCTAAATATAGAAAATGTATGTACAATTGTGGTATAAAAGGTAAAAAATGGTATACCTGTATAGGGCAGTTACCATAAATGGATGTTGCGGGACTCTAAGTTGTTCTGCGTGAGTCAGTGCATGAGGGTAAGTGAATGTGAAGGCCTAGAACATTACTGTACACTACTGTAGGCTTTATAAACACTGCACATGTAGACTACACTAAATTTACTTTAAAAAGTTATATTAATACAAATGCATCTCAGCTTACAGTAACAGTTTTAATTTATAAGTTTTTTAATTTTTTTACCTTTTGGACTCTATTTTAACACTTGGCTTCAAAACACAAATACATTGTACAGCTGTACAAAAATATTTTCTTTCTTCAAATCTTTATTCTATAAGCATTTTCTATTTTTAATTTTTTTCAACTTTTTAAACTTTTTTTGTGAAAAACTAAAACACAAACACACACATTAGCCTAGACCTATGCAGGATCAAGATCATCGATATCTTGTTTTCCACCTCCACATCTTGTCCCACTGGAAGGTCTTCGGGGTCAATAACTGTCATCTCCTATGATAATAATGCCTTCTTCTGGAATGCCTCTTGAAGGACCTGCTTGAGGCTGTTTTACAGTTAACTTTTAAAAAAATCTAGAAAGGTACACTCTAAAAAATTATTAAAAAGTATAGTAACTACATAAAACAGTAACATACTATTTTATTGTCATTATCATGTTATGTACTGTACATAATTTTGTGTGTTATATTCATATGACTAAAAGTACAGTATATTTATGTTTATTGAGTGCAGCATCACAAAAACACATTAAAAATGCATTGTACTACAATATTATGACGGCTACAATGTCACTAGGCAGTAGGAATTTTTCAGCTCCATTATAATCTTATGGGACCACCACTGTATATGTGATTTATTGTTTCAAACATTGGTATGGGATGCATGGCTGTATACGCACAAGTATAGCTTCTTTACTACCACAGGTGCTATTCTATTTTCTTTTTATAGTATTCTCCTTATGTAGACCTAAAAAATTATTCAAGCATTCTTCTGATATTTTTCCAAGGTTTCCCATTTATCTGCTGAAGGCTAACCTTTCCTTTGAGAGAAAAGTACAGTGAGAAAATCTGATCTGAAATAAACAAGCATAATTAAATCCCAATAGGCAAAAGGCACTCATAAAACCAGACAGTCTTTGGTGATGCCCTTAGTTTAGCTCTGTTTTCAGGACAACAGAACCTCTCCGACAACTCTGAGGAAAACCACTACCACACATGTTCCCTTTCATAGTGGCTTTCATAAAGGAAACATTCAGGGAATCTTTGCTAAGAAACAGCCAAAGAGAGATAGAGATTTCTAAATATTGTTCACTGATATGGACATCAAGGATACTTGATGCTTCTTTGGAGGTGAAAGAAGTGAGACTTGCTTGGTGTCTGAATGGGATAGTGCTGAAAGTTGATGTACTAGTCTTCCATTGCTCTTCACATCTAAAGATAACTGCCTCGCTTGATCCCAGTGGCCCATGAAACAGTAGGAAAGTGGGGTTGCCATCCCCTTTAACTGCTGCCATCAATTACAAAGGCAAAAGTTTAAATCTCTATTACTCTAATACCAAATTTCTTAATCTCCTAGATGTAATTTATATTTCCAAGAGAGATGAAAAGTGTGGAACTATGATGAATGAGCAAGAGAGTATATCTGTTTATATTAGTAAACTCCTTTAGTTGCTTATAAATAACCAAAAAATTATCTGGTGTTAATCATATGTAAGAAATCCTAAGTGGCCCAACAAAATTGACGCTAATCTAAACCACTGGCTATATATTTTTTTCTGCAATGAAATAGGAATTAATTGGCTAAGGTTGGCCTCTTCATACTTCCATTCCAACAATTAAGACTGTTATTCAGGTAGCTGTCATCACACAGCGATAATCATATTAGAGTTACATAGCCAAGGCTCTGTGGTTCGAAAACCAAAACATTCAAAAACTTGATTTATATGTGACCCAGATAACTAATTATCTTCGTTTTAAAATAAATTTTAAAGAGAACAATGCGTTAAGTAACTATCTAATGAGATCAATAATGAAACTGATGGGAGTAAAATAAGAGCTTGCCTGGATAATGGCTTATACAGTTTAGATGGCTCGCACATATAGAGATTCTTTAAAATAAGAACTTCATTTTTCAGAAATCTCTGGGTTGCTGGAATACCAATGTACATAGAATGACAACACATGTGTGCAATAGCAAGGAAAACAGAAATCCTGGTCACTGAGTTTCTGGCAATGGGTCCTTTCCTTCAGGGACCTTCTGAGGTAGTAAGACAATAAGCAATTCCCAGTATCCTGTAATTCTGGGATTTGGTAGACTTGTATTCATGTAACAGGGACATTACTAGGTCAAATTACAGGTCAAAACAGTTCAGTCTAATACTTTTTCCTCTTTAATTCTCATTTCCTCATCTGTAAAAATAGGAATGATCATAATGTCTATCTCATGAAGTTACTGTGAAATAAGATTAACTACGCAAAGAACCTGTGCCAACACACTGCCTCTGTATCTGTTAGATTTTATTCACATTATTATTATTATTATGTAACTGAAACTCAGATTGTACCATATAATACATCTTATTTCAACTTGTAGTTCTGATTGCCTTTGCCAGGCAGATGGCCAGTTCAGGCAAAACATCAGTATTGGGTCTGCCATCTCTGTCTGGCTGCTGAAATTGGCTTCAATCAGATGCTTTCATTAAAACAAAACCAAAAATAAACAACAACTTTCTTTATCTCAGGTTTATTCCTCTCCATGAAGTGTTCCTGAGATACAGATGAGAATTTCTGTCAGAGAATAGTATTCTCACAACATCAGTTGAATATAATTGTCAAAAAAAAGTTAAAGAAAGTGGACTTGGAGAGAATAACGCTTGTGATTTTTTTTTCCATTGTAGGTTGAGTTTTGTAACTTAGGAAAGTTATTTAACCTATCTCTCTCCAAACTTCTCAACTATAATATAAGAAGTTATGCCAAATGTTCTGAAAAGTTCTGTCGAGCTCTCTCAGTTTAGTCTAATTCTGTGCTTCTTTGGTTCCCATCCATTTCATGCTTGGCCAGGTGTCTTCCAGGATCGTGTGCACCAAGATCTTCCACTCATATTAATTAACAAAAAAACTCCTTGATCTAGTGAGGGACTTTTATGAATTTCTACTAAACAGCCTCCAAGAGATGAGACGTTGCCCTAATTCCTTTTCTGAATCTTTTCAGTATAGTTGAATCTACAGAACAGAACAATTTTTAAATAGTTGCACAGTAACTTGCCCATAGTAACAAGTCATACTTATTGTTTCCATTTGTTTACTGATAAAATGAATTATCTCTTGTATTAAAAGTATACATTTTTATACTGGGGACGTCTGGACTTCAGAGTCCTGAATACAATATGCCCTGGCCATGCGCAGTGGCTGTACTCCCAGTAATTTGGGAGGCCAAGGCGGGTGGATCACCTGAGGTTAGGAGTTTGAGACCAGCCAGGCCAACATGGTGAAACCCCATCTCTACTAAAAATACAAAATTAGCTGGGTGTGGTGGCACATGTCTGTAATCCCAGCTACTTGGGAGGCTGAGGCAGGAGAACCCCTTGACTCTGGGAGGCGGAAGTTGCAGTGAGCCAAGATCACGCCTTTGCACTTCAGCCTGGGAGTGAAACTCCATCTCAAAAAAAAAAAAAAAAAAAAAAAAGCCCTAATTTATAGACTTCAAATTAAATTTTCTTGAAAATGCACATATACATGCACACGTGTATACACACACACACACACCAGTTGTTATACTTAGTGAACAGGCAGGCCTCAGCTGCTTTGTGCTTACTAAGGGCTTTAAGAGAAATGATTAAGACAATTATGCCTAATTTATTCTACAAGATCAGTTATTACATTTTTAATGACTCAATCTCTATCCCTCTTCTGTCCTCTCCCCACCACTCCCCTCCTCTCATCTCCTTTCCTCTTCTCAAATGTTCTTTGTATAAATTTCAGTATTTTCTGTTTCTCTTGTTAATGAACAATTTAAATACAGTATTTGAAACATGTCCATTTTACATGTACTTGTAGTCATGTTTTTGGACCTCTTGAAAATTAAAGTTTAAAATTTTGGTAGGCCAACCACTGACATATGCTAGTGGACCTACCTGATGGAGCCACATAAACTACGTGACTGGAGGTGTGTATACATGTAAAGGGTTATTTAAGCTTGGACACAAGCCGCATAGAACTGCAGACTTGTGTCTCAAGGCTTTTGCTTTTTGTTTTTTTGTTCTTCAGCTGATGATTATGTTTTTGTTTCTGCTTCATGCAGGCTAGTTATTTTCCAATGGTGGAAAACGTGAATGGAAAGTGAATATTATGGCTTACCATTTGATGATGATCTGTATCAGGTGAATAATGGAAATCAAGTCTTTATCACATGAAGGATCTGATCTGCATTTATTTTTCTTTGTGTATGTGTTTCTTTATCTATTAGTATGTTCAAATGAATTGAGAATTTTGCTTCCTCTTAAGGAGACCAGTTCTGTGAATTGTTGACTAGGCTTATCTTTTATCTATGGCTAATGTTGCAGCTCTGAAGATGTAAGCTCTCTCCGTGTCTCTGTATCTGTCATTGAGGAAAGACATTACCTTTCTTTAAATGAGTATAAAGTATTTTGCTATTTCTGGAGTGCATTCATAAATTTGATTGTTACCTCTCTTCTATTAAATGAGTGCTGTTCAGATTGATTTTTACAGAATATTTCCAAAATTCACAGTAGTTAAGAAAATATAATTTGTAATATAATGAAGTGCTTGGCTAAAATGAAATCCTTCTTACTAAAACTGCTTTCTCAGAAACAGTTAATGAACCCAGATTCACTTAATTGAAATGGATCAGAATGGTTTAATAATCTTGGTTTTAAAAAGTTTTTAAAAATCAGCTTTATGTCTTTTCCTTGCTATCACTGTTAAAGATAGCATGAGTCTATTTTATTTTTATAAGATTTAAGATAGCTTTATTATAAAGTGTCCTAATTAGACTGAACTTCCTAAATATCTTATATAGGTTTACTAATAAAGTAAGCTGTTATTACTCATCTACATAATATTCAAGACTTGAAAAGTTATACATAGCATTCAACAAAATTGAATAAAAATTCTGAGAAACATGTTTTATTGCAGAAATTATATTTGTAGTGTATTAGCACAACCATTATTGTTCAGATTTTAGGTAACTCCCCAAATTGAGTAAATATTAAATAAAGTTATGGTCTTTGGATATCTATAAAATTTCCCAGTAATACTGAATATCAAAACAATTTCTAATTTGTACATTTTTCTTATTTTTATATGTTTTTACACGACTATAGGTCTGAGGCATATTAGCGAAGATACCCATTTCCCACTTTGAAAAAATAAAATATATATAGAAGTAAAAAATGTATTATATGTATTCATGAATTTCGATAGTCTGCTAAGATGGTTGCATATGACAGACTTTTCTCAATGAAACACTAACAATAATTTTCTTACATTGACATTTTTGATATCATTGTTTTGGTTAAATGCTATAATTCATATGATATTGAGATAATACTGGGAAAAACGGTGATGGAAGAGCATGAATATGTAGACAAAATAATAAAATCTGTATTTTTGTAAATCAAAATGTAAAGAAAGTAGTCTTACAGTATCTTTTCAGTAATATGAAAGAGGATAATGAAAAGCCAGATGTGAATGGGTGAGAAAGCTCACCATATATGCAGAATGGGGATTTTTACTTGCTTTGGTTTATAGTGTTTACAAATACTAGATCTGTAAAGACACAAAGTGTTGTGTAAATATTTTTGCCAAAGTTGGCTCAGTTTAATGTGCTTATATTTAAAATGTTACGAAGCACTAACTGCCAAATATTAATGCCAAACTGGAATTTGGCTTTCTTACTGTTAATAAACAATAACATTTTACCTTCTGTGCAATCTGCCCAGATAGCAAAAAAATCCATGATCCACAAAAATAATTTTATCTTTATTGAGATGACTTTATCATGTCCTTCATTATTAAAAATAGAACAAAGTTTTCTCACATATGGAAGAGGTAAGCTTGCTTAAAATTACAATGCCCATGCATCCAAGATCCTACCTTAATCTAGTGGCCAAATATCTTGGGATGTATCTTTTGATTGTGCTGTCCCCAGATCAGGCTTTCCATTCAGAACAAATGGAAATTATAATGAATATTTTTACACTTAAAGGTATGTTTTATGTTTTCCCAAAGGCCTGGAATAGCATACAGATCTGCTCTTTCACTTTATAAAAAGAAACACTAGAGGCTGGGCACAGTGGCTCATGCCTGTAATCCCAGCACTTTGGGAGGCCAAGGTGGGCAGATCAAGAGGTCAGGAATTCGAGACCAGCCTGGCCAACATGGTAAAACCCTGTCTCTACTAAAAATAAAAGAGCCGGGCATGGTGGCGCTCACCTGTAGTCCCAGCTACTCAGGTGGCTGTAGCAGAAGAATCACTTTTATCTGGGAGGCGGAGGTTGCAGTGAGCCGAGATCGTGCCACCGCCCTCCAGCCAGGGTGACAGAGTGACACTCTGTTTCAAAAAAAAAAAAAAAAAAAGAAAGAAAAAGAAAAAAGAAAAAAAGAAACACTAGAAATAATTAATTTGTTTGGTTTGCTCCCTATTTTAAAATTTGCCCAATACAATTGTGAGACTTCCTTAGGAATTGTGAAATCTGAAGGGATGCTTACGCTACCCTAGGTAAAGTTTGTCGAGCTAAAATATTAATATAAATATATTAGGAATTGTACACTTTATTAGTACCTGAAAGATTCCATACTTCCTATCCCTCATGAGAAACAATGATCAAATTCTAGGAAATACCTATATACAGTATCCCATAAAAAATTTTAATCTTTTCCCTTCTGATATTTGGTGACTGTAATAAATTGACCACAGTCATTTAGTATCACTATCAAACAGATTTTTACTTCCCTCTAATGACTGCCCGAGGCTCTGCTACAAGTTTCAGGCTAGAACTTGTGTATTCACCAATAAAAGGACAATCACAGTGCATTGTGGATAGGACTGTAGCAGGTACTTTGAACTATTGATAATTAAGAATTAGTCTGTTGAATACAGGCTTCTAAAATAGCATTGCTTAGGCAACTTTCAAACTGGACCAGTTGACAGAATCATTATAAACAGAAATTTTATTAGTCCGGAAGTGAAGGTACTCCACAAAAGCAGGCTGCTGAAACACGATCCAGCAAAACAAGAATGTATCTAGTGTAGACATAAAGGGAACTCGTAACAGAACTCAAGGGTATAGTGTTTGAAAATATAGAAAAATAAGAAGTGAGATATATACATTTAAATTATGCACAGTAATAAATGTTTTGGTATTTAATATTACTGGGAATTTAATAGATATCCAAAGACTATTCATATATTAACTTCATTTAATATTTACTTAATTTTTTGAGTTACTAAAATCTTAATGTTCGTGCTAATACACTACAAATATAATTCCTGCATAAAAATGTGTCTCAGAATTTTATTCAATTTTGTTTAACACTATGTATACCTTTTCAAATCTTAAATACTATGTAAATGAGTAATAAAAGCTTATTTTTTTTACTGAACTTATATAAGACATTTAGGAAGTTTGTACTAAGTAAAACACTTTGTGATAAAATAAGTTCAAACCTTATAAAAATAAAATGTACTCTTATGCTATACTTTCTGTTAAACTCAGGACTAAACAATGAGTGGAATTTAATTGTGGTTACTTTTTTGAATATTGTTAATAATGTTTTTAATGTTATATTTTTATGAATACATAAAGAAGTTGCTATTGCTAACCCTGCATTTATTAGACAATGTTTTTTAAAGCTGAAATAGAACATTTTTAATGGTATCTGCTTGTCATTGACTCCTTCACCCCTTCATCCTCATCCTTATCCTGAATTCAGAAACAAATCTTTTTCTGAGCCTCCTTCCATTTTAGGGCAATAGAGTTATTTGCATCTTTCAATAAATCTCTTCCTATTTACCAGTATATAACGGTACAAATTGATTTAGTAACAAAGTCCAAACTGAAGTGCCACATTTGATAATGATTCTCATTTAATTAGGCATGACAAGTCCACTATTAAAAAATAAAGGTTGACTTTATGTGTGGAGCTGGTGCTTTCAGCCTGTATTCACCAAGGATTTTCTGAAATGCTTTGTCATGTGGCAGATGGAAATGTCACTATGTTGGCACAAACTGCTCTGACTCGACACCTGGTTTGCAGGGTCCTATTTTCACACATGGTAAAAGTGGTTATTTCCTGGCAGGTAAGGGACATTTGCACATTTGGAGGAACTCAAGAAAAGAGGAATTTACCCAATTTATGAGTAGTGCAGGTGAAATCTGGCAGGGAAGATTTCTTAAGATTAGTTTCCTAGCTTCAGGATAGAAGAGTAAATTAAGAGAGGCTTTTCCAAGTCCTGTCTGTCATCCAGTATCAAAATTTCCAGACAAATTACTTCTCTGACATTTGAACTTGTTCAATATGGAATGGCTCCAGATTTGTAGAGCAAACCCAAGAAACCCTATATGGTTAATTAGTGCTCTTGTGACACTTACGTAAATAATCAAGTCAAATCTTTTTGTGGTTAATAATAATTTTCAGAGATTACTTACGATCACAAAGTGAGAAATAGTCCAAAAATTATCTGAAACTTAGATAATGCAAAAAGATCTTTTTCAGCTTTATATATTGAAAGGCAAATCTAGAAGTCTAGAAAATTGTCTAGAAAAATGACACAGTATTATTAATTATTTACTATTAATTTAAAGTCTCATATTTAGTAATGCTACCTGCTAAATTACAGACTTTCTCCAGTAATGACTCAGTATTAATTCCTGTCAGTTGAAACAGATAATGCCAATGTTTATAGTTTTTATGGCTTAATTGGACTTTTACCAATTGTGTATTTAATAAAGCAGTCATATTCTAAGTTTTTATTTATCCATAAAATTGCATATCTCATACTCTCCTTATTTAATTAGTTAAATTAAATTGTGACAGAGTCCCACTTGTTTGAGAGACATGTTTTAATATTTTAAAAAATATAGTTATATTATAGAACTAGAAAAGAAGAAGAAAGACTTATCAAAAAGTTCTAAATCATGCCAATTCCTACCACTATCAAGTAGCGGAATGTGATTTTAGATTTATCCAGCTTTATGTCTCAGCAAGATATATATAATGAATCAAGGCAAAAATAAATACTTGTAGAAATTGTCTTGTTTAAACATTTTGGGAAGAATAATTATGGTGAAAATAATTTTTCTAATAGATTATTTAATTTATATTGTATAAATTGACACATTTCCAAGTTATTTATATTTAAACTTTTCTCCTTTGTACTTGAAGATAATATATTTGTTCTCTAGATTTGTTATCTTCTTGAAATATTTGGGAAAATATTTGAAACCTGAAAATTGTCATACAAATGTTAGTTATTATTTATTTTATCTTACCAAGTTGATAACTAAAGGTTTTTTCATAATGGTAGGCTCCGTTCAGTTTTCTATTACATGTTGGTATAATAGTGTTATAGACACTCAGAATTCAGCTACTATAAATGCCTTAACTAATGTCAGCTGTATTTCCAGATACCCTGGAAAGAAGTTTTCAACTAATCCTCAAAGACTTTTATTTTTAAAATGAAATGACTTATTCTATATTTAGTCCTTGAGCTTTTTGAAAAATTGCCATAAAAAATCAATCATTTCCTCTTTTACCAATTTCATCTTTTGTCCTTGTCACTTTTTAACTTGCATCATAAATTTTGACTGTGTCTACAATGATATTATTTCAATGCCAGATATATGCAAATGAGGAGAGTCATTTTCATTTTAACAATAAAATATGCATATTCATATCGAGATTGGGCAATGGCAAAACATTATTAGTTCAATACACTCAATTTGTTCACTAACTTCATAATTCCAACATCACTTTCTTTTAAGAAACTAAAATTAAAGGATATTTTTTAAAATCACAAAAACAGCCTAATTTTTCATGCTTTCTTTAGCATAATCTCCCTTTTGAGCTAATTTTTCTTTTATGGAGATGAGTCCCTTGAATGTCATAATTCCAGTATATTTCTTTACTATGCTTTGTGAGAAAAAAAGACTTTTTATTTATTTCTGCCCAGTTGTCAAAATTTCAAACTGAGTTTTCTATCAAATAATAATAGAAAGAAACAGGGTAGAACTTCTTTTTAGTAATGTTGACAATGGCTTGCCCTGCAAAATATGATAAATTAAACCTATAAGGATATTATTACATTAATTTAACCTTAAAGTAATGGATTAGAATAAAATATATGTTATTGAAAGTCTGGGGATTTTTTTTCAAAATTTGTTCTAACAAAGTTGTATTTTTTATTGATTAGATGCAAGTTCATGATTACAGGAAGCCAGGAAGCCATTATAGGACAAAAGATGATACTTCCTTTATGTTTTACAAGGGCATTGATTTACTGTCTAAATGAGTGTTACACTCATTTTCTCAGGACAATTAAACAAGTTACTATAAGTGTTATTTTCATAACAACAGAGTATCTCAGCACCATATTTTAATAAAATGTAGTATTTGAACTAATCTGTTGGTGATCAGAGAAGACAGGAAACCGGCTGATACATATGAATGCTCTAACTTAAGGGGTTGGCAACCTTTAACACTTGTGCCAGATGGTGACACACAAGGACATTTGGACTGGCAATCAGCCTCTGGCATTAGCTCAACCTCCTCTGTCTTTACCACTCTTTGGAGTTATTGCTACGACTCCTGGCCACTGACATAGTCACGATCGGTATCAATCTTGGATCTCAGAAAGTTATCATGGCTTCTAGGTCACTTTATCCCATCTGTTCTAAACTGTAATAGCAAATAAGACAGTAAAAAATGTTATCCTGAGGAGAGTGGTTTTTAAAAATGTTTTTATTCTACCATAAATTCTCATAATATCTCAGGCATAAAAACGTCAATGTTTCATTGAGCAATATCCTTATCAAGTGATCAGTCTGCCAAAGTGTGACAACCACAGTGATGGGAAGTTCCCTACATTCTGTGACAGTACAGTCTATCTCTTCATAGCTGAAGGTGAGAGAGAGTAAAAGTGTCAAAGGTGGGCTTTAGAACTCCACAAGGCCTGGCTGTGGTGATGTGGATGAAAACTTTCACAGGTCTGAAAACTTTTATGAATCTACTCATTGTAAAAATAAAATAGAATAAAAAGGATAATTATTTCTGCATGATTTCAGGATGATTTATGATGTTATTTTTATCCATTAGCCTGCAAAAATGAGCAAAGGAGATAATGGTAGAATTAAAAACTCGCTATGCACACTTTAGTATCTGGCATGCAACATTTGTGTCTTTCCATTATCACGTTCTCCATGCTAATCCAAACCTTCATATATTTATGTGTGTGTGTGTGTGTGCGCGCGCAATTACAATAACTTCTCTATTTGTCACCCACTTCCTCTTTCCATTGTTAAACAAACAAAATTTCTCTTAACCAAGTTCTGAATGATGAGATTGACAAGTCATTAATTTCACACAGGGGAACCATACTTAAAAAAATAAAAGGGAATCTCCTGAGAAGAGAGAGCTAATGAAGCCAATGGTTCTCATACCTCTAGTTATTACAAGGCAGTCAACAGTTATAACAACACAGTTTTGGTCACTTCTTTTATTTCAGAGTAAAAGATTCCACATTCAATCGTAAAATACAGGAGCATTGTAATTTTATGCTGGTTTCAAGAAGCAACGCTCTAAGAATGCTTCTTAAAGGCTCATGATCCCTGTTATTTGTGTTTTATATCTCTTTATATTTTAAGGGTGGTTTTTAGAAAATCCTGTTACTCTTAGTTTATATTGAAATTTAGGCATTTTATAAATACAAAACATTTTTTAGAAATATAACAATCTTATAGTTTGAGAAAGTAATGTTATGTTCAACCTAGTGAAGAACTAGACTAAACAGAAAACATCGTATTTTTTTCCTTTTTACTTTCTGATCCATTTTGTATCCAAAAGCTGGAACAATATTTGTAGAATGTAAGCATAGTTATTATTCTCATTAAAAGACAGCAATGATGTTGTTGTGCATTGGACATATGTTCCTTAACATGCTATAGAGTGGATTATATAAAACTGGTCCTTACATTTCCAAATCTTAACTCATAGTGCAAATTGAAATCTAGACTAAGGACACATAGCCTGAAAAGGTGAAAAATAAAGGCTGGCTCAGAAACATAAATCTAGTATCAAAGGCTTTTTTTTCCCAGGAAGACAGATAACTTTATTGTTCATTGTAAAATCTTCCACAGCTGAAAAATAGGTTATTCAACTTGCTCTCATCAGAGTAAAAGGTCCTTTTATCAGAATGATAGGTTACTCAACTGTGTTCATTAAACTATTTATTCTTTAATATTCATTTCAAACCCTCAATTCTGTTTCTACTAACCCCAATACTGTATATTATGCAAGAAACTTTGCCAGTGATAATTAATCCTCCCACATGGAAAGTTCTGCCTTAAATTAGAATCCAACAATCTCAAAAATATTTTGCTCTTAACCTCCCCTTTCAGAGGTGCTACTAAGAATCCATCAAGGTAGTTGACTATCTTGTTTAAGTAATTAATTGGCAAGGCTTGGGTTAGTCAACAGGTTATTTTAGTAATCATGTATAAGGTTGCTATTTAAGCTCCAGATATAATATCCTTCTTCATTTCTGGTCTCTCTCTCTCTGTCTCTCCTATATGTCTGAATTACTCCCTTTCTTCAGCATTTTAGGGATAGCCATTCAAGTCTCTAGGAAGTTCCAAACTTTCCTGTTTTCCTTTCTTCCTCTGAACCCTCCAAACTGTTCCAACCTCACCTGTTACCCAGTATCAAAGTCACTTCCAAATTTTTGGGTATCCTTATAGCAGCACCCCACTCTCTGAGAACCAATTTACTGTATTAGTTCATTCTTACACTGCTATAAAGAACTGTCCGAGACTGGGTTATTCATAAAGAAAAGAGATTTAATTGACTCACAGTTCTGCAGGGTTGGGAAGGTCTCAGTAAACTAAAAATCATGGTGGAAGGGGAAGCAAACACGTCCTTCTTCATATGGCAGCACAATGGAGAAGTGTCAAGCAAAGCGGGGAAATGTCCGTTATAAACTGTCAAATCTCATGAGAACTCACTCACTATCATGAGAACAGCATGGGGAAACCACCCCCATAATCAACTGCCTTCCACCAGGTCCCTTCCACGACATGTGGGGATTATGGGAACTACAATTCAAGATGAGATTTGGGTGGAGACACAGCCAAACCATATCAGTAACTATAAGATGAAAAATGACTTCATCTGTTTATCTGCTTGTATTTATAATTTGTACTATGTGAATTCTTTCCCCTTGTGACTTTTAAACAATTTGGTTTTAAATATGCAGGTTAAATACTGATAGAGAAATTTAAAGTATTTGTAAGCTTAAAATCCAGTACAATAATAAATATAACTAAATATTCACCAATTGCCCACAAAAGTGTAGTGACCTATGTTATTAAATGAACTGCCAGATAGTGAAACACATGTTATATTATAGGCAACAACTTGTAAAGGAAGAAATTAAATTAACTTATACAAACAACTTACAATAATGACTGATTTGTCTGGATTGCATGATTATTAATTACAGAGAAAGAAAGAGTAAACTATACGCACATTTAAAATATGCTATTTAGAATGAGCTATAAAACACGATAATTAATTTTAATTTCCAATTTCTAATTCATTTTATATGATTGGGAGTTAGAATAAAGGTGAAAACTCATGTTTTTTTCAATACATTTTTAATCTTACATTTCTTACCAAAAATAAATTATTCCAAAAAGAAAAAATAATTCTGTCATAAGGGCTTCAAATTTATTTAATTTTTGAAGCTTTTACCTGAGATATTTAGTTTAAAATTAAAAGAAATTAAACTTCTGTTTCCTGGCCTGCTATGTAGGAGTTTAGAAACTGCTATTCCATCCCAACAACAAGCAAAAGGTGTAACAAGTTGAAAAGAAACAACTCTTCATAGATCCCTCAGAGAATTGTGGTCACAGGGCAAACTGCTGCTCCCAAAGTTGTAAATACATACAGGTGGATTTAGAAAATCAAAACTTTCCAGAACAACCACGCATGAGCAGAAGTACCCATGGGAACTGGTAACCAGGTAGGAAAACCTATACTGTGATTGACAAATTGCTGGAAACTCAGTGTGAGTAAGTCTGAGAGTTAGAAACTCTAGGGTATCCAGTCATAGGTAAGGCCCCCCACACTGTATGAGTTTTACTTTCAGGAGCCCAATAAGATTCTCACAGTGAAGATAGAAAAACAAACAAACAAACCTTGAATTCCAGCAGGAGGGAGAAAAAAGGCAGCTATTTTGAAATATACCAGAGCATTCAATTCTTGTTAACAAGGTCAATCCTCAAGAGACGCTATTTTACTAGAGTAAACTACTGGGCTTTTATCAGAACCTAACCAACTTTGGGTAAAGAAAAATAACCAACTTCAGCCTCTCCTAGCCATCCTGTGCACCAAATGGTGGGAAACTGAGGAGAACTTGTGCAGGTCACAGCCAAAAGACACAGACTCACAAAAAGAATGACACTTAATCATAAGACAACAGATTGCTACTTTCACCCTATGCCTTACCATCATATGACTAAGTTCTATTCGTCTTCAGTACCTTTTACCCAGTATATCATATCTGGCTTTCAACAAAGAATTACAAGACACACTACCAGACAAAAAAAAACACTGTTTGAAGAGCCAGAGCAAGCATCAGAACCAGACTCAAATATGGAAGGAATGATGCAATTCTCAAACTGAGAATTTAAAACGACCATGATAAATACGCTAAGAGCTCTAATGGAAAAAGTAGACAGCAATAAAGAACAGATGTCCAATGTAAGACGATACATATAAATTCTAATAAATAATTTTTAATGATATAAATTAAAAAACTAAAAAATGAAAAATATATGTATGAGTTTATTAGTAGTCTAGACACAGCTAAAGAAATTCAGTGAGTTTAATTATATGTTAATAGAAATATTCAAAACTGAAAAATCAAGAGGAATAAAAGTGAAAAATAAAAAAGAAGTAAAAGAATATCCAAGAATAGTGTAAAACTACAAAAGGTGTAATTTATGATGGATACTTTCATGTGCATCCGTGTGAAGAGACCACCAAATAGGCTTTGTGTGAGCAACAAGGCTGTTTATTTCACCTGGGTGCAGGTGGGCTGAGTCTGAAAAGAGAGCAAAGGGAGATAGGGGTGGGGCCGTTTTATAAGATTTGGGTACGTAAAGGAAAATTACAGTCAAAGGGGGTTGTTCTCTGGTGGGCAGGAGTGGGGGTCACAAGGTACTCAGTGGGGGAGCTTTTGAGCCAGGATGAACCAGGAGAAGGAGTTTCACAAGACAATGTCATCAGTTAAGGCAGGAACAGGCCATTTTCACTTCTTTTGCGGTGGAATGTCATCAGTTAAGGCAGGAACGGGCCATCTGGATGTGTACGTGCAGGTCACAGGGGATATGATGGCTTAGCTTGGGCTCAGAGGCCTGACATTCCTGTCTTCTTATATTAATAAGAAAAATAAAAGGAAATAGTGGTAAAGTGTTGGGACGGCGAAAATTTTGGGGGATGGTATGAAGAGATAATGGGCGATGTTTCTCAGGGCTGCTTTGACCCGGATTAGGGGCGGCATGGGAACCTAGAGTGGGAGAGATTAAGCTGAAGGAAGATTTTGTGGTAAGGGGTGATATTGTGATGTTGTTAGAAGGAACATTTGTCATTTAGAATTATTGGTGATGGCCTGGATACGGTTTCATATGAATTGAAAAACTAAATGGAATAAGAGAAGGAGAAAAACAGGTATTAAAAGTCTAAGAATTGAGACGACCCAGGACATCTAATTAGAGTGCCTAAGGAGATTCAGCATAGTTCTGCCAGCAAAGATTATTTATTTACTTCAAGAATTAAGAGTGGCAGTTTGGGGATAGCACCAGGAGATATCCGCTGTGATGGCTTGGAGAAACAGTGTAAACCGGCAGTGTAAACAAGAGCAGGGCATGTATGAGTAGTTGAGAACGGTGAATAGAAGTATGACTAGACAGAAGATAGAAGGGATGACAAGTTTTCTGGGGCACAGTCTAAGTTGGTCTGGTGTCTGGAATGAGACTGGGGATTAATAAAAAGGAGCGTCCATACAGGAGCTCAAATGGGCTGTACCCTGTAGCATTCCGAGGACAGGCCTGAATTCTGAGACAAGAAAGAGGTAAAAATATTGTCCAGTCCTTTTTAAGTTGGTGGCTGAGCTTGGTGAGGTATGTTTTTAAAAGACCATTAGTCCACTCTACCTTTCCTGAAGACTGAGGACTGTAAGGGATATAAAGATTTCACTGAATACCAAGAGCCTGAAAAACTGCTTGGCTGATTTGACTAATAAAGCCCAGTCTACTATCAAACTGTGTAGAGGTGGGAAGGTCAAACCGAGTAATTGTGTCTGACAGAAGGGAAGAAATGACCATGGTGGCCTTCTTAGATCCTGTTGGAAAGGCCTCTACCTATCCAGTGAAAGTGTCTACCTAGACTAAGAGGTATTTTAGTTTCCTGACTCGG
The DNA here is from genome assembly GCF_000001405.40 of Homo sapiens. NCBI lineage: Eukaryota > Metazoa > Chordata > Mammalia > Primates > Hominidae > Homo > Homo sapiens. The sequence continues at coordinate 48,256,660 of NC_000014.9, forward strand.
GGCATGTTGAGTAAAGCTAATTTGCCAGTCCTCGGTGGGGGCAAATCCCTGAGCTTGATGTGTAGGGAAGGGAGGGGGGCCTGAATAATCCCTGAGGAGTAGTAGCATAGCAGATGGAACACTGAGAAGTTATTTCCTTGAGGATAGAGTTCCATGATGGAAAGGAAATGAGAAGTTCTAAGAGGTGGGCTAATGGCTTGTACTATAGCATAGCCTGCCTTTGCTGGTGTGTGGTGATTAGGCCTGGTGGAACTGCCATCAATAAACCAAGTGTGATCAGGGTGAGAAACAGGGAAGAAGGAAATGTGGGGAAATGGGATGAACATCAGGTGGATCAGAGAGATACAGTCATGAGGGTCAGGTGTGGTATCAGGAATAATGTGCGAGACCTGATTGAAGCCCGGGCCAGGAACAATGGTAATTGTGGGAGACTCAACACAGAGTGAGTACAGCTGAAGAAGCTGGGGGAGCAGAAAGTATATGCATCAGGTGTGAGGAAGAAAATAGATTTTGGAAATTATGAGAGCTGTAGACAGTGAGTTGAGCATAGTTTCTGATTTTAAGGGCCTCTAAAAGTATTAGGGTGGCAGCAGCCACTGCACGGAGACATGATGGCCAGCCTAAAACAGTAAGGTCAAGTTGTTTGGACAAAAAGGCTACAGGATGCGATCCCGGTCCTTGTGTAACAATTCCAACTGCACAGCCCTGCACTTTGGCTGTGTGTAATGAAAAGGGTTGCAATGAGTCAGGGAGAGCTAGGGTGGGGGCAGTCTCTAAAGCTGTCTTCAAGGAATGGAAAGAGGAGTGGGGAAAAGATTTAGGATCTATGGGGTCAGCTAGGTTTCCTTTTGTGAGTTTATATAATGGTTTTGTTAGGATGGCAAAACCAGGTATCCAAAGGCAAAAGTATCCAACCATGCCCAGGAAGGAAAGGAGTTGTTGTTTTGTAGAAGGGATTGGGGTTTGGGAGATTAGCCAGACACAATCAGCAGGGAGAGCACATGTGTTTTTATGAGAATTATGCCGAGATAGGTAACGGATAAGGAAGAAATTTGGGCTTGACTGAAATAATGGGGGCTGTCTGTGAAGCTTTGCGGCAGTACAGCCCAGGTAATTTGCTGAGTTTGATGGGTGTCAGGGTCAGTCCAGGTGAAAGCAAAGAGAGGCTGGGATGAAGGGTGCAAAGGAATAGTAAAGAAAGCATGTTTGAGATCCAGAAGAGAATGGATTGTGGAGGGAGGTATTGAGGATAGGAGAGTATATGGGTTTGGCACCACGGGGTGGATAGGAAAAACAATTTGGTTGATAAGGCATAGATCCTGAACTAACTTATAAGGCTTGTCTGGTTTTAGGACAGGTAAAATGGGGGAATTGTAAGGAGAGTTTATAGGCTTTAAAAGGCCATGCTGTAGCAGGCAAGTGATAACAGGCTTTAATCCTTTCAAAGCATGGTGTGGGATGGGATCTTGGCACTGAGCCGTGTAAGGGTGATTAGGTTTTAATGAGATGGTAAGGGGTGCATGATCGGTCACCAAGGAGGGAGTAGAGGTATCTTATACTTGTGGTTTAAGGTGGAGGGATGCAAGAGGAGGACGCAAAGGAGGCTTTGGATTGGGAAGAAGGGTGGCAACGAGATGTAGCTGTAGTCCAGGAATAGTCAGGGAAGCAGATAATTTAGTAAAAGTGTCTCAGCCTAATAAGGGAACTGGGCAGGTGGGGATAACTAAAAAGGAGTGCTTAAAAGAGTATTGTCTAAGTTGGCACCAGAGTTGGGGAGTTTTAAGAGGTTTAGAAGCCTGGCCGTCAATACCCACAACAGTTATGGAGGCAAGGGAAACAGGCCCTTGAAAAGAAGGTAATGGGGAGTGGGTAGCCTCTGTATTGATTAAGAAGGGGATGGACTTACCCTCCACTGTGAGAGTTACCTAAAGCTTGGCGTCCGTGATGGTCTCCGGGGCTTCCGAGGCGATTGGGCAGCGTCAGTCTTCAGCCGCTAAGCTGAGAAGATCTTGGAAGGAGTCAGTCAGAGAGCCTTGGGCCAGAGTTCCACGGGCTCTGGGAGTGGCTGCCAGGTGAGTTGAACGTCCGATTTCCAGTGGGGTCCCGCACAGATGGGACACGGCTTAGGAGGAATCCCAGGCTGCAGGCATTCCTTGGCCTGGTGGCCAGATTTCTGGCACTTGTAGCAAGCTCCTGGGGGAGGCGTTTCTGGAGGAATGCCTGGCCACTGCGGTTTAGGCGTTTGAAAGTTCTTGTGTGCTGGAGATGTGGCTGGGGTTTGTCTCACAGTGGAGGCAAGGAATTGCCTCCACTCAGAAATATGTTGCTACTTGGCTGCCTTTATTATTGTACACCTTGAAGGAGAGGTTAATTAAGTCTTGTTGTGGGGTTTGAGGGCTGGAATTTAATTTTTGGAGTTTTATTTAATGTCGGGAGCAGATTGGGTAATAAAATGTATTTTGAGAATAAGACGGCCTTTTGACCTTTTAGGGTCTAGGGCTGTAATGCATCTCAGGGTTGCTGCCAAACGAGCCATGAACTGGGCTGAGTTTTTATATTTTATGAATAAGAGCCTAAATGCTATCTGATTTGGGATAAAGAAAAAGGAGCATTAACCCTGATTATGCCTTTAGCTCCAGCCAGCTTTTTAAGAGTAAATTGCTGGGCAGGTGGGGGAGGGGCTAGTCATGGAATGAAACTGTAAGCCAGACCAGGTTTGAGGAGGGGAGGTGATAAAAGGATTTATAGGGTGGAGGAGCCGAGGCTGAGGAAGAATTAGGACCTAGCTCGGCCTGGCGAGGAGGGGAGAGGTCAGATGGGTCTGTAGAAAAGGAAGATTTAGAAAGACTCAGCGATGCTTGGGGTTGGGACTGAGGGGACCAGTGGGAGGGAAAGAAGGAAGATTTGGGATGAGTTGCATTGGGAACAGAGACTAGAGAAGGATCGATGTGTGAAAGAATGCCTGGACATCAGGCACCTCAGACCGTTTGCCTATTTTAAGACAAGAATTATTTAGATCTTGTAGGATGGAAAAATTGAAATTGCCATTTTCCGGCTATTTGGAACTACTGTCGAGTTTGTATTGGGGTCAAGTAGCATTGCAGAAGAAAATAAGACGCTTAGGTTTTAGGCCAGGTGAGAGTTGAAGAGGTTTTAAGTTCTTAAGAACACAGGCTAAGGGAGAAGAAGGAGGAATGGAAGGTGGAAGCTTGCCCATAGTGAAGGAGGCAAGCCCAGAGAAAAGAGAGTAGAGACATGGAGAAGGGGTGGGGGGTTCTTGCCCTCCAGAAAAGCAGAGAAGGGGTCGGGGCACAGAAATAAGGGATCAGGGAGCAGAGATAAGAGGTCGGGGCATGGAAATATGGGATTGGGGCACAGAGATAAGAGGTCAGGTTTCCTGCCCCTCCCCTAGAAATGCGGGACTTGCCGCTAAGGGTGAAGGACCAAGGCAGGCATCCCTTCCTGGTCTGGCACCTCTGAAACCTGGGTGAATAATCAGAGAGATGCCCCTGCAATGATTAAACACCAAGGGAAGGCTGCCTTCCCAGTCTGTGGCCAGCGCCGGTGTATTGGGTCCACGGATAAAACGTGTCTTCTTTGTCTCTACCAGAAAATGAAAGGAATTGAAATTGAGAGAAGGGAGAGATTGAAGTGTGGCGCCAAGATTGAAAGGAGAAAGAGGTTGAGGGATAGTGAGAGAGGTTGGAGAAGACAGTAAAAAGTGGCCGCTTACCGGATTTAAAATTGGTGAGATGTTCCTTGGGCTGGTTGGTCTGAGGACCAGAGGTTGTAGGTGGATCTTTCTCACAGAGCAAAGAGCAGGAGGACAGGGTATTGATTTCCCAAGGGAGGTCCGCTGATCTGAGTCACGGCACCAAATTTCACTCACATCCATGTGAAGAGACCACCAAACAGGCTTTGTGTGAGCAATAAGGCTGTTTATTTCACCTGGGTGCAGGCGGGCCGAGTCCGAAGAGAGTCAGCGAAGGGAGATAGGGGTGGGGCTGTTTTATAAGATTTGGGTACATAAAGGAAAAAGGGGGGTTGTTCTCTGGCAGACAGGAGTAGGGGTCACAAGGTGCTCAGTAGGGGAGCTTTTGAGCCAAGATGAGCCAGGAGAAGGAATTTCACAAGATAATGCCATCAGTTAAGGCAGGAACAGGCCATTTTCATTTCTTTTGTGGTGGAATGCCATCAGTTAAGGCAGGAACCAGCCATCTGGATGTGTACGTGCAGGTCACAGGGGATATGATGGCTTAGCTTGGGCCCAGAGGCCTGACAGATACCAGAAGGAGAACATAGAGGAAAGAGGACAGAAGAAACATTTGAGCTATTTTGGCTCATGCAGAGAAGAAACATTTGAAGAATAATAATTGAAAAAATTCCCCAAATTAATGTCATTTACCAAACCACAGATAGTATCAGAAACTCAGAGAATACCAAGCAGGAAAAAAATGCCAAAAATCTACACCTAGGCATATTATGTAAAAACTATAGCAACCGAAAGATAAAGAAAACAAACAGGAATAAACACCTTACCTATAGAAAAGCAGGGATAAAAATTATATCCGACTTTTACTCGAAATCATGCAAGTAAGAATAGAGCAGAGTGAAATATTTTAAGTGGAGAAGGTTGCGGAGAGGAACAACATACAATTCTGTAGTCTGTAAGTTATTCTAGAGTGAAGGATAAATTGGCCTTCTAAAATAAGCAACAATTGAGAAAATTTATTGCCAGTAGATTTTCCTTGCTAGAAATGTAGGAAAATACTCTTTAAAGGCAAGGAAAAAGGATCTAGGTCAGAAACTTAGATCTACATAAAGGAAAAGTGCTAAAGAAAGAATAAGTAAAGGAAAATAAAACTTTTATTCTTTATATTCTGGTTCAATCTAAGAGATAACAGTTTTTAAAAAGTAACAATAGAAACAATGTATTCAATTATCATAGCATATGCATAAGTGAAGTGAATGAGAGCAATGCTACAATGGAGTGGAGGGAGAAATTCAGAATACTTTGTTATTATAAAGTACTAGCACTACCCGTGAAGCCATATAGTTTTGGAAATTGACTTATTCATAAAAGTATATTGCAAGATTTAGGGCAACCACTACAATAAAAAGATGTTTTTTAATATACATAATAGTTGTACATATTTATGGGGTACATGTGTTATTTCGTTACAAGTATACAATGTGCAATGATCAAATCAGGGTAATTGGGATATCTATTACCTTACAATTTATCATCTCTTTTGTATTAGGAAAATTCCAATTACTTTCTTTTAGTTATTTTGAAATATAAACTAAATATTTAGCTATATTAACCCTATTGTGCTACAAAATGCTACATGTTATTTCTTCCACCTAATTGTATTTTTGCACTCATTAACAATTCCCACTTTATTTACCTCTCCCCACTACCCTTCCCAGTTTTGGTAACAATCATTCTACTCTCTATGAGTTCAATTTAATTTTTTTCTCACATATCAGTGAGAAGATGTGTCTTTCTGTTCCTGGATAATTTCACTTAACATAATGACCTGTAATTCCAACCATGTTGTTGCAAATGACAGAATTTGATTATTTTTTATTGCTGAATAATATTCCATGGTGTATATGTACCATATTTTCTTGATGCATTCATCTGTCAATGAACACTCAGGTTGTTCCACGTCTTGCTATTTTGAATAATGCTGCAATAAACACAGGAATGCGAATACTCTTTTGATATATTTTTCATGCACGTCCGTGTGAAGAGACTACCAAACAGGCTTTGTGTGATCAATAAAGCTGTTTATTTCACCTGGGTGCAGATGGGCTGAATCTGAAAAGAGAGCGAAGGGAGATAGGGGTGGGGCCGTTTTATAAGATTTGGGTACGTAAAGGAAAATTACAGTCAAAGAGGATTGTTCTCTGGTGGGCAGGAGTGGGGGTCACAAGGTACTCAGTGGGGGAGCTTTTGAGCCAGGATGAACCAGGAGAAGGAGTTTCACAAGACAATGTCATCAGTTAAGGCAGGAACAGGCCATTTTCACTTCTTTTGTGGTGGAATGTCATCAGTTAAGGCAGGAACGGGCCATCTGGATGTGTACGTGCAGGTCACAGGGGATATGATGGCTTAGCTTGGGCTCAGAGGCCTGACATTCCTGTCTTCTTATATTAATAAGAAAAATAAAATGAAATAGTGGTAAAGTGTTGGGACAGTGAGAATTTTGGAGGATGGTATGGAGAGATAATGGGCAATGTTTCTCAGGGCTGCTTTGACCGGGATTAGGGGCGGCATGGGAACGCAGAGTGGGAGAGTTTAAACCGAAGGAAGATTTTGTGGTAAGGGGTGATATTGTGGTGTTGTTAGAAGGAACATTTGTCATTTAGATTATTGGTGATGGCCTGGATACAGTTTTGTATGAATTGAAAAACTAAATGAAATAAGAGAAGGAGAAAAACAGGTATTAAAGGTCTAAGAATTCGGACGACTCAGGATATCTGATTAGAGAGTGCCTAAGGAGGTTCAGCATAGTCCTGTCAGCAAAGATTATTTATTTACTTCAAGAGTTAAGAGTGGCAGTTTGGGGATAGCACTAGGAGATAACAGCTGTGATGGCTTGGAGAAACAGTGTAAACCGGCAGTGTAAACAAGAGCAGGGCATGTATGAGTAGTTGAGAACAGTGAATAGGAGTATGACTAGACAGAAGATAGTAGGGATGACAAGTTGTTTTGGGGCACAGTCTAAGTTGGTCTGGTGTCTGGAATGAGACTGGGGCCTAATAAAAAGGATCATCTATACAGGAGCTTAAATGGGCTGTACCTTGTAGCATTCTGAAGACATGCCTGAATTCTGAGAAAGGAAAGTGGTAAAAGTATTGTCCAGTCCTTTTTAAATTGGTGGCTGAGCTTGGTGAGGTGTGTTTTTAAAAGACTTTTAGTCTGTTCTACTTTTCTTGAAGAAGGAGGACCGTAAGGGATATAAAGGTTTCACTGAATACTAAGAGCCTGAAAAAATGCTTGGCTGATTTGACTATAAAAGGCTGGTCTGTTATCAGACTGTATAGAGGTGGGAAGGCTAAACTGAGGAATTATGTCTGACAGAAGGGAAGAAATGACTGCGGTGGCCTTCTCAGACCCTGTAGGAAAGGCCTCTACCTATCCAGTGAAAGTGTCTACCTAGACTAAGAGGTATTTCAGTTATCTGACTTGGGGCATGTTGAGTAAAGCTAATTTGCCAGTCCTGGGTGGGGGCAAATCCTTGAGCTTGATGTGTAGGGAAGGGAGGGGGCCTGAATAATCCCTGAGGAGTAGTAGAATAGCAGGTGGAACACTGAGAAGTTATTTCCTTGAGGATAGATTTCCATGATGGAAAGGAAATGAGAGGTTCTAAGAGGCGGGCTAGTGGCTTGTACTATAGCATAGCCTGCCTTTGCTGGTGTGTGGTGATTAGGACTGGTGGAACTGCCATCAATAAACTAAGTGTGATCAGGGTGAGAAACAGGGAAGTAGGAAATGTGGGGAAATGAGGTGAATATCAGGTGGATCAGAGAGATACAGTCATGAGGGTCAGGTGTGGTATCAGGAATAATGTGCAAGGCCAGATTGAAGCCCGGGCCAGAAACAATGGTAATTGTGGGACTTAACAAAGAGTGAGTACAGCTGAAGGAGCTGGGGAGCAGAAAGTATATGCGTCAGGTGTGAGGAAGAAAATAGATTTTGGAAGTTATGAGAAATGTAGAGAGTGAGATGAGCATAGTTTGTGATTTTTAGGGCCTCTAAAAGTATTAAAGCAGCCACAGCCATTGCATGCAGACCTGAGGGCTAGGCTAAAAGAGTAAGGTCAAGTTGTTAGGACAGAAAGGCTACAGGGTGCCATCCTGGCTCTTGTGTAAGAATTCTGACCACACTAACCATCCCTAGGAAGGAAAGGAGTTGTTGTTTTGTAAGGGATTGAGGTTTGGGAGATTAATCGGACACGATAAGCAGGGAGAGCACGTGTGTTTTATGAGAATTATGCCAAGATAGGTAACAGATGAGGATGAAATTTGGGCTTGACTGAAGTAATGAGGGCTATCTGTGAAGCCTTGCGGCAGTACAGCCTAGGTAATTTGCTGAGCCTAATGGGTGTCCGGGTCAGTCTAAGTGAAAGCGAAGAGAGGCTGGGATGAAGGTTGCAAAGGAATAGTAAAGAAAGCATGTTTGAGATCTAGAACAGAATAATGGGTTGTGGAGGGAGGTATTGAGGATAGGAGAGTATATGGGTTCGGCACCACGGGGTGTATAGGCAAAACAATTTAGTTGATAAGGCACAGATCCTGAACTAATCTGTAAGACTTGTCCAGTTTTTGGACAGGTAAAATGGGGGAATTGTAAGGAGAGTTTATAGGCTTTAAAAGACCATGCTGTAGCAGGCGAGTGATAACAGGCTTTAATCCTTTTAAAGCGTGCTGTGGGATGGGATCTTGGCATTGAGCGGGGTAAGGGTGATTAGGTTTTAATGAGATGGTAAGGGGTGCATGATCGGTCGCCAAGGAGGGAGTAGAGGTATCTTATCCTTGTGGTTTAAGGTGGGGGGATACAAGAGGAGGACACAAAGGAGGCTTTGGATTGGAAAGAAGGGCGGCAATGAGATGTAGCTGTAATCCAGGAATGGTCAGGGAAGCAGATAATTTAGTTAAATTATCTGCCTAATAAGGCAGCCTAATAAGGGAACTGGGCAGGTGGGGATAACTAAAAGGAGTGCTTAAAAGAGTATTGTCTAAGTTGGCACCAGAGTTGGGGAGTTTTAAGAGGTTTAGAAGCCTGGCTGTCAATATCTAAAACAGTTATGGAGGCAAGGGAAATAGGCCCTTGAAAAGAAGGTAATGTGGAGTGAGTAGCCTCCGTATTGATTAAGAAGGGGACTGGCTTACCTTCTACTGTGAGAGTTATCTGAAGCTCGGCATCCGTGATGGTCTAGGGGGCTTCTGAGGCTATTGGGCAGCGTCAGTCTTCAGCCACTAAGCCAAGAAGATCTGGGAAGGAGTCAGAGAGCCTTGGGCCAGAGTTCCAGGGGCTCTGGGACTGGCTGCCAGGTGAGTTGGACAGTGCGATTTCCAGTGGGGTCCTGCACAGATGGGACATGGCTTAGGAGGAATCCCAGGCTGCAGGCATTCCTTGGCCTGGTGGCCAGATTTCTGGCACTTGTAGCAAGCTCCTGGGGGGGGAGGTTCTGGAGGAATGCCTGGCTGCTGCGGTTCAGGCGTTTGGAAGTTCTTGTGTGCTGGAGATGTGGCTGGGGTTTGTCTCACAGTGGAGGCAAGGAATTGCAACTTTTTTCTATTATTGTACACCTTGAAGGCAAGGTTAATTAAATCCTGTTCTGGGGTTTGAGGGCCGGAATTTAATTTTTGTTTTATTTAATGTCGGGAGCAGATTGGGTAATAAATTGTATTTTGTGAATAAGACGGCCTTTTGACCTTTTAGGGTCTAGGGCTGTAAAGCGTCTCAGGGTTGCTGTCAAACGAGTCATGAACTGGGCTGGATTTTTATATTTGATGAAAAAGAGCCTAAACGCTATCTGATTTGGGATAAAGAAAAAGGAACATTAACCTTGATTATGCCTTTAGCTCCAGCCAGCTTTTTAAGGGTAAATTGCTGGGCAAGTGGGGGAGGGTTAGTCATGGAATGAAACTGTAAACCAGACCAGGTGTGAGGAGGGGAGGTGATAAAAGGATTATAGGGTGGAGGAGCCGAGGCTGAGGAAGAATTGGGACCTAGCTTGGCCTGGCAAGAAGCAGCCTGGGGAGGAGGGGAGACGTCAGATGGATCTGTAGAAAAGGAAGATTAGAAAGACTCAGTGACACTTGGGGTTGGGACTGAGGGGACAGGCGGGAGGGAAAGAAGGAGGATTTGGGATGAGTTGCCTTGGGAAGAGAGACTAGAGAGGGACCGATGTGTAAAAGAATGCCTGGATGTCAGGCACCTCAGACCATTTGCCTATTTTATGACAAGAATTATTTAGATCTTGCAGGATGGAAAAATTGAAAGTGCCGTTTTCCAGCTATTTGGAACTACTGTCCAGTTTGTATTGGAGTCAAGTGGCATTGCAGAAGAAAATAAGATGCTTAGATTTTAGATCAGGTGAGAGTTGAAGAGGTTTTTAAGTTCTTAGAACACAGGCTAGGGAGAAGAAGGAGGAATGGAAGGTGGAAGCTTGCTCATAGTGAAGGAGGCAAGCCCAGAGAAAAGAGAGTAGAGACATGGAGAAGGGGTGGGGGGTTCTTGCCCTCCAGAAAAGCAGAGAAGGGGTCGGGGCGCAGAGATACGAGGTTGAGGTGTGGAAATAAGGGATCAGGGTGCAGAGATATAAGAGGTTGGGGAGCAGAAATAAGGGATGGGGTGCAGAGATATAAGATGGGGCACGGAAATAAGGGATCGGGGTGCAGAGATATAAGAGGTTGGGGTGCAGAAATAAGGGATCAGGGTGCAGAGATATAAGAGGTCGGGGCGCAGAAACGGGATCGGGGCGCAGAGATATAAGAGGTTGGGCTGTGGAAATAGGAGATCGGGGCTCAGAGATATAAGATGTCGGGGAGTGGAAATAAGGGATCAGGGCACAGAGATAGGAGGTTGGGGTACTTGTCCCTCCCCCAGAAAAGCGGGACTTGCCGCTCAGGGTGAAGGAGAAGGGGTTTGTGGTTTCTTGCCCCTCAGAAAGGCAGAGAAGGGGTAGAGACATGGAGAGAAGGTGTTGGGGTACTTGACCCTACCCCAGAAAAGCAGGACTTGCCGCTAAGGCTGAATGACGAAGGCAGGCATCCCTGCGTGGTCTGACACCTCTGAAACCTGGGTGAATAATCAGAGGGGTCCCTGCAATGATTAAACACCAAGGGAAGGCTGCCTTTGCAGTCCATGACCGGGGCCGGAGTTTTGGGTCCACAGATAAAACATGTCTCCTTTGTCTCTACCAGAAAATAAAGGGAATTGAAATTAAAAGAAGGGAGAGATTGAAGTGTGGTGCCAAGATTGAAAGGAGAAAGAGGCTGAGGCATAGTGAGGGAGGTTGGAGAACAGAGTAAAAAGAGGCCACTTACCGGATTTGAAATTGGCGAGATGTTTCTTGGGCTGGTTGGTCTGAGGACCTGAGGTCGTAGGGGGATCTTTCTCACAGAGCAAAGAGCAGGAGGACTGGGTATTGATCTCCCAAGGGAGGTCCCCCGATCCAAGTCACGGTACCAAATTTCATGCGCGTCCGTGTGAAGAGACCACCAAACAGGCTTTGTGTGAGCAATAAAGCTGTTTATTTCACCTGGGTGCAGGTGGGCTGAGTCTGAAAAGAGAGTCAGTGAAGGGAGATAGGGGTGGGGCTGTTTTATAAGATTTGGGTAGGTAAACGAAAATTACAGTCAAACGGGGTTGTTGTCTGGCGGGCAGGAGTGGGGGTCACAATGTACTCAGTGGGGGAGCCTTCAAGCCAGGATGAGTCAGGAGAAGGAATTTCACAAGACAATGTCATTAGTTAAGGCAGGAACAGGCCATTTTCACTTATTTTGTGGTGGAATGTCATCACTTAAGGCAGGAATGGGCTATCTGGATGTGTACGTGCAGGTCACAGGGGATATGATGGCTTAGCTTAGGCTCAGAGGCATGACAATATTGTTGTCCTTTCTTTTGGATATATATCCAGCATGGGATTATTGTATTACATGATAGAGGTATTGTAAGTTTTTTGAGGAACTTTAAAACTGTTTTCCATAGTGGCTGCACTGATTTACATTTTTGCTAACAGTCTATGAGGGTTCCCCTTTCCCCATATTCTTGCTGTATCTGTTATTATCTGACTTTTTGGTAAAAGCCATTTTAACTGGGGTGAGATAATATCTCATTGTGGTTTTAACTTGCACTTCTTTGATCAATAGTGATGTTGAGCATTTGTATGTACTTATTTGCTATTTGTATGTCTTTTGAGAAATGTCTATTCAGATATTTTGCCTATTTTTAAAATTGGATTTTTTCCTGTGGATTTGTTTGAGCTCCTTATATATTCTAGTTATTAATCCCTTGTCAGATGGGTAGTTCACAAAGATTTCTTGAGTGAAACCTCAAAAGCACAAGCAACTGAAGCAAAAATTGATAGTAGTATCATATCAAGCCAAAAGCTTTTATACAGCATATGAATCAGAAAAGTGCAGAGACAACCCACAGGATGAAAGAAAATATTTGTAAAAGAAAAAATGTTTTAAAAAGGAAGTATAATTGATATATCAAGAAAAGGAAACAAAATATAATCATATAAAATGTTCAATTAAAACCACAAAAGGTAGAAAAATGGTGAAAGACAAAAATAAAAATGAATTATAAGGGTGATGAATAGAAAGCATACATAAATATGGTAGATATTAATCAAACTACATCAATTATCACTTTAAATGTGAATGGTATTAATATTCCACTTAAAAGACAGATATTGTCAGAGTGGAACAAAATCTGACCCAACTATATGTTGTCTACAATAAACACCCTTTAAATATCAAGACACATATAGATTAAAAGTAAAGGCATGGAGAAAGATATACCACTATAAAACTAGTCAAAAGAAAGTTGGAGGAGCTGTGTTAATTTCAGATAGAGCAAACTTCAGAGCAAGAAAAATTATCAGTGGTCAATTCTTCGGGAAGAAAAAAAACCCTTAATGTGTATGTGAATAATAACAGAGCATCAAAATACATGAGGCAAATAGTAATAGCACTTCAAGGAGAAATCAATGAATCAGATATTATAGTTGGAGACTTCAATGCCCATTTATTAGATCTAACAGGCAGAAAAGGCAGGAGAGATATGGTTGAACTCAACAGCACCATTAATTCACTGGATATAATTTGCATCTGTAGACTACTTTATCCAACAAAGTGAATACATATGTTTCTCAAGCCCACATTGAACTTTTTCTAAGAGAGATCACATTTCTGTTAGAATGTGAAAACTCACCTTAACAAATTTTTAAAAATAGATATATAATGAATGCTCTAAGAAAACAATGGCATTAAACTGGAAATAAGTAACCAAAAAGATAGCTGAAAGTACTTGGAAATTAAACAAAATACCTGGAAATTAAACACCACATTTCTAAATAATATATAAGTCTAATAATAAGTCACAAAGGGTTTCTAAAAATTATTTTGAAAATAAAAATACAATTTATCAAACTTTGTAGGATGCAGGAAAAGTAGTGCTCATAGAAAAATATATAGCATTGAAATAATATGTTAGAAAATAAAAAAGATCTAAAATTAGTAATCTAAATTTCCACCTTAGAAAATTAAAAAAGGAAGAGCAAATGAGTTCCAAACTTACTAGAAGAAAAGGAATAATAAAAATTAGAGGCAAAATTGAAAAAAAAAAAGTGCTAGTAGAGAAAATCAACAACAATAGAAGTTGGTTCTTTCAAAAGATTCATAAAATCAATAAGCCTCTAGGCAGTCTACCTAAGAGAAAAAAGAGTGAAGGGACAAATTAGTATGATCACAAATGAAAGAGAGGACATCAACTGCAGCTCACAAGCACATTTAAAGAATAATAAAAATGATGAATAATCCTATGCACACACATTTGGTAACTTAGGTGCAATGAATGAATTCCTTGAAAGTTACAATCTTGCAAAATTCACACAAAAGGAAATAACCTGAACTGCCCTATATCTATTAGGTAAATTAAATCAGTAAATGATAATGTTATACAACAGAAAGTACCAGGCCCAGATGTGTTCTTTGGTGAATTTTACCAGACATTTAAAGAAGAAATTATACCAATTCTCTACAATGTCTTCCAATAAATAGAAGTAGAGGGATAGTTCATAACTCTTTCTATAAGTTCAGAATTAACCTAACACCAAAAACCAAAGGAGCAAAGGCAATATAATAGAGAAAAGTAGTCTTTTCAACAAATGGTGCTGGAACAACTGGACATTCACATGCAAACAAACCAATAAAAATGAATTCACAGACAGACCTTACATTCCTCAAAATATTAATTTTAATAATATTTTAATATAATATTAATCAGTCATAAATATACAGTGCAAAAATATAAAACTCCCAGAGGGTAATATAGACAAAATCTAGATGGCTTTAGGTTTGGTGATGACTTTTTAGATACAACAACAAAGCACAATCCATGAGAGAAATAGTTGATAAATTGGACTTTCTTAAAATTAAAAACTTTTTCTCTGTGAAAGGTACTGTTAAGAAAATGAGAATGTAAGCCACAGACTTGGAGAAAACCTTTGCAAGACATACCTGATAAAGAATAGTTGTGCGAAATATACAGAGAACTCTTAAGACTCAAACATAAGAAAAAAACATTAAAAATTGGGCAAAAGATCTGAACAGACACTTATTCAAAGATGATATACGTATAGCAAATAAGCACATGAAAAGATGCTTAACATCATATGTCATCAAAAAATTGTAAATTAAATGAGATACTGCTACATATGAGTTAGGATAGCAAAAGTCCAAAACACTGACACCACCAAATGCTGAAGGAGTGGAGCTGCAGAAACTCTCATTCACTGCTGGTGGGAATGCTATGACAACCACTCTTGAAGACAGTTTGAGTTTCTTACAATACTAAATATACTCTTACCATATAATCTCCTTGATATGTAATTGAGTTGAAAACTAAGTTCCATGCAAATACCAGCCCATGGATGTTTATAGCAGCATTATTCATAATTGCCTAAACTGGGTAGCAGCCAAGATATCCTTTAGCAGGTGACTGACAGAATAAACTGTGGTATATCCAGGCAATGAAATATTTATTCATTGCTAAAAAGAAATGAGTTATCAAACCATGTACCCTAATGTAAACTATGGACTTTAGTGTATAACGATGTGTCAATAGAAGTTCGTCAATTGTTACAAATGCACCACTTTTGTGGGGGATGTTGACAGTGGGGAAAGCTGTGCCTATGCAAGGGAAGGGGGTTCATGAGCATTATCTGTACTGTTATCTTAATTTTGCTATGAGCCTAAAACAGCCCTAAAATAATCTATTTTAAAAATATAAATTTTAAAAGGAACCTTAAAATATATCTATTATTCCTTTGAATAATTAGAAATTTCTCAGACTCACACTTTTTTGGTGTTAGGTGGGAAAGTAGGCCTAGTTCTAGCCAATGGGCTTTGGGTATAAATTTTGTCCAGAGTATGTAAGAGTAATAGATCCTCTACCTGACATGGCCATAGCCTCCCTTGGCCTGAATTGCTTAATTACGGTATGGATAACAGATGTTTTGGATCTGCAGTGGATTTTACTGCAACTGAGCAAGCAAGAGACCTTTGTTGTATTAAGCCACTGAGATTCATGGGTTTGTGGCTATCCCAACATAATATAGACCATCTTGATTAATACCATGGTTTGAACGTTTTCAAAATCTAGATGCACACATTTGTGTATGTATGGGTGTTGTATATATTAATGAATATCCTAGTAGAGTAAATAAGACATAAACACTGAACTAGAATATTATGAAGTTGGCTTATTTAAATATCATGTTTTATATGAGAAAATGCATTGGTCTTGAACTGAAAAACTCTTGTCATATAAGTTAAAAAGAAAAATAAGAAATAAATAGGAGATGGACTTTAGTCGTAGCTTAAATCAAACTTTTGCATTGGAATTTTACAGCTCCTTTATTTGAGAAGTATAAAAAATACTGATAAATATTACTACAAAATGATTTACGGGTTGTATGTACACAATGGGATAACATACAAGTTATACATGCTAATATAAGGGAGGAAATACATTAAAAAGATGTTTTTATTCAAGAACAGAAAACTAGCCTTTGAATGTAACTATAAGCTTTTTTTTCCCTACCATTACTATTTAATTGCCTCTCTTATACATTCTTTAGAGGTTTTTGAGAGAAAGTTTTTTGCTTTTAAACTTAACAAATAAATTAAAAACATAAAATAGCTCTTTCTTTCAATAAATGTCACATATAAATTTCTAGACTCAAAACAATAGGAAGAGTTGGGTAATTTGTTAGCAATCCATCATCACCACCTGGCATTTCTACTTTCAAAGTAGCTCTTCAATCACAAAAGACACAGTTTTACTCCCATGTTTAAAATTATATTATGTTTTAAAACTCCAGTCATTATACTTCAAAGAAATTCTAAATTTTTTACTCTGTCTTAAAGAATCTGAACTCACTCCAATATTATCTAGTCATTCTTATTCTTTTCTAACAGCTTCCTTTGAGTTCCTTGAATTTCATACTCTTTCAGTTTCAAGGCCTTTGTATAAGCTTTTCTGGAATACTCCTCTTTATCTCCATCATTTCTAACTTTTCCATTAAATGATTATTTTTTATAAGTTAAATGTTCTTTTGACATATTGGCATTCTAAACTAATATCAAATGATCAATCTTTTAAATGCATAAAGTTGTGTCAACCAGGGCTTGTTGTGGAAAACACACTAGTTGATTTAAATAGGAAGTAGTTTAACACAGAGAGCAGCTTCTATGATGAGTTTCTCAAAATGATCTCCAAAATGAGTAAGTGCCGATCCTCTAAGGAAGCTCTTTTCCCTGAGGCTGCTATTGTAGCCATTCCTGAAGAAAAATGTACTACTGTTGTAATTTCCTTTAATACCCAGAAATTTGGAGAATAGACATGCAAAGCTATAACCCAAGAATTACTGAGTCAAATCAGGCAATTGCCACTGGTATATACAGAGAACAGACATGGAAATATTGCTGCTAAAACGTATCCTGTTTCCAATACCTTGTTTGCCCCAAGCAAAAAACAAATAACATCACAAGAAAATGATAACTATCTCATTTTTACCCTGCACATAAAGGGAAATGATAATTTGTATTCAGAGCACTTGCTTCAAAGAATTCAGAAAAATAGTGTTATGTAGCTTTTAAGTTTTTTCACCTAGTCGTTCTGTAGAACAGAGGTAGAGCAGGGCAATCAGTAATAAATACTGGTAAAGTCTATCCTGTATTATCCTATTCCAACTTACGCTTGCATACTGCAATAATAGCAACAAAACTAATTTTTATATGTGTGGTCTCCAAAATCAAGGCAGTTTACCAAACATTGTGCTTCTTTCTCAGGGACAGAACATAACAGAGTAATTGTTTTTCATACTGGAGGGTATTTTTAAAGATATTCTCTCAAAAATTTCACTGAAGTAGCAGTATCCTACATTTTCATTTATTTTTTACTCTCTGCTGTGAACATATGTTTCCAAACATCTTGTGACCTGCTAATTTCTGTACGTGATTTTTGCCTAAGTCAGACAGTTGGCATGGCCCCAAAATAAGATCATGAGATGTACTCCCATTCCCTTCAAGTGAAAGAAAGTTCTGGTTTGAAAGAAAAACACATTACCAAAATTGACAATTTGAATACTTGACTACAATCGTTTGTGGCAATAAAGTCATACCTGGAACAACAGATGTAATTAAAGCTATCATCTGATTATGTTGTAACATCTGATTATAATATTCCATAAAACCAATCCAGCTACTGAAGAGCCGAGTATGCATATTAGAAATGTGAGAGGATTTGCATCACTTTGTTAAGACTTTGATAATTCCTTCACAAATATGACATTGCTTTTAGGTCATGCATATATTTGGAAAGGTGTCCCTAAGTGATTCATCTTCCAAAATATCTCTTATATCATGGTTAAGGAAATAAATATAGAAATTTTGCCAGATTTTGAGTACATCTATGCCAACCAGGCATTAAGGAACTAGGAAAATAACCAGAGTGATTCTGCAGGACCGCTGATCTCACTATGAAATGGGTTTTTATGCTTATCAGTCCATTTACAGAATGTCAGTGTGAGATACTTTCCAGTGAAACAGTCATAACAAGTAAAAATTACTTAGAAAACCACTATTTATATCTCTGAAAATTGTCCTAAGGTCATCAAACAAACGAAGAAACATTTATTTAAGAGAATTACTGTAAGTTGGCCAGTTGTGCTGGCTCATGCCTGTAATCCCAGCACTTCGGGAGGCCAAGGCAGGTGAATTGCCTGAGGTCAGGCATTCAAGACCAGCCTGGCCAACTTGGTGAAACCTTGTATCTACTGAAAATACAAAAATTAGCCAGGCACGGTGGCAGGTACCTGTAATCCCAGGGTACTCAGGAGGCTAAGGCAGGAGAATTGCTTGAATCAGGGAGGTGGATGTTGCAGTGAGCCCAGATCATGCCATTGCACTCCAGCCTGGGCGACAAGAGCAAGATTTTGTCAAAAAAAACAACCACAAAAAAAAAAAAGAAAAAATCACTGTAAATCTTGCTGTTCAGTTAGAACAATGAGAATCTTTGACACTTGGCCATGACCTAATCCCTTTCCCCATACTTAGCATGATGTGAGCGTCATTCTGGCCAAGGGTGGCTGAGAAGACGCAGTTTCATTTTCCTCTATCTCCTAGTCAAGGGCTATAATATTTCTTCAGCAACATCAGGGTTTCAGCATTTTTCATCTACTTCAGCTACATATTGCAAAGGTTAAATTCCAGGCAAGGTAGCCATGAGATAGAGGCTACTTTCCCCCACTCAGTCTCTGCTCATAGAACAGAGATCTATGACAGGTATAACAGGCCAAAAATTCTGGAGTCCCAACCACCTTTGCCTAATTCCATTTATAAAAAATTATTCCATGCAAAGAAATTTGAACCATGAAGACCAATGGCTAATGCCTCCAACAGCTCAGAAAGCTATGGTGTCACTCTGAGAGAGGTGGACTATTGTCTTTACCCTCAGCTCTGGAACAGTGACTCAGAGATTTTTCCCAAGGAGGGAGGGAAGCACTCTGAGAAGAAAGCTCCAAAGATCTCCCTGAACCAAACTGGCTTTATTTAGACCAGAAAGTGGAGAAGTTCCAGCCTAAGAGCACTTTCAAAAACAATGGAGCTTTTGTTGGCAAGTAATTAATAGAAGGCTAGTAGTTCCCTGACAACAAGAAACTAAATGATAGGCCAACTGTTTTGCTCAGAGAGCTATGGTAATAAATGGCTAAGAAAAGCACACTCCTTGGTCAGAGCAAACAGTAAAGACTGGCATTAGAATGGATCCCTGCAAAGGGACTCAAATTTAAATGGATCATATTATAGAGCAGTTTATGCCCTAGAGCATTGTCAAAAACCAATCGATTAGTGAAGCCTCACACTTAGGTGTAATACCAACAGAGGCAGACATATTAAAAGAGAGGTCAAAGACTAAAGTCAAACAGATGCCTGCTAGAATCACTGTCATTGCAGGATACATTATATTAATTTTTTTACTGCTGCTATAAAATTTGCAACCAACTAGCATTTTCAAAAATAATAATTGATTATCTTAACAGTTTTGGAGGTCTGAATTACAAAATAGGCCTTGCCAAGATAAAGTCAAGGTATTGAGAGAGCTACATTCCTTCCTGGAAGCTCTAGGGACTGTACATTTTCTTGCCTTTCATAGCTTCTTCTTCTTCTTCTTCTTCTTTTTTTTTAATTGCAACTTTCATTTTAGACATAGTGGGTACATGTGTGGTTTGTTATATGGGTGTGTTGCACCTGGGTAGTGAGCATAGTACCCATTGGGTAGTTTTTCATTCTATGCCCCCCTTCTTCCCTCCCTCCTCTCTTTAGTTATCCCAGTGCCTATTGTTTCCTTCTGTATGTCCATGTGTGCTTAACATTTAGCTCCCACTCATAAAGGAAGGCATATGGTATTTGGTTTTCTGTTTCTGTGTTAGTTTGCTTAGAATGATGACCACCAGCTTCATTTGTGTGGCTGCAAAGAATATGATTTCATTCATTTTTATGGCTATGTAGTATTTTATGGTGTATATGTACCACATTTTCTTTATCCCATTCACCATTAATTGGCATCTAGGTTGATTCCATGTCCTTTTGGTATAATGATCTATTTTCCTTTGGGTATATATGAAATAATTGGATTGCTGGATTGAATGGCAGCTCTGTTTTAAGTTCTTTGAGAAATCTCCAAACTGCTTTTCACAATGGTTGCACTAATTTACATTTCCACTAAAGTATATAAGTGTTCCCTTTTCTCCGCAGCCTTGCCAACATCTGTTGTTTTTTGACTTTTTAATAACAGCCATTCTGACTGGTGTGACATTATATCTCGTTGTGGTTTTGATTTGCATTTCTCTGATGATTAACGATGAGCATTTTTTCATGTTTCTTGGCTACATATATGTTTTCTTTTGAGAAGTGTCTATTAATTTCCTTTGCCTATGTTTTCAGTGGAGTTGTTTTTTGCTTGTTGATTTGTTTATTTTTAAAAAATAAATTCTGGATATTAGACCTTTGCCAGATGCATAGTGTGTGAATATTTTCTCCCACTCTGTAGGTTATCTATTTGCTCACTTGATTGTTTCTTACACTGTGCAGAAACCCTTTAGTTTAATTAGATTTCACTTGTCAGTTTTTGTTTTTGCTGCAGTTGGTTTTGGGGACTTAGCCAAAAGTCCTTTGCCAAGCTTCTAAAGGCTTCTCACATTCTTATCTCACAGCCTTTTCTTCCTCCTTCAAAACAAGCAATACAGGAGATGTCCTTCTCAGGTTGTATCTTTTGACTTACATTTTGCCTCAGCATTCTGAAAATGAGAACCACTGTAATTACACTTGGCCCACCTGGATAATTCAATATCATCTCCCTATCTTAAAGTCAGCTGATTAGCAACCTTAATTCCATCTGCAACCTAAATTCCTTATTGCTATATAAGGTAACAAATTCACAGATTCCAGGGATGAGGATGTGAACATTTTTGGAAGATAATTATTCTGCCTCCTACATAAAGGTCAAACCACCTGAAGAATGAAACCAGAGGATTCACAATGTGAGGGAAATAGACTTTACTAAAATATTCTAGTATAGTCACTAAAAAAAAAACCTGAAAACCATATAATAACAAGCCTTTAAGACGAGAAAGAGGAATTCATATCCAGAGTTGTGATAATGTTTAAACTGTGAAGTTTTCAATAACAACAAAGCTATGAATTATGCAGAGAAACAGGAAAGTGTGGCAGAAAACAAAAAAGAGAAAAAGAGAAAGTCAACAAAAACTGCCTTTGAGAGGATCCAGATGTCAAATTTAAACAGATAAAGGGTTCAAAGTAGAATTTGTAAGTATTTTCAAAGAATAAGAACACTGTGCTCAAAGAGGTAAAGGAAGATATGACAACAGTACATCACACATAGAATGTGAATAAACAAAAGTCTCAGAGAAACTTGGATCACCATTATGCACACCAACATACAAGCAATAAGAGTACCAGAATACAGGAGAAAAAGAAAGTAGCAGAAAACTCAAAGAAATAATAGCTGAAAACGTCTAAAATTTAATGGGCAATAATCTGTATATCCAAGAAGCTCTAGATTTTTTAAAGTAGGATACATGCAAAAACATTCACACTCAGAAACATCGTAGTAAATACATTGAAGACCAAACAGAGGGAAAATCTTGAAAGAAGCAAAGGAATAATCAACCATTATGTACAAGGGAAAGCACTTATTTAAAATGGAATTGAATAAAACATTGTGTATTGAATTTTATTATGGGACCTATAAGAAATAGAAATATATTTGGTGACAATAACTGCATAAGGAGTGGGTAGAAGTAAAGGTGTATTGAACACAAGTAGATGATACAACATGGTGACTTGAATCCATGAAAAGAAGTGAAGAGAGCCAGAAATGATATATAATAAGGTCAAGAAAACAAACTCTAAGAATATATACATGCCATCCTTTCTTCTCTCAACTTTTTCAAAAAAACCATAAAACTATGTAAAATAGTTTTACTCTTGTCCATGTGAATAGACCACCAAACAGGCTTTGTGTGAGCAACAAGGCTGTTTATTTCACCTGGGTACAGGTGGGCTGAGTCTGAAAAGAGAGTCAGCGAAGGGAGACGGGGTGCGGCTGTTATATAGGATTTGGGTAGGTAAAGGAAAATTAGTTAAAGGGGGTTGTTCTTTGGTGGGCAGGGGTGGGAGTCACAAGGTGCTCAGTAGGGGAGCTTTTGAGCCAGAATGAGCCAGGAGAAGGAATTTCACAAGGTAATGTCATCAGTTAAGGCAGGAACAGGCCATTTTCACTTCTTTTGTGATTCTTCAGTTACTTTGGGCCATCTGGATGTGTACGTGCAGGTCACAGGGGATATGATGGCTTAGCTTGGGCTCAGAGGCCTGACAAATAGTAAATACAACAATGTATTATTGGGTTTGTGACATTTATAAGTGTAATATATATAGTAATAATAACATACAAAGAGGAAAGGGGGAATAGAGCTATATAGAATTAATATTTTTAGGTATATCTTGCTAGAATTAATATAAATCTAATGTAGATTCTGATAAATTAAAATGTCCATGATAATTCCAGAGTAACCATTAGGAAAATAAATTTAAAAAAAATATAATGAAAACATCATCAAAGGAATTAAAATGCTACACTAGAAAATATTCACTTAATGAAAATGAAGAATAAAGGAACAAAAAAGACATGGCACTGATATAGAACAAAAAGTAGGGTAGTAGCAGTTAGAAGTCCAACTACATCAATTATAACATTAAATGTAAATGTATTAAAAATCCAATTAAAAGCAGGCATGTTCACAAAGTTTTAAAAAACAAGATCCCACTATATGCTGTTTGCAGGAGATGCATTCAAATCTTTACATTCAGATATACAAATAGATGGAGAGCAAAGGGTGGAAAATAATATATTTTGCAAATGGCAATCATAACAAAGCTAGAAAGCATACACTACTAACAGAAAAAAGTATTTAAAATAGAAAATGTGACTACGTATAAAAGGAGACATTTTAAACAATAAAAAATGTTAACCCATTAGAAAAACATAACAATTATAAACATATAGCACCTAATGACAGAGCTTTCAAATGCAGGAAGATAGTGGGAGACTTCAACACTACACTTTCAGTAGTGAATAGAACTAAGCAGAATATTTAAAAAAATATGTCCATATCACTATTCATCTTGGTTCAATCTACAGTTTTATTCTTTTCCCTCTTGTATATCACTTATGAAATTTATTTTTCAGATTTCTGATAAAATTTGTGAAATCTAGATAATCTTTTCTCAGCTCAGATCCCTGATACCCTAGGGGACATTGAAATTGTCCTGATTCTGGTTTCTGTCTGGTTACAGAAATGTTTGATAAAAATAGGCCAGATATAATCTGTATTATTTTCTTTTTTTTTAAATTTTATTATTATTATACTTTAAATTTTAAGGTACATGTGCACAATGTGCAGGTTTGTTACATATGTATACATGTGCCACGTTGGTGTGCTGCACCCTTAACTCGTAATTTAACATTAGGTATATCTCCTAATGCTATCACTCCACACTCCCCCGACCCCACAACAATCCCCGGTGTGTGATGTTCCCCTTTCTGTGTCCATCTGTTCTCATTGTTCAATTCCCACCTATCAGTGAGAACATGGGGCGTTTGGTTTTTTGTCCTTGCAATAGTTTGCTGAGAATGATGGTTTCCAGTTTCATCCATGTCCCTACAAAGGACATGAGCTCATCATTTTTTATGGCTGCATAGCATTCCATGGTGTATATGTGCCACATTTTCTTAATCCAGTCTATCATTGTTGGACATTTGAGTTGGTTCCAGGTCTTTGCTATTGTGAATAGTGCTGCGATAAATATATGTGTGCATGTGTCTTTATAGCACCATGATTTATAATCCTTTGGGTATATACCCAGTAATGGGATGGCTGGGTCAAATGGTATTTCTAGTTCTAGATCCCTGAGGAATCGCCACACTGACTTCCACAATAGTTGAACTAGTTTACAGTCCCACCAACAGTGTAAAAGTGTTCCTATTTCTCCACATCCTCTCCAGCACCTGCTTTTTCCTGACTTTTTAATGATCACCATTCTAACTGGTGTGAGATGGTATCTCATTGTGGTTTTGATTTGCATTTCTCTGATGGCCAGTGATGATGAGCACTTTTTCATGTGTTTTTTTGGCTGTATAAATGTCTTCTTTTGAGAAGTGTCTGTTCATATCCTTCACCCACTTTTTGATGGGGTTGTTTTTTTTTCTTGTAAATTTGTTTGAGTTCATTGTACATTCTGGATATTAGCCCTTTGTCAGATGAGTAGGTTGCAAAAATTTTCTCCCATTCTGTAGGTTGCCTGTACACTCTGATGGTAGTTTCTTTTGCTGTGTAGAAGCTCTTCAGTTTAATTAGATCCCATTTGTCAATTTTGGCTTTTGTTGCCATTGCTTTTGGTGTTTCAGACATGAAGTCCCTGCCCATGCCTATGTCCTGAATGGCATTGCCTAGGTTTTCTTCTAGGATTTTTATGGTTTTAGGTCTAACATGTAAGTCTTTAATCCATCTTGAATTAATTTTTGTATAAGGTGTAAGGAAGGGCTCCAGTTTCAGCTGTCTACATATGACTAGCCAGTTAAGTCAGGTAGCGTGATGACTCCAGCTTTGTTCTTTTGGCTTAGGATAGACTTGGCAATGTGGGCTCTTTTTTGGTTCCATATGAACTTGAAAGTAGTTTTTTCCAATTCTGTGAAGAAAGTCATTGGTAGCTTGATGGGGATAGCATTGAATCTATAAATTACCTTGGGCAGTATGGCCATTTTCACGATATTTATTCTTCCTACCCATGAGCATGGAATGTTCTTCCATTTGTTTGTATCCTCTTTTATTTCATTGAGCAGTGGTTTGTAGTTCTCCTTGAAGAGGTCCTTCACATCCCTTGTAAGTTGGATTCCTAGGTATTTTATTCTCTTTGAAGCAATTGTGAATGGGAGTTCACTCATGATTTGGCTATCTGTTTGTCTGTTATTGGTGTATAAGAATGCTTGTGATTTTTGCACATTGATTTTGTTTCCTGAGACTTTGCTGAAGTTGCTTATCAGCTTAAGGAGATTTTGGGCCGAGATGATGGGGTTTTCTAGATATAAAATCATGGCATCTGCAAACAGGGACAATTTGACTTCCTCTTTTCCTAATTGAATGCCCTTTATTTCCTTCTCCTGCTTGATTGCCCTGGCCAGAACTTCCAACACTATGTTGCGTAGGAGTGGTGAGAGAGGGCATCCCTGTCTTGTGCCAGTCTTCAAAGGGAATGCTTCCAGTTTTTGCCCATTCAGTATGGTATTGGCTGTGGGTCTGTCATAAATAGCTCTTATTATTTTGTGATACGTCCCATCAATACCTAATTTATTGGGAGTTTTTAGCATGAAGGGTTGTTGAATTTTGTCAAAGGCCTTTTCTGCATCTATTGAGATAATCATGTGGTTTTTGTCTTTGGTTCTGTTTATATGCTGGATTACGTTTATTGATTTTTGTATGTTGAACCAGCCTTGCATCCCAGGGATGAAGCCCACTTGATCATGGTGGATAAGCTTTTTGATGTGCTGCTGGATTCGGTTTGCCAGTACTTTATTGAAGATTTATGCATCAATGTTCATCAAGGATATTGGTCTAAAATTCTCTTTTTTTGTTGTGTCTCTGCCAGGGTTTGGTATCAGGATGGTGGTGGCCTCATAAAATGAGTTAGGGAAGATTTCCTCTTTTTCTATTGATTGGAATAGTTTCAGAAGGAATGGTACCAGTTCCTCCTTGTACTTCTGGTAGAATTCAGCTGTGAATCCATCTGGTCCTGGACTTTTTTTGGTTGGTAAGCTATTGATTATTGCCTCAATTTCCGAGCCTGTTATTCATCTTTTCAGGGGTTCAAGTTCTTCCCGCTTTAGTCTTGAGATGGTGCATGTGTCAAGGAATTTATCCATTTCTTCTAGATTTTCTAGTTTCTTTGCATAGAGGTGTTTGTAGTATTCTCTGATGGTAGTTTGTATTTCTGTGGGATTGGTGATGATATCCCCTTTGTCATTTTTTATTGTATCTGTTTGATTCTTCTCTATTTTCTTCTTTATTAGTCTTACTAGTGGTCTATGAACTTTGTTGATCTTTTCAAAAAACCAGCTCCTAGATTCGTTAATTTTTTTGAAGGGTTTTTTGTGTCTCTATTTCCTTCAGTTCTGCTCTTATCTTAGTTTTTTCTTGCCCTCTGCTAGCTTTTGAATGTGTTTGCTCTTGCCTCTCTAGTTCTTTTAATTGTGATGTTAGGGTGTCAATTTTAGATCTTTCCTGCTTTCTCTTGTGGGCATTTAGTGCTATAAATTTCCCTCTACACACTGCTTTAAATGTGTCCCAGAGATTCTGGTATGTTGTGTCTTTGTTCTCGTTGGTTTCAAAGAACATCTTTATTTCTCACTTCATTTTGTTATGTACCCAGTAGTTATTTAGGAGTAGGTTGTTCAGTTTCCATGTAGTTGAGTGGTTTTGAGTGAGTTTCTTAATCCTGAGTTCCAGTTTGATTGCACTGTGGTCTGAGAGACAGTTTGTTATAATTTCTATTCTTTTACCTTTGCTAAGGGGTGCTTTATTTCCAACTATGTGGTCAATTTTGGAATCGGTGTGGTGTGGTGCTGAAAAGAATGTATATTCTGTTGATTTGGGGTGGAGACTTCTGTAGATGTCTATTAGGTCCGCTTTGTGCAGAGATGAGTTCAATTATGGGATATCTTTGTTAACTTTCTGTCTTGTTGATCTGTCTAATGTTAACAGTGGGGTGTTAAAGTCTCCCATTATTATTGTGTGGGAGTCTAAGTCTTTTTGTAGGTCACTAAAGACTTGCTTTATGAATCTGGGTGCTCCTGTATTGGGTGCATATATATTTAGGATAGTTAGCTCTTCTTGTTGAATTGATCCCTTTACCATTATGTAATGACCTTCTTTGTCTCTTTTGATCTTTGTTGGTTTAAAGTCTGTTTTATCTGAGACTAGGATTGCAATCCCTGCTTTTTTTTGTTTTTCATTTACTTTGAAGATCTTCCTCCATCCCTTTATTTTGAGCCTATGTGTGTCTCTGCACGTGAATTGGGTTTCCTGAATACAGCACACTGATGGCTCTTGACTCTTTATCCAATTTGCCAGTCTGTGTCTTTTAATTGGAGCATTTAGCCCATTTATATTTAAAGTTAATATTGTTATATGTGAATTTGATCTTGTCATTATGATGTTAGCTGGTTATTTTGCTCATTAGTTGATGCAATTTCTTCCTAGCCTTGATAGTCTTTACAGTTTGACTTGTTTTTGCAGTGGCTGGTACCAGTTGTTCCTTTCCATGTTTAGTGCTTCCTTCAGGAGCTCTTTTAGGACAGGCCTGGTGGTGACAAAATCTCTCAGCATTTGCTTGTCTGTAAAGTATTTTTATTTCTCCTTCACTTAAGAAGCTTAGTTTGGCTGGATATGAAATTCTGTGTTGAAAATTCTTTTCTTTAAGAATGTCGAATATTGGCCCCCACTCTCTTCTGGCTTGTAGAGTTTCTGCTGAGAGATCCGCTGTTAGTCTGATGGGTTTCCCTTTGTGGGTAACCCGACCTTTCTCTCTGGCTGCCCTTAACATTTTTTTCCTTCATTTCAACTTTGGTGAATCTGACAATTATGTGTCTTGGAGTTGCTCTTCTCGAGGAGTATCTTTGTGGCGTTCTCTGCATTTCCTGAAATTGAATGTTGGCCTGCCTTGCTAGCTTGGGGATGTTCTCCTGGATAATATCCT
Source organism: Homo sapiens (assembly GCF_000001405.40). Lineage (NCBI taxonomy): Eukaryota > Metazoa > Chordata > Mammalia > Primates > Hominidae > Homo > Homo sapiens. The sequence continues at coordinate 48,284,299 of NC_000014.9, forward strand.
GCAGAGTGTTTTTCAACTTGGTTCCATTCTCCCTGTCACTTTCAGGTACACCAATCAGACATAGATTTGGTCTTTTCACATAGTCCCATATTTCTTGGAGGCTTTGTTTCTTTTTATTCTTTTTTCTCTAAACTTCTCTTCTTGCTTCATTTCATTCATTTCATCTTCCGTAGCTGATACCCTTTCTTCCAGTTGATCTCATTGGCTACTGAGGCTTGTGGATTCATCACGTAGTTCTCATGCCATGGTTTTCAGCTCCATGAGGTCCTTTAAGGACTTCTCTGCATTGGTTATTCCAGTTAGCCATTCATCTAATTTGTTTTCAAGGTTTTTAAGTTCTTTGCCATTGGTTCAAACTTCCTCCTTTAGCTTGGAGTAGTTTGATCTTCTAAAGCCTTCTCTCAACTCGTCAAAGTCATTCTCCATCCAGCTTTGTTCCGTTGCTGGTGAGGAGCTGCATTCCTGTGGAGGAGGAGAGGCGCTCTGATTTTTAGAGTTTCCGGTTTTTCTGCTCTGTTTTTTCCCCATCTTTGTGGTTTTATCTACCTTTGGTCTTTGATGATGTTGATGTGTAGATGGGGTTTTGGTGTGGATGTCCTTTCTGTTTGTTAATTTTCCTTCTAACAGTCAGGACCCTCAGCTGTAGGTCTGTTGGAGTTTGCTGGAGGTCCAATCCAGACCCTGTTTCCCTGGGTATCAGCAGTGGTGGCTGCAGAACAGTGGATATTGGTGAACCGCAAATGCTGTTGCCTGATCGTTCCTGTGGAAGTTTTGTCTCAGAGGAGTACCTGGTCATGTGAGGTGTCAGTCCATCCCTACGGGGGGGTGCCTCCCAGTTAGGCTACTCGGGGGTCAGGGACCCACTTGAGGAGGCAGTCTGCCTGTTCTCAGATATCCAGTTGCGTGCTGGGAGAACCACTACTGTCTTCAAAGCTGTCAGACAGGGACATTTAACGCTGCAGATGTTACTGCTGCCTTTTGTTTGTCTGTGCCCTGCCCCTAAAGGTGGAGCCTACAGAGGCAGGCAGGCCTCCTTGAGCTGTGGTGGGCTCCACCCAGTTCGAGCTTCCTGGCGGCTTTGTTTACATACTCAAGCCTCAGCAGTGGCGGGCGCCCCTCCCCCAGCCTCGCTGCCGCCTTGCAGTTTGATCTCAGAGTGCTGTGCTAGCAATGAGTGAGGCTTCATGGGCATAGGACCCTCCGAGCCAAGTGTGGGATATAATCTCCTGGTGTGCCGTTTGTTAAGCCCATTGGAAAAGCACAGTATTAGGGTGGGAGCGACCCAATTTTCCAGGTGCCGTCTGTCACCCCTTTCTTTGACTAGGAAAGGGAATTCCTTGACCCCTTGCACTTCCTGGGTGAGGTGATGCCTCTCCCTGCTTCGGCTCATGCACGATGAACTGCACCCACTGTCCTGTACTCACTGCCCAGCACTCCCCAGTGAGATGAACCTGGTACCTCAGTTGGAAATGCAGAAATCACCCATCTTCTGTGTCGCTCACGCTGGGAGCTGTAGACTGGAGCTGTTCCTATTCAGCCATCTTGGCTCCACCCCTCTCAATGTGTGTTATTTTCAAGGAAAATATTTAAAGTAAAATAATTATTAGGCCTTGTGTACTATAGGATTACTCTTAACAGACAAGGAAACAGGAGGCTTTTGTGTTTAAAGTATGTCAACACAATTCACCTGGATGTCTTCACTACAATTATCTAAGTTTCAGTCCTACTTAATAAATACTAAAAATTTTACTTGTACAATTCGATTTACATATAATTTACAGAAAGTTTGTACATTCAATTTATAGTATAATTCAGTATCTGCCATACCAGACCTTATTGTCCTTTTTTGTTTTCCTTTTCCAGTAAAATTTTCAAGAGATGTAGTACCTGGTAGTTTGTGTATGTGTGTGTGTGTGTGTGTGTGTGTGTGTATATATATATATATATATAAAATACATATATATATAAAAAATACATATATATAATATATAAAAATTTGGTCCTCAGAATTTGCCTTGAGCAACTTGTAACTTGCTATTTTCTTCCTTTAGTTAATCAAGTTCTATCAGAAGCAGCTATTCCATCTTAATTCTAGTATAAAATGCATTATTCTGAGATCAGTGTCAGAAGCAAAAAAGACTCCTGGTATCTTAAGCAGGAATGAAATTATAACTGGCAATTTGTGTCTACAAAATTAGTGGGACTCTTGAAAAAGAAAGATCCAAACTGGTTCTTCTAAGAATGACACAAAATAACACAGAATTGTTTAACTGAGGCTTCCAGAGAGGTAAGCTTAATGCAAGAAGATGCAATCATCCCTGATACAACTGCCTCTCCCACCTGTGAAGGTAGAGACTAGAAACTGAAATGCATGTTGTTACAGGATGGCTTTAAGTTGCCCCAATATTACTTACTTGTCAGACATAGCTCCCAGGAGTTGCAGGAACCTGTCCTGGGACTCAATTCCAAATCTCATAGGAGTGCATCTAATTGTCAGAAAATTATTAATAAATTCAAGGAGACTTAAAAATGTAGTTTATTTTTCTTCTTCTTCTTTTTTTACTTCAACTTTTAATTTAAGTTCCAGGGTACATGTGCAGGTTTGTTACTTAGGCAAACATGTGCCATGGTGGTTTGCTGCACAGATCAACCCATCAACTAGGTATTAAGCCCAGCATCCATTAGCTATTTTTCCTAGTGCTCTCCCTCCTCCCATCCCACCTTCCAACAAGCCCCAGTGTATACTGTTCCCCTCCCTGCGTCCATGTGTTCTCATTGTTCAGCTCACACGTATGAGAACATGTGGTGTTTGGTTTTGTGAATAGTGCTGCAATGAATATACACATGCATGTCTCTTTATAATAGAATGATTTATGTTCCTTTGGGTATATACCCGGTAATGGGATTGCTAGGTCAAATGGTATTTATACCTCTAGGTCTTTGAACAATTGCCACACTGTCTTCCACAATGGTTGAACTAATTTACAATCCCACCAATGGTGTAAGAGCATTCCTTCTACTCCAGAACCTCACCAGCATTTGTTTTTTTCTTGACTTTATAATAATCACCATTTTGAACTAGTGTGAGATGGTATCTCATTGTGGTTTTGATTTGCATTTCTCTAATGATCAGTGATGTTGAGCTTTTTTTATGTTTGTTGCCATATAAATGTCTTCTTTTGAAAAGTGGTTGTTCATGTCTTTTGCTCACTTTTAAATGGGTTTGTAGGTGAAGACATCACACTACCCAACTTCAAACTATACTACAAGGCTACAGTAACCAAAACAACATGATACTGGTACAAAAACAGACTCTTAGACCGTGGAGCAGAATAGAGAACTCAGAAATGAGATGGCACATCTATAACCATCTGATCTTTGACAAACCTCACAAAAACAAGCAATGGGGAAAGGATTCCTTATTTAATAAATGGTGCTGGGAGAACTGGCTAGCCATATGCAGAATATTGAAACTGGGCACCTTCCTTGTACCTTATATAAAAATTAACTCAAGATGGATTGAAGACTTAATGTAAAACCCAAAACTATAAAAACCCTAGAAGAAAATCTGGACAATACCATTCAGGACATAGGCATGAGCAAAGATTTTGTGCTGAAAATGCCAAAAGCAGAAGCAACAAAATCAAAAATTGACAAATGGGATCTAATTAAAGAGCTTCTGCACAGCCAAAGAAACTATCAGCAGAGTGAACAGACAACCTACAGAATGGGAGAAAATTTTTGCAATGTATCCATCCAACAAAGGTTTAATATTCAGAGCCTACAGGGAGTTTATTTTCAATCTCTCCAAATAGATAAAAGCTAGAATGAAGAGTAAATTCAAGCTGAATCTAGAATACTTGACAATATACGGAATTCATGTATCATAGCAAGGTTATTTCCACAGAATTTATTTAAAATATTGTTGAATTATAATTTCTTTAGTCATCATTTATTTTGCTTCCAGGATTCATATTTCTAAGCAATGCTCCCCACAGAATTTGTTCATATATCATATATTTATAATTCAAATCTTTATATTAATCATGCATTTTTATTTCTTTGTAACAAATATATGTATACAGAATACACTTTAAAATATATACATTTACCATTATTTAGACTGTCATATTTAACAGTTATTGTCAATTATATTTGTAAGTTTTATTGGTTCATATTTAAAGAAACAAAATGTATTTTGCATTTTGAAATATAATTATGTTATCAATTAAAATTGGGAAACTATAATGAGGCACGTAGATTTTTTTAAAAACTATTTTATGCATTCATGATTTAAGATTTTTTTAATGTTATAACAAAATGGGGTTTAGTGATCCTTAATAACAAAATAAATAAAAGGTATGGGCACTATTATGCAAGGTGTATTTAGTGATTGTTCTTAAGTGCATTATTTCAGTAAAATCCATAATGTATTTCTACTAAATCCAAATCCAAGAAAATTCATAGTGGGAATGAACAAATGTGAAGATAAATGGTCCAGGAAGGATAATGATAAACAGTCTTCCGAGAAGGAAAAAAAGATGCATTCCAATAAACTTGTGGAAAAAGTTATGAAAATGTGCCTCCTATGATTCAGAAAAAAAGAGAAAATATAGTCTCTTATTTGAAAAATCAATTTCTAATATTTTAGATGTAAATTTGAATTTTTAACTACCTCGTCCATGAAATATGTAACAAAGATACGGATAAATCAAAGTGTTCACTGAGTATTTTCTCATTACTCAGAATAGTGAAAATTAAAAAAGAATATGTTATAGAAGTTTGTTATTATGTTTCCCAGTATTCTTTTTACAAATTTCAAATATTCAGATACTAAGAGAAATGTTGTGTTGATCAGTGGCATGTATTTGTTTTCTGATTGACATAATTTGCTGACGAACAATATTATTGGATACTTTCATTACTTTGTCTCATAGGAGCAATGCATAGTTTTATAACACTCAGAAGTCAGAAGATAGAACAGAGAGTTCATTAGCATAAAAACCTTACCTTTCTTGGTCATGGCTGATGGAAGAGTGTTTATAAAGTAGTAAATAGATTTATACTTATTTTTACATGAAAACCTTTTTCATTTTATGGCTTACTGTCATATTGTACCCAGGAAAGCATTTGTAGAAAACAAAGTAGATTGAATTCATGTCAAGAACAGTAGGTAAAATGTACTTCTCAAAGTTAATGACTTTAAGGAAAGAAAAATATCATTAAATACATTTTAAATCAGAGATTAATGGGCATCTTGGTTTTTCAATGTAATTCTTAATCTCAAGAAAATTACTAGAAAAAATTTATTTTAGTGCTAGCTGTGATTTCCTAGGTATAATTAGAAAATTCTTATCTCTTGAATATAACAGTTTTAATAATATGATTATTCTTTATAAATGAGAACACAATTTAGTACAGAAATTATAAAAACAGTGCTTTCTGTTCTGGATATATCTGTATTCCCTTCTGTTTATAAGTTCCCTACTATTTTTGGCACATGAGCAAATGTATTTCACTTTATAGCCTTTTAATCTTGAAAATGGAGTTTCAAAACATGTAGCAGCTGAAAGCTTCATTGTGCAGCCTCATACATAATCACATAATCCATTGGCAGAGACACAGAAATGGAATTGAAATAGAATTTTGTAGGGTTAAGCTGGTTTCTTGAACATGCTGGAAATTATAGCTAAGTTTTTTCAAAACTATTTTGAGACTAACAATTGTATGTGGTTGAAAGAATTTTTTTATCCATGTACAATGCAGATACCTTAGTAGCCCAGTGAAAGAGATGTTTATGTCCTCTTTATTTAGAATGATGAATTTGTTTATTTTCTCCAGATCCATAATGGAATTCGATGTTATCTGTATAAATCACACAGTGTCAGTGAACTCAGGTGTATGTCCAAGAGTAGGAGAGAAGCTATTTCCATCAAACATTCTTTTTTCCTTATTTCATTTCCTTATTCTTTTCCCTCTTTCTCTCTCAACTTCATTTTTTTCCATGTAATATTGATGGCAAAGTATATTTACACAAAGTTTTAAATTGAATTAATGAAAATACATGATTATGACATATAAAAATTTAAAAAAAACCAGAATTATACGTGTTAGAAAATGTTTCCTTATCTCAGACTCTACACTTGAGCCTTGATTGATCCTTTTACTTAATGACACCAGGAAGGAACTACAGTTAACCATCTCTCATGCAAAATTCCAAAAGTAGTTTTATCTGAAAATACCAGTATATGTATATGTATGTGTATATTTATTAAATTTTAGTTATATATAACTGGTTTATTTCACTCTTTAATATATCTTTAAAATGTTTAATATCAGTATGTATCTGTGTGTATATATATATATACACACACATAAGTATATATCTTAATCTATGTCATTTTACATAGAATTCTATACTATGATATATTGTTATGACTACAGTTATATTGATGAAGACTTAGAACATTTTGCAATGTCATGCTATTACAGAAAATGCTGAAATTACATTTATTTGTGTATGAGTGTATGTGTGTATGTGTACCTTGGCACACATACAAGAGTATATATTAACAGTTTGAATGTAACCTAAAATTTCTGATGAATGAGTGTTTTCCATTCTATAAATTCATATTCCCTCAAAAACATCCAAATATTTTAAATATTTTAATCTTAAACTTAATTAACATTTTCCATGTTCAAATGTAATAAATTGTTTTACAAACTTTTGAAAATGCAGAAAATAATAACAAGAAAAATGCCTGTTCTTCTACTACATATTAATAATGCCTGTTGACATTTGCATTAACTATCTGCCCAGAACTTTTGCAGAGAACATGTTTACTGACATGTAATAGAAACTCAATGGAGTTAACATAAGCTGAAATGAATAATTAAGTAGATGGATAGAAGGTTTGTATTGAGTTAAGCTCAAGACTGCAGCCAGCGTTCAGACATGGGCTAGATTCACAGACTGAAATGTTCCAAGTTCTTTTATTCGACCTCTGATCTTTACTCCTCTCTGAGTGTTAGCTTTGTTGATCTCTTTCCCTATGGAACATTTTTCTCCCTTTTCCATATCACCTACCAGATACTATTCTTGACATCTCACAAGTTTACAAGTTGCTGATATAATTATGGAACAAATTTTTCTCTTTGAGGAGATATTTTTTAAAAAGAAGTATATTGGTTCAGGCAAGGTGAGGTGCTCATGGCTGCCTGCATCAATCAGTTGTGGTTGGATGGAAAGGAGGGTTCTATCATCATTGAGCAGCATTCAGGAAATGAATACTGAAAATTTGGGTAGAGTGATACCTAATTACAAAAAGAGTTCATTTTTTTTTTTTGCCGTGAAATAATTCAATGCATGCCTTCTGTAATTACTTAGTTTTCATATGTTAACAATATGTTCTTAACATATTTTCATATTGCTGAATATATGTTATACATCACACAGTATTTTACTACATGAACATGTGACATTATTTAACCAGTTTTACATTTAGCATTTAGGGTGCTTAAACTTTATATCCTTGTAGGTAGTGTTTTATATGTAACCATTATTATTTTCCTAAGACAAATGAACAGAAAGCAGAATTGATAGATCAATGTGTATGCATATTTTTATACATGTATATATTATCAAATATCTGTTTTCCACCAGAAATGTTGTGACAATTTGTTCTCTCATCAACATTTAAGAGTACCTATTCCCTATCCATACACTAACATCATTATGATAGAAATATCTTGATCTTAAAGTAACATATCTTTGGCAATACATATTTGAAGCAAACATTTTTCTTATTATTTGGCCTTGATAAACCTCTACTAATTTTCTCTAATCTAGAGAGGCAGTATTTTTCTTTGGCTCCCTGTTTTATTCTTGCATCCCAATAGTATGTAACTATTTGGACAAAATGTGTGCACAATCAAATAATTGGACTTTATTCCTGCAAAATTTCCCAAGGTGGTGAAAATACAGAAATGAACTTTGCCCCTGCTTTACTATCTGTCTGTTAGGAATAAAATGAATATTACAAGCTTCTTGAATTGTTAAACATCTTTGTTTAAAAATACACAAAAGCAATTAGTTATTCATGTATGCCTTACTGGTCTCAGAGATAACTTTTGTAACAAGGACAAAATTAGATTTATTTACTCTCATCATCATTTGTACTTGTTTTATCTGGAGATGTGCTCTTTCAGACTATTGATTTAACAACTTGGTACATTTTACTCTGGGATTTGTCTAAGAAAGACAGTAAGAAAAGGAATATAATAGTTCTAAGTTAATGGAAACATCAGCAGATTGATTTCGTTCTATTTTTATATTTTCTCTACTTTTTGAAACTTTGTTATGCAAAATTCACCAGTAGAAGACTGAATATAGTAATTCAGAATAATTCATTTACCCTTGCAACATGTATGCAAAAATATCTGATATAAATAAAAATTGATATGTGAGAAAATTCATTTCATCTGAAAATAGATCATTATTGACAAATAACAATTTTATATATTTAAAGTATACAATATGATGTTTTGATACACACAGACATTGTGAAATGATTATCATAATCAAGCTAATTAACATATGCCTCACCTCACATAGTTTCTGTAAAGTGAGAAGAGTTAAGATCTACTCTCTTAGCAATTTTCAAGTATATAATACATTATAATTAATTATAGTAAACATGCTGTATATTAAGTCTCCTGAACATATTCCCTTATAGCAGAAACTTTGTACCCTTTGACCAACAACTCTTGCATCCTGAAGCACTCCCAGCCTCTACCAGTGACTATTCTACCGTCTGCTTCTATGAGTTTGTCTTTTTTAGATTCCACATGTAAGTGAGATCTTGTAGGATTTGTCTGTGTGTATTTGACTTTTTCACTTAGCATAATGCTCTCCAGGTTCATCCATGTTGCAAATGACAAGATTTCCTTCTTTTTTAAGGCTGAATAATATCCTATTGTGGGTATTTCTATTCATTTATCTATCTATCTTCTATGGATCTGTCTGTCTATCTATCTAGCTGACATTTTCTTTCTTCATTCATCTATTGATTAACACTTAGGCTGTTTCCATATCTTGGCTGTTGTGAATAATGCTGCAATGAACATGGGAGTACAAATATTTCTATGAGATACTAATTTTATTCCCTTTGAATATATATGCAGAAATGAGATTGCTAGACAATATGGTAGTCCTATTTTTAATTTTTTGAGAAAGCTCTACAGTATTTTCCGTAACAGTGTATAAGGGTTCGCTTTCCTCCATATCTTTGCCAGCACTTGTTATCTTTAGACTTTTTGATAATAGCCATTCTAACACTGTGAGCTGATATCTCATTGTAGTTGTAATTTGCATTTTCCAGATGATTAGTGATGCTGAGCACCCTTGTATATACCTATTGGCCATGCATCTTCTTCAGAAATACATCTATTCAGATCCTTTGCCCATTTTAAAATAGGTTATTTTATTTTGCTATTAAGTTGCATGTGTTCCTTATATGTTGCGTATACTAATCTATCATTAATATATCATTTATAAATATTTTCTCTCATTCTATTAGTTGCCTTTGTATTTTTATTTTCCTTTGTTCTGCAGATACATTTTAGTTTGATGTAGTCCCACTTGTTTATTGTTGCTTTTGTTGCCTCTGCTTTTGGTGTCATATTCAAAAAATAATTGCCAAGACCAATGTCATAGAGCTCGACCTCTATGTTTTTTTCCAGGAGTTTTACAGTTCCACGTCTTATGTTTAAGTCTTTAACTCATTTTATGTTGTTTCTGTGTTTGGTGTGGGATAAGAATCCACTTTCATTTTTTATTTTTTTGCATGTAGATATCCAATTTTCTCAACACCATTATTTGAAAATACTATCCTTTCCCCGTCATGTAATTTTGTCATCTTTGTTGAAGATGAGTTGATCACATATGTTGTGGGTTTATTTCTGGGATTTCTATTCCACTCCATTGTCTAGATATCTGGTTTCATGCCACTATCATACCGTTTTGATTAATATAACTTCACAATGTAATTTGAAAACAGGACGTGTGATGCCTCCAGCTTTATTCTTTTTTCTCAAGATTGTTTAAGCTATTTAGGGTCTTGGAAATCATTGAAACTTTAAAAAATTAATATTATGATATGATTGCTAACTTAATTGCTCATATAATTTATATTATAATATGAATACTAATACATAATTACTAGTTTACTTCATTGCACTTAATAACTAATACCTTAGTAACAATCTTAGTCATCATGTATTCTATTAAAATAGCTATTTTAAAATTTAAAACTGAAAAAGCCATAGATTTTGAGTATAGAATTTACAGTAAAAATCCATAGGTATGGGCCGGGCGCGGTGGCTCACGCCTGTAATCCCAGCACTTTGGGAGGCCGAGACGGGCGGATCACGAGGTCAGGAGATCGAGACCATGCTGGCTAACACGGTGAAACCCCGTCTCTACTAAAAATACAAAAATTAGCCGGGCATGGTGGCGCGTGCCTGTAGTCCCAGCTACACGGGAGGCTGAGGCAGGAGAATGGCGTGAACCCGGGAGGCGGAGCTTGCAGTGAGTCGAGATCGCGCCACTGCACTCCAGCCTGGGCGACAGAGCGAAACTCCGTCTCAAAAAAAAAAAAAAAATCCATAGGTATGTACATTCCCATTACCATATTTTCAAATATTTTACGTCCCATGTTAGTTTTCTATATGAATTTGAACACTCTAACTCTTATTGTTTCAGCATGTTAAAATGCTTTATTTAAAGAAATTTTTTTCTAAAGCCCCATGAACTTAAACCTTTCTTCAAAATTTCAAAAACAATAATTTCAGATTTCTCTGTAGGCTTCATAAAGCCAATATGCATTCGTTAACATGGTGCCATTATGGGAGTTTCCAAGAAGGTTCCCATTACCATGCAGTGCTCTAAAGTGCATTTTTAGACAAGTTTGATTTGTGAATAAGTCAGTATTATTACTATGTGTAACATCAGAAACAATTAAAGTGAATTTTTAACTTTTTAGAGGGTTACACATAGAATTATTACTCAGTGAATTATTTAGAGAACATTTTGTGTGTTGCAGCACTTTACCAAAAAGTGTAACCTATTAAACCCATTCAGAAGAAATATTAGGATTCGTTTGGATTTGCCAAAACAGTGGGCGACCTCACATTTCTTTTTTATCCACCTCCCTCCTGCTCATTTAAAAAATATATAATATGAATTTGTCATCTTTCTTGGTATGTATCTATGTGTAACGTGTATGTGTATGAGGGGGCACTTGTGGTGAAGCCAGCTGTGCCACTGAAGGAAGTTCAGGTTTTAGCCCCATGCTTCTCTGGAAAATCAGAAAGTTAATACTCACTTGAGTCTTTTTGTTGCTTTTCCAGGATACAAAATTGATTGGAAATATGTGGCCAATTTACATGATCTTTGCGCAGCATGCCATTCATCCCTATAGAGGCCATATGAATCCATTACGAACCGAATTGGGCTTACTGGCAGTTATACCCTTTTGCCTACTGTTATCCCTTGTACCTCTAGCAAGTAAAGGAAACGATAGTGAGAAGGAAGTCAAAAGTTGTTTTATCAATGTAATTTACTCTCGTGCAGACAAAAATCAGGAAATGGTCAGACAGCTAGGTTAAGGGGATTATGATATATTGTAAGTTCAGTTAGCAATCATAAATTTGTGATACTTGGGTCTTAGTGCTTCCCTGAATGACCTGGAAAATAATTTTAAAATGGCAAAATGATGAATAATAGTTTACTTCATTGCACTATCAGGCAAGAATCTAAAACGTAGACCTGCTCCATCACTCAGATGTTTTAAAATCACCTGGAAAGAAATTAATGTTTATTTGATTATCTACTCTCTGAAAATTAAAATTCTAAGGAAAAGGAAAGCAGCCCCCCATTTGTTTAAGGAAATTAAATCTTCACTACATGAGTGCCTGATTCTTTTTACAAGTACAACTTTTTAATTGGAGAGACATGATTTTTTTCATTTGATATATATCTGGTTTCAATGTGCCATGGAAACAAATGAGCAAGAACATTTTAAGGTCCCTTTGAATAACAGCCATAGAAGTGAATTACAATCATTCCTACTTCTGAAATAGATAAAATTTTTGTTAAAGTAAAATCTTAATAATATCACATTCAAGACTTCAATGCTTACATCTATGCATGATTTAATCATTTTACTATGTACATATTGCAGCCAAATATTTGTGTTAATCATATTCTTTTCTTTGGATGTTATGTTTAGTGGCCCATTTTTATCAAAGAAACATCTATGGTAAGCTCTTTCCTTTCCTTTGGGTTTTGAACTTCAAAGTTCTGCACTACTAAAAATTTACGGCATTTTTTTTTAAAGCAAACAACTTTCTTTGTTCTTTATTTGCATGTGTGTGTACGTGTTTTACCTGCTAATTTCTTTTTAAGATTCCTCATATTATATTGAAATTAATAATGTGGGGCCAGGGAAAAAATACTAACTTGTTTTCTGTACTATAGTTTGCTTTCTATGGAATTTTAAAAAATGCATTTTTATGGTATGTACTCTATATTTCCTGGTTTCTCTTACTCGGAGTAATTATTTTGAGATTCGATTATGTTGAAACATGCATTATGAGTTCATGTCTTTGCTGAATACTATTCCATAATGGAGTTTGTTTTTCCATTTGCTTGTTGATAGACTTTTGGGATGTTTCTAGTTTTGCAGTATCAGAAGGAAGGTGCTGTGAACACTCATGTATACATCTTTGCATGAACCTGTACTGTATTTTCTCTTAGGTAAAGGCTTAGCAATGTCATGGCTGGAACATAAACAATTTCCTTAAACAATTTCCTTTTTCAGTGGTCTTTCTGAAGATCCGTGTTTCCTGCTGGCATTATTTTTCTTCTGCCAGACAGAGTTTTTTAACATACTTTCTGTATCAAGGATGTGCTTTTGGGGATTTTTTTAAAGTTTTATATATCTTAAAATGTCTATATTTCACCTTAATATCTAAAAGATAGTTGCAAAAAATATAAATTTTAGGTTGCCAATATTGGCAACCTAAACATAACATATCATTCTACTGTTTTCTTACTTGCATTGTTTTTGGAAAAAAAGAAATCTGCTTTTCATCCTTGGCTTTGTCTTACCTGTGCAGATCTTTTTACCCTGTCAGCTTTAAAGATTTTGTCTTTATAAATGGTTTCAAAGAATTTGAATTGGATGAGCCTTAGTGTGGTTTTCATATTTTGTACTTGAGGTACATTGAGCAGGATTGTGTCTCAGTCCATAAACATTTAATTCCTGCTCCTCTCTAGTTCACTAAAATTCTTACCAACATCACCAATTTTTTTTGTATTTCCATATCCACTAAACAGTTTATTGTGTTTCATATATGTCTTGCTCTCTAAGCAGTGCTTGAAAAATGTGGAACTTTGTCCTCCTTAACATCCTATGCTCCTGATTTTTTCTGCTTCTGTGTCTAAGCCTACTCAATCTCCTCTGTGGATGTCTCTTCTTCTTTTGCTCCTTTACATATTGGTATTCCTTCTGCAGAGTTACTTTTTCTTTCTCACTCTATTTTTTCTGATACCCATTGTCTTCTCTTTTTCAACTGCCAATTACATACTGATGACCATCTGAACTATCTATTCTAAATTCCAGATGTGCATATCCATTTGTCTATTCTACATTTCTACATGGATGTTTCTCATCATCCTCCTCAAATTCAGCCATCTCCTCCTCAAACTCAGAAAATATTACACTTAGCACACTATCATCCCGTTAATTTGACTACTTCCACAGTGCTCTCTGCTTCTGGGTGCTAAGTAAATGTGTATAATTACAGGCTGCCCTTAATTATCCTTTCTGGGGGTGCCCACTGAACTACTTAATTTAATATACCTGCAAAACACTTTTGTATCTAACCTAAGTCCCAGCTCTAACCTCTCTTGGCTAGTATTGTATGCTGCCATTTTTAGTCTGGAAATGACCATGAATAAACTTCTATGTTGCTATGTAAATCTAGTATTAATATTGCATGAAATATGAAATCATTATATACATATATTTTTGAAATATATTACATTTATTAGAGTAAGGGTTTTATAAAAATTGTAATCAGGATTGTCAAGCATGCTAAGAATTCAATAATTATTTCTAGATAATATGGTTAATAGACACGTACTTAGATATGTCTTAAAGTTTTCAGGATGTGTATACTGAAACATGCTAGCACAATATAGTATAATTTTTTAATATTTCTGGCATTTATGTTATTAAGCATTTGTTTGTCTTTTAGCTGGATTTTGCTGTTTTGTTTTTAAGTAAACAGCTGTTGATTCAACTTAATGTAACTAACCCTATATTGACATAAATGTCATTGTTTGCCTTTCAAACTTTGACATTTCAAAGTAATTGAAATTGTGAATAAATTATCTTTGCATGATTTTATTTATATAGAAGTTAAATTATATTATTACTTCAAATGTAATGCAAATAGATTTTGCATTAAATGTAATAGATTATATTATAATTATAACAATATATTATTTCAAATTTACAAATGGATTTCAAAACTTTAATATTGCTATTTAAGAACCTATGTCATATCTTTGATGGCCCACAAAAATTTTCTATTCTTTATCAGAGCTAAACAATTATAAAGAATAAACTAATGCCTTTTACTTACTCTTTTAAAAATAAATAAAATTCTCATATAATAAGTAATAGATATAAGTAATGGTAAAATATATTTCTTCAGTATATTTCTATCACTTAAATTCCTAGTTATTCTTGAATAAATATAATGAGAAATATTTTGGCATACTATTATTAGCCTATGTTAACCAATGGAAACATATTATAATGGCACTTTTTCAAGACAAAACTGACTGTGAAGATTAAAGTCTCATTTATTGTACATTCATTTCACTAGTTTGTGTAAAACTTGGAAAATACATCAAAGTAAAAACAGATTGAGTCAAAACTCACATAAATGCCCTGACTTCGAATATTTTACAATCTAGGGGTCAGGAGGTTGAAAGAGGAGACAAACATTGACACTTACAATACATTCTAATTAGCTTGGGAGGCTTATGTGGGTTTGAGATAACATAAGTCAATTAAAATTAAATAACATAAAACAGCCTTCTAAAAGCCAACCTTATAGTGTGGCATAAACAGCATACTTTGTGATAAGGGAGATATGAACAGTTAAAGATATAGGTAAAACAGAAAAAAAATGGATCTCATCCAATTTGTAGTCATCACAATAGAAATATTACAGAATAATATTTAAGATAAATTTTTGGTAAAATTTTTTACATAAAGGTTTGTAGTGAACAGAAAATATATTTATATAAACAGATGTAAACCAGGGAAGGTAAAATTTAGGAGAGACAGATAATTCATATTTTAAAGAGGTAAGATTTTGAATTGTTGAATAAATAGAAATAAAGCAAGAAGAGAAATTTTGAAGGATATTGGGATGAACAATTCAAATGATATTTAGACTTTGTTGGAAAGTAAAGAATCAAACACTTAATGTTTTTGAGTGTGGAGTAAACACAAAGTGGTACTTTTGAAGACACTAATTGGATAACATTGTGCAAAGTTCACTGAAGCATTTGAGAGTGGAAAATGAAGACAATCCGGATGAAATTATCATAATAGTCTACACATTAATTAGTCATGACCTTCAGGATGAATGGCCACCAACAAAAGGGATGAGTGGCACTGTACAAATTGAATAAACTTCCTTTTGAATATCTAAGCTAATTCCAAATATTTTTCTTCTTAGTATATATGAATACATATTTTTCTATTTGTTGAAAGACTACATTACATTTTATAGCACCATAGAATGAATTAATAACATATTTAGTTAAAATATGTCTTACACTATAGATAAGAAATATTTTGCTATTTTTTCTCAATGGAACATTAGAAAGACCTTTTTATTTGACAATAAAAAGATAAAAAGACAATGAAGTAAGCTGAGATGCATATTTTGGTTAAAATGGAAGGTAGGACATAAAATAGAACAAGGAAACAAAAAATACACTAATGGATTTAAATCCTGTGTCAGAGACAGTAAATAGCCCAGTTATGAAAATCATATTTCTACACACAATAAAGAACATGAAAATGAAATTAAGAAAGCAATTTCATTTATAATAGCACCAAGGAGAAGAAAATACTTGAATAAATTTCACAAAAGAAGTACAAAACTGACTCTGTAAAGAATAAAATATTGTTAAAAAAATTAAAGAAGTCCAGAATAAATGGAAAGACATACCGTGTTCATGAATCAGGAAAGTTACTATTGTTAAGATGGCCATACTCTACAGATTCAACAAAATCACTATCAAAAATCCCAGCTGATACTTTTTAGTAATTGACAAGCTAATCCTAAAATTCACATGTACAGCAAAACACCCAGAATAGTCAAAAACAGTCTTGAAAATAAAAATCATAGGAGTATGCACACTTCTCAATTTGAAAACTTACTACAAAGCTACAATAATGAAGATACTGAGTTACTGGTATGGGAATAGACACATAGATCAATCAAATAGAATCAAGAGTTCAGTAATAAAGAATAATATTTAAAGTCAATTGATTTTTGGCAAAGTACTAAGAATATCTAATGGAGAAAGAACAGTCTTTCAACACATAGAAAAGTACTAGGAGAACTCTGTCTACATTCAAAAGAACAAAGTTGGACTTCTCCCTCACTACATATGCAGAAATTAACTTAAAATGTACCACAGACCTAAATATAAGAGCTAACACTATAAAAGTCCTAGAAAAAATTATAGAAGTGATCTTTGGGACCTTGTGTTATGCAAAACATTTATAGATATGATGATAAAAGCAAAAGTACCAAACACATATAAACTAGACTTTATCAAAATTAAATCTTTTTTACTTGTTTATTTATACCATCAATAAAGTAAAACTATGAGCCACAGAATATGGGAAAATATTCACACAAATCATATATTTAATAAAGGACTTGCAGTTAAACCATATTAAAAACTTTATGAATTAGCAATAATTCAATTAAAAATGGGCTTTTTGAGTCAAAAAATAAAAAAACATAAACTTATCAATAGAATTATCCAACAAGTTAATGGAGGTTAGACTGAACAATTATCACTATGCCTAAAGGCAAAAATAACTGTTGTTATGAAGTAGAAGTTCCTGGCTGTTACTTCTTTTCTTCCTCAAGAAAATTTATAATGATATTCCATGTCAATCTGTTTATAAAACATATAACAGAGAGAAGAGAGTAATAGCAAATGAGAAAATGGAAAGAACTAAGACTTACTGACTTTCCAGTTATGCTATCTAAGATAAAACTCTTTAATTATTTAGATTTCCTAAGTAAGAATAGCAGTCATAGAGTAATACTTTTCTGCGATAATCAATGCTGGGAAAGTGAAATAATTTAGAAGTTCCCTAAATTCTACATGAAGGAAAAAAATAGAGAGACAGACAGACATACAGATAGATAGATATAGATATAGATAGATATAGATATATAGATATAGAGAGAGGAGAAAAACAGAAGAAGGTTAAAAATCAGAAAATTTTGTAAAAATAAAGGAAGAGAAGAGAATGAAAAGGGAAGGACTAGAAAGTAAATTATGAGATTAAAGCAGGAAGACAAAAACGAGAGGAAGAAGGTTCAATTTTAAGTGTGAAAAGAAAATCCAAAAAAGACGGTTATGCCAGCAATGTCTAAAACAGAGCTGGGAAAGCTTAAGGAGCTGGACTCCAGTCAAGCATACACCTGGATGAAATTTGACCTGTTAAACTGGGCCAAATTGTAAAACCAGCTGCATGAGATTGCAACTGTTTATATGGCCTGATCACCAACGTACTGGGGAGACAGCTGTGATGAACTAGATGTATCATTAGCTAAAGAAAACTTAAGGTATTAAACAGCCATCATTGATCATGGACTGCTAAAACCTTTCAGATATAAAAACTTACAGTAAACCTTTCTAAGCTCCTGCCCAACCTATACTGATGGAAAATGATTTAGCTGCTTGCTATACCTGTGTCTCCTCAATTGCAATACCTAATACCCCAATTAAAATGTGTCTCTTTTGTTTGCTGCCCTGCAGTGTTGGTTTTCTTTCTTAATAGTTGACATAAATATTATTTTCTTCCCTACAAAGCTCAACATGTTCTAAGTAGAAATGTTTGTTATCATTTCTTTTTCTTTTTCCTCTTTGTGTTTATGTTTTTAATTGACTAATAAAATTTGTATATATTTACTGTGAACAACATGTTTTGAAATATGTACACATTGTGGAATGGCTAAATCAGGCTAAATAACATGTGCATTACATCATGCATTTATTATTTTTTATAATGAGCACACTTAAAATATACTCTTAGCAATTTTCAAGAATGCAATATATTGATTATTAACTATAGTCATGATGTTGTACAATAGATCTCTTGAATTTATTTCTCCTGTCTAACTGAAGTTTTGTATCTTTTGATAAACATCTCCCAACTCCACCTCCCCACTCTCAGACCCTGGTAACCACCATTCTACTCTCTTCTTCTATGAGTTTCACTTTTTTAGATTCCACATATAAGTGAGATCATGTGATTTGTCCTTCTGTGCCTGGTTTATTACACTTAATGTCCTCCAGGTTCATATATGTTGTTGCCAATGAGAGGATTTACTTCTTTTTTAACTTACATGTTATTTGAGAGTAAAACTCCATTTTCATTGAGGTTATACCAAATGGCAAAATGTGGGATCTCTATTCTACCTCTAGACAGAATGAGAAAGAAAAGCTTTTTTAAATTTTTTTTTTAAAGTTGAAACAATAAAATTACTGCCCAATAAAGCCATAACACAAACATTTCAGAACTAGTTTTGAATATTATTTTTTGCCACTGATTTTCTCAGGATTTAATAGTAATAAAATGGTTATGAAAGACTATGCTATTGCTAGGTCTATGTAGTTATAATAGTCATAGATTGTTTAATATAATAAAGTATTTTATCTTATGCATATCGAAAAATGTACATACTAAGTAACTATCTTGCAATGTTCACTATTTGGCTTTTTTATTAGTTATTTTATTTGACATGCAAAACGTCTTCCTGTATTAGAGGGCAACACCTGAAGCAATGCTACACAAATCACCTTGTTTTATAGCCTGTGACATGCTAAACAATTAACAGAATACAAATACAAAACTACAATGAGATAATTGCTTTACAAACTGAAGTCTTTGGTGCTCCATTTATTAACTCTTTTGATTAAATAGTTCAAATTAATTTGAACCAAAATACCAAACAAAATTTGATGACTTGCTTATAAAAATTTCAATGCCATTATAAGACAGTTATATTGTTTTATAAAATGCCCACGAAAGGCTCAATTTTAAAAAAATATTTTTAAAATATGATAATGTGCAACCAAGAAAATGAACACTTCTTTGTTGATATTTGTGTTTGTATGGGTGGGGGAGATATGAACATCAACTTCTCACAAATGAAAAAGTGAAGATCTGCTATACTAAAAGCATATATAAAATGGTAAATTTTCACAACCTAAACCTTCTATTGATTAGCATAATTGTGTATTTTATAGGATGCAAATATGCATTATGTGTGATCACTGTTAACTTCAGGTACATTTCTTCTCCAAAGCTCCTAATTTTTATACCTTTTAAATCAATATACTATGCTTCAACAAAATTATTTAATTATAATTATTTAATTACCTATAAAACAATGTTACCCTTTTATACTATTTACCGAAATATCCAGGGCACTCACAAGACTTCAGAAATTTCTCTTTCAATAGAATCAACAACCATTACATTTTTACTATTCTATGAAATGAATTTATGTGATTGGAATTGACTTCACACTTTTTGAAACATCCAATGAAACTGATAAATGACCGGTATTACATACCTCTCTGGAGGACTGAGTCTCTTAATGGAGACAATGCATTAACTGTTACTTCTTTATCTTTCATACATGTGTTAACAAAAAACCATGAGATCCATGGAGGAAGGAAAAGGAGAAAATTCTGGGGGAAGCGGAGGGGTGGGGAAGGGGGAAATGCAATCTGCAGATCTGAGCATGCAACCTCAGGGAAAAACTGAATATAGGCACTCCAAGGAGGGAGGGGGAGCTGATATTTATGACTAACAGGTCCTGCCTTATGTATGTATTCAGCAGGTTTGGGGAAGATCTACGAATGTTTATGAAGGAAGTTGGGTATATAAGTAAAACATTCTGTGTTCAGAGTGGGGTTTTAGCATTCAAATGAGGCAGAATTTGGTTCTTTATGTCAAAAGGTGAACTATAGGACACAAAGATGGCTTGTGTGTAGTCTCTACAAACTGGCTGAAATTGGCTTGAAGTCTGTGGTTGTTTATCTGGAAAGGATTTTTGCAAGGCCGGTCCTCTGTCCAATGAGAGCCATGATGGGACCACTGAGTGGGGGCACTCCATTGGCTGGCATCAGGGGATCTGTTGGGGTTAGCAAAGAAACCTTTCTGCTGTAGTCTGATAATGCTTTTCAGGAACTGGTCTCTGCTTAATTACAGCAAAGAAAACCTTGTGGCAGTTAGTAACACAGAGGCAGATAACCAACACCTCACCCTGCTGGCCATTCAATTACGTTTTTGGTGTATCTCATTTTAGCCACAGGGAGTCCATTTTGTCCTCCTGTTGACTTACATTTTAACACATGAGTAAGAAAACTTGTAATAAAGAATAAAAACAATGAATTTAGAAAAGTCGTCATTTAGTCTAAATGAACGTCATTCTTCAGAAATGCTAAGAGTTCATGTTATATAATCCCTTTTCTACAAAAGAGAAAAACCTTACATTATTGGAAAGCACAGTAGTGATTTCTGATGGAAAGAAGGGAGTCATGACTGGAAGAGATAAAAGGGGGAGATTTGATATTTTCTTGAATTGAGTATATGTGGTTGTCTTCAGTTTGTGAAAATTCATTATAGACATGATTTTTGCACTTTTGAATAGGTGTATTATCCTAAAATAACAGTTCATTTAAAAAGTCATGTATCATAAAATGATAAACATAACTTCTAGAGCTGCACATGTTGAAAGGTCATCTACAGGCACAATCTGCTTAAATTGAATATTAACTTTTCAAATTAATCCTGATGCAGATATTTTCTCAAAAAAATAGTGGGTAATAATATTCATGAAATCAGTTTATCAGTATGCCATCCTTAAATGTCATCAAAAGTTTGCACAGTTACAAATTAATCAACTTAATAAATGCAATTCTGTACTTAACTATTCAATATATATGAACTTTTAGTGGAGTTGAATGCCATTGGAAAAGTTTATTGCAACATAAAATATTGTAACTAAACAAACCAAACTCAACGTAAATAAATAGTTATAGATTTACCTCATACAATAAATGACAAGCAACTCTGGCAAGAACATTCTGAATACTCTCCATGGAAGTATTCTTCAGTTTCTATTTCCCCCACATACTACATATTCACCTAACCTAAAATTTCCTACATTTCTGACAGCCAGAATTATGGTCCAGATGGTTTGTGTACCAGGTGCTCAGAAAGAAAAGTGAGAAGAATATTTTTCCTACTCCTACTCAAGACCTAAAGGAGTTGGCTGCCCTGACTTGCTCATGCCTGAGAACTCTTTGTTTTATGCATGGTGTCTGTCCTTGAAAAGTGAGGATAATTTCACTTTGCATCTGGGAAGATTGGCCAAAGAAGGAGAGTTATTACCAGCAATCTTTCAGGTTTAATCATGTGTAAAACTAAAATCTCTTTTCACTCCATATGCATTTATACATTTATAGAAGAGTCCACGGCAGAAGCTGGAAGCACAAATTAGAGGTCTACTAAAACACTTTTAAAAAATCAAATTAAAATATGTAAAATAACAGGAAAAATGCTGAATTGTATGAGATGCCTATAAAGTAGACATAAATCATTACTTTTTCAAAAAAAAAAATACATGCTTCTCTACCTATGATGCACAAATTCCACTGGTATGTTCATTTCCTATATGCTTTGTCCATGTTTACCAGAAATTATGTATTAGAGTGTTTACAGAAAAAAATTGTAAAATAAAACATAATTGTAAAAAACTCATATATTCAACAAAAGTAAAATGCATAAATTAATGACAACTTCATCAGTACAATATTTTATAATGCTGAAAAGGAATTGTTACTACTTGCAAAAATATGAATAAATATTTATAATACTAAATTACAGGACAAAAGACCAGATCTGCTTAAACTCCACATTAAGTACCCTATTAATGTCCACCTATTTAATGAGTCCACTATATTAATTAGTCATTAAAAGGTACCAAGTTGCAATCACTATAAAAACCATAACTTGGTAGTTTCTAGCTATCACTCAGATTTCTGTAACTTATCTTGAGTTTATAATCTATATCCATCTTGAATTTGTAGTCTATGTTATACTTTCCCTTTGCCATGACTCTTTCTAAATTTCACTCATGTTTAGCGAGTCCTTCAGGTGACCTCAATTGCTGCCTGACTTCAACACATGCCTTCACCCTTGGATAGGCAGAGCTTTGATTTCCTTGGCCTTGTTCAGCTGTGGTTGCTACATTTTGTCTTTCACTGCTATTACAGCTACAGAAACACCAAAAGACCCCTCTGTGAATTCTCCATGTTTCAGATGTACTTTTCCCTGCTTCTTCTAAGAAGCAGTAAACCTATCTCCTCTTAATCGTGAGAATCCTGTGCTTTCTCCAGTATAGTAACTCCTTTCTGGCCTGTTGATCTAAAAGAGATATTTAGAACATACAAAGCCTCAGGTTTTGATTTAGACAGTGTTGCTCTGCTGGGAACTGGGATCTCTAACCAGCAAAGCTTCAGCTTGTGGAGAAGCAGAGCAAAATTTCTAACAGTGGGTCACTAAGAGTTAAAGAAACCAATCTCAATTCTATTATTTGGTTCCCAGACCATTCCTTCTACATATAAAGGACACAGCAGCATATATTGGCTGTTTTCATAAATATGTAGTTGTGTCTCAACTTACGATGGGGTGTGTTTTAAGATATTTTCCATTTATGATGGTTTATCTAGACATAATCCCATCATAAATTGAGAATCATAATGAATGCATATTACTTTCACACCATCATAAAGTTGAAAAATCATTAAGTTGAAACATCCTAACTTGGTGATTCTGGTTAGCCAGTCATGTAATAGAAACCTGGAGGACAGCGTTCACAGTGTCACCCACAAAGTTGGTGCCTTAATTAAGTGGCAGTCCTTGGCTAGATATTTCCAGGTAATTTGGCATTTGGTAGAAACAGTGGCTTATTTAGACATGTGTCCATTATTGCATATACTTTACTATAAAACGATTCTTTTTGTCTGAGGCAATAATATGTGAAATTTCATGTCAATATATCAGTTACTCTCTAAGCCCTTGGATAGTGGTAACTGCAGAAACATTTGGGGCTGGGAAATAAATTCGTATCTGGAGTGAGGCATCAATTCCAACAAGGAACACTGTTGCCCAGGTCAGGATGAAAGAGGTCCAATATAATCAATTTGTCCCTAATGGTAACTTATTCTCCTTCAGGGCCCAGTGCTAATGAAACATTACACATAGCAGTCATTGGATCAGCCTCAGTGAGGGGAAGCACATACTCTTGACTTCATCTTTACCAACATTGCCACTTCCTTCATGAGTCCATTGTACAAACAATGCTATAGCTAGACACAGAGGCTGGTTAGCATACGCTAGAAAAGCCATTTGTTCACCAGGTGGTGGAATTGTCCTTCTGCTGTATTCTCTCTGCTGGTCCATCTACATGCCTCTACTTCTACTCCAGAACCCATTTTCTATGATCTTTTAGTTTTGTTCTGTATCCGCTAGGTTCTGACTAGCCAGTCATTTGCCACTACATAGTAGCTCACATATATCCTTATATCAAGCTATGTCTACTTTCTATAAAATAGGCTTCAGTTTTTCCCTTAAGGCTATAAGTTTGAGTTATGAAAGGAAAGATCATTGCAACATAGGTAATGGGGCTCTGAACCACTTATCAATGTAATTTTCTGGACACGCTCTAAGACTGGGCATCTAATTTTTAAAGTATCATTTTTGTCATACAATGGATTGTTGATGCTTCTGCCCAAAATTATGATTTGGTGGATCTGGCAATGCCCATTTGGTGATGAGTACTTCTGTTCATGTGGTCATTTAATGTTTAATGGCCAAACTTTCAGTCTCAATTAGTAATAAGTAATATGCCAGGAACTGATTTTCAAATAGCATGCAGTTTCTCCATGAATAATTCTTCACCTTTTTCTAGAACTTAAGAGGTCTGAGTTGTGACTCTACAATTAAGTTTGCCAGAGACTGAACATGAAATTCTTATCAGACATGGACATTTTTTTTTGTAGAATCAAATGTGATCTTGCACCACAACTTAGACCTATTGGAGAAACCTCAATTTATTGGGTCTCACTCAAAATTCTCAAATTCCTAATTTACCTGATGTATTCATGCAAATAACATTCCCAATTGTAGTACATGCTCTTCAAAATCTACAGAAATCTGCCAACTTCTCTGCCTGTTCATTGTCAATGGTACAAAATGCAATAATTTGATCTTAACCTTAGTAGGGGTGGTTTTGAAGACCCTCTTGTAGTTTTCATATAATAGCCACTATTGTAGACAGGGTCAACTGAAGTCCCCAAACTACTCTGTTCAGCCAAGATAGAAAATAAAATGCCAGATACATATTGCAAAAAATATTTTCAAAGAGCTAATATTGTATCAAAATTTTAAAGTGCCATACCAATAATATTGGCATCAGGCCTGGGTTTCTTGCTGGGACATTAAATTCTTAAACTTAAGTAAAGTATCAGTTTAATATTAATCATAATTCTACTTCTGGTCCTATAGTAAAACATATACAAACTAAAATGCAAACCAGAAAAAAACTGACAAAAAGGGACATAAACAAATATTTATTCTGCAAATACATTCATTAATTTATCTCAATATTTTATATAACACAAAAAGTTTTCAAACTGGGATTAAAGTTTAAGTTTAAAAATGGCATAGTTTATATAAAATATTGTACAGGGAAATTTAAAAAGCAGAATACATAGTTGCATACATGGACTACTATAAAATACTGAAAATTCATAGAGAGTAATGTCTGGAAGGACAAACGTCAACTGGGAATGGGGCTATTTTTAAGTAGTTTATGTTATGATGCATTCTGTCTTCTTCTTTAAGGTATTCACTTTTTTTCTTCTATCCTGGTCATAAAATCTTTCTAGAAAAAAATTAAAGATATACTAATAAAATATAACTTGCAGTAATGTAATACAATACATTTTAAGGAGTCAAGTCTAGAATATTTTTGTTACAATATATCATACACAAATAATGTTTAAAGTGTGTCTTTAATTACATTTTATTTATTAAGCATATGTTAAGTCTTAAGTGTATATTTAAGAAACAAAGTAAAAGATTATATATAGAAATACACATATATTAATATAGGCAAATGTTGTATACTTTATATATACATTAAGTATATATTAATTCAAGTATATTTTAAGACATGAGGGTAAATATTTAAAAAAGCTTTCAAGGAAAATTCAATAGAGCATCAAGTTTATCAGTGATTGAATTAAATGCTAAGAACTTTCAGATAGTGCACTCATTATCTTTAGAAAAGTCCAGTATGAAATATCATTAGATTATCCACCATATAAAGCTGAAAACCCAATACTCAGCCTTCCCCTAGTAATGTAGAGGAGCAATTATTCCCAAGTGCTGATGAGGGTTAGAATTTAATGCTTTTAATTTGCTTATACAAGGAGTTTACTCTCTTGACTGTCCTTGCAGTAGTATTAGGTACGTGACAGTGATTTTAAAAGATAAAGTGAATATCTTATTAAAGTTAACATAGTGTTGTAACTGTTAAATCAACTTTAAAAAGTGGCCAGATGGCAGGATTTTCTTAAAGTGAAAAATAACTGAAGAACAGGCACCATTATAAAAATGAATGGGAGCGAAGTCATGTATGATGAGAAATCAGGTTGGTTATGAAGATTCAAGGTCATGTGTGCTTGTATTTGACAAAGTTGTGGCTACTTTCAATGGAGGCAGTAGCCAGATGCATAAAAGTTCAAGTAAAACAACTTTAAAGACAGTGGGTTTCAATAGGTTCAGACCAAGGTGTAGCAATGGTTCCCAGCACGATTGCTGGAAAATTGGAGATTTTCTCAGGTCATACTTAATACTAAAGGAACTGTAAAAGTAATAGGAGGCAGAGTCCTAGATAAGGGAGGTTATCTCCCTTTATCTGGAAAAACTCCCCTATTAGGATTTGTCAAAAATTGTTCACTTCCATAAAATGCTAAAGGCTGTTTGAAGCTGGTGTGAGACTCAGATGATTTTCTCTCCTGAGCTGTGGAGAAGGCCAAGGCAAAACTTAGTATTGTGATAGTAATAAAGAAGTAGGAAAGAGATCAAAATATATACATTAAACTAACCAAGGTCAATAATGTAGTTATTCTTGCTCTCTTTCCTTACTTTACTGCAGGAAACCCTTTGAAAATAGATAGATCACGATGCAGGGAAAGCATCTTATTTATATTATTTTCCCTATCAACTTACATCATTTAGAGTTTCGATCAGGGGTCAGCAATTGTTTTCTACAAGTGTCAGATAAATATTTTAGATTTAGCAGGCCAAATAATCTTTGTTAAATCTGTACTAAAGTCTGCACATGCATCACAAAAGGTGCTGTAACATATATAAAGGAATGAGCATGGCTGTGTTCTAATAAAGCTTTCTGTACAAAAACAGGTGACAGGCTAGATTTAACCTTGGGGCCATAATTTGCAAATCCTTGGCTTAGACTATGGAGACTGTATCAGTTAAGCATAGACTGTACAACATAAAGATTCCAGAATACATTAACTTATGTAAGATACAAATCCATTTATCTTCAACATAACTGTCCAGAATTAAGCAGTTCAGGGCTGGTGAGGAGGCCTTGACATCCTCAAATCTGAGTCATTCCTAGCCCCCATCTTCATCAGGTCAGGATTTGGTTCCTCTTGGTACAGTGATGGATAAACTAATAGATTCGGTGACTTTGTACCTGATATGTAATGGTGGAGGATAGGGTAACTATAGAAACAAATGGAGAAGTAAAACAAAAACATAAGTGAAACACAGTTTGAAAAACTCTCCCTTTTAGAAAAAAGATGGCTTTCAAACAGTTATCATTGGTTGATAACATGCAGAGCAGAACCATGAGGTGCTTCAGCCATGGACATGAAGTTAAATTCCTTGTTGAAACCTTGGTTCTGCTCTCTGGGGAGGAACTTTCTTGTTCATTGTCTTATATAATCCTGGACTTTTTATTAGTCTGTTCTCATGCTGTTATAAAGAATTGCCCTAGATTGGGTAATTTATAATGGAAGGAGGTTTAACTGACTCACTGTTTCAAAGGGCTGGGAAGGCCTCAGAAAACTTACAATCATGGCAGAAGGGGAAGCAAACACATCCTTCTTCAGATGGTGGCGGGAAGGAGAAGTGCTGAGCAAAGGGGGAAAAGTCCCATATAAAACCACCAGATCTCCAGAGAACGAACTCACCATCACAAGAACAGCATAGGATAACTGCCCTCATGACTAAATTACCTCCCACTGGGTCCCTCCCAGGACATGTGGGGATTATAGGAACTACAATTCAAGATGAGATTTGAGTAGGGACAGAGCAAAATCATATCAATTTTCAATCCTTCTAAATAAATCTTGTTTTTCCATTGGTTTAAGTAGTCCCATGTGAGTTGTACCAGATACAGTATGATCCATTTGGCTACACTGCACACATTTCACAATTTGTTTTTGTAGGTTTTGGGTCTGAGATTACTTTAGGGATGGGACCATGTGTTGTTGTTGTTGCTGCTGTTTTTAAATATACAAAGCTACTGGTATCATCAGGAATGCAGTTCTTTTGAAAACTCAGAAACTTTTTAGTCTATTTGATTTCAATCACTTCCATGGGAATGTGACTACAGCTCAAGATTTATTTCGGACATAGGTTTAAGTCCGTTTTGTAAAAACCACTAAATTTTTAGGTCTATTTTTACAACCCATAGCCTCTACCTTAAAAACAGTGCCATGATGCTGTTAGAGATTGCTATTGCTGTTTTATGATCTCTCAAGCAACCAGCTGGTTTACACTATGTTCTCTTAATATAAATATAACTGAAAACTGTATTAGTAGTAATCCAGGGATATAGGTACTATAGATAATGTTGGAAATAGAGAGAAAAGAACTACTTTTCTCTATATTTGCTTGTGATGTTTGCAGCATGAACAATAATGTTATTCTGTTCCAATGGCATTTTTATGTAACATTCTAAATTTTCAACAAAATCATCTGAAAGCACTTTAATGAGTTAGGAGTTGGTGCAAAATTTAAATAATTCAACCTTTTCTTTAAACTCAGAGAAGGACCTGTATTTACATACCTATAATATACCCCCAAAATTGATTGAAATCATAAACCATATACATAAATGTAGCATGAAATAAACCTATGCTCAGGTTGTGTACATGTGAATATTGATATCTATCAAAATCATATGTTACTGATGATAATCACACCAATATTTATAATCAATTTTGTTGAGCACTTTCTACACGCCAAATTCTACAGTAAGTAATTAGAAGGCAATTGGTAAGCTCAAACTCACACATCTAAAAAGAGACAGAGCTGACTTAAATTTTTAACATTTGAGATAAAAAAATTCAGTTAACTAAGTCAAGGTACAAACAATCTCAATGCATGGAAGGCTTTCATTCTTAAAATAGTTTACCAAGGTTAGTTATTTCTTTATTCAGATCTGATGATTACAGATTTATTAATACAGATGATATAGTTGGAATGACTTTTATTAATAATATTGATGTAGTTTGAAGGTCTGATATTTCAAGGTAGGCTCCAGACTAAGTACATTCATCTAGTTGCCAGGAAAATTGAAAATGAGAGTAAATATCTGGAAGACTGAGAGAAAGAATACTCTACCCCTGGATTTAAGATTTTTTAAATTGATTTTTTACCATGCTTCAATAAATAATCTGTTCCTCTTTCAAACTCTTTTTTTCTCTGAATCTTTTAACTTAGAGAGAGGATCTTGGTATAGCTGTGAAAAATTGGGATATTGAGAAAATATTCTGTGGCTTAAAGGTAAAATAGTAAGATCCATTTCAAATGTACCCTTAGCTGTGTAAAGGGAAAAGCTGGATTTTTTCTCGAATTTTGGAGGAGTCTTGATAATATAAATTTTATTTTTTCAGATAAAACAACTATATTCTAATGAATACTTCCTTCATACTGAGAAGGCTTGTCTCCATTCCAGAATTTGTCACTTTGTGTTACTAGAATAACCTCATTTCAGTTATTCAGATTTGGTTGTTTTCACATTTAAAACTTTATTCTCAATTCAATTCAAAGTTTGATTCCCCCCACTGTCTTGAGGCAGGCTACCTCCCTGGCCATGGCTCTCTGAAATGGGGAAGAATCTGGCTTGACACTAGGACACTTCCCCGTCTCTTTTTTATGCATGGAATTCAAGGTAGGGTAAAAGTTTCAGGGAGAGCCCGCATCGCCAAGTCAATCCTAAGCCAAAAGAACAAAGCTGGAGGCATCACACTACCTGACTTCAAACTATACTACAAGGCTACAGTAACCAAAACAGCATGGTACTGGTACCAAAACAGAGATATAGATCAATGGAACAGAACAGAGCCCTCAGAAATAACGCCGCATACCTACAACTATCTGATCTTTGACAAACCTGAGAAAAACAAGCAATGGGGAAAGGATTCCCTATTTAATAAATGGTGCTGGGAAAACTGGCTAGCCATATGTAGAAAGCTGAAACTGGAGCCCTTCCTTACACCTTATACAAAAATCAATTCAAGATGGATTAAAGATTTAAACGTTAGACCTAAAACCATAAAAACCCTAGAAGAAAACCTAGGCATTACCATTCAGGACATAGGCATGGGCAAGTACTTCATGTCCAAAACACCAAAAGCAATGGCAACAGAAGCCAAAATTGACAAATGGGATCTAATTAAACTAAAGAGCTTCTGCACAGCAAAAGAAACTACCATCAGAGTGAACAGACAACCTACAACATGGGAGAAAATTTTCGCAACCTACTCATCTGACAAAGGGCTAATATCCAGAATCTACAATGAACTCAAACAAATTTACAAGAAAAAAACAACCCCATCAAAAAGTGGGCGAAGGACATGAACAGACACTTCTCAAAAGAAGACATTTATGCAGCCAAAAAAGACATGAAAAAATGCTCATCATCACTGGCCATCAGAGAAATGCAAATCAAAACCACTATGAGATACCATCTCACACCAGTTAGAATGGCGATCATTAAAAAGTCAGGAAACAACAGGTGCTGGAGAGGATGTGGAGAAATAGGAACACTTTTACACTGTTGGTGGGACTGTAAACTAGTTCAACCATTGTGGAAGTCAGTGTGGCGATTCCTCAGGGATCTAGAACTGGAAATACCATTTGACCCAGCCATCCCATTACTGGGTATATACCCAAAGGACTATAAATCATGCTGCTATAAAGACACATGCACACGTATGTTTATTGCGGCATTATTCACAATAGCAAAGACTTGGAACCAACCCAAATGTCCAACAATGATAGACTGGATTAAGAAAATGTGGCACATATACACCATGGAATACTATGCAGCCATAAAAAATCATGAGTTCATGTCCTTTGTAGGGACATGGATGAAATTGGAAACCATCATTCTCAGTAAACTATCGCAAGAACAAAAAACCAAACACCGCATATTCTCACTCATAGGTGGGAATTGAACAATGAGATCACATGGTCACAGGAAGGGGAATATCACACTCTGGGGACTGTAGTGGGGTGGGGGGAGGGGGAGGGGTAGCATTGGGAGATATACCTAATGCTAGATGACGAGTTAGTGGGTGCAGCGCACCAGCATGGCACACGTATACATATGTAACTAACCTGCACATTGTGCACATGTACCCTAAAACTTAAAGTATAATAAAAAAAAATAAAAAAATAAAGGGCTCATAAATAAAGACAAAGAAAAAAAAAAGTTTCAGGGAGAGAGGCTAGGGAAAGCCAAGGTCTCCTGGTGTGCCGGTAAAGGCTTCACTCTTGTTTAGTCTCTTCTGATTGATCTTTACCCCTTTTCTTAGGTGGTGGTCTTCACATGGGTATACGCTTGGTGTACACCACCATGTTGGGCATGCCTCTGTTTATCTCAGTAGCTTCACAAAACCCCTTCCTCCCTACCCACTGCTCGTAGATGTGGCGCCATGGTAAGAGCTGAATTTTTGTTCACTCCTACTTTGGGCCCCGTATGCAAGGGGAATGGTTCACTGTTTTCTTCCCTGGAACACCAAACCACTTCCCTTTCTAGTACTATTACACAGACTGCTTCAGCAATCTTTTCTTGTGCAGACCTCCCTACATCAGAGGCGCGTATCACTCGTAAGTTCAAATATATACTATCCCTTTCCCCACAGCATGGGAGAAGAATTAATCAGGTCTAAAATCCCATAATATCAAGCTCCCTGAAAAGTCACAGGAACATTTTATCGCTCTCTGCTCTTATCTGTACATCAGGTGAATAAGCAGTTTCCAAGGCTCAGCAAGCATCAAGCTGGAGACCAAGATACCAGTCACTTTTTACAAGTACCCTTAGTCTTTGCACGTGATATTTGGGGTTGTGGACGAGGGCCGGGGGGGACTTGGTTTTAGGCCCCTTGTCCATGGACCCTACACTCTCTAAGAAAGTATAACTTTCTCAGCCATCTTCTTATGTTAGCTTGAGTCGGGAGGCAGGAGCAAAGATGGCTGAGTTGTTAAGCCTCTCAATTAATCCCAAGGAAAACTGGCTGGTCTGACCTGCTGTGGGGTTTTCACCTTATACTTTTGGGTACTTGGTAATTTTGTGCTCAGCTTTGGGCCATGGTATCAATTGTAGGACAACAGGAAAAAATCCCACTTGATATTCTAGAAGACCTTGTTAGTCACTTTGACAGAAAATCCTGATATGATTCACTCACTCTACTAGCTATCACAGATGACCAGTGGAAATAGATATTTATACTCTCATACTAATACCAAGAAAGCAAAATCCTCTTGTCCCCCTCACAGAACATGCAGAACTCCTTTTGATTAGGAGGGAGTACAGACCTCTGCTCTTATCTGCTCTTCAAATGCAACTAGTGGAAGAAGAGGGTGGCAGTACAAGTCACTTTAATGAGGACAAAAGGAAAGTGCAATTCCATGGACAGCTGAGAGAGACTGAATTCTTAAAATCAAATCATTAAATGTCACAACTGGAAGGACCTTTAGAAACTATGGAAATCAAGTCTTATTTTACATTGGAGAAAAACAAGATCCAGAGTGGAAGAAGGAAATGTTTAAGGCCTCTCAGTTCTTTGGGAAAGATGGGAACAAGAAACCAGACTGCCAGACATCAAGTGATTTACACAGCAGTTCTAAAGTTTTATTCAAGCTGTTCTTTGTAACCATTGTCACCTGTGATCTGGGGGCTACTCCTGTACTATTTGAAAAATGAGATCCTGTTTTGAAATTATTTCCACACAGAAAACAATAGTAGTCAAACAAACATTAAAGAGGTAGGAACGTGCACATTTCACTGGAATAACGTACTCATAGTTATGATAAGAAAAAAATTTGGGGAGCATTAATATTAGATACTACTCAGTTATGATAATTCCATTCAGCATCTCTACCAGGATGAAAGAAGTGTCTGGGTCCATCACCTGCCTTTACTGGTTTCCTGAGGGCTCATGATAGAATCATTCATGCATATGCCAGATGGAAAACAGTGTGAGACTTTTTTTCTTGGATTTAAGTCCCCAATACTACTCATTCTCATTAGCATCCATAGTAAAGATATTAAAGCATTGTAGTGGAAGAAAACAGCTGCCTAATTGAAATACTACCCAACTGCAGAAAAGCTTCAAATTATTTAGATGAGTAAAGGGGAACTTATGATCTTTGTAAAATGAAGTCATATAGTAATTTTCTTAAAGTATAAATTTGATATTATCCTATTAAACATTAGATTTACTTTTCCTTCCTATCCTTCACATTGTTCCCATAAGCAATAAACCTTACCCAGAATTAGTATCAACATATATTTAAGGACTCGGAAATAATAATTTAGTCATATGTCCTGTCATGACAAATGCCTAGCTTTAAGATGGCCCCTTTTATATTGGTCGTACTCTGCTTAAAATAAGAAAAAACTGTGTTCTAATGAGCTGACATTTCTATAGCCCTGAAGAGGTTCTGTAATTAGGCATCTAAAAACAGAGGTGCAGTTATGCAGTTGTGGTTATTTTTAATTGCTCTTTCCCTAATGAGGAAGCATTATGGATTAACTTGCTACATTTGTAGCATGAGAGAGAAATATCTTGATAAAAATAATGCCCTTGAATATTTGCCTCTCTCTCCAAATAAGTAAATTTTTCCCCTTTTCATTTTGTTAAGCAAAGGTAGTCTGCAGCCTTCACTTGGCTACTAAAGAAAATTTAAGTTTCCACTCAAGATAAGAACTGCTTATCCTTCACAATGTGAGTAAACTCACTGGAAGCATTTGGTATGACTGCATTTTTGACAGAAAAAGGTAAAGAGGCAACAAAGGTTTCAGATAAAATGAGATAAGCAGTCACCCATGTTCATGTATAATTGTTACATTTGAAGATGATACACTTAAGTTCCATTTACATTTATAGCCAAAGTAAGAAAATATTACCAAAACTGCAGACTCAGGTACTCTTTTAGTGACTTCCAATTATTATTGAGAATCCCCAAAGTTGTATTTCAACTTCTAAAATTTTTCTAACCAGGTCTCCTCTTCAAGCTATCAGGTCTCTGACGCTCTCTCCAATGTCTTCTTTGAGAATGCGTAACTGAATTCCACGAAAGAAGGCTCTCAATTCCCCTAAGACCACTGCAAGCATAAATGCTGTGGTGCTGGTAGATTTTGTACAAATATAGGAGAATGGGTCTTTTTCGAATTTTGTCACCTAAGGTCTAGAAGTAGTACTCCTGTGCAAACATTCATTTTCAAGATACATTTCATCTCCCTCCTTGTAGATGCTGATGCCCATGGGATGCATGTGAGCTG
The DNA here is from genome assembly GCF_000001405.40 of Homo sapiens. Taxonomy (NCBI): domain Eukaryota; kingdom Metazoa; phylum Chordata; class Mammalia; order Primates; family Hominidae; genus Homo; species Homo sapiens. The sequence goes on from NC_000014.9 coordinate 48,318,610, forward strand.
GACAGGTTCTGTGCACACCTCTTTGTATTGATACACATATATATACTCCATCTCTGTATCATTCTCTGTCGGTATATATGCATATAAGTATGTGATATATATGTATATACAGACGTATGCATATATCTATATGATGGCTGAGATATTATCCTCTCAGATATATGTATGTGTCTGTGTATATATATACACACACATATATATACAACTATAAACATGTATGTCTATACATATATATCTCAAATACATATATATATATATATATATATACACACACACACATACACATACTATTTTTTTTTAACACAGATTAGCCTTTATTGGCCTCTAGGGCCCTGGTCCAGCCCTATTGTGGGCCACAGGGAGACCCAGGCTGGGGAGCAGCCTCTAGTCTTGCAAAAGTCCGTGTTCTCTGGGAAAATAAAAGTCCTCAGTGGTGGGGTGGGGGATGCCCATCCCCACTAGAAATTCTTGTTCTTGCTCAGCCAATGGTGGTGCCCCATGCTTTGTTTCCGCAGCAGCTGCCAGTACTACCGGCCCTTGGGGTTCAGCTCCTCCAGCATCTTGGGGTATTCAACATCCGATTTCAGAGGCACAACCTGCCCCTCCTTGTAGATGCAGATGCCCATGTCCAGACAGGGTCTGTGCACACTTCAGGCTCCTTGAGGACCTGGATGGCAGCACCACCTTTTTCTACTTTGACCCCTTTCACCTCTGGATTCTTGGCATAATCCCAGACCAAGAGTCTTCCAGGAGTGGGGAAATATAGGAGCTCCTGCGCTCCCATATATATAAGTATATATATATGAGTATATATATATATACACACATATATATATACTTACATATGTGTGTGTGTGTATATATATCTACACAAATATACATAATGTAGATATCTCTTTGAAATACTTATATATGCATATGTATATATACATATATGTGTATATATAAGTACATACATATATATGTGTGTGCATGTGTGTGTGCATATATATATATATATATATATATATATATATACTTATTTGCAGATCTTGGGACTTCTCAGCCTCCATAATCACATGATCCAATTATTTATTTTTAAAAATGCTCTCTCTCTCTCTCTCTCTTTATATATATATGTATATATACATGCATATAAGTATTTGAGAGATATATATACATATATGTGTGTATATAATATATGTATCTATATACTTATATACTTAGAGACAGAAAGGTAGACTGATAGAGTGCATTTTTAAAAATAAATAATTGGCTCATGTGAATATTTAGGCTCAGAAGTCCCAAGATCTATAGTCCAAAGGCCTGAGAACAAGGAGAACTGATGGTATAAGCTCCAGTCTGAGTATGAGGACAAAAGAAAATGTCCCAGCTTGAGATCATCAGGCAGAGAAAGGGCATTCTCTCTTGCTCATTTATTTGTTCTATTCAGGCCTTCAATAAATTGGATTAGGCCCACCCACACTGGGGAGGGCAACCTGCTTTACTTAGTCCACCAATTAAAATGTTAATCTTATCAAGAAAAACTCTCACAGACATACACAGAATGTGTAACCAAATATCTAGGCACCCTGTAGTCTAGTCAAGTTGACATAAAATTAACCATCACATTTTCCTTGAATGTAGGGCCCTTTGTTTCTTATATAATGGTAGCAGCTTTTTGGACCTCAACCTTTTACAACTCTATAAGAATAAGAAATGTGTTTATTTTATTCTAGGCACAGAGAAATTTTCATGATTTTCTTAAGGGGGGAAATAATTTTCTTTTCTTAAAATGTACACACTAGAAGGATACAGTTCTGCTTATAAATTATAACTGTTCAATCATGTCCCACAGAAGTACATTGCCTCTAGAATACCAGACTTCCCAAGCTTTAAATATTCATCTCCAAAAGACCAAAACATAGTTTTTCCAAAAGAAAAGGAACACATACATAAAGGTCTAATCATGCCCCACCTATCTGGAGTAGATTTGAAATGTCAGTCTTTACCCCTTGGAGACTTCATATTATCGGACCCAGAATTCAGGTACGCACTATAAGAGTTTCACTTTACCTGTAATTCCTTCAAGAAGAAAGATCCCTCGTGGTATGTTCTACGTGTGAAAACTTAGCCCTGAGACATAAACAGGGAAAAATTTATTTCACTCCTAAGACATTAATGCAGAGGTTCATGGTTTATCCTCCTAAAATATCTTCAAATTATGATTAACATGTAAATTACATTTTAATTTTGAAATCCATGGTATCCTGAAATACATACATAGATATTAAAAATTGAATGAAATACAGTAGAACTTGCTTTCCATTGGTCATATTTGCATCCTTTCCTAATAAATTCCAGAGACATAACTAGAGAGCACTCTTTATTTCTATGCAGTCCATTTCTTAGGTTATTCATTAATGTTTTATTGTTTCCTCCCTATATTTTAATTTTAAATTAAGGAATGTTTCCTTAGCTAGCTTTTCTTGCAAAATTTTTCTTACATGAACACAGGTAGTCATAAAACCAGGTTAATGCTGATTAAACCATAAAAACTTGTTTAAAATTCCATACAAAATATATTACACTTACCAAATTACTTTCCTAAATTTTGGAAAAATGTACACCAGAAAGTGATCCAACAAATCAGTTACTTCAGGTTCTTTATTTTTACAAACTAGAAAATTGTAGTATGGAGAGGCTAAAGAATATGCCCACTTCACACAGAGATTGAAAATGTGTAATTAAACCCCAAAAGTTCTGATTTCCAGTATCATAGTCTTTCCCATGAAATACCCAATTTGAGTATCTGGATATAAATTTTCGTAATGTAAAAGTAGTATACGCGAATAAATGTGATGCAGACAGAATTGCAAAAGGTAAAATCATCCTTTTGTTGATTTAGGGACAATTTAAATTCAAATATGTCTTAAGTATAACTAAAGTATTTTTAAAATATAATTTCTATCAATATAGCAGTCATAATTAGAGAGTAAACTTTAATAATTACTTATGTCATTATAAATTCATTCTTATAAAATAAAAATTTGAAAAAAGTAAAATGGATTATTCAATGATAGATATCCTTTATATAATTTTACATTTCAATTAAAAACTTTAATGCCTCAAATTGATATCAGTTTCATTTGCTACAATGAGCTGTAAATTCAGACACAGAGAAGGATGTGCATTAGGGCATAAGAAATGAAGCCTTAGCTTGTTCATAATAGCTGCACGTTTACAAATGGGATTGCTCCCCATCTATCTCAGGATTCCTGTGGAACAAAGTGAAGAAACCGAAGACAAATCTGTTGAAAGAAGAAAAATGAAAGGATGTTGCACTAATAGAATACATTTTTCAAAAGCTTGTGGAAAACAGAAAGTTGATGGCAGCCACTTAACAGACAAAGTGAAAGAAGAGGTATCCTAGTCTAGATTATGGTAGAAAGAGGCTGCAGGGGAAGTCGAGACGTTTGCCAAAAAGAACGCCATGTATGAGGCACATACACATGCTCACACCCATAACCTCATACAACCACATACCCCCACACACCACACTTTAAAGAACACCTGCGCTTGTAACTCTATTTATTCTTATTTCTGAGCGTGAAACCCTATTCATTCTTATTTCTATATTTTAAAACTTTTCATTATTTGGGTCTAGTCTTTTGTAGCCATTACTTCCCAATTTTGAGTTTCCTATTTTGACTCATCTTTCAGAATTCTAATAACATACATGAAACATACATGAAACTTGTCTATCTGAAAATATCTTTTTATTTTTTGCCTTTACGCATGAACTATATCATGGCTTCCACACCAACCGAAGCTTTTTAAGTATTAGAGTTTACTCCATTTTCTTGGTGCATTTAAGTCATAAAGCAGTCTTCAACCATCTTCACTTTTATTCTTTCACAGGAAACCTATTTTGTTTGCTGCCTTTGCTTATTTGTTCACTTTTCTTTGTGTGCTTGAGAGATTATTACATTATTGTATCTAATAATAATATCAATTATATAATAATATCTCTATATCTCTATTCTATTATTGGAACTGTTTGGACAAAATTTACTTATAACATTGTATACTGGTTTTAGACATGTCTCTTGGTTTTCTTAGAAAAGGAAATATTTGCTCTGTCATATCTTTACTTCTTTTGTTTTATTATCTGTTCCAGAGACATCAAATGTTTTAAATTTTAAAACACGACATATGTCCTGATATAAAATTTAATTTCTTCATAAATCCCACCTTTCTAAACATTTTTTTACTTTTCTGGATATGTTTATCAAATCTATCCTTTGCTCAACTATTTTATTTTCTGCTATGTAAAGTAGTATATTTATTTTACCATAATGTAAGATATATTAATCTTGATATTTCATATATTCATATTATGTTTTCCTTTTGGTAAAAACACTGTTCTCTTATATCTTATTCAGATCTGGAGGTTATATTTTTTACTACCATTGTTTCTTAGACTTTCCTGATATCAGTAGACCAGGAAAGACCAAGGAAAGTTTGTTCTTGAAAAGAATCATTGAAAGTTATGTAATAAAAAGAAAATTTTTTTCCTAAATAGAGACATCATTTAAAGGCCCTAATAGAGAGCCAACAAGTTGGGTGTAAGAGGGGAAAGAGTGTACAGTAGGGTAAGAAAAAGTGATCAATGGAAAGTTCTAGCAATTTGTTTAGTGTAGCAATCGTCATGAGAGTCAACTTCCATATGCAAAAATAGAAGAATATATGTGATGGGATTTTTGATGGGTTCAACGTCTTCCTTCTCCATTCCCTCCCGATAACAGACTTACCTTGTAGTTCAGAGAACTTTATCATACCCGATGTAGAAGGCTGAAGCGATAGCTTAAGCTTCCTTTAAACTCCTTCCTTTTACCTATAGTTTTCTTTCCCAGCCTAGGGAATTCACGTAAGTCAGAGTAGGAAACTGAGAAAAGAGATCATAAGTACTTTTCTCATGTTATAATTTTATCTAGAATGTACTTCTTTTAAGATAAATAATAAGTTAGCTATTTGTGGGGGAAGGGGACACACAAAATCTGTGCTAGCGATTCAAGTATAGGTATCTCAAAATATTGTAGTGCAATTTACATGACTATAGCAAAGTTTGTGTTAACCTTTCTTTATACACGGACTATTTATTATCATCACTGTGTAAGCCCAATGAGCAATCAGCTTGTGTGATGGCTGGGTGCCTATGAGATGACTCGTTTGTAAATACCACAAACATTTGTTAGAACACTGTCAAAGTCACGTAGGCCCTTCTTGCCAGTCAAGCTTATAAATATCCCTGACATTCTGGAGAATGAGTCTCGTGAACATAATATCATGGAATGTTGACAGAAAATCCAGATTGCTACCCAAACTGCGTGGAATACAAATGAAAGCTTTGATATCTAGCTGTGCCGGAAAGGAAAAGAGCATTTTGTCTAATGCATATCAATGAATCAAGACCGAAAACATAAAACAATTTGAACTGGTTTAGTGCAGAATCAGACTGTAGCAACACAAAATGCATGAGACAAGCATGTTTAATTAGAAAATTAATGTCATGAATTTGAGGCTGGAGGCAGTAAGCATTTTACTTGAGAATTCTTGGATCCCATTGCTGACATGTGGGTGGCCTGGCAATTCATATTCATATGGGCATATGAATTTATATTCTCAATATTTACTACTGTCACTGGTTATTTTCTATTTATATTAAAATTTACATTTGGCTAAACTTAGTGGTATTCCATTTGTAAAGATGTACTGCAAATATACTAATTCTAATACATAATGCATTTATATATCAAAATACAATGGTGTACTTGTGACTTTGTGAAGGCATTACTCAGAGAAGTTAAAAAAGTGTAGTATCTTTGATCATTAATCATCCCCATTGTTTCTTCTTTATCCTTATCATTTAAAAGTTTCTAACTCTTTCTCATCTATCAGTGCAGGTAGAAGGAGGAGGAAGAAGAAAAGTGACAGTAAAAGTAGCATTGATAATATCTTACCTCAATTGGTCATTTAAGTGCCAGACCATAGACCAAAAGCTATATACTGACCTCCATCTTTAATCTTCCAAAAATTCTACAAATATTGAAAACAAGTTAACTTTAGAAAAAGATCAAGTAATTAGCCCCAAATGCAGACTTTACACTTTAGCCACTTTGCTATCCTAATGGATAGACTTTCCACATTGAGGGAGTCACTTGAACTGTATAATCATAACTGTGTATTGCCTAAGGTTAAATCTGTCCATTTATTTAACATGTATTTATTAAACTCTATCCATGTGCCAGACCTCTGCTAGATCCAATAGATACAGTGAACCAGATACAACAGTAGCTACCTTCTAGGAGCTTAAAGGACAATATTGAATTCAAAATTACTCATTTTTAAAATCTTTTTGCCAATTTATTCAAAAATATATTAATGAGAAATCTATCATGTTTCAAGTACTATGCTAGGGAAGTAACATATAAGTAAAAAATCTCTTTTAGGTCAGGCACAGTGGCTCATGCCTGTAATCCCAGCACTTTGGGAGCCAAGGTGGGCAGATCACCTGGGGTCAGGAGTTTGTGACCAGCCTGGTTAACATGGTGAAACCCCGTCACTACTAAAAATACAAAAATTAGACAAGCGTGATGGCATGCACCTGTAATCCCAGCTACTCAGGAGGCTGAGGCAGGAGAACTTCTTGAACCCGGGAGGCAGAGGTTGCTGTGAGCTGAGATCGTGCCACTGCACTCTAGAGTCTGGATGACAGAGCCAGAATCCATCTAAAAAAAAAAAAAAAAAAAAGAAAAGAAAAAGAAAGAGAAAGGAAAGGAGCAAGGAAGGAAGGGAGAGAGAGAGAAAGAGAGAGAGAAGGAAAGCAAGAAAGAAAGAAAGAAAGAAGAAAAACTCTCTTTTGCTCAAGAATTTCAAAATCCAATGATGCAGATAGAAGAGCAAACTGACAAATATTAAACAATGCAATGGAGCTTTGTTAGAAAGATGTAAAGGCTATTAGAGAGAGTCCTTACAGGGCTCAGAGAAGGATGCACACACACACACACTCAAGATAACAGAGCTAAGGCTCAAATGATGACTAGGAATTAGTCATACAAATCTGGGAGAGATGAGAATTGGTAGAACATGCTAGGACAGAATAAATACTATTTCCAGATACATAGAGTCCAGGGCATGAAGGGTGGTCAGAATGCTACGGTTTGAAGAAGGACATGTGAGGGAGAGAGGTTCAAGCCTTGAATAGATTTTGCACTACAATAAGGAATTTGTCATAAAAATGACAAGGAGAATTAATTTATATTATTAAGGGGACAGATATGATCAGCTCCACATCACTGAAATCATTGAGGAGATTGGATTTCATGCAAAGGATGAGGTGTGTTTTGCAGGCAGACTGGAGTTCTAAAGACAGGAATGGGATATATTACAATTAGATTAACTTAAAGAGAACTAAGGTTTAAAGACACTTGCATTAATTTGTCTTTTATGCTATTTAGACCTAGAACAGACATAGATAAACACAGTCTGACATGGAAATAAATCAAGCAAATGTTAAAATTGCATCTGGCAATGCTGATTACCTTTATCCAGTTGAATATATGTTGCCCTATTGTTTTTTGTTTAAAAAAAAAACTATGAGATCAATTATTTGTTTTATTACATGGCTTGAATGTAATAAATAGTAGTTACCAATTTCTTCTGGAACAGAAAAAAAGTATTTTGAATCGTGGTACAAGATGTGTATGTACCTTTATAATCCTTAAAGCTTTGTGTTGAGTTAAAATAGGAGGGGATGATTTGTAGGTTACTTTGAAATATCACATCTTATTTGAATGAAATATCACATATTTACCACAGTTTTATGAAATCATTGTTATTTCTATGACTTCTTTATTCAAAAATAAAAACTCCTGATTAGAAACTAATTGTTCTAGGAAATATCAGATATGCATGTGATCAAATCTCTGATTCATCATTATTTGAGAGTTCACCCTATGAGATCCCTGGAGTAAAAAAAGATAGGCAAAGTCTTTCCCTCATGGAGCTCAAATGTGGAGTTGAACGTGCAGGAAATAGGACAATAAAATGAGTAAATCAGCTCTCAGAGGATAAGTGCCATCTAGAAGAGAAAGTTTATGTTAGAGAGTGGCTAGGTTTGGGGAAATTTTAGATAGGTCATGCAGGAAGCCTCCCTGGAGTAAGCACTGTTGAAGGTGAGAAGTGACTGACAGGCAGCTGGCCATACCTGGATCTGAAGAACATTCCAGGCAGAGGAGAGAATGGCCTTGGCCATTTTGATGGGCAAAATGTCAATGTGACTGCATCAGAGAAAGCAAGAGAACATAGACGTGAAATGGAGGGAGGAAAGAGGTGCTGCGGGAGAAGGGAGACAGAAAAAGTTCACAACTGACCTTCTGGGCTGGTTTCATTCTAATTACAATGGGAAACCATTAGTAAGGGAAAAGATTATTAAATATTTTTGTATTTATTTTGCTAGATGTACATATTAGTCTTACAATTACAGACTTCAGATTTAACTAGTATGAAATAGTGGACAAACCCCAAAAGAGCTAAATCACTGTCATGACCAAAGTGTATTTACTGTCGTCTGCAGTTTGGGCAGCTCACAGATTAGACACATAGGAAGTAAGATCTGCCAAACTTATTTTTACTCCCAAACAATTTCAATTAAATGTATTGAGTGTGAGTGTGCACACATTCATGTGTGTGTACACATATGTATATATTATCAAGTCATTTTAAACATAGCAGTATTTTTATTCTTAATTATCTTATCCCTAAAACAAATCAAAATCTATTACTCATCTCCATCTTAACTCAGTTCATAAGTTCAAGATACTACAAAAGATCTCCATCGGTGGAAAAGGAAAGAAAATTATTTTTACTTCCGGTTCATTTTTTTGCCAGCAGCTAGGCTTGTCACCTGTCAAAGGACAATATCCTGTTACTTTTTTTTTTTATATACTTTAAGTTTTAGGGTACATGTGCACAACGTGTAGGTTTGTTACATATGTATACATGTGCCATGTTGGTGTGCTGCACCATTAACTTGTCATTTAACATTAGGTATATTTCCTAATGCTATCCCTCCCCCCTCCCCTTACCCCCACAATAGGACCTGGTGTGTGATGTTCCCTTTCCTGTGTCCATGTGTTCTCATTGTTCAATTCCCACTTTTGAGTGAGAACATGCGGTATTTGGTTTTTTTGTCCTTGCGATAGTTTGCTGTGAATGATGGTTTCCAGCTTCGTCCATGTCCCTACAAAGGACATGAACTCATCATTTTTTATGGCTGCATAGTATTCCATGGTATATATGTGCCACATTTTCTTAATCCAGTCTATCATTGTTGGACATTTGGGTTGGTGTTACTTTTAAAAGCCAGAGGAACTCGAATGAGAAGCAGGCTTCACAAATTCCAGTCAGGTCATTTCCATGCTAAGGGTGGCTCTTGTTCCTTTCTCCCAGGACACCCTCCTACACATAGGACTTTAGATCTGACACATGTCATACAACTGCAGCTCTGCTTTAGGCAGCAAACCCTCAGAAAGAGTGTAAGGACACCAAAAACATTATTTTTTCTACCATGAAGGGTGCAGCTGGTCAATTATGTTACTCTTTATAACATCTACTATGGATAGGAGAAGACAGAACTCTCAGGGCTCAGTAAGAATAGCATTCCTTCCGTATTCTTACCTGCAGCTTTGCCTTAGAGTTGCTCTTTTTCTCAGTTGTTTCATGGACAAAAGAGCAGAGAATATGCTGGCCTGAATATATATGGGTCTTCTTGTTAAAAAAAGATTAAAGGGTGTTGATACGTTTCTGACTGAGAAATGTTGTTGATATCCTTCCACTGTATGCTCAATCAGGAAATGACAATAATCATCAAATTAAACATGTCCTAATTATCTCTGCAATTATAAGATGACGATTTAACATTTATCCTTGTGACTCTGAGCTGCGTAGTAATTGATCTGTTTTCTGCAGTCCTAATTCAGCAACTCTAAAAATGCTAAGCATACTATCATAAAAAATGAGCTGTGCAAACATATTTTAGCTATTATTTTTCCCCATATTTGCTAACAATACAAAATTCAGGTAGTTTACTGTGATTATTACTATTGTTGATATTATTAATGCATTAATTTGTATTTATTTTAAATAAAAATTGAAGTATAAAACATCTTTTTAATTTATTTATCTAGCAAGTCCTACTAGTCAATTTCAATATGATAAACCAAATGGAAAGTGTATGAAAAGAACTGCCGATTTGACATTATACTTTTTCAATAAACAGAGAATTATTTCCAGAATAATTCTTATAACTATATGTACTGAGATTTTCTTATTTATATTATTGGTAACTTTGGTAAATATAATTGTGTTTATTCTTATAAATTACACAACAGTGCAAATTCACCAGTATCAACCTCTTAAGCAGAGCTAGGGCAAAGAACCCATAACAGGTTATTTTGAAGACTCCACTTAGAATGCTAAATTTCTAAGAGCGAGTCTTAGCACAATGAGTTTGAGGATGTGCCTGGTATTGATATTACTCTACATCAAATAAATAATAATTTATGATTTCCCTGGAAACTAAGTAATGGGACCTATGGAATAGCAAAGGGATTTTTCTTTTTGTATTGTATTTCATTGTTTAATATAAGAATAATATTTTAGGGAAAATGAAACTATAATTTTGATGTATAAGAATTAGAATAATTGTTGCATTTGGTCAAGGTTCTTTTTAAATTTAATGAGATTGAGATTACTTTTACTTTTCTACTGAAATAATGAGAATAAAATTTACTAGTCTGGAAAGTTTGGGTCAATATGGCCTGGTGAAAAATTAAGCCATGGTTGTCAGGTCTACTCGGTGAAGTTGCCTTGGTCAAGGAGATGTTCCTAGACAAAGAGACACAAAATAGCTACTAAAACGCTTCTGAGCATGCACAAGGATAAGTGGGATGAGCCAAGAACACAAGGTCTCACTAATGGAAACTGGTGTTTGGGCAGTCACTATGTTTGACATAGCTACTCCTGATTGTCTGAATAGTGTAACTCCCTTCATGTCAATAATATTATAATGCAAAACTCCTTAAATAAGTGAAATAAAGAATAACCAGAGGTGACACAGTAACAATTATTTTGGTGGTTTCATCCAAGACAAAGATCTGATTTTGTAGGAATTTGTGCAGCAAACAGAAGTAGAGATTATAAAAAGGTGTTAGGTTATAGACAAAATTGGTAATTGATAGAAACTTTAAAAAAAAATTTACTGGTTTAGTTGTTCTTCATGCCAATTAATCAATTTTTCCAAATCTGTATTGCTTCACCTCCTTTAGTGTCAGGATGTCTGTCTGTTGGAGGGATCTTCAATTGGCAAAAGAGAGGACTAGTAGCATGTAAGTGGCTGGGATTTCTAGTAATTATAGCGGCTTGGATCTTAGATTAATTCTCTGCTTTTTTCTATGGTCAGAGAAGGCAAAGCCCATCTCTTTGCAGTAGATCCAGGAATCACTAAGTTGAACCTCAGAGTTTTTATGACAAGAAACCTAAGAATATATTCACATACTGTATTAAAAGTTGTCGAACACAGTGGCTCATGCCTGTAATCCCAGCACTTTGGGAGGCCGAGGCAGGGGGATCACGAGGTCAGGAGACCATAGACCATCCTGGCTAACACGGTGGAACCCCGTCTCTACTAAAAAATACAAAAAATTAGCCGGGCATGGTGGCGGGCACCTGTAGTCCCAGCTACCCGGGAGGCTGAGGCAGAAGAAGGGCGTGAACCTGGGAGGCAGAGCTTGCAGTGAGCCGAGATCGCGCCACTGCACTCCAGCCTGGGCGACAGAGCAAGACTCCATCTCAAAAAAAAAAAAAAAAAGCTGTTGAACAATGAAGAATACTTACAAAATAATGGGAATTTGAAAGCTATTTCATGTATTACTATATTTTTATGTTCATGGAATACTTAAAAATATCTATTTTTCATTTAAGAATACAACGATGTTTTGCCACAGGTCTTAGAAAGAAAATGCATCATTAAGCCTTGTAATCAAGGTAAGATATTTTATTTAGGATTACACACATTATTTTAAATAATCATGATTTACCTTGCTTCTGATAGGATATTCAAGAAATAGCCAAGAAAATTATTTGCCTGAGGTCACACACATCAATAGAAATTATGGAGAAAATCCCATGTTTTCATACTCAAAAGTCAATCAGAACCATGGAATCATGTTATTTCCCAAATCATTTCTTTTTAGTATGAAGTAATAAATGTATTCCTTACTTCATACACAAGCTAAATTCTTGATGAGGTCAATTTTCTTCACTGCATTAAATTCTCTGTAAATGATCCAAAGTCACTGCTCTCTGACAACACTTTAGTAGTTTATATCAGTAATCACAGTCCAGTTCCTAGTATTAATGTGTCCACATTATAAAAGCTGTCAGGAAAATTGATATTAATAAGAGCCTTTGCTGGAGATCTCAGGACAAAAGCCAAGTGTAAAATTCTGTGGACAATGAACTCTGTCCCAACTTCCAAGGGCCATGCCTTCCTATCAGAATTAAAATGTACTGGCAGAAAGGTTTCACCATGACCACATATTGTACCTTTGGAAAACCAGAAAATTTAAATCTATAGTGTCAGGACTTTTCATCTCTCATGATACATGCTTCATTCAGTACAAGTATTCTTTAGCATACATTTGAGCTATTTGAACTTAATCAGCTGCAAGAACAAAGAACAATTAAGACTACTTTGAAACACAGGTAGTTTGTTATGCAAACATAGCAAACTTGACCTCTTACACCCACCTCATAGGCATGCGCAGTGTAAGACCCCAAGAAGTGAATTGAAGCTTGCTTCTCCTTACACAAATATTAAGGAAACAAATTTCTAGGCACAGAAATGTATATAAATCCTACTGTTTACACAGTTACCAAAATAGATTATTAGTCATTCTCCTGCAGGGGCTGAAGTGTATTTCTGGACTCCCAGATGGAATTTGAGAAATAAATTGTCCTGGAGGTATACAAGAGAAATTGCCTCTGTGACAACCTAACCACCATTGTTTCCACAAGAAGATGATTTTCAAGTTCTAGAGTAGTTTTAAAATATACTTTAAGAGAATAATTTCCTCATAACCTATGGGCTACCTACATTTGTTCTGCCTCCCAATATTTTAACATGTTAACAACCTGTTGTTTCATTAGTTATTTTTCATTGGTTTATAACTGTACCATATATTCATATACATTATTTCTATTTGGATGTTGAGCCATAAACATGTGGGTGGACAAGTTGATATTTGGGGTGGGAATGTTCAGGGACCTTGACCATTGTAAAGTTGTTAAAGCTCTCAAATTTTTATTTGCATAGGACTTTGTCATTGAAAAAAATAAAAACAGTTCACACGAAATTTTCTTACTATTTTTCCAGTATAACTTGGGTTAATTCAATACAAACTCAGAAAAATATTGACGCTTTCAGTAATGCTTTAACTGTAACTGGGTTGTCCATTAATGAAATTATTTTGGCTGGGCGTGGTGGCTCACGTCTGTAATCCCAGCACTTTGGGAGGCCAAGGAGGGCAGATCACGAGGTCAGGAGATCGAGACCATCCTGGCTAACATGGTGAAACCCCGTCTCTACTAAAAAATAAAAAAAAATTAGCCAGGCGTGGTGGCAGGCACCTGTAGTCCCAGCTACTCGGGAGGCTGAGGCAGGAGAATGGCGTGAATCCAGGAGGTGGAGCTTGCAGTGAGCTGAGATCGTGCCACTGCACTCCAGCCTGGGCAACAGAGCAAGACTCTTTCTCAAAAAAAAAAAAAAAAAAAAAAAAAAAAAAGAAAGAAACAAATTATTTTTAGGTGAGATCTGCAAAACTTTTTGACGTTATACATGTTTTAACACATTTTGTGAACTCCTGCTCCGTGAGATTCCAAACTTTGCCTTTTAAATCCTCTTAAATGATACTATAGTTTCTCTAATCTGGTATTCTGGATGAAATAAACAATCTATATTATGATTAATTTCATTACATAAACATTCCTTCAAAATTATTATCTAGTTTTGTGTTTACTCTTATATATCCTGGTGTTCCTTTAATCTAATTTGAAGAGTTATATTCATACAGGTTAAGAATTCATTATTTCAACTCCTCTTTTAAAAATTGTTTACCCTCAGGAATAGTCATATAAGAATTTCCATCAGTGTGTTCAATAGATTTCTTTCTTCCTAGACCTAATAGGTAGAATATAAAAGCAAGACTGACCCCAAAATGAAGGGAAACTATGAAGAAAGTAGAGATAGGATTTCTGAAGTACTGATAATACAATCTACATCTATCTATCTATCTATCTATCTATCTATCTATCTATCTGTATTTTAACCTCGACAAATAAAGTTTAGAGAAACTCAGTGAATCTTCACTCTTTAAAATTACAGAAAAAATTGGTTTCATTACAACTTTCTTAGAGTCTTTTAAAGATGACTAAAATGTCTGTCTCTGATTCTCCCAACCTTTCTCTAATTCTTTGACCTTGAGATTGAATATGCACCTTCCCTAATCTTACTTTCTAATCTAAACATAACAACAAGTAAACATTGCATTTAAAAATATCCCAGCCATTCAGTATGAGTAAGTTTGGTTATTATAAACATTATGGGATGATGAATACAAAGACACATTCCTGGAGTGATGAATTGCCTCCTGTAAGGACAAGTACAAATGATGAGTGTCTTTAAATTTGTAAGTAAGTCAGCTTTCTTTCTTTTATTTGCTAGACTCAATCTGTGTCAAAGTGACTCAAGTTTAGTTTCCACTTAAATAACATTTCAGAAAATAAATCACATTAACTCAGTGAGATTTCTTGTTACTTCATACTACTGTTTTTCAAAATTACAAATTGTCTTGACACTAAGGTATTCACAATGATTAATTTGGCTGATTACTCAATTATTTCCTTCTAAAATTAGAAACTTCAAAGTGTTTTTAGATTTAAATGACGAGCATTCCAGTAATACTGTTGATCAATCATTTTATGTTAATGATTAAAAGCAGTAAATGTTCCTCTATTCGCCTTAGCTACTCCAAATAGTGTGTCAAACACAGCAAGCTCTATTTATTGTCATAGCATTTTAACATGGGCCACCAAGAGTGAGACAGCATAGATTAAACACTGGTCAAGGAGTTTATATTCTTCACTCAATAACTGATTTCAGTGGTTTTGGGAAAGGACTACTCCATAATTAAAATGTGTTATTTAATAAGCCATGCTATTTGGGCATTTGTTTTCTTCTAGAAATAAGTTTTGTGTTTTGAAAAGCTGCATTTTCAGGATTCTGTACAGCAGTGAGAAGATGATAATTTCCTAAATGGTTCCAGCAGGCACTTAATTATTCACAGAGAATAATGTTGTGGAGAGTTAGTATATCTCATTGTAGGAGCCATAATTTAGATATTATACAAATTAGTTTAATTAAGTTTTGAAATCATTAATTCGACACAGAAATGATCATGGTTGTTTAAATGATACAAACTAACAATAAGCTATTATGCATGAAGAATAAATTTATCAATAAGTTACTTTGTTATAATAACAACTTCTCACGTCTTCATTTTATAGAATTCACTTCTGAGCCATTTCCTGGTGTTAAGATGGGAAAAAAACATAAGATGTATGGAAATTTTTCATCAAATGGCTATTCTTTCTCAATTATATTTCCTTCTTTCGCTTCTACCATATTTGTGCTTGAATACACAGTCATCTTAAGTCTTCTATATGCACGTTATCTCCCTAGGTGATTTATTTTCATTTCATAGCTTTATATTTAAGCCACTGCTTGCTTTAGAATACCTATATTCAACTGACAACTCAATATGAGATTTTTGACTTTGTCCTTCAATTTTTTTCAACTTTTATTTTAAGTTCAGGGGCGTATGTGCAGGTTTGTTACGTAGATAAACTTGTGTCATGGGGGTTGATTGTACAGATTATTTTATCACCCACACATTAAGCCTAGTACCCATTAGTTATTTTTTCTGATCCTCTTTCTCCTCCCACCCTGCACCTTCTGATAGGCCCCAGTGTGTGTTGTTTCTCTCTATGTGTCCATATGTTCTCATCATTTAGCTCCCGCTTATGAGGGAAAACATATAGTACTGGTTTTCTGTTTCTGTTCTGTATTATTTTGCTAAGGATAATGGCCTCCATCTTCATGCATGTCTCTGCAAAGGACATAATCTCGTTTGTTTTTATGGCTGCATAGTATTTCATTGTGTATATGTGTGAGAGTAGATGGCTACTCAGGCATGAGCAGGGGAGGAGAGGGTTCCCCACATCCCCACCAGGAATGCCATGCAACCATCAGGTGATGGTCAGGTGGTTGTTAACCATCTCTCTAAAATAATAATTGTTCACATCCAGCACTAGGGAAAGCCTGTCTCCCAATGGATAGAAAAAACCTAAAACTGGTGATCAGCATCTTCTCAACAAGGTCTTGGGAGTTGGGCAAGAGGGCTCCAGCATGCTCAAGCATGCACACTAAAAGGCGAAATGGCAGAGTTTAACTGGTATTTGACCTTCCTCTAGGAATGCTGGA
Organism: Homo sapiens; assembly: GCF_000001405.40. Lineage (NCBI taxonomy): Eukaryota > Metazoa > Chordata > Mammalia > Primates > Hominidae > Homo > Homo sapiens. The sequence continues at coordinate 48,335,252 of NC_000014.9, forward strand.
CTGGTAAGGGAAGAACACCTTAAGTGAGCATGCATGCAACTCCAATAAACACACTGTGCATGCGGCCCCTCCCAAGTGCTAACAGGCCACTGTACATGTGGACAGCCCGACCCAAGGGAATAATCAGGGGAGAAGGGATTTAAGACCCTGGAATAATGCCAATGTATAAAACCCCAAGTCAAATGTCAAACACAGTAGATCTCTCAGGTTGCCTACTTGGCCCTCTTCCAAGTGTACTTTATTTCCTTTCATTCTTGCTGTAAATCTTTTTAATAAGCTTTCACTCCTGCTCTAAAACTTGCCTCGGTCTCTCCTTTATCCTTCTGCCCCTCAGTCAAATTTTTCTTCTGAGGAGGCAAGAATTGAGGCTGCTGCAGACCCATATGCATTAGCTGCCAGTAACATACTTTGGTGTCCCATGGCTTGGATACATTCTACTGCTAACAAACTTACCACATTTTCTTTATACAGTCTGTCATTGATGGGCATTTAGGTTGATTCCATGTCTTTGCAATTGTGAATAGTGCTGCAATGAACATACAAATGTGTGTGTCTTTATAATAGAACAATTTATATTTTGGGGCATATATACCCAGTAATAGGATTGCTGGGTCAAATGGTATTTCTGACTTTAAGTTACTGAGGAATCACCACATTGTCTTTTACAATCAGTGAATTAATTTACACTCTTACCAACATTGCATAAGCATTCCTCTTTCTCCACAATCTTGCCAGCACCTATTATTTTTTGACCTTTTTATAGTAGCCATTCTAACTGATGTGAGATAGTATCTCACTGTGGTTTTGATTTGCATTTCTCTAATGATCAGTGATGTTGAGCTTTTTTTGCATATAATTGTTGGCTGCAATATGTCTTGTTTTGAAAAGTGTCCGTTCATGTCCTTTGCCCACTTTTTAATGGGGTTGATTTTTTCTTGTAAACTTGGTTAAGTTCCTTATAGATGCTGGATATAAGACCTTTGTTAGATGCACAGTTTGCAAAAATTCTCTCCCATTCTGTAGCTTGTCTGTTTACTCTGTTAGTTTATTTTGCTGTGTCAAAGCTCTTTAGTTTAATTACATCTCGTTTGTCAATTTTTGCTCTTGTTGCAATTGCTTTCGGCATCTTTGTCATGAAACCTTTGACTGTGCCTATGTCCTGAATGGTATTACCTAGGCTGTCTACCGGGGTTTTTATAGTTTTGGGTTTTACATTTAAGTCTTTAATCCATCTTGAGTTAATTTTTGTATATGGTTTAAGGAAGGGGTCCAGTTTCAATATTCTTCATATGGCTAGCCAGTTCTCCCAGCACCATTTATTAAATAGGGAATACTTCCCCCATTGCTTGTTTTTATCAGGTTTGTTGAAGATCAAATAGTTGTAGGTGTGCGGTCTTATTTTTGGGTTCTCTATTCTGTTCCATTGTTACATGTGTCTGTTTTTGTACCAGTACCATGCTGTTTAGGTTACCGTAGCCCCATCATATAGTTTGAAGTCAGGTAGCATGATGTCTTCAGCTTTGTTCTTTTTGCTTAGGATTGCCTTCATTATTCTGGCTCTTTTTTGTTCCCATATGAATTTTTAAATAGTTTTTCCAGTTCTGTGAAGAATCTGAATGTTAGTTTAATAGGAATAATATTGAATCTTTACATTGGTGTGGGCAGTATAGCCATTTTAACGATACTGATTTTTACTATCCATAAGCATGGAATGCTTTTCCATTTGTTTGTGTCATCTCTGATTTCTTTGAGCAGTGGTTCGTAGTTATCCTTGTGGAGATCCTTCGTCTCCCTGGTTAGCTGTATTCCTGTGTTTTATTCTTTCTGTGGCAGTTGTGAATGGGAGTTCATTTCTGATTTGGCTCTCAGTTTGACTGTTGTTGATGTAAAGGAATGCTAGTAATTTTTGCATATTAATTTTGTAACCTACAAATTCGCTGAAGTCTAAGGATATTTTGGAATGAGATTATCAAGTTTTCTAAATATAGGGTCATGTCATTTGCAAACAGGGATAGTTTGTCTTCCTCTCTTCCTATTTGGATGCCTTTCTTTCTTTCTCTTGCCTGATTGCCCTGGCCATGACTTCCATTACTCTGATGTATAGGAGTGGTGAGAGAGGGAATTCTTGTCTTGTACCAGTTTTCAAGGGGAATGCTTCCAGCTTTCATCCATTCAGTATGATGTTAGCTGTGAGTTTGTCATACATAGCTCTTATTATTTTTAGATATGTTCCTTCAATATCTAATTTATTGAGAGTTTTTAACATGAATGGATATTGAATTTTATTGAAATCCTTTTCTTCATCTATGGAGATAATCATACAGGTTTTGTCTTTAGTTCTGTTTATGTGGTGAATCACATTTATTGATTTGTGTCTGTTGAACCAACCTTGCATCACAGGGATAAAGCCTACTTGATTGTTGTGAATAAGCTTTTTGATTTGCTGCTGTATTTGGTTTGCTAGTATTTTGTTGAGAATTTTTGCATTGATGTTCATCAAGGATATTGGCCTGAAGTATTCTTTTTTTTGTTCTATCTCTGCTAGTTTTTGGTATCAGGATATTGCTGGCCTCATAGAATGAGCTAGGGAGGAGTCCCTTCTCCTCAATTTTTTGGAATAGTTTCAGTAGGGATGGTACCAGCTCTTCTTTGTACTTCCGATAAAATTCAGCTGTGAATTCATCTGGCCCTGGTCCTTTTTTTGGTAGGCTATTTATTCTGCCTCAATTTCAGAGCTCATTATTGCTCTGTTCAGGGATTCATTTTCTTCCTGGTTTAGCCTTGGGAGGGTGTGTGTGTCCAGGAATTTATCCATTCTTGTAGATTTTTTTTGTGCATAGAGGTGTTCATAATATTCTCTGATGATAGTTTATATTTTTGTGGGGTCAGTGTTAATATCCCCTTTGTTGTTTCTGATTGTGGTTATTTGAATCTTCTTTCCTTCTGTATTATTCTAGCCAGCAGTCTATCCTTTTTATTAATTTTTTCAAAAACAAGCTCCTGAATTTATTGATCTTTTGAATGGGTTTTTTTGTGTTTCGATCTCCTTCAGTTCAACTCTGATTTTTGTTATTTTCTGTCTTCTACTAAGTTTGGGATTTGTTTGCTCTTGCTTCTCTAGTTTTATTAGTTGTAATATTAGGTTATTTACTTGACATCTTTCTAACTTTTTGATGTGGGCATTTAGTGCTATAAATTTTCCTCTTAACATTGCCTTAACTGTGTCTCAAAGATTCTGGTATGTTGTAACTTTCTCATTAGTTTAAAAAAACTTTGTTTGAGTTCATTATAGATTGTGGATATTAGCCCTTTGTCAGATGAGTAGGTTGTGAAAATTTTCTCCCATTTTGTAGGTTGCCTGTTCACTCTGGTGGTAGTTTCTTTTGCTGTGCAGAAGGACATGAACAGACACTTCTCAAAAGAAGACATTTATGCAGCCAAAAAACACATGAAAAAATGCTCACCATCACGGGCCATCAGAGAAATGCAAATCAAAACCACAATGAGATACCATCTCACACCAGTTAGAATGGTGATCATTAAAAAGTCAGGAAAAAACAGGTGCTGGAGAGGATGTGGAGAAATAGGAACACTTTTACACTGTTGGTGGGACTGTAAACTAGTTCAACCATTATGGAAGTCAGTGTGGCGATTCCTCAGGGATCTAGAACTAGAAATACCATTTGACCCAGCCATCCCATTACTGGGTATATACCCAAAGGACTGTAAATCATGCTGCTATAAAGACACATGCACACGTATGTTTATTGTGGCACTATTCACAATAGCAAAGACTTGGAACCAACCAAATGTCCAACAATGATAGACTGGATTAAGAAAATGTGGCATATATACACCATGGAATACTATGCAGCCATAAAAAATGATGAGTTCATGTCCTTTGTAGGGACATGGATGAAATTGGAAATCATCATTCTCAGTAAACTATCGCAAGGACAAAAAAACCAAACACCGCATATTCTCACTCATAGGTGGGAACTGAACAATGAGAACACATGGACACAGGAAGGGGAACATCACACTCTGGGGACTGTTGTGGGGTGGGGGGAGGGGGGATGGATAGCATTAGGAGATATACCTAATGCTAAATGACAAGTTAATGGGTGCAGCACACCAGCATGGCACATGTATACATATGTAACTAACCTGTACATTGTGCACATGTACCCTAAAACTTAAAGTATAATAATAATAAAATAAAAACTTCTTGATTTATACCTTAATTTTATTATTTACCTAAATAATAGGTATTTAGAAGCAGAGTATTCAATTTCCATTCAATTGTATAGTTTTGGGTGAATTTCTTAGTCTTAATCAGTATTTTGATTGTACTATAGTCTGAAAGACTGTTATGATTTCAGTTCTTTTGCATTTGCTGAGGAATGTTTTACTCCCAATTACGGATTGATGTTAGAATATGTGCCATGTAGCAATGAGAAGGTATATTTTGTTGTTTTTGGGTGGAGAGTTCTTTTAATATTTATCAGGTCCTTTTGATCCAGTGTTGAATTCAGGTCCAGAATATCTTTATTAATTTTCTGCCTCAAAGATATGTCTAATATTGTCAGGTGTTAAAGTCTCCTACCATTATTGTGTGGGAGTCTAAGTCTCTTTGAAGGTCTCTAAGAACTTGCTTTATGAATCTGAATGTTCCTGTGTTGGGTGCATATATATTTAGGATAGTTAGATCTTCTTGTTGAATTGAACCCTTTACCATTAGGTAATGGCCTTCTTTGTCTTTTTTGACATTTGTTGGTTTAAAGTCTGTTTTGTCAGAAACTAGGATTGCAACCCTGATGTTTTCTGTTTTCCATTTTCCTGGTAGATTTTTCTCTACTTCTTTATCTTGAGCTTATGTATGTCATTGCATGTGAGATGGGTCTTTTGAAGACAGCATACCAAAGGGTCTTAGTACTTTATCCCACTTGCCAGTTTGTGTCTTTTAACTGGGACATTTAGCCCATTTATATTTAAGGTTAGTATTGTTGTGTGAAGATTTGGTCCTGTCATCACAATGCTAGCTGGTTATTTTGCAGACTTACGTGTTTACTTTATAATGTCACTGGTCAGTATACTTCAATGTGTTTTGTAGTGACTAGTAATGGTGTCAGTGTTTCCTTTTCATATTTAGTGCTTCCTTCAGGAGCTCTTGTAAGGCAGGTCTGTGGTAACAAATTTCTCAGCACTTGTTTGTCTAAAAAGGATCCTATTTCTCCTCAGCTTTTGAACTTCTAGGTTGGAATTTCTTTTCTTAAAAATGTTGAATATTGACCCCCAATCTCTTCTGGCTTGTAGAGTGTCAGCTGAGAGGTCCACTCTTAGTCTGAGAGCTTCCCTTTGTGTGTGACCTGGTCTTTCTCTCTAGCTGCCTTTAACATTTTTTTTCTTTCATTTTGACCTTGGGGAATCTGAAAATTATATGTCTTGGGGATGATCTTCTTGTGAAGTATCTTACAGGGATTCTCTGCATTTCCTGAGTTGAATGTTGGCCTCTGCAGCTAGGTTGGGGAAATTCTCTTGGATGACATCCTGAAATATGTTTTCTGAGTTGGTTGCATTCTCCCTATCTCTTTCAGGTGCAGCAATCAGTTGTAGATTCAGTTTCTTTGCATAATCCCATGTTTCTAAGAGGTTTTGCTCATTCATTCTCATTTGTTTTTCTCTATTGTTGTCTGCCTATCTTATGTCAGGAAGTCATTCTTCAAGCTCTGACATTCTTTCGTCTGTTTCGGCTGTTCTGCTATTAATATTTGTAATTTCATTATGAAATTCTTGTGTTTTTCAGCTCTGTCAGTTCAGTTACATCCTTCTCTATACTGGCTATTTTGTCTGTCAGCTCATTCAATTCTTATCTTGATTTTTAGCTTTCTTGCATTGGGTTAGAATGTGTTTCTGTAGTTCAATTAACTTTGTACCTATCCATTCTGAATTCTACTTCTGTCATTTCAGCCATAAAAATATGGAATACTTCACGAATTTGCAAGTCATCATTGCATAGGTGCCAAGATAATCTTTTCTGTGTCTTTCCAATTTTAGTATATGTCCTGCCAAAATAAGCACTGTCCTTCAATTTTTAAGAGTTCTTTAAATAATAAGGATATTAACCCTGTGTCCATGGTATAGCCTGTGAATATTATCTACTAGTTGTCAACAGTATTTTGCCTTGTTTATGATTCACTTTGCAATGCATTTGTTCAGGGAATCAGATTTATAGCTCTTTCTTTCATTTCCTTTGGATTTGAGTCAGAATTCTATACCATTGTTAAAGAGTAATTTGCCTAAGTTTCTTCTAGTATTTTTATGGTTTTCTTTTTACTTTTAGAGGTACCTAAGTTATTTGGAATTTACTCTTTTATATAGTATGAGGTATGGGCCAAATTTTATTTATATGGCTACAGGTTTTTCAGCATCATTTATTTAAAAATCCATCTTGCCCCAGTGGTTTAAGATGCCATTTTATAATATGCTAAATTTCTCTATGTGCTGGGGTTAATTTCTGTACTTTCTCTTGTACTCCATTGCCATGTTTGCCTGTACATCGCTACTTTAATTTTACAGGTAGTGTATCACATGTTTTAGTGTTAGAGCAGAGCTACTTTCCTATCATAAATATATTTTTCAAAATTTCCTGGCTATTCATGCATGTTTATTTTTTCATATTAACTTTAGTTCACAATTTGATTCACTCCCTACAACAGTTTGTTGGCATTTGTATTCTTACTGCATTCACTTTATAGATTAATATATGGAGAATTGTTATCTTTTAAATATTGTGGTGTTGTTTTAATTCTATTTCTGTACCCTTTAGTGTTGTCCTAACATTTTTCTATATAAGATTTGCACATTTCTTGTTAACTTTTTCTAAATAGTTAATATTTATTATTGCTATTATAACTAAAGTTTTCCTACCAATATGTCATCTATTATTTCTGAGTAAAAAACAATTGATTTTTGATAATTAATTTTATATTCTGCTACTTGACCGAATTATTTTATGATTTGACTTAGTTTTAACATTGATTGCTGCTATCATGGTTTTATGGTGCCTCTCCTATCATCTGAAAATAGAGACTAGCTGACTTTTTCTTTACCCCTTTTTGGACCACTAATTAATTTATCCTGCCTATTTGCATTGGATAATAGTACCAATACATTAATAGTTGACATAGTAGGCATCTTTTTCTTGTCTCTGATCTAAGTTATAATACCTGTAGTGTTTATTAAAGAGAATACTGGAGGGACTCAGTAAGATAAAGTAATTAATTTCACCCCATCTTTCCCATTGAAAGAAACTATAAAACCTGGACAGAATGAAAAAAGAAGCTATTTGATGATAACTACATGCAAACAAACAAGCAAACACATAACCAAACCTAAATCTAAACCCTGTACCTTGTATACAAATTAACTCAAAATGTATCACAAGTCTAAATGTAAACACAGAAAATATATCTGTGGCCTAGGATTAATCAAAGCATTATTCATGACACCAAAAGCATGATCCATAAGCACCTCCTCCCCTCAGTCATTATTGCAAAATATAGGGGCTTTTGTTTGTTTTGTTGTTTGGGGAAGGATTATCAGTCTTCTCTTGTCCCGTAGAATCCAAATAAGGTCTTCTTTTTCTTCTTTTCTCCTTCATCATCCTATTGCCAAAAGGTGCTTCTGCCTTCTTGTTTGCCCCATTTCCTCCCCCAGAAGCTATGCCTTTTTAAATTTCCCTTTGAGTCTATTGTATCCCTTTATATGGCATGGGCCATTGTAAGTTATAATTGCCCCTTTAAATACTGCCTCCCCCTAAATCATATATGTATATTTTAAACTCCTTCCCTTGTAGTTAATGTCACAATCTGCTCAGATGACATTTATGCAGTATTTTAGATTTAGAATGGATTGAATATTTTTAGTGTCCATTGCAAATCATCTTTAGGCTCCTTTGGCTAATCTCTCTGTTTTATCTTTCCCATAGTTTTTTGCATTCCATCTTTGCTTGCCACAAAGCCTTGTGTCTGTGCAAGAGCAGTGTGGCAGCCTGAGAGATCTGCACTGGGATTTGGTGGGATATTTTTCTCTTTTTACAGATATTTACAATTTCAGCGTTGTATTCAAATTATGTTTTAGGCATACATTTGCATAATTTAACTTTCACTTTTGATTTTTTAAGAATAAAAAGAGAACTTTCCTTTTTTTTGATTTGGAAAGGAAAATTTTGGACATTGTATGGCAACCATTATCCTTAGTTATCCAGAAGGATTGCTGAATTCAGTTTCCTCATATTGGGTTAAGTATTTGCTTTTATATTCCTAGCAGTTATTATCCTCTAATTTTATTTTCTAATAAAGTGTTCATTAGATTATGATGTCAAATTTTTCCTGATTTTATAAAATGTCTCCATTACAAAGTTAGGGTAAGATAGGCACATCATCATCTTGAAAACTTTGCTATTACAGAAAGTAAGAAAATGCTGCTAAAATAATAATAATCAGAAAACACACGGGGGCATATTATGAGGACATAGGAGGCAGTTGTAAGAGACACTTAACAGGCAAATCCAGGAAAACTTAAACATCAAAGTAGGAATCCAAGAGTATGTAACAATCATAAATAAATAGGCAGGTAAATGAATGGGGGGAAGAGTGCTTCTTAAAGTACAGTATCCATTGCCAGTTGGTAAATGTTAAGCAATTGCAGAAGATGGAAAAATACAATTTTGTAACAGTTATAGTGAAGATTGGCTTAGGCAAGAGTGATGAATGGTTGCTATAGCTAGGAAGATTTTTTAAATGAGATAGAGGATATTTGCTTGGTGTCCAAGTGCTTTCCTACAGATTCCTTATTAGTTGCAATGAAAAATAGTAATACTAAGAGAAGTAACACAACAACTTGATTGAGTGTAAAAATTAACATCAGCAGTGAGGGGCAGATTGACATAATATTCCTTTCAATGTGATACCCTTTGAAGGACACAGCATTATTTAGGTAATTTTTAAACCCTGGAACGAAACACCTGAATCTAATCCTAGCAAACATCAGACAAACTCAAAGTGAGGGCAGATCCATTTACAAAACGAAAAGCAGATCATTCCAGGCCCAGAGCAGCATATTTATAATATGTTTCTAAAACATCTTGTCATAAAAAAGAGCAAGGAAGCTACACAAGATCACTTGGCTCTTTTCAAAAGTTTTCAGGAGTCAACATATCTCATTCTAGCAAAGACGGAACAATTTCATCATCATTAAGGAAAATAGTTGTAACAGGTTGAAACAGACCAAATATGATTAAATCTATATGTGCTCTTAACAATTTGAAAGTAATTGCCCATCACTGGTGAATACTAATAAAGCAATATGTTATTTCAAAAATAGGCAATTTAAAAGAAAAAAACCAAGAATTATTTTATTTTCCTATAAAGACTACCATTGTAAAACCCAAAAGTTAATGGAAAATGTTTATTCCTACAGCTATAGTCTACTTATAATAAATCAAGAAAAAATGTAAGCATTTTCATGTTTCATAAATTTGGCAAAATTAATGGATACAGGAACTGGGCATGAAAGGCTGCTAATAAAAAACGTGAGACAATCAGGTAGTTGTGTGCTGTGTGTGGAAGAAAACACACCCATCACCTATAAAGTAGTTTTGCCAAACATTTTAATCTGCTTATTATGCTCATAAATCTGACAGATAAATGTTTAAAAATGCACCCATGGGACTCACCACCAAAATCCAGATAGTGGGGAACTCTATGGGACACATAACCTGTTTTTTTTCAACAAATAAACTGAAAGAAGGGAGAAAACAGGATGAGATCAGACCCTATAGATCTAAAGAGACTTAAGAGCCACATCAAACAGTAGCAATGTGTGGATCATACTTGGGTTCTGTTCAAAGAAACAATGTGTACAGAATATTCCTTTAAGTTTGATTTTATGACATTTAAAAGAAAATTGAGCCAGGGATGGTGAAGTGTGCCTTGTCCCAGCTACTGGGGAGGCTGAGGATGGAGGTTCACTTGAGTGCAGGAGTTCTAGGCCAGACTGAGCAACATAGTGAGACTCCATCTTTTGTAAAAAGGAATACTATTTATGATAATTGTATGAACGTTGAGGATATTAAGCTAAGTGAAAGAAGCCAGCTACAGAAGTACAAATACTACATGATTTTTATATGAGGTATATAAAATAGTCAAACTCATAGAAACAAAGTGTACAATTGTGGTTGCCTAGGGTTGGGCAGAGTGGAAATGAGGGGTTTCTATTCAACTAGTATAATGTTTCAGTTATGCAAAATGATTAAGTTTTGGAGATTTGCTATACAACATTGTAGTTGACAATAATGTGTTCTACACATAACACATTTGTGAAGAAGGTAAAAAAAAGTTACCTGTAGAAACTTCAATCCTGTTTGTGTGTGTGTGTGTGTGTGTGCGTATACACTTAACAGAATTATATAAATATGTTTACATCAACACTATGTTAATTTCCAAAAACTGTATGCAGCTGACATGTCCATTTATAGTAGACCGAGTTGGGATTAGAGTGAAGAAAGTGAAGCACTTGTTCAGGAGAAAAAATTAAGTGGCTATAAAAAGACTAATAATCAAGATACATAACATTTAATACAACATTTTAAAATCAATATTAATGCAAAAAAGCAGGATCCATATTATTGTTTCCTTTAGCCTCAGATTCCAATATAGCTCCACATGGAACTGATAATAGAATTGACTAATAATGATACAAAATGGAATGCTACACAGCAATGAGAATGAATGAACTATAACTACACACAATAATATTGAGAATCTCATAGACAAAATGTTCAGTAAAACAAACCAAACGCAAAAGTGTATGCACTGTTGGTTTCATTTACATCAAATTCAAAAACAGGCAAAGCTAATCTAGGCAGAAGTCAGAATAACGGTTTCCCTTGAAAGGGGGCACGAGAAAATTTCTGTGACTCTGGGAATATTCTATTTCTTGATCTGTATGTTACATAAGTTTTGTACTTTAGGAGAATTCACCAAACTGTTCATTTATTATTTGTGTACTTTTTATATGTGCTATAATTTAATTTTTTAAATAAAAAATGATAATTGGAAATTTTAACACTAGCTATGTAATTGATGGTATTAAGAGAAAGTCAAATTTTAGGTGTTATATGTTAAAGTGGTTTTGTAAAAATATAACTGTAAAAGAAACCATATATTTTACAGATAATTACTAAAGTACATATCGATAAAATTGTATTAAACATGGAATTTGCCTCAAAATAACATGGGAACAGGAAAAGTAGGAGAAGGACTAAAGGAAGTAAAACTGACCATGGGTTCTTATTTGTTGAAGCTTACTTTTGTGTGCATGGATTATTTTTTATACATTTCCATATGCTTTGGTGCATGCCTACAGTTTGTATAATAAAACATTAAAACAAAAACCTCCTATGATCGTGACCAATACAATGTTTTGTTAGAGTATGGAAAGAAGTATGTTAGGACCTAGGTGTGCACTTTGCTCACAGAACGTGATCAACGAATATATGTGGAATGAAATGATACATTGATATTAAACTAGAGAAAATTAGAATTAAAAATTACATGTAAACTATCTTCCTAAATCTCATTCCCTAGTCAAGTCTAGCCATTAAAAATCAGACTTTGTAAGATGCCATTATAGTCTTAGTTTTGTTTTAATATGATATACCAGTGAATTAAACATAAAATTTGTTTCACTGAAAGGCAGCTTATTCTTGGGTAGTCACATATTTTTAACACAATTTTTAATCATTCTTATAATTTTAATACAATTTATTGTCACCTTTTAACACAATCATAATCCTTAGTAGAGAAAGTCACATGACTTATACTTTCTAGTCTTGCCTTCCACAAGTATTATTTTCACCATCAAAGAACTTTGATAAGAAAAGAGGACTGTTTACCATTTCCTTTATGATGTCATGTTAAAAATAGTATTTCGAAGGTAAACACTGCACTTACCTCTCTACAAAATGTTTTAACGAAGGTCCATATTTTATGTCAACTGTTTTCTATCTCTCAAAAAATATTTCATGTCATTAACAGCAATCATTAGCAATCATGTTACAATAGGGTAACATTCAGTTAGATGTGGAGTTTATCAAGAAATCTTAAAGAAAAAAAGTATCTTTAATAAAGTGGAATGTGATTTCCTAAAAGTAAGTGAGGCTTATGTTCCTAAATCTGAGAGTTGTGCTTTATCACAAAAAAATGTCAGCCAGGATTTTACAGATTTGATTTGGAAAAATTTGATTTGGAAAGATTTGATTTGGATGCCTAATTGCGATGGGTCAGCGTAGACATTGCTGGTTTGACTGATGGTTCTATTTCATGCAAAACTCATATAATGACCATGATCACCCCCCTACAGATAGCATTATTTTGCAGGGCTCATTTAGATTTTTGTCTTATTTTGTCAAAAAAAGTGTCACTTTGGAAATTTGCCTTTTTTTGTTTCTTGACAAGAATAGAAAGATTATAGACTCATCAGCACCTAATTTCTTCCAAGTTCAATTTTAATTCCTCTGTATTACCATTATTTGTAGTGATAGATATGGTCATTTCATTCATTGCCTCTGGAAGCATCAAACAGAGACATTTGAATCAGACTTTGTTTTCCAGCATCAGGTTCATAGAAACTGCTTTAAGGTTTCTGAAATTCTTGGCTTTTGTATTAACAAGATTGATAGATCAGCCAACCATGAGAGTACTATCCAAAAACTGTGCATATATAATTCTAAAAAGAGAATATACTTTAAGCCTCCTGATCATGACAGTTAATTATTTTATTTCCTGGTATTTAGATAAGATTATCTACTTTTTAGATAAGATTATATAGAATATATATATTAGCTGCTGGTCCACCTACCTAGGCAACATCTCTTAGAAGGTTAGTAAGACTTAGCTGTCAGGTACCAAAAAGAAAGCAGGAAAGCAAGAAGCAAGCAAACAAGGAAACAAGAAAGAAAGAACAGCTTCATGTGTCATATGGAATCTCTCCTTAAGACATGTGAGAGTAAAAACTTGGAACTCTTAAAATAGGTTCTACCATGACCTACCAGTACACTTTTGCCTGGAATACTTCTAGATCTTTAGGTTCTCCCATTGTGATTCTTATCAGTCCAAGATGTTCCTGATTTTCCATCATATCTCCAATCTGTTTCATGTGCATAACTCACTATCAGACTTGTGGATTCCTCTTTTAACTGAGTTATCTGTTTTTGTTTAAGGACTTCATTTTAGCTTTGAGTATGCCCTACCTAAGCTTTGCTAACTGACTTCACACTCCCTGTTGTATGGCCTCTATTCCACTGGTACGCTCTCTCCTGTAGGTCTCTCACCAAACCCACATTGTCCATTGCGTGTGATACATATGCATCCAATGCACTCCTAGGCATTGTATATGATTTTAATCCATATACAACTACAGTGTTCTTTGTCTTGGTTAGCACCGATATTTCAGAGCAATGGCTGTACAGGAAGGGCAGCATAGATTATAAAAAGTATTTACCTAAATCTTCTAGCTAATATTCAAATGTTTGGTGGAGTGATATATTTGTATCTTGATGTGCATGTGATAATGTTGTTTATTAAAATATTTTTCACCTTATAATTGATAACATTAGTAATTTATAGAATCTTTACTTACCTCTCCTTGTATTACTTAAGCTGTACCTTTTATGGCTTGACACAAAATTATTCCAAGGCACCTCTACATAGAATTAGGATATTTTGAGAAAAGAGAATGTGTTCTTTTTACATCTAGCTTTGTTCATTAATTTAACAAATAGGTAATGTGTCCTTATGATGGGCCAGACACTGTGCTAGATACTAGAAATCTCTGTACTTAAAAATGCAGCCTTCAGGAATTCTGTATTCAACAAAACAACAATTTTTGAGTTCCTTATTAACATCTCACTATGATATCAGATTCGTTAGCCATAAAGGGCTCTCTATGAAAGCTTGGGATTGAAAATAATGTCAATAATAAAAGTTGAATTTATAAAAATTTTCTATGCCTACTTGAATGTAGACTCCTGAAAATTTTCTTTACAAACAGTGGTGAAACATTATACTCAAAATTTTAAAAACTCTTTGTACCCTTCTTTTACTCTTTCAACATTCTTAAATCATTCGTAAATATTAAAAAGGAAAATACAATTATTCAGACTGCTGATTGTATAGACACAGTAGACTATGTTGTCCTCTGAGCCTTCTAGCTTACAAGAACAGATTCAAAGCACAAATGCTGCAACAACAAATATAAATAAGAAAGTCACAACTTTCTGTTGTTTTCCTTCATAAAAGAAATACACACTAAGTGTGTAAAACTTTTAAAATGCAGAAAAGCATGGAGAATAAAATTGCATTTCATTTATTCCCATAATAATTTTTAACCTTATGCCTACCATATGCTATTATTTTTGCCCAAGTTGTTGGACTTGAAGAAGTGAATAAGACAAATAAGGTCCCTGTTTTCATCAAAATTATTTTGCATGTGGCTGGGAGATGAGTAAGAAACACGTAAACTATTAAGTCAGATTTGATGACTACTATGAATAAAATTTTAGAAGGATAAATAGTAGCGATACTATTGCTAAGTTGCATGGCTTTAAACATCTGAGACTGGTTTCAGAGGTGCTGAGGTTTCTATCTGACTGTTTGGTCCACTCCTCTATATGGGAACTGTTAGCACAAGTGATAAACCCACTTATTCTGAATACACAACCATTGTTTGGTTATGATCTCTCTAACAAGGTTCACACATCAAAGCAAAACTCATTTCAAAGCCTTTTTGAATTAAATTAAATATTTGAGGCACTACAAAAAATGCACTCTAAAAATAATCTATGCTTACTGACTTCCTTTCATCAAATGCCATGTTCTGACAAAAAGGTAATCAAGGTTATTCTTGCATGACTTCTCCTTTTAATATTCATGCCATCTTATTGGTTATGGCTCTGCCAGACTCTGGCTGCTTCTCTTCTATCATTTTGTATTCTATTAGTTGAAACAGAATTTTATACGGGTAAACATTAACACTGATATATAAGATAAGCCAGGCTTTAGAATAAGGATACCATTAAATAATTTAATGAGTATATATTTTACACAAGACATTGCATTAGGTTACAAAGCAAAAAATGATGGAAAATAATCATAAGTTCATTTTAATATGGTTGCAAACAGATGTTAAGCTATGTTCTAATAAATAATATTGTTTTGTTTGCATAATCAAAACCTAAGGCCTTTGTTTCAGCTGTTGGATAATTTCCCTTACCTCAGTGTCATTTTGTTAATGACCAGGGACTATCACATAAACTCCAACACTCTATAAAGGCTTACTATGAGTCAGAATCAAAGAACCTTTCAGATGATATTTCCAGTTGCTGATGGAAAACAAAACCAATGGAAAAGATGTGACAGGATATTAATTACCTTTATATGTAATAAGCATTTTGTAAAACCATTGTTTTTCATTATACGTTTTAGGAATTCAAAAGGACCATCACTATGAATACGGTAGACCTCACTTATCTGTGGGAAGTATTTTCCAAAACCCCTAGTGGATGCCTGAAACCATGGATGGTGATGAACCCCATATATACCGTGTTTTTTTCCTATACCTTCCTATGATAAAGTTTAATTTATAAATTAGGCACAGCAACTTATATTTTGCAAATATTTGGCTTCTCTTTGGTATATCTGAATTGGCAGCATCACTATTCTTGTGCTTTGAGGCCATCAGTAAGTAAAATAAGGATGGCTTGAACACAAGCACTGCCATACCATGACAGTCAATCTGACAACCTAGATAGCTATTAAGTGACTCACACGTGGGGGATATCTACAGCATGCATGCACCAGACAGAGAGATGATTCATGCCACAGGTGGGACAAAGTAGGATGGTGCAAGATTATATCACGCTACTCAGAATGGCTTGGAATTCAAAACTTATGACTTGTTTATTTCTGGAATTTTCCATTGAATATTTCAGATTGCAGTTGATCATGGGTAACTGCAACTACTGAAAGTCAAACTACAGATATGGAGCAAACTACTGTACTATTGTAAAAAAGCGTCTTTGATACTATTAAAAAACTGTACATCAGAGATGGGGACACAATTCAGGGCTACGAAGCACAGGAGTTAAAGCCAGAAAATATTTGTCATTCTGAATAGTAGATGTATCATACTAAATCCACACATATAAATATTTATATTATATATTAATGTGTATGAAATAAATATTTATAGATATATATGTGTGTGTATTTACATATATAAAGCTGTTTATTTCTGCCTTATTTTTATTATGTTCATTATTTTATCGGAAAGTTTGTATCACACTTTTAAGTGAACAGATCTAAAAATCTGGTCAAGATCATGGTCATAGTTCCAAGCCAGCCATACAATGCTAACCTTATAAAACTTCTACTCTGTTTAGTGTATTTTTGTCATACAGAAACTGAATCTTAATTCCAGAAGATAGCTATGTCTTTAGTTTAAAATTTGTAGCTATAGACAAATAGCAAGTACTACAATAGTTCAATTATATTTCTATTGAACTGTCTCCAATTTGCCATTCATTGTTTAGACAGTTTGAGAAATTCAGTAATATCTAGTTGAATTTTCATATTTTGAAATGAAGTAAAAATATATCAGGAATGTCAACACAGCCTATCAGGAATGTCAACATAGTAATACCCTGAAGGTTTCGAGTTGTACATGATTCTGGGTTAAATATTTGCATGTTGGCCCTCTAAATTATTGCCAAAAACTGCTTAAAGATATTTAGATTAAACCTATGATAGGCTGAAAATTAAAAGGTATACCATGTTCTTGGTCTGAGGCAAATAATTAAAGGCTTTACCTTTACAAATGTGTCAGCATGGAACTTGTCATAGCCATAAATTAAAGGTGACATACGATATGGACTTTGCATGCAAAATACCCTTCTGCCAATTAATACCTTACCTGTTAAGTGTTAGTAAATGCTAATTTTAAATGATTTTAGGGTCTTGTACGTTTGTATTGATAAATGTGTCAAAGGGATGCAAGTTCTTGATAAGTGTACCAACTTCACTGCACTAGAAACAAAAGCTAGTAAAGAAAGCTTATAAAGCAGTGAGATAAAATATCAACTTTGCCTCAGTAACCCATCAGGAATGGGTCTCTTGTTTGAATATGAGTTATCTAAAGGTTTGTGATCCATGCCACAGCCTTTACTCTTATTTACTTAATTTGATATGTTTGCTGTGTTGTCAATTTTTGAAATTAAAAAAGAGGATCAATATGTGGGAAGAAAACAAACAAATATTTCTCCCTGGTTGCTGCTTTGTTGTTGCATCTGTTCTTTTTCTTTATTTTTTTGCTTATACAATAAAGGGGAATTATTAATTTTTTCTGCACTCCACTGACATTTCTGGGAAGTTATCTGTAGATGATGATGCATAAAAATATTTATCATAACATGATAGATAGCATTATTTTAAATATGTACCCAAAACTAGTGGAAAGTTTATCTTTATCTTAATAATCAGAGCTTTTTTGTTATGACTATATCAATTATTAATTATGTAAAACTATTTTATAATTTGATTTTTACCCATAGACATTTTATGACATTCTATTAAATATGACGTATTTGGTTTAAATTAAAAAACCCAAACAATGAGTTTAATTGCTGAATATTTAAAATGTAAAACTAAATTAGAATTGGGCCATCAGGATGTATATTGCTTTTCTACGTCACTACCTGAAACGCTACACATATTTTACAATATTTTTAGCACAAAAATCTTTACTTGAATATGATCCATTCTCCATTTGCTTCCCTTTCCAAATTAAAGCCAAAGTGATGATTTATAAACTCAGAAATGATCATGCCACTCCCCTATTTAAAATCACTTAATGGCTTTGAAAGTTGTTAGCATACAGGTCAAAAGTTTTGCCTTATAGATGAAGGTCCTCCAGTATCTCCCTACTTTCATGCTGTTTTACTCCACCCCTTTGTATTCCAGCTACATTGGCCTTTCAGTTGAATTTGCCACAGTCTTTTCTCACTCAGGAAACCAGTGGCACCGTTCCGTCTGTCTAGACCCTCCCATTCACTAGTCCCAATGGCATCCTCTAGCGAATCATATCTCACCCCTTCTTCTGATTTTAGACAGTTCCTGAAGAAGCTCTCGCACATTCTGCTGTCTACACATACCCTCAATTAAATCCCTCTGACATATGCTCTTGTGATTTTCTCTTGGCCCATAATACAATTATTTTAATTAAATATTTATTTGTATTTTTACTTCCACTTCCACCTCCAGTATCTATTATAGTGTTATACACAGTCAGTATTAAATAAATGTGTTGGCAAATGTGTTGATTATTTAAATAAGTGGATTGAAATTGTTCAAAGTAATATCCTATAATCTCTGTTAAAGTTGAAAAAGTTTTTATAAATAGTTGTCTTTTTCTAAACTATTTTATTTTTACTCATCTAACTTGCTTTTATAAAGATTCTTTTTGCCATTGAAAATTGCATTTGATATGTTTAATCAAGATTAGCTAAAGTGCTTTCATTCAGAGGAGAAGCAGTCATAGATTTTTATGTAAAAGATACAAAAAGAAATGACTAGCCCTCCATCCTATGCCGCCTTGATTTCTACATGTCGTCAATTAAATATTTTCAGTTAATGCATGTTATGGGTATGAGTATTTGTGTTCTAGACTGATAATTCTCAAGTTGAAATACGTGTTGCCTTAGGAATCCCTCTTCACCACTCAGCCTAAGGTTAACTTTGCTTATTGATGAAAATCATTATTACTATGGTAGTAATATCACTTTCACCCTTGCTGCCACAGCTGCTGCCTATTCTATTGCCTTAAAGTTTTCAAAGCATAGCAAATGGTAGCTACCCAGAAAATTGACTGAACTATTTAGGATAGTAAGCGTTTAATTGAGGTTTTGTTCTTCACTGAAATACATCAATTAAAGCAACATTTTAAAAAAGATAATTTCTAAAAAAAAAAAAAAAATTCAGACAGCTGTCAAGGAAATTTTATGCCAAAATATATTCTCAGTGATTTTTCCATTTGCAGGTATCACCATTCTACTTTCTTCCAAAAGAAAGGAGACTTGAATCTATTTCGATTCTGTAAAAATGGTCATTTTCTCTATGATACAATGACAATTATTTCTTACAATTGATGAATATAATTTAGATGACAATGCTTTAATAAGGTTTCTATCCCTTGATACCATCCATTTTTGCTAATGTCCTTAGCCCATGAGATTTTTAGAGTTTTCACCAAGCTCTCATCTGTCAGTGATACATGATGAGATTTGTATGTGAAAATTCTATTAATATTAATGAGATTAGCTCTCATAAATCTGATGTTATTGCTGATAGAGTAGATTCTGGAAACAGTAAAATTCTTTACATTAATTAGAGAGCAAATTAGGTTACTTTGTCAAGTACATAAATACATAAAATAAGTAGTGAAGTAATTTAATATGACTAGTCAAAGTCATGAAAAATTCTAATAATTATGATAATAAAGAATTTCAAACAATTACCATTTTTGTTCTAACAACTCTCTTTTTCTTCCAAGCAAACTGCCATATAGCTCACTTTTCTTTTTTTTTTTTTTTTTTTTTTTTTTTTTTTGAGACGGAGTCTCGCTCTGTCGCCCAGGCTGGAGTGCAGTGGCGGGATCTCGGCTCACTGCAAGCTCCGCCTCCCGGGTTCACGCCATTCTCCTGCCTCAGCCTCCCAAGTAGCTGGGACTACAGGCGCCCGCCACTACGCCCGGCTAATTTTTTGTATTTTTAGTAGAGACGGGGTTTCACCGTTTTAGCCGGGATGGTCTCGATCTCCTGACCTCGTGATCCGCCCGCCTCGGCCTCCCAAAGTGCTGGGATTACAGGCGTGAGCCACCGCGCCCGGCCTAGCTCACTTTTCAATAGAGAATCAGTATGGCCTGCCTGGATGTTGTGCAGAGGACTGATTATTGCTGAAGAGTCTATCTGCAGGTTACTGCAAATAGATACAGATGCTATTGCAACTGGCATCTCCTGCTCAATCCTACTCAACTTTGGAGATAATTTTCCTGAGATAATCCCTTGAATTGTAGGCACACTCTTCCTGAGAAAATTTGCTCTTGCTGCTTCCAGGTGTCATGGGGCTACTATAAGCCTAGCAGTCATAGGTACAACAATTTCCCTGCTGTTTTTTCTTCATATGAAATCTTCCTTGGCTACTTGGCATCATCAATTCTGAGTTTCACATCTACGTGTATTCTTGTTTAATGTTGATTTTTTCTTTCTGCACAATTCAGATGATTTTCTCTGGGAAGATAATATGTATCTGACCAACAGCTATAATGATGGTCATTTATTTATCATTGCTTATTTACTATTTTTCCACAAACATTTATTGAGCATCTATTATTTATCAGCAAATGTCAGAGATGTAAAAATAAAGAAATTTCTCTCTGCCCTAAAGGAATTACAGACTAGCAAGGAAAATAGACTGTCTATATACATAGTCTATATATGATTATGTACATATGTACAACATATTGTAGATTATTATGTACAACACATTGTAGAAACACAGAAAAGAGTAATTACCTGAACTTTTGATGCAGAGAACATAAACGATCTGAAGAAAGTGGCAATAGCTGAAAAATGAATCCTTATGTATTCCTGTGTTCTTATTAACTGGTTCTTAGGGGAAGTAAAGATTTTAAAATTCAGCTATGGTAATTAAAGTGGATAAGAAATTAAAAGTTGGTATTGTTCTTTTAACTATATAATGCAACATTTTAATCATTAACTTTTAATGGATAAGAGAAATTGGACAGATGAAACACAGCAAAGTCGTAGAAAATTACTGGGTCTGCTTAAGAAAATATTAAAGACTAGAGGATGGATCTGGTGAGTTAGGTAGAGATCGTACTCGTTTACAGTCCTCTAAATGGCCTTTAAATGTTCAGGATTATCTCCACTCCAAATCCCCAACTGTCTCTCACCCTGCCTTTCTGTTAGTCTTTTGATAAATGCGTCTCCAAACTTGATGTCTCTAAAACCTTCACCTCACTCCCTACAACAAAACTCAAGCAACTTGCAAGGCCTATCATGTCATCAGATTGCAATCTTGCCAATGCTTTCAGACTTCATCACCCCCTAATTCCAGCTCACCCTTTGCACTTCATCCAAGCTGAATCACTCAGTTCTCTGAACCAGCCATTCTTTTTCATGCTGACATTTGTGCAATGACAGCTGCTTTCCCCAACTCAGTTCCTTGTTTTGCTTGTTTGTGAATGCACATTCTGCCCATTTTACCTTCTAAAGCAGGGCCAAAGCCCAGTATGTGATGTGTTAGTTTCCTTTTGCCGATGTAACAAATTACAACAAACTTAGTGGCTTAAAATAACAAAAATTATCTTACACTTCTAGAAGTTACAACTCTGAAATGGGTCTTGGGCTAAGTCAAGGTCTTGGCCAAACAGCATTCCATCTGAAAGCTCTAGGAGATAATCATTTCCTTGACTTTTCCATTTTCTGAGAGCCAACTGCATTCCCTGGGTCACTGTTCATTCTTCCATCTTCAAATTGTACTCACCAAGACAATCTAAATTAATCATCACACCTCTGGATCTGTAACTTAATCACATCTGCATAGACCTATTTTTCCATGTAAGGTAACATATTTACAAGTTTCTGTGGGAAGGAACATTATTTTACATACCACAGTCAGCTTCTCTGTAAAGATTTATATCATCACTGTCCCCTCAATGAGTGTTAAATTTTCCCATTTCATGTATATTAGCTTGTGCTGCCATAACAAAATACCATAGATTGGGAGACTGAAACAACATAAATTAATATTCTTACAGTTCTGGAGGCTAGAAGTCTGAGATCAGGGTTCCTGTGTAGTCAAGTTCTGGTGAGGGACCTGTTACAGGTTTGCAGACAGCCACCTTTTTGCTGTGTTCTCACATGGTGGAGAGTGAGCTCTGGTATCTCTTTCTCTTCCTATTAGGGCAAGTTCTGTTGAGTTCTATTGAGTCAGGGCTCAACTCTTTTGACCTCATTTAACCTTACTCATCACCTTAAAGACCCTATCTCCAACACAGTCAAATGGAGCATGACAGCTTCAACACACGAAATTTAGGGAGACACAATTCAATCTATAAGCACTGTTTCCCCATAATCATGTACATATGAATCTTCCCTGTACCATCAGGAGCTGCTTTCACCTCTCCCTTAATTAGATTCCTAGATTATTAAAAATAAAGTACACACCTGGCCGGGCGCGGTGGCTCACGCCTGTAATCCCAGCACTTTGGGAGGCCGAGGCGGGTGGATCATGAGGTCAGGAGATCGAGACCATCCTGGCTAACAAGGTGAAACCCCGTCTCTACTAAAAATACAAAAAATTAGCCGGGCGCGGTGGCGGGCGCCTGTAGTCCCAGCTACTCGGGAGGCTGAGGCAGGAGAATGGCGTGAACCCGGGAAGCGGAGCTTGCAGTGAGCCGAGATTGCGCCACTGCAGTCCGCAGTCCGGCCTGGGCGACAGAGCGAGACTCCGTCTCAAAAAAAAAAAAAAAAAAAAAAAAAAAAGTACACACCTTTTCAATTCTGTAAGTCTAGTGCCTCAAAAATAACAAATGTTTGTTTAACCAAAAATTTCTGGTTGGATGTACAAAAATCATCTCAGCTATCCTGTAAGAAGAGAAAGTTAACTGCATGTGAAATTAATTGTAACTGAAGAAATTGCCAATATAGACCATAGAGCAGGCCATGGTCTACAAGAGACATGGTAGTTGAAAGACCTCCAGTAATCTACGTATTTCATTAAAATATACTTATGCCCACTGGCCTCAAACATCTCTGCTATTTCTAAAAATCTCTTCAATTTGTCAGAATAACCAATGACAAAATAATGGAGAACTCTGCCATAAAAGAGCAAGAGAAAAAGTCACATAGTCCAAAATGAATAACCTTTTAATTTACCTTACAAATTACAGTAATTCCATTTATCAGAAATCATTTGGAATTATAAATCTTCACATCTTGACCTCAATTATGCTTTCCCCTCTAAGTGCATTTAGAACTTTAGGATGTATGATGGATTCAACATCAAATATATTTCAGTGCCTTAATAAACAATAAAGTAATGAGCACTTTCAAGAATACATTAATGTGTTTTTTACTTGATTTTACTAACCAATGTATAAACAGAAATAAATTTATAGTACTAAATTGCTGTTAGTAATAATTACTTCTTATGTATATCTGCTAGTAACCAGAAAGTGTTTTATATCTCTTATTAACTTCTTTTAATGGACTAAATTTAAATCAGAATTAGAATTAGAAATAAGATTTTCTTTTCTTTTTTTGTCCTATTCAGAAATAGAACTAGAAATAGTCATATAATTGGCTAGATTTTACATGAGAGATTTATAGAATAATACCATAGTCTTCTTTATTTGGGGTGTTTGAGAAAGTCACAAATTTTATTCTCTCAAGTCATTATCTACTATCATGTATATAATATATATACACATATATACACATATATGTGTGTATATATATGTATACGTATGCATATATACATATGTACATACATATATACATATATATGATATGTGTGTGTGTGTGTGTGTGTGTGTATATATATATATATATATTTTTTTTTTTTTCCTGGAGATGGAGTCTTGCTTTGTCACCCAGGCTGGAGTTCAGTGGCACAATCTCAGCTCACTGCAACCTCCACCTCCCGGGTTCAAATGATTCTCTTGCCTCAGCCTCCTGAGTAGCTGGGATTACAGATACGCGCCACCAAGCACAGCTAATTTTTTTTTGTATTTTTAATATTTCACCATGTTGGCCAGGCTGGTCTTGAACTCCTGACTTTGTGATCCCCCTGCCTCGGCCTCCTAAAGTACTGGGATTACAGGCATGAGCCATCGCGCCCGGCCCATTATAATATTTTATACAAGTTTAAATTTATGTTAATATGAACATTGACACAACACATTATAGTGGCAGTCATAAGTACATTTGGGAAGTTGCATGTACAAAACATACATTGCTTGTCTTAGTAATGAGTGTTAAGTATTACTGTCTCATATAAGCTATAATTTAATAAATGTTTAAGTTGCCAAAATATTTTAATAAGAGATTTTGTTTGTATTATGGAACAGAAATTCACTCAAAGAAGGACAAAAAGTGTAATTGAACAGCATTTCATACAACAAACAATAGGAAGACATTTGTCTAAGGTTTGTGGAAACTGTAGAACAGAATCCTATTTGACTTAGCTATCTGCACCTCTTAAAATTAGAATTTTTGAAAGAATGTTGTTGACTCTGGGCAGGCTAGATATGGGTTCACTCTCTGGCTAGTCATTTGGAGTAAGGGCCATAGGCTGCAAATAAGGCTGCTTAAGCCCAAACCTGCAGTAGAGACCAGGGGTAGGTTGGGGAATCCCAGGGGGCAGGTCAGTAGGAAGGAGATATTGATACAAGTATGATGTAGAGAACACTGGCCAGAAACCTACAATTCAGTGGAGATAACCGTAAATCCCCACTATTTCATCAGTTCTAAAGAATGTACTTGTGGGTGTTTATTGATCACATTATCTAAATGTGGCTTTTCCAGATGATAGTACAGTTTATAGATGGGGATACTATGGCTTAGGGAATGTGTTAGTTACAGAACTTAAAAAATGGCTTCTAAAAGGTGAGTCGAATAATAGATGACACCATCACCCCTGTTAAGCAGGGTGTATTCAGTACTTGTCAAGGGTCTGAAGCTCAGGTTCTAGTGACGATTTGACTCGTCCCCAGTTTCCCATTTCCCCATTCCAAAATGTCTAAAATTACATGATTTCTGATCTAACTTTAAGTTGTGGCAGAAAACTTGACTTTCATTCTTCTTCAAGATGAATTATAATCAGATGATTGTTTCAGGCCACTGAAAACAAGCAGCAAGAATGCCTTTTAACAAAATTATAAGATAGTTCTGCTCTTCCCTATTTTCCTCCAGGTGGTTCAACTGAATTTGAAGTTGTCTTTTTCTTTCTTTTTTTTTTTTTGAGATGGAGTCTCGCTCTGTCACCCAGACCCAGGCTGGAGTGCAGTGGCACCATCTCTGCTCACTGCAACCTCGGGCTCCTGGGTTCAAGTGATTCTCCTGCCTCAGCCCCCTGAGTAGCTGGGACTACAGACCCATGCCACCAGACCTGGCTAATTTTTGTATTTTTAGTAGAGACAGGGTTTCATCATGTTGGCCAGGCTGGTCTCAAACTTCTGGCCTCAGGTGATCTGCCCACTTTGGCCTCCCAAAGTGCTGGGATTACAGGCGTGAGCCACTGCGCCCGGCCCTGAAGTTGTCTTTTTCTTATAGCACATTAACAAAGGTCTTTCGAAATAGGGAAAAAAAAATTCAGCATTCTAGCATTTTATAGCCATAACTTGGGTAACAGACCCTCATTGGACATGTGGTCTGGGCCAATAAAATGCTGGAGATATGTTAACTGCTTCACTGTTGCATAGGAGGGCCTTGATAACTCCTGCCCTGAAATGCAATTATTCTCAATTTTCCCTACACTACCTAGGCTCAGAGTTCCACATTTCTGTTTTCAACAATTGCAACGTCATGGTGGTGCTTATGTATTTCCTTGTGTATGAAGACCTGTAGTCTTAGAGAAACCCAACCTGTACCAAATTAAACGGAAAGAGAACCCCTATAGAAATTCATCTACAAAACCTCTGACAAATTTTCTGCTTTCTGATAAAACATTCAAACCCATCAGGAAACTTATTTTATTTCTATACTCCATCCTAACCTGCTGCCTCTTTTACCTTGGAATTATCCCTCTGTTGCCCTAATCCAGTATGATTTTATTGTTCCTGGGCTTTCTGTATAGCTGTTATATTGAAATTTTTCTTCCTCTTAATCTCAGAAATGCCTTTCATTTATTTCCCATGTAAAAGCCTGAAAGCCTGTTAGTTTCCCAAATTCCATGATTTTCCTCTTTCATGTTTTACTACACTTTTCAATGGCACACAAAGTGTAGCTCTTTGAGCCCTTTCATGTCTCAAAATGTAATCAGCTCAGTCTTAACTTTTAACTGGTTGATAGACAATAAGTGAGTTTGAAAAACTTTTTTTCCCTATGATCTTGAAGACATTTCTACACTGCTTTCTACCTTCTTTTGCTGGTAATGAGAAATCTAGTCTCATTGTACAATGAGACTTTTTGATTTTTTTCCCTTATACACAAGCTTTAAGAATCTTTGCTTTATCATCTCTATTCTTCAGTGTCAGGACAAAAGGCTTGCATGAGTGTATGTATGTGTTTCATTTCTTGTGCAGGACAGTTCAGGGGTATT